>NC_000023.11:111212542-111837542 GCF_000001405.40 Homo sapiens | reverse complement strand
TGAATGCATTCTGTGTTCAAGGTCATTCAGCTTCCAGGGACTCTGGTTCCTCAGAATGACATTCCTACTCACTGCAGCTGCTCTTTAAAATTCTGAACTACAATCTGCCCTGGCTTCTGTTACCTAGCAGCTGTGCTAGCTGCTTGTGCTATTTACTGCTGGCCTCCTGCCTGCCTGATTTCTGGTATCTAATAGGCATCATCAGGTGTTGACTGTGCCCTCCTAGCAGGGGCCAGATTACTTAGCCCCATGTCTTCCTCATTTTTCAACCCTCTGCCTGGTTCTGCGATGCATTGTATTGCCTGGCCCTGGCTGGTAGAGTCTCCTGAAAATTTAGATCCTGTGATAGGTCTGACTTGCCATATTGTCTGGTTCTTGTGCCCTGGCCCCTGAACTCCAGACTCTCATCTTACTTTTGATTCTCAACTGCTTCACCAGCTGGCATTTACTTTCACCAAACAAAAAGCAAATTTATTCCTTTTAGGCTAGCTCTCTAGCAGCGTGATGCTGAAAAGATCATGGAATTTATCTATGATAATCAGAGAAGAGCCACTTAGCAAGTTGAGAAGGGCCATGTGCACATTGCCCAGGCAGCCCTGAAAAGGGCCCTTGAGAGTCAGGCCAGTGGAGAGCACAGCCTTAAACAAAATAAACTAGCCCTTTTTGTGCAGCCTACTGACTGCAAAATTGTCAATGGGATTGGAATCTTCTCCACTTTAATCTAATGATAACAGTAATAGTAATAGTTTTCATATATTCATTCATTTCTTCAATAAATGTCATTTAGTCCCTATTATGTGCCAGCTACCTAGCAGCTATGTCTCTGCCTCCATAGAGCTTACATTATAGTAGAGAGGGACGGAAAATAACCATTTAAACCAAAAATTACCTAATATAATTTTATGAAGCTTCAAGTGCTACAAAGAAAATTAAACAAGACAATAGGATAGAGAAAAACTGATGGAGCTACATTAGGTAGAGCAACCAAGAAAAGCCTCTCTGAAGAAGTGACATTTGAGCTGAGACCTTGATGATAAGAAGGCAGCTGTGTAAAGATCAGGGGGCAGAGCACTTTCAGACAGAGGGACTCCTTAAAGTACCTCTCACCCACCTCTAAAATGAACCGAAGAACAAATCCCTAAGACTCTCAAAATACATTGTGCTCATTAAGAACGACACATTTTGAGCACACTGAAAAATGCATCCATTCTTAAAGTAGCATTTCTTATGTTCTGCATGGTTTCCATAGGCTTGGGCAATGGCTAATCTCTGCCACCCACGAACTGGCTGCATTTTATTGCTGTATTCAGATTTCTGAATATAAAGCAAAAGAAACCCTAGACACCAAAAGGATATCATTGCAGTTACATGTTTGGATGTGAAGTCTAAGAGAGGAAATAATAATTTGAGAAGCCATCAATATAGTGGTTTTGGAAGGGCAGACAGACCTAGATTTGAGATCTGGCTCAAAACATACTAGTAAGGTGTCCTTGGGCAAGTCATTCAGTCTCTGAATCTCTGTTTCGTCATCAGTAACAATAAAATTTTACAAGGATCATAATGATAATGTATGTATGTAAAAGTACCTAACATGCTTATAAGTTCTCAATAATAGTTGAGTTCTCAAAAGCCTCAATAACAGTTGGTTAATATATCATTAACAATTATCTGTATAAAGTGTTAATTTGAGAATCCTCAAGCTCCTCCATGCAGTTTAGAGTTATCTGGGTCCTGTGAGAGCCACAAAAGAAGTATCAGAAATGGTAATTTGTTCTCATGTTCACTCAGCCAGCAAATGCCAGAACTGAGATCCTAACCCAGTGCAATCTAACCCAAGCACCATTCTCCTGCCTCAGCCTCCCGAGTAGCTGGGACTACAGGCGCCCGCCACCATGCCCGGCTAATTTTTTGTATTTTTAGTAGAGACGGGGTTTCACCGTATTAGCCAGGATGGTCTCGATCTCCTGACCTTGTGATCCACCCGCCTCGGCCTCCCAAAGTGCTGGGATTACAAGCGTGAGCCACCACTCCTGGCCTCAAGCACCATATTCTTAACCACTGCATGTATTGCCTCTGCATAATTAGAATGGTAAAAAAATAACATGGTCTGAAGACAAAAGACAAAGTTTGGTAGAGGAAATAGCTCTTGAAATAAGCCTTGAAAAATTTTAGGCTATGCATACACTGAGAAGAGGGAATGGTATTTCAGGTAGAAAAGCAAAGCATAAGACATAGAAGTGGAAACAAACAAACAAATGGACATGGATGGTCAGTCTGTGTTAGGGAAGAGCCCAAAATATGTGAGATCACCAGTTTATCTGTCACAGATCTGGCAGCCCCTTCGTTAAGCAGATCACCTTACATTTTCTCTCTCTTTTCTTGCTCTTCTTAAAGAATTAACTAACCTGCTCTTTGATCTCTTTTAGGCTCTTTGAGACTCTTCAGTCACTCTTCTGGTCTGTATTTGGCCTTTTAAATCTATATGTCACCAATGTGAAAGCCAGACACGAATTCACCGAGTTTGTAGGAGCTACCATGTTTGGAACATACAATGTCATCTCCCTGGTAGTGCTGCTGAACATGCTGATTGCTATGATGAACAACTCCTATCAGCTTATTGCCGTGAGTAGCTTTGCTTTACAAGCGTGCTTACTTTGGTTTCAGGTTGGGGCAACATCGGCATAGAGTTCATTAGAAGCTCAATGAAAGAGTTCGTCTGCCTCAATTAATTTACATTAGCTTTCCTAGTTGTTAGACTGAATTATTTCTTTCCAATGCAATTCAGGTTGGACTCTTAGTCTATAGACTCTTCATCATCTAAGTTATTCGAGTGAATAAGATTTTCTAGCTACTTATTGAAAATATTTCTAAATTTCAGAATCAATTTTCTTGCCTCAGTGGAAAACTCAGGGTTTGAGCACAATTTGGCTACAACGTGTCACCTCACTCATCTCCAGGGTTAATTCAGCTGATCTGGTTCTCTAGGCAAGAGAGCCCTATCTCCCTATTCACTACAAACATCTCCCTCTGAAAACTAAGAATCCCATTGACAAGGATGGTCTTCTGAGAGAGAGACAGAGAGGGGAGGGGGCTACGTTTTTTCCTATTTTAAAAAATAGAGATGGGCTCCTGATATGTTGCCCAGGCTGGTCTGAAACTCCTGGCCTCAAGTGATCCTCCCACCTCAGCCTCCCTAAGTGCTGGGATTACAGGCATCAGCCACTGCACCCAGCCAGTGGCTATTTTTTAATCAAGTATATATAAGTAACTGCACTCCATTGCAAGGCACTCCTAAGTACAGTCCATTGCTGAATTTTTTTGCACCATCATGTTACCATTTAGATCAGCAGTGTTTATTACCCTAGACTAGAAATAGTGAAAGTGTAGGATACAGGATCAATTTAGTCCCTGCCCTGGTTTTTTATGTCAAAGTAGATATCTAACCTTAGCTTATTTTATTTTAATCTGCATATAATTCCTAGAAATTGAGTTTTGGCAAAGGAGTCCTCATTACCTGAGGTCTGATTTAGTTGGGCATTAGTAAATTTGGATGTGTAGTTCTTACTATAATGCTAGATTACCCCCTCTGGATCAGTCTGTTGCTCAAAGTTTTTGCTGTAGCAGAGAAAGTACAAAATAAATAAACCCACGTCTTGTTTTCCTTTCTAGATGCTATTTCTCAGATTTGGTTTGCCACTGAGGAGTTATTTAGCCTATAGAAAAGAAGCTCAAATTACTTGTTACATATACATAGATATATATATGTATGTATATGTGTATGTGCATATATATATATGCACACACACACACACATACCCATACATGCACATTGTCCATGTCTTAAATGTTATTGTTAATAGTGAACGTCTGTGATCCATTTCCACTAAGGACAGAACCAAAAAGGAATGGAGTAGGAGGCTTTTGAGTTACCTATTTGGGAGAAATTCCTAACTATAAATGGCAATGAAATAAATATATTCTCACAGGTGGGTCTATAGAATTTCTGTTATTGGAGAGTTTAAAAAATTAGGATATAAAATTGTCTGCTAGGATAGTTTAGATATTAGGTATCTAGGTGGTAGAGAAGGGAGAGGAGTGTAGTGGAAAAAAAGATTTGAAGTTAATAAACCAGGGACTCTAATCATGGTTCTGTGGTTTATAACTGCATGTCTTTAGTAACTTACTTTTCCCTCTTGAGCCTCAATGTCATCATCCAAAAGTGAGGGTATTGAAATCAATGGTTTTTAATATCCTTGCTAGCTCTGACATCCTATGTGTCCGGGTGCCTACAGATTAACAAGATAGGCTCACAAGGTCCTTTCTAGCTCTGAAATTCTGTTTTTCTGTTGCATTTGAAATTCAATATAGTTCAGTTCCATTCACTCATTCCCCCTCATTCAAACAACTAGGCCAAGAACTCTAAAATGATTTATGTTCACTCCTAGTCTATCTCTATAAGGGGGCAGGGGCAGGCATGGAATCTCAGGAATTGACTTTTCCATCCCCTCTGCTTGGCATTCTATCCTTCACCCCTGCCAAAGATGGCAATATTCATGCAAAGGCATTTGTAATTTTCTCACTGGGTGTCTGATAGCTGATTTTTCCTTGTGACAGTAGAAAAGGGAGAGATTTTCTTGTCACCTAATGCAGGGCTGTGGTCCTTCTCACTGAGCTCAGTGACATTTTCTAGGAAGGGCGAAAATAATCAACTCCAGCTCCCATCACCACCTGCTGGTAGTAAGTTTTGTTTTAATGCCACCTACTGCTGCACCCAAAGAAAACACATTGGCTTGGGAGGGAGCCAACGGTAGATGGCCTAAATGGAGTCTATACCATCTCATAAATCTGAAGTCATGGCCAACCATTCTGAATAATATCTTTACTGCTTTTGGATCCCACGGGAGTGTGTTTTTACCATTTGGAAATGGATCCAGTGGGATCATGATATTGGACAACCTGATTCCAAAAATACCTGGATCTGCTTAAGTGGTAAGGGCCAGAAAGTAGATTTAATTTCATTTGCAACATCTCTGCTTCAGTACTGAATGTAATTTTTACAAGGTCCTTGATATAGGGAGAAAGGTTACAGAAAGGGAAACCACTGAAGACAAATTTCTCCTATTTTAAAAGGTATCACAGGCTGATTCAGTCTAGGTAGGGACTGAGTTGTCAACATGCCTCACTGTGAATCTGTTTTGTGTACATTCTAGGACAGTCCTCAAGAACATCAGGTAATACCAATCCCTTGAAGGGTTAAGCTCTTTATCAATGTTCCATGCAGGATTCAGAGATGCTGGTGATGTGAATATATGGCTCTGTAGCAATTTGTATTTCCATGTCATAGGAGGCTCCACCTCAGTAGTGTATAGAGTTATTCTTAAGATACAGTGAAGCAGGAATCACTCCAGGCCTGTGCTCTGTGGTCCCAGCATCAGCAGGTGAAGCTGGCCATATTGTATATTATTGTTATTGACAATTAGCAGTGATTTACTTCTCCTTTTATTCTTATATCTCCCTCAATCTCCTTATTACTCTCAATGACACTTTTTAAAATACATCTACCTTGTCACTGCTGTCCCTGATGTATAGGCACAAGCTCCATCAACCAAAGCTGCCCTCAGTGCCATTTTAATCAGATTCATCCGTTAAAAAATATTAGGTGGAAGAGATAAGATCAATCCCACAAAGTTCATTACCTTAGGCCCTATTCCTACCCCCTACCCACCCACAATGGCCATCTCTGTTGCCTGAGATTAGTCCTCCCAAAACATAGTGCTCATAATGGTCTGTGATAAAGCCTCATTCAGCAAGTTAGTAAGAACCCTTGGTTTCTTTGGCTGCTATGGAGTATTTGCTTTAGTGCTGAAAATAAGTAAACAGCACTTGCTTCACTGAGCCACAGCTGCTGGATGGCTTGGGGAGAGTCCAAATATACATAATTGGTTGTCTCCCTTAGGGTGGCAGCATTTGGAGGCCCAGATGATGAATGGACTCTTCCACTGCAGAACACATTCATGCAAATGACGACATTCTTCCAAACAAACCTGGCAACACAAGATAGCAGGCAAGACTAGAGAGGGCTGTTGCATACCATCTAAGTGCCAAGAAGGGCAGGTGGTCTCCCCACCCACCCCCAGTCATCTAGGACCAACCTCAGATTCTCAAAGCAGAGACTTTCAAAGCAGAGACTCTCAAAGCAGCACTTCACACACAATACCATGATTTTAACTCTCTATCAGCAGGACTGATAACCAACTGCTATGCACTGATATGGCTACTCAACTGTTAAAATATTGAAACACTTCCATACCAGTTGGTAAATAGGTGCCACTCCAGCTGTTCCTTCTATGACATACCCAGACCTCCCGACAATCCAGCAAGTAAAGGGTAACATTTGGAACAGCTGCTAGAATCTAGGACCCTGCTCCAGCACCAAAACTGGCCTACATTTGGATTGATTGGTTTTTTAAACAGTCTGAATATCACTATAGTAGGCAAAACCCTAAAATGCTCCCCCTAGATTCCCCACTCTAATACTCAAGACTATTAATATGAAGAGATACCACACTTGTGATTGTGTTGTATTATGTGGCAAAAGGGATTCTGCAGATGTAATGAAGGTTAGTATTCAGAGAGATTATCCAGGTAGGCCTAATCTAATCACATGAGTCTTAGAAGCACTGTTTTCTCCAACCGGTAGCAGAAGAGAATGTCAGTGTATTAGTCTGTTCTCAGTCTGCTATGAAGAAATACCTGAGACTCAGTCATTTATAAAGAAAAGAGTTTTAATTGACTCACAGTTCCACATGGCTGGGGATGCTTCATTAATCTTACAATCATGGCAGAAGGAAAAGCACGCAGGTCTTACATGGTGGCAGGTGAGAGAGAGTGAGAGGGAAGGGGGAAGAGCCCCTTATAAAACTGTCAGATCTCATGAGAACTCACTATCATGAAAGCAGCATAGGGGAACTGCCCCCATGATCTAATCACCCCCCAGGAGGTCCCTCCCCTAATATATGAGGATTGTAATTTGGATTGTAACTCAAGATGAGATTTTGGGTGGGGACACAGTCAAACCATATCATTCCATCCCTGGCCCCTCCCAAATCTCATGACCTTACATTTTTAAAACACAATCATGCCTTTCCAACAGTCCCTCAAAGTCTTAACTAATTCCAGTATTAACCCAAAAGTCTAAGTCCAAAGTTTCATCTGAGACAAGGCAAGTCCCTTCTGCCTAAGAGCTTGTAAAATAAAAAACAAGTTAGTTACTGCCTAGATACAATGGGGGTACAGGCATTGGGTAAATACACCCATTCCAAATTGGAGAAATTGGCCAAAACAAAGGGGCTACAGGCTCCATGCAAGTCCCAAATCCACTAGGGCGGTCATTAAACCTTGAAGTTTCAAAATGATCTCCTTTGACTCCATGTCTCACATCCAGGTTACAATGATGCAAGTGGTGGGCTCCCATTGCCTTGGGCAGCTCCACTTCTGTGGCTTTGCAGGGTACAGCCCCCCATCCTGGCTGCTTTCACAGGCTGGTGTCGAGTGTCTGTGGCTTCACCAGGTACATGGTGCAAGCTGTCAGTGGATTTACCATTCTGGGGTCTGGAGGACAGTGGCCTATTCTCATGGCTCTACTAGGCAGTGCCCCAGTGGGGACTGTGTGGGGACTCCCACCCCACATTTCCCTTCTGCACTGCCCTAGCAGAGGATCTCCATGAGGGCTCTGCCCCTGCAGCACACCTCTGCCTGGACATTCAGGCATTTCCATGCATCATCTGAAATCTAGGTGGAGGTTCCCAAACCTCAGTTCTTGTCTTCTGCCCACCCACAGGACCAACACCACATGGAAGCTGCCAAGGGTTGGGGCTTGTACCCTCTAAAGCCACAGCCCAAGCTGTACCTGGGCACCTTTTAGCCATGGCTAGATCGGCTGGAAAACAGGGCACCAAGTCCCTAGGCTGCATACAGCAAGGTGGTCCCTGGGCCTAGCCCAGGAAACCATTTTTCCCTCCTAGGCCTCTGGGCCCGTGATGGGAGGGGCTTCTGTGAAGGTCTCTGACATGCCCTGGAGACATTTTCCCCATTATCTTAGTGATTAACATTCACCTCCTCATTACTTATGCAAATTTATCCAGCTGGCTTGAATTTCTCCCCAGAAAATAGGTTTTTCTTTTCTATCACATTTTCAGGCTGCAAATTTTCCCAACTTTTTTTTTTTTTTTTTTTTTTTTTGAGACAGAGTCTCATACTGTCGCCCGGGCCGGAGTGCAGTGGTGTGATCTCAGCTCACTGCAACCTCTTCCTCCTGGGTTCAACCAATTCTCCTACCTCAGCCTCCTGAGTAGCTGGGATTACAGGCACCTGCCACCACACCTGGCTAATTTTTGTATTTTTAGTAGAGATGGGGTTTCACTATGTTGGCCAGGCTGGTCTCGAATGCCTGACCTCGTGATCCACCCACCTTGGCCTCCCAAAGTGCTGGGATTACAGGCATGAGCCACCATGCCCAGCTCAAACTTTTATGCTCTGCTTCCTACTGAATGCTTTGCTGCTTTGAAATTTCTTCTGCTGGATACCCTAAATCATCTCTCTCAAGTTCAAAGTTCCACAGATCTCTAGGGCAGGGGCAAAATGCCACCAAGTGTCTTTGCTAAAGCAAACCAAGAGTCATTTTTATTCCAGTTCCCAGTAAGTTCCTCACCTCAGCCTGGACTTCATTGTCCATATCACTATCAGCATTTTGGTCAAAGCCATTCAACACGTCTCTAGGACGTTCCAAACTCTCCCATATTCTCCTCTCTTCTGAGCCCTCCAAGTCTTTAGGAAGTTCCAAATTTTCCCACATTTTCCTTCTTCTTCTGAGCCCTCCAAACTGTTCCAACCTCTGCCCATTGCCCAGTTCCAAAGCTGCTTCCCCATTCTCAGGTATCTTTACAGCAGTGCCCCACTCTCGGTATGAATTTACTATATTAGTCTGTTCTCACGCTGCTATGAAGAAATACCCAAGACTGGGTAATTTATAAGGAAAAGAGGTTTAATTGACTCACAGTTCTGCATGGCTGGGAGGCCTCAGGAAACTTACAATCATGGTGGAAGCCACCTCTTCACAGGGCAGCAGGAGAGAGAATGAGTGCCAACAGGGGAAATACCAGATGCTTATAAAACCATCAGATCTCATGAGAACTCATTCACTATAATGAGAACAGCATGGGGAAAACAACCCCCATGATTCAATTACCTCCCGCTGGATCCCTCCCTGACACATGGGGATTATGGGGATTATAATTCAATATGAGATTTGGGTGGGGACACAGCCAAACCATATCAGTAAGTGATCTGAAGCACAAGGAAGATTTGATGTGCATTGCTGGCTTGAAGATGGAGCGAGACAAGTAGTAAGAAATTCAGGCAGTGTGCAGGAGAAGAAAGGGAGCCCAAGCTCTCACTATAGAAATGAATTCTATAAACAACATAAATGAACTTGGAAGCAGATTCTTCTCCAGAGCCTCCAGATAAGAGCTCAGCCACATTGACACCTTAACTTCAGCCTTGTGAAGGCCAGTATGACTGGAGTGGAGTAACCAAGGGAGGAGAGGGAAGTAGGAGATGGAGTCAGAGAGGTAATGGGAGTGAGTGACAGATCACTTAGGGCCTCATGGACCGTTGGAAGGATTTGGGCTTCTATTCTAAGCATGATAGGGAGCCATGGGAGGGTTTTGAGCAGAAGAGGTACATGATCTAACTTGTATTTTAGTAAGAGTGCTGTGTCTGATTGGGAATAGACTAGAGTGGGATAGGGGCAAATACAGAGAGACCAATTATGAGACCATTGCACTAACCCAGACAAAAGCTGATGGTGGTTTTGGCCAGGTTGGTCATGATGGCAGTGATGAGAAGTGGTCAGATTCTGTATATATTTTGAACTAGATCAGATGTGAAGTGTGAGCAAAAGACAGTAGTGAAGAATGTCATCCAGGTTTTTTGGTCTGAGTAACTGGCAGGGTGGAGTTGTCCATTACTGAGATGGGGAAGAGTAGGAAAGGAGCAGGCCTGGTCGGGGAGGGAGGTGAAACAGAGATCCAGAGTTGACTTTTAGACATGTGGAATTGGAGATGCCTATTAGACATCCAGGTAGAGGCATTGGGTGGTCTACAGGTCTAGAGGAGAGGTCCAGGCTGGCAATAGAGATTTGAGAGTTACCAGCATACGCATAGTATCTAAAGCTATGGAACTAGATGAGATCACTAAGGAGTGAGTGTGGAGAGAAAAGAAAAGAGATCTGAAAATGAAGTCTGGGGCACTCCAATATTTAGAGGCTGGAAATGTGAGGATGGATTATCCAAAGAGACTGAGAAAGAACAGCCAGAGGGATGGGAGAAAAATCAAGACAATGTGCTATATTATAATACTATATTATTCCCAATATGCTAATAAGTCATATGCTAGTAAGTGGTACTGTCTGGATTTAAATTGAGGTAGTCTAACCCCAAGACCCACACACAGAACCTCTACACTATCATGTTGACACTTACCTTGAAGGCAAGAAGCACCTGATATGCACTTTCACTACAAGGGCCCTAACAGACCTTCTTTCCTTTCCTTATCTTATCACAACTCTGAACTGTTCAGTCTCCTTGTCCTATCAGTTCCAGTGATAAAAGGGCTCATTATAATCCTGAGGGGACGAAGAGCCCAATATCTGCCCTAATTTCTTCCAGGATAAGAATCACTGATGCTTCATCAACATACCCATTGTCTGTGTCTCAGCTCCCAAGAGCCATCTCTTAAGAAAACAGAACAAAACATAAACCCTGCCACCTTTCACTTCCACTAAACAGTCCAAACCATGGAAGCTATAGTAAGTCTAAGGAATAGTATAATCTCTATTCAGGTGAAGGAGTTGCTTAATTCAAGCTGTAGGCATATCATGACATTGGAGCAAAGCCATTTCAAATTTTAATAACTGTCTCTTCCCTTTGGGATGCCCTCAGGCAATCTACGTATTTTTCTCATCTCAGCTTGTGATTTTCCCTGTTGCCAAACCATTGTCTGGAATCTGATCAAGGGTTGCTACGTTTCACTGAGGAGAAAGAAAACATTCAGAACTATGGAGGACATTTTAATAGTGCCCTCCTCCCTTGGGTAATGTGGAATCTATGAACACCTGCTGATAATCTCATTTCAGACAACAATTTACATTTTCTGGTAGATTCTGTAAGAGATACAAGAGCTAGGTGCTGTAAGTTGTATAAAGGGAAAGACACAGGTGATACCATTAGGAAGCTTGTAGTCTAGTTTAGAGGGAAAAGTCTGACATGAGTAAAACAATAGCACTATTATCACAAGAATAGTAGCAGTGATTACAGACAGCATTGGCTCAAGAGTAGTCAGACTACCTGGATTTGAAACCTGGATAGCCATTTACTGTGGTTTTCGGCAACTTGACCTCTTTCTGCCTCATTTGACTTCTCTGTAAAATAGGGAAGATAACTAGGCTTTTCATTTGCTGCTTACTCTCAGGTCTATTCCCTGCCTGTTTCTTGTATCAAGAAAACTACATTCCTCACAATCCTTTGCCCTTTGGTGTCTGAGCAGATTCAACCAATCAGATGGTAGGAGGAAGGGAGAAGCTAGACTATTTCTTCCCCATCCCATCCTCACTTATTTTGGTGCCCCCAGCAGCAGCTGTAGCTCCTCTGGGGCTCAACTCCAAATTCCGCCAGCCATCTCCTCCCTACTTGGCCCCAGCTTTTGCAGCGACTCCCCGTCTTGGCTCAAGCTCCAGCCAGAGTGCACTAGTCTTGGATCTAAGAACACTACCTCTTCCTGTTGACCCTCGAACTCCAAGGATAAAAGGGGCTTCCTGTTGTTGCTAATCTCTAAGTTGTCTCACTATTCCCTTTTTAACTTGTCAGATCTTACATCATCTGTGTAACCAATCCCCGCATTAAATCTAGATTTGAAAGTCCTAGAGTGGGCCGGGTGCAGTGGCTCATGCCTGTAATCTCAGCACTTTGTGAGGCTGAGGTAGGTGGATCACTTGAGACCAGGAATTCAAGTTTGAGATGAGCCTGGCCAACATGGTGAAACCCCGTCTCTACAAAAAATACAAAAATGAGCTGGGTATGGTGGTGCGTACCTGTAGTCCCAGCTACTCGGGAGACTGAGGCACAAGAATCGCTGGAACCCAGGAGGTGGAGGTTGCAGTGAGCTGAGATCATGCCACTGCATTCCAGCCTGAGTGACAGAGCAAGACTGTCGAAGAAAGAAAGAAAGAAAGAGAGAGAGAGAGAGAGAGAGAGAGAAAGAAAGAAGAAAGAAAGAAAGAAAGAAAGAAAGAAAGAAAGAAAGAAAGAAAGAAAGAAAGAAAGAAAGAAAGAAAGAAAGGAAGGAAGGAAGGAAGGAAAAGAAAGAAAAGAAAGAAAGAGAAAATGAAAGAAAGTCCTAGAGTGATTTCTGTTTTCCTGGCTGTACCCCAACCAACACGTATCTGATTGAATCATTGTGAGGTACGTTTAGGAAGTACAAATTGAACTGAGCCTTGAAGAATTGGTCAAATTTGGAAAGACAGAAAATTGAGGACGTGGTATCAGATTTCATTTTTGGCAAGGAAATAGCTTGCACACCAGCGGGGATTGGCCTAGTGTTTATTAAAGGCGGTAACACTGTAAGGATTGGCTTCAGTCTTCTCTGCCTACCATACTTTATTCCCCAGGAAACTATCTTTTCAACAGGCAGTGAAGTCCCCCCTGCCCCAACAATGAGGAGAAGCAAAAACAGTAGTCGCATCTTTAGGAACTGCATGACAAAGTGCAGAGCCTACCTTTAGAAAAATCATACAAGGAGATGAGGTGTGTTTGTGTGTATTCCCACATCCCAACTCTGGGTCCTCACATTGCTGTCTACCTGGCTCAGCACAGAACCCTAGACCGCCTGACCTGGAAAAGCCCCAGGCCCCTCCTCTAGGCCCAAACTGAGCTCTTTCTCATTCACTAAGGCTTAAAGAAGTCAGTAAATATGAATGTAAGAAATAATAATATCTAGCATATAGACAAGCCTTTATTAAATGCCAGCACTAAGTGCTTTCTATTACTATTATAACTACTATTAATAACTACCATTTATTAAGCATTTATGTCCCAAACACTATACACAACACTTTGTACCTATTATCTCATTAAATTCTCACATCAGCTTTATAAGGTAGGTACTGTTATTGACTACATTCTATGGGTAAGGAAACTGAGGCACAGAGATAAAAGTGACTCGCCCAAGGGTACACATTTTTTTTTTTTTTTTTTTTTGAGACAGGGTCTTGCTCTGTTACCCAGGCTGGAATGCAGTGGCACAATCTCAGCTCTCTGAAACCTCCACTTCCCATCTCATGTAATCCTCCAGCCTCAGCTTTCCGAGTAGCTGGGACCACAGGTGCAAGCCACCATGCCCAGCTCATTTTTGTATTTTTTGTAGAGATGGCGTTTCATCATGTTGTGCAGGCTGATCTCGAACTCCTGAGCTCAAGCGATCCGACCTCCCCATCCTCCCAAAGTGCTAGGATTACAGGCATGAGCCACCACTCCCTGCCAAGGGCATACTCTTAATAAGGTCTGTCCGACCTGAAGTAACAAAGATATCTCACTTCCTCTTTTCCTGCCAGCATCTCAAGCCCCCAGGCCCTGATACACAAACCACACCGGACCCCTGCCCAACCTCAGACTTCCCTGGCTTCATGCTTCCCCCTGGTTGACTAACTTGCTGACTGTTCCCTAGGTCCTAACCAGAAGGATCCTTTAAGGAGCCTTTCCCTTGGTTCTGGACACAAAGCGACTTATTTCCTAAGCTGAGATCCCCTATCTCTACCCCCAACACACGCCAACTAGCTCTCTTTTTCTTCTTTAGTGTGTCCAGCAGACTTCACACAACCAGTTTCTTCTCAACTCTGCCCCTAATACTTCCAGCCTCCCCAAATGAGCAAGCAGACAACCACAGCCACAGGGAGTAAACGGGTCAGCACTACCAAGTTCGTTTGTATGACAAGAATTCCTCATTGAATGAACACATCCTGCCTTGAGACATCTCAGCCTTGTTCTTTGCCAGACAGCTCTTTGCATGCCTAAAGCCTCTCTTGACATTATACTCACACCAGTAAATGGACTATATAATATCCATCTTCAGGGAAGGAGGGAGGAGCATTGTCTCTGCAAACGCTGCAGGGGGTACCAAAGGCTGACTTTTCAGACAGACCTCCCCCATTCTGCCTGGGCCTGGCCTGGCCCTCCCCCTGGTGGTTTGAGACAGCAACAGATTTCTTGGTCATTCTGCATCAATGCCTGCTCCTGGTTTTGTCAGCAAGCTGTCTGAGAGGCTGAGAGCTCTTTGCCACAAAATTCTCAGGGTGTACTTTGGCAGGTCTGTGCCAAGCAGCAGTCTCTGCTTCCAACAGCAGCAACATTCTTTGATACTTGCTTCTACCTGCTAATGATTTTGGTGACTGACAAAGATGCAAGTGGAAATGGGATGAGGACAAATGAAAGGATGTAGATTTTCTTTTCCTGTCCTAAACGGCAACCAAACAGGGCAGATGTGTGAGCTACTCCTCCGGATCCCAGACTCAGCTGGGATGTTCATCGGGAACATCAGTAATTGTCATGAAGACTATCTTGGGTAACTCAGAGACAAGACCAACAATGCCAGTGACAGAAAGGTTCCAGTGCCCAAAAAAAATACCTCTCCCCATCTACCGGCTGATGTCCTTTACTCTTTCATTCATTCACTTAACAATAAATTAACAATTGAATAAATATCTATTGTATGGATAAATGAATAAACTTAATAACTTAATAAACATGTATTGAGGCACTACTATGTGCCACACTACATTCTTGGCAGTGGAGATACAGTAGGGTGATAGGTGAACAAGACAGACTGGGTCCTTGTTCTCATGGAGTCTACATGGACTGTCCAATCATGGAACTACAGTTTCAAATTTCACTATTTGCATTTTGTTTCTTTACCTTAAGGCTGCACTTAACCTTTTATGGGTCACAGATTCCTTTGACAATCTGATGAACATGAACAAGAAAAAAGCATATATTAGCAAACATACATAAAGTTTAGCATCTCAAAGGGTTTACAGGCATCCTCTCATTATCATCCAGAAATTCCTTACCTTAAGATTTGTCCTCAGTTATAATGCAAATATGCTTTGAGCTATGAATAGGTCGCTTAGGACTCAGTGTAAATGAGTATGTCCAATCCCTTATTAAGATCAGGTTTTCCCATGTGACCAAGCAAGTGAGAGATACCATAAGGGAAATGCGCCTGAGGAATACTGAGGAGGGGACAACAACAAGAAAAAGAGATTGGAGACACTGAAGGAAATGTCACCATCATCACAGTTTTGCAAAGAATCAGGTCGGTGTAATAGTCCCCAAGTCAAAGGTGCCTTTGGCCTCTACATAAAATAACAATTACCCATGGACATTCCTGAGATAAAAATGACTGTGTTTTTATTTCCAAAAGTATCAGAGTTGAGGTTCAGAAAGTATTGCTTTTTGTGGTGTTTCTGGACCACTGTCCACAACACTCTGAAGGGTTGTGCCAACCAAAGGGTACCCCGGAACCTAAAGCAAAAGTTAAAAAAAAAAGAATTGATCCTTGTGGAATACTTAGCCTTCCTACTTAAATTGGTCTCTGAATGTTCTCTCCATAGGATACAAACATTTGTAGACAAGTCAAATGTCCATGGCCCAAAGGTCATTGTCTGAGGGTGTGGTTCTTCTTGGCTTCTGCCTTATTCCCATAATCCTTGTTCTGGGCACCAGGAATCATTTGACTAGAAAGCTAAGAGATAGAAACTTTATTTATTTCTGAGAAACCTGAGGTTTAAAAACTAAATGTGAGTTCTGAGTTATTAATATTAATAAGGCCCTCTCTCTTCCTGTGGTTACTGGAGCCTTGTGCCATAGCCTGGCTCAATGTGAGAGGCAGAAGGGCAAGGAGGTGTCCTTTAGCTGTAACACAGAGGTCAGAATACCCAGTGGAGCATCAAAGATTACAACCCACTGCATTACTCTCCCTTTTACTTGAGATCTGACAGCAGAATTACGTTATCTCAGCTGTCAAGGTAAATCCGCTTTTCTTTAAAAGAGGAAATAGAAAAAAATCTAAGAGTGAAAATGTGGGAGGGGAAAGTCATTGTATTTCTCTCTTTTCTCACAGGATTTTGCTTTTTCCTCTGTTTTGTTCTGTATCCCAATTTCCCCCTGGGTATTTGAACTTACAGAACTCCTGGGCCCATAAAATTGTGAGCTAATCACAAAGACTTGTCAAGGAATGTATTTATCTCAAAGCCCTTCCTAATAAATGTAGTGTATCAGGAGTTTCCCAGAACATAAGGAAAGAAAGTACCGTAGGCCTCCTCATTCATTAGGAAATCAACACCAATTATTAAAGAAGGTTTGGACTAGTGTGATTAGAACCAACTCAACTGACTTCATCAGAGCTCCCACTGCCCTGACCCTAAAGATTCTTGGGGGTATAGAGAAGTTTCCATTGCCCAATGGATATTCTAGGAGGTTATACCACAGGGTTTTTCTCTTAATACCTTATTTCATATGTTTCATACAGGAACATTAATCAACTCAGAGATATTTTATGCTGAAATCTCTCCATCCTTAACCAGGATACACTTTCTGGCACATAGTAGGCTTTCTTTTAATATTTATTGAATAAATGGACAAATTAATTAATTGCTAATGTATAAGACTTCCCGGAATATTTTAAAATGAGGAGAGAGCAACTGACAAAGCTGACTAAACCTAAGTTTATTGTCTTCTTGTTCAGGGGTTAGCAAATGTTGTCTGTAAAGGGCCAGATGGTGAGTGTCTTAGGTTTTGTGGACTCTGTCTCAACTACCCATTGTAACACAAAATCGGTCATAGGCAGTACATAAATGAACGGGCATGGCTATGTGCCAATAAAAATTTACTTATTGACACTGAAATTTGAAATTTGTATAATTTCAAGTGTCAAAAATATTATTTTTATTTTTTCAATCACTTAATAATGTAAAAAATCATTCTTAGCTCATGGGCAATACAAAACCAGGTGACAGTCCAAATTTGGCCTGCAAGCCATAGTTTACCCCCTCCTACTGTAGTTGCTTCAAAATGTGTCTATTTTCAAACTTTGAGGACTAAAGCTCTGTGAAGACAAGGGCTCTGCTTTAGGTTTTCTCTATATTCCTCTGGTGCCTGGTAAAATATGGCACATATAGAAGATACTCAATAAATACCTTTTCACTGATTGATAGGGAAAAGGTTGGGGATATCTCTGATCTATAGTTTGTCGACTATGTTAAAAAATACATGATGTCAATTTATATCCATTGCAAGTGTTTAGAGATCAATAAATTTCTATGGCAGTGGGTAGGGGTATTATCTAATGGAAAGAAAATCTACCTAGATGATGGATTTTATAATTATAGTCAATACAGTGCTTTATACTTTCCAAAGCACAATAGCATATCATATTGTCTTATTCGATCCTCACAAGAGCTCTATGAAAGTAGGCACTATTATCTGAATGTTACAGATGAGGAAACAGGCTTCCCGAGTTTGAGACTTGCCTGGGGTTTCATGCCAGGTGTGTTTGTTCATTCATTCATTCTTTCCATAAGAACTTGTGAGTCTGCTATGTGCAAGGAAGTAGGTGAGAGGGAACTCAGGTCTAGTGACCCCTGAGGTGATTTTTAGAAGCTATCTATAAGATGGAAGTATGGCTTGGGAAGTTAAAAGTTAGTTCCTGATAAGTGAGGTAGGAAGTTAGAAAACACACATTATGACTATCTGAGTACATGATACCAGTAAGAATTCCAGGTGAGGACGGACCTGCAGCTTTTCCCATGTCCCAAGTGATAAGGTATACCTCTATCTTCATCCAGGCTCACAAATAGAAGTTCTGATTGGCTTAGTTCCAGTTATTTCTGAAAACTGCAGGTTAAGCTCAGCAAAAACCACCATTCTTACATTATGGTTCCCTCACTCCCCAGTGGAAAGACACAGGCCAAAAGAATGATCTGTGCCTCCTTGACTCAAGGATTTACATCTCTGGAGTTGCCCAGTAAAGGTGACAAGCAGTTCAGTGGGATTCAGGAGTACCACATCTGCTAGAATGGTGCTCCCAAAATTGTGCAGTATATGACCTGCACAGCTGAATGCAGAATCTCTAAAGGGTCACTTCTGAAGCAGAAAAAGCTGCTTTTTTCTGCAGGAAACATAAGCAAAAGAGAAACCTGGGCAGTCAAAGGCCTGGCTGAGTATATACAGGGATCTGTTCTTCAAAATCCAAGGCCCTGATCAGGCTCTGTTTCTGTTTCCACACATTTTGCAGGAACCTTCCTGATGCCGGTGCACTTCCCAAAAAGACAGTATAGCTCAGTGGTTAAGAACTTGGCATCTAGCGTCTGCCCCATCCAGATTTGAGTTGTAGTCCACCAGTTTCTAGCTGTACATCTTTAGACAAATTTTTTCACTTTGGTGAGCCTGTTTCCCAATCTATAAAATGGAAACAGTAATGGAACCCATTTCATCAAGCAATTATTAAGATTTACTGATATGCTTGAAAAGTAGCCGGGCACGGTGGCTCACGCCTGTAATCCCAGCACTTTAGTAGGCTGAGGCGGGTGGATCACCTGAGGTCAGGAGTTCGAGACCAGCCTGACCAATATGGAGAAACCCCGCCTCTACTAAAAATACAAAAATTAGCTGGGCGTGGTGGTGTGCACCTGTAATCCCAGCTACTTGGGAGGCTGAGGGAGGAGAATCGCTAGAACCTGGGAGGCGGAGGTTGCAGTGAGCCAAGATCGTGCTGCTGTACTCCAGCCTGGTGACAGAGCGAGACTCTGTCTAAAAAAAAAAAAAAAAAAAGAGAAAAAGAAAAGAAAAGTGGTAGGTAATATTGCTGATGCTACCCTCAGTTTCATATCTGCCTTTGGGTCTTCAATTAATTTATTCTACAAATTTGATTGTACACCTACTTTGTGCCAGGCTCTAGGACTGATCTCTAGGAATACAATAGTGAACAAGACAAAGTCTCTAACCTCAGTGGGCTTTGATTCTACTGGGGTAGCCTAAGAATAGGCAAATAGAGAGGAATCCATTAATAATTATTTATTTGCAATGATTGGTATGAGAAAAAATAGAATAATAGAGAAGTACACTTTAAGTTGGTTGCTCAGGGAAGGTCTCTTTGAGAAGGTAATACTTGAGCTACGAACTGATGGATGAAAATGAGCCAGCTCTATGTTCCTGTTTAGGAAAAAAATAATTGAAATATATGAGGCAAAATTTTCCCCCCAGTTGCTGTCCTTTTATCCAGGCCTTTAGGCTTCTGGCCATTTTAAGGAGGTTCTTGCGGAGTCGAGCCTTGAGTTGCAATTTTACTGGGGAAATGATAGAGGGCAGAAGGAGCATTTGTTCAGTGGGTATTGATGTGCCCATACCAAAGCTCAGAAAGGTTGGCAGGAGAGTGAAGATCAGACACAGGTGTTTGGGAGCGAGGATGAAAGAAGTTCAAGCTAGCTGGCACTTCTGATGTGAAGTGGGGTGTGGCAGGATGCTAAAGAGAGGCTAATCTCTCCAGTTATTATCCCACTGAATTCTATGAGGATACTCCTGTCCAGGCAGTAACCCCATAGACAGGAAATGAAGTAAGTGGTAGATGTGCATGAAAGCAGGAGTCAGAAGACTTCGATTCTGGATCTGCTTTATCATTGACTAGATCTGTGACCCTAGAGAAGTAATTTCTCTCTCCAGAACCTCAGTTGCCACATCTGTGCAAGGTAACAACTTCACAGGGTTTCCTGCCAACTTCACAGTTCACAGAGTGGGTGTAAAAATCAGAAAAGAGGCCGGGCACGGTGGCTCATGCTTGTAATACCAGCACTTTGGGAGGCCGAGGCGGGCAGATCACGAGGTCAGGAGTTCGAGACCAGCCTGGCCAACACAGTGAAACCCCGTCTCTACTAAAAATACAAAAATTATCTGGGTGTGGTGATGGGCGCCTGGAATCCCAGCTACTGGGAGGCCGAAGCAGGAGAATTGCTTGAACCTTGGAGGCGGAGGTTGCAGTGAGCCAAGACGGCACCACTGCACTCCAGCCTGGGTGATAGAGCTAGACTCCATCTCAAAAAAAAAAAAAAAAAAAAATCAGATAAGAGAAAGTATGTGAATGTGCTAGGAAAAACATAAAGCCAGGAAGCTAGGAAAGACAAATATGAGGTACTGGCTGTCTAGTGTCCCTTTCCCACTGATAGGCTGACAGGTGAAACACTTGGCATTTAATTTTCTGGTCCATCTGTTTGAGATTGGCCAGAAAGCCCTTATGTAGAGAAGACAGTAGCCCCAGAAAGTCCAAAAAGAGTCCCATCCCATGGTGGCAAGCACCACTTCTAAGGATGTAAGGAGGATTCTTCCACTATGTGAGCTCAGAGGGCCCTGCGAGGCCATTATTTCCTTTGAGTACCACCTGAGATATCACAAGAATTGTTTCTGCAGTAATAAACTGGAGACTTTAAGGAAGTAACATGTTTATTTCCAAGTCTCAACTATAATATACATATTTTATATTACCCAGAGGCCTCTATGTTGCTGTTCTTTCTGACCGTACATAAGGCACCCTGCTCCCATCTTCTCCCTCCATCCTACTCCATTAAGGCCCCACCTTCCTTCCATAACAATGGAGAGGGGTGGCATCTACCAGGAAAGAGCTACATTTTGACAGTTCCAGCTTCCAACTACCTTGAACTTTTTTTTTCCCTTCTCCCTTCACCATTACCCCACTTTGTGGTAGGAAAGGGAGGACAGGAACAGGAGAAAAATTGAAACTGACAAGATGACTACAGAGAAGGTATGGGGAACTGAAGAAGCCCTGCAACTCTATTGGTTGATTTCATGAGAAATCGTGAATTTTAAAACTGCCCAAATTTCATTCTGACTCTCAGAAAGTAAATGACTTTGTTGAAGGCAACAGAGTGGGTCAGAGGTTAGATCACAGATGAAGGAACCCTGGGGATCCTGTGCTCTCACCAATTTGCTTGCAACTTTTCCTGCCACATCCCTTGGAATCAGAGAGGGAAAGATAATTAAGGCCCATTGTTTATGGCCTGTGTTGCTTTTATGAGTACACATGTGTTCTATATACTAAATGCTCGTGGTTGGTGACAGTCTCTCTAAATAAAATCCAGTGATGACTGTGAAGACCTTGCAGGACCATTTTAGAAGATGAAAAGGAGATTCCTGTGCAGTCTCAGGGACCCAATACACTGGATCAATTGCAATTGTCTTTTGTTCTGCCACTTTTATTGTTACCCATGCAAGGCAGCCTGCTGGTTTTCCATTAGAAAGACCAGAGAGTGCCAAGCCTAAATAACCACTGAATATCATTTCTATCTCTGCTCCCTCCCTCTCTCATTCATTAGTTAGAAGGCCATATATTTGGGTTGTATTGTGCACACATTAGGAAAGGCTGGGAAGACTACTGGTTGTTTATTCTGTCTTTGTTCCTCCTTCTCCTATCTTCTTTCCATAGTAGCCTGATAAACTAACTTGGTTCATTTTGCTACATGGCCTAATAACATTATCACCAGGGATGCACAAATTATACCTACTCTCCACCGTCCTGTGTCTTGTCAACAGAGAGACGGAAGGTGACATGGACAGGCGAAAAGAGGGACAGATGGAAAGGAGGAAGAGTTGCTGGTTAGCTGCTTTGGCCTGCTGAATATATATATATATATATGTGTGTGTGATTCTCACTCTGTCTCTCTCTGTCTCCCAGGCTGGAGTGCAGTGGTGCGATCTTGGCTCACTGCAACCTCTGCCTCCTGAGTTAAAGCAATTCGCCTGCCTCAACCTCCCGAGTAGCTGCGATTACAGGCGCGTGCCACCATGCCTGGCTAATTTTTGTATTTTTAGTAGAGACGGGGTTTCACCATGTTGGTCAGGTGAAACTCTGACTCAAGTGATCCACCTACCTCGGCTTCCCAAAGTGCTGTGATTACAGGTATGGGCGACCGTGCTGGGCCTGAGTATATCTAGATTAGCAGGTAGAAACTCTGAATTCATGTTTCTGAAAATGGTCAGCGACCACCTGCATCAAAATCATCGAAAGAAGCTTGTTAAACAATGAAGATTCTTGGGCCTCCCACCCCCAGAGCATAATTTTTTTGTGTATCTGCAGTGGGACCCAGGAATCTGCATTTTGACAAGCACCCTAGGTCAGTCTGATATCCACTGAGGTTTGAGAACCACTGATGTAAACAAATTCTAATACATTCACCCGGTTTCAAAGGCATGCTCAACCTCTATATTCTTCTTGAGTTTTCATATGGTAGCCTCTTTCTGAGGAGTTTCTTCCCTCCATCTCTGCCCAGAGATATCCTGCTAATGTCTCAAGGCCCAGCTCAAATATAACCTATTTCGTAATGTCTTCTCTGCTTTCTGTTTCTCACCTGCAAATAGCTGGGATCTCTCTTGAAGCAATGAGACAGAATATTGGCTTGATGTCAGTAGTGGAGTGTGAGGGGAATTGGGAACATGAGGATGGGAGAGCTGGAATGGAGCTGGAGCTTGAGTTCTGAGGTTTGCCCTGAAGTGTAGCACCTGAGTTTGCACACTGGAGCTGAGGTGGTTAAAAAGGCTGGAAGCTGAGTACTAGTAAAAAAAAGTAACACACGCCAAGTCCTCAAATGGTCAGAGCAGTGACCCCAACCACCTAGAAACCATAATTTGGGAGGGGGATTAGCAGCCCTTTCATGCCTGAGGATGGGGATGGGAGACAAACAGAATGGCTGCCCACTAGACTACTGCACATGCTCAGTAGGGAAAAGGACCTGTTTGCAACACTCACCAAGGGGGCTCTTGGAGTTTGGGAAAGGTTAAAGGGGCTATTGGGAAGCATCGGTACTAGGGTGCAAGGGAGTCTTGGGGGCAGTGGATGGGCAGTGAATAATAACTGGAGGGACAGCTCTCTTTTTGGCCCTGACACTTTGCAGCTGAGTTTGTACACTTAAATTGAAGTTGCTGTGAGGGCTCTAGACTAGCTAAACCAATCTCAAAGTGATTCCCAGCAGGCCCCAGAATGATTAGAACAGTAAATTCTAACCACCTAGAAACCTTAGAGAGTAAATGAGGATTGTGGACTGTTTTGTGGGAGGGAATTGGCTCCCCATAGACCACACTGCATGGATGCAATAAGTTAGAGGGGAGGGCATTGAGGGATATGGGAATACTTGCTGAGGAATGTTTCTGGCTTCAGGGTCTCCACAAGGTTGAGGGAGGCTTTGACTACCTCCATATTTTGAAGACTCCTGTATATTTTTTAAACAAGTTGAAAAAATAAAGTTAAAAATTATAATCTCTTCAAAATGCTAACATATTTTTAAAATTACATTTTTAGCCCCAAAGCAAAACTACAATACAATGTATAATTTCTAGTGAGGTCCAGAAATCTGCATTTTTAGCAAATGCCCCATATGATTTTGATACACACCAACATTTGAGAAGCATGCCCTGAATTCTACCAAGAGAAGAAAGCAATCCAAGTGAGGTAGACTTCCCTTGTCAGGGAAAATGAACCCTCTCGCTTCTCTTTGGCATGTATATGTCACAGCAATTTGTGTTGCTTTCCCATCAAAGTGAAGTAGAGCTGGTCTTATACTCAAGTGAAGTAGGTAACTACCAGTTAAAGTGAAGCCTCCCAATATGTCCCCCTGCCCAAAATATCTCTCCAACCGGCCTGCCCATGGGGCCTAAGATTCCTAGGAGCAGCCTTTCTCCTTAAGAGTTATCATTAGCTCTGCTTTTGCTGTGTTTGTGCCTGCCACTCTCCCTTTGTATTAGGTTATAAAGTTTTCCAATTTGCTAAACAAGATAGTTGCTTGCAGGAAATCTGAAAGAATATGTAAGACTTTGTCAAAAACTGGTAAGAAATTGGCCTTGCAGTTTGATTGCAAGGAAAATAACTGTGAGCTTGGATTTGTTGAGAAATGTAAAATTGAACAGGCATGTTCATTTAACCTCTAGCTATGGCCATGTGCTCAGAATCTGGACAAATCAACAACATTTGAGGGTGTGCTCTACAATCAGAGTATATATACTCACACTGTGAAAGGAGCTAAAACAAATAGAAGCCTTGGCCTGCTCTACAGGAGCTGACAATCTGAAAGGCAATGCAGGGCACACACATGAATTAGAACACATCTGTAAGGCTATGTGTCGTTAGGTGCACATTATAGCCGCACAAAAGTCCTAAACACTGTGGAAAGTGGAGAAAAGGCAGGACCACTGTCTATGGTGGTGTAGTTTGTCTCTTACACAAAACCACCCAGCCAGGAGCTGATCTGGGAAAATGTTCCAAAGTCATAGTTGGGTAGAGAGGGTAGGACAGATAGTAGAAAAGGGCATCACTACCAAACACTGAAAGTAAACAAGGGAACAGCCAATGTCCAATTTGTCTATCAGATAAGGTGAAAGGCTAGTCCCACGAAAATAAATGAAAATTTATTGGGGATGATATCTCTTGGAAAGTTTTAGATAAGTATGATTACAAAAGCACATCCATAATGTTATAATTCAGTTTAAATCAAGGGTTATAAATAAAACAGATTTCTATATACCAAGTGATTTTGTCATCCATATTATTCACTGCTATAATCCCACCACCTAGCATCTGGCAGACAATCAACACATATTTTTGAATGAATTAATGTATGAATGCTTACCTTACTCAACAATTAGCAGCTTACTGTGTTTATCCAATCCTTCCAGGTGGGCTATAGTTGCTGATCTTTAGGATTCAGGTAATACCGCTGTACTCCAATTGTATTCTGTGTGGCATTCCCATCACCGCCACTGGACAATCATCTCTTTATACCCAGAACTATACAGAACACTTGCAATGTGGGAGTTGCTCAACACAGGAATCAAAAAAATAAATGGATAGTTAGATAATGAATTGATACATGATAAATGAATGGAAAAAGACTGTTTAGAAGAGTATTTATAATAATTTCTCTGCTAAATTATTGCATAATAATTCCCAACGTGAGGTCACGTGAGCACCAGAGGAATGGGAGCAATTGGGGTCCTCAAGCTCTTTTCAAAATGCTTAGCTAAAATCATATCCTCATATCAGTGGAGTGGGTGCAATGAGGGGCACCAGAAAGCATTCTATGCACACACACAAAAAGTTGCCTATGGTTTATAACTTGGCCTACTGTATCTTTCCATTCTCTGTCAAAAATCAAGTATTCTTCCCTCAAAACCTTTAGAAAATTTTTAAAGGACATAACTGCTTATTGTTTAAAATACCTACAAACAAAAAGCTAAACTCACGTAGGGATTAAAAAAAAAAAACCACCGGCATTTCCAGATACCAAGACATCTAGCCAAGTTTATTAAAAAAATGGCTGAATACCCACAGGAGTTGAATCATCATTCTCCCTTTTTGAACATGTCCACAGATGGAAATCTGTGCTTGAAAATGTGACTCAGTTCATTTTAAGAAATACTGATTGAATATCTACTTCATTTCAAGAGCTGTGGTAGCAAAACATAAGTGTATTTCCAAGGATGAGAGATTGCTGTTCTGGGCCATCAAAGGGTAAAATGAGAACTCAAGGTTTGTTCCTGGTATTATATGTTCAGAAGTACAGGGGAAGGAATCAACAATTATATAGCTCTTACTACATACCAGGGAGTAGCCTAGGAATTTTATATTGACTTCTACAACCATTCTGCTTGGTAGGTATTTCCCCCCATTTTTACTGTTGAGAAAACTGTGACTCAAAGACTTGAATTTACTGGTCTGAGATCACATAGCTAGTAAGTAGAACAGGAGTATTCCAAACCGTTCTGTGTTGTTTGACTCCCCCCCAAAACCTCTGCCCTTTTGACAGTGGCATGCTGCTTCTCAATATTTCATACTGCTCTTACCTCCTATCCTCCTCTGCATCCTAATTTGCCTACAGAAACACTGTATCCCATGGCAAATTTCAGGACAGTGAGAGTTTATTATAGCCATAACTCTGTGTGTGTTTGTGTGTGTGTGTGCACGCGCAAGCGTGTGCACGTACATAAAATTTATATATTGAAATTGTTTTAGTTCAGGGTCTCATCAAGAGCATTCTAACATTTTGCTGGCATACCCTCTAATGAATTTGGAAAAACAAAATCTATATATCTCCTTACATATTTTTGGATTGATGTCCAAATATTTCATCATAAGTTTCAACAGTTGCAAAGGATGTAATTTCTGGAATACGGTAGACATTGACATTTAAAATAAAACTATGTAATTACTCATTTAAATGCATCCAATGGAATCTGAATACTATAGCAACTTCTTACTCATACCCATATGTTAAGAAAATAAATGGCTTAAATCTTCTTCAGGGGAAGAAAGTTTACATCATTCCTTTGTCTCCTTGAATTCTCATTTCCGTTCCACATCCCCACAAAATTTTATTGTAATGTTATATAATTTTTGCATTTAAGTATTTTATTTTTTATTGCTTTGTCATATTTCTTCATAAGAAAGCATAAATTGAAATTTAATTTTTTTATTCCCTATTGCCATAAGGTAATAATGTTAAAACCATTCTTCTGAATTTAGTTGTCCTTTAATTATTAGTAGTACCAAACTACTTGAAAGAACACAAATATAAATATAAATTTTGATAAACAATTATTAGAGATAAAATTACACTTTTATTAAAAATGCCTTTCTTCTTAAAAATGTGATTGGAGCTTTTCTCCCAACTAGGTATTATATTCACAGATGAATACTGAATAACATTCAGGAACAAGATTCAGCATCAATTATATTTTGTTTCCATTTTTATAAAAGTAAATGTTATGAAATCTTTTTCATATCAATAATTATATGTGAATTGATAGAGTTTAATTATGCTACTGTCACTCAATTTTTTAACTCAGAGTTGTGTGCCAGAAAGTCATATAATTATTTTTCATAAAATAATATTTTTAACAATTTATTATCTGAATACTTGATTAAGTTCTCCTTAAATGTTATTGAAGTCAATAAATTAGAAACCACCTGAGACAGAAGACAATTTGTTACCTAAGATTAGAGTCATTCAGTTTCTCAATTTCTGGGAAGTACTACTCTGGTAGGCAGCTTCTGAGATGGACCCCTGTGATTTCCACTTTCTGGCATTTGAGTCCTTATGCAGTCCTCTCCCCATGAGTGTGGGCTAGACCCAAGAACTCACTTTTAACAAATAGAATATGGCAAAAGAGGCAGGCACGGTGGCTCATGCCTGTAATCCCCACACTTTGGGAGGTCGAGGCGGGCGGATCACGAGGTCAGGAGTTCGAGTCCAGCTTGGCCAATATGGTGACTCCCCATCTCTACTAAAAATACAAAAATTAGCCTGGCATGGTGGCGGGTGCCTGTAATCCCAGCTACTCGGGATGCTGAGGCAGGAGAATTGCTTGAACCCAGGAGGCAGAGGTTGCAGTGAGCCAAAATCACGCCAGTGCTCTCCAGCCTGGGCGACAGGGCAAGACTCCATCTCAAAAACAAAACAAAACAAAACAAAAACAACAACAACAACAAAAAAAAAAACAAAATGAAGACTACGGCATGGTGACCATAGTTAATAATAATAATGTATTGTATACTTGAAGTTGCTGAGAGAGTAGATCTTAAATGTTCTCACCACACACACATAAACAAAATGGTAACTGAGGAGGCAGAGCAAGATGACTGAATAGAAGCCTCCAACAACCGTCCTCTGTGCAGGAACACCAAATTAAACAACTACACACACCGTAAAGCACCTTCATAAAAAACAAATAACAAAAAATCAGGTGAGGGATCATAGTACCTGTTTTTAACCTCGTATTGCTGAAAGAGACACTGAAGAGGGTAGAAAAGACAGTCACGCATTCCCGACACCATCCTTCCTGCACCTCTGGCAGTGGCTGCATGGCATGGAGACAGAATCTGTACACTTGGAAGAGGGAGAGCATAGTGGCTGAGACATTGCATTGAATTCAGTGCTGCCCTGTCACAGCAGAAGCAACACTGGGCAGAACCCAGCCCAGTGAGCTGGGCTAACCCCTGGAGTGAGCATTTAGACCAGCCCTAGCCAGAGGGGAACTGTTCATCCCAACCATCAGAACCTGAGTTCCAGTAAGCCTCACCACCTCAGGCCAAAGTGCTCTGGGGTTCTAAATGCACTTGAAAGGTAATCTGGGCCACAAGGACTGCAATTCCTTGGCAAGTCCTGGTGCTGTGCTGCACATGATGCAAGCAGACTTGGGGTACATGTGACCTAGTGAGACACCAGCAGGGGCGGCCAAGGGAGTGCTTGTACCACCCCTCTCACAATCCAGGCAGTGCAACTCATAGCTCCAGGTAAGACCCCTTCCTTCTGCTTGAGGAGCAGAGAGGGAAGAAACAAGAAGACTTTCTCTTGCAACTTGGATACCGGCTCAGCCACAGTAGGATAGGGCACTGGGCAGAGTCCTGAGGCCCCCATTCCAGGCCCTGGCTCTTGAATGACAATTCTAGACACATCCTGGGCCAGAAGAGAACCTGCTGCTTTGAAGGGAAGGACTCAGTTCTGGAAGGATTCATCACACACTGACTAAAGAGCCCTTGGACCCTGAATAATCAGGAGTGTTAGTCCTGTAGTACTCACTGTGAGCCTTGGGTGAGACTGAGAAATATATTGGCTTCAGGTGTGGCCCAGCATTATTCTCAGCTATGGTGGCTACAGGGAGAGACCCCTTCTGCTTGAGAAAAGGAGAGGGAAGAGTAAAGGGGACTTTGTCTTGCAGCTTAGGTGTCAGCTCAGCCACAGTGGAGTAGAGCACCAAGCAGTCTCTTTTGGTCCTTGATCCCAGGCCTTGGCTCTTGGACAGCATTTCTGGACCTTCCCTGCACCAAAGGGGGTACCACTGCCCTGAAGGGATAGTCCCAGGACTGGCAGCATTCATTGCAAGCTGACTGAAGGGTCATTGGCCCTTGAGTGAACATCAGCAGTAGGCAGGCAATACTTGCTATGTGCCTGGTGTGGTGGTGGCCATGGGGAAAGACTCCTCAGCTTATGAAAAGGGGAGGAAAGAGTGGGGAGGAAAGATTGGGAAGGGTTTTGTCTTGTGGCTTGGGTGCCAGCTCAGCCCCAGTAAAATAGAGCACCAGGTAGATTCCTAAGGTTTCTGACTGTAGGCCCTGGCTCCTGTATGGTATCTCTGGACCCACCTGGGGACTGGGGGAACTTACCACCCAGAAGGGAAAGACACAAGCTTGGCTGGCTTTGCCACCTGCCGATTGTAGAGCCCTAGGGCCTTGAGCAAACATAGATGGTAGCCAGGCAGTGGTCACCGCAGGCCTTGGGTGAGAGCCAGTGCTGTGCTGGTTTCAGGTCTGACCCAGGGAAGTCCTAGTGGTGGTGGCCACAGTGGTGCTTGTGTTACCTCCCCCCAACTCCATGCAGCTCAGCGCGTGCACACACACACACACACACACACACACACACACACAGAGAGAGAGAGAGAGAGACTCCATTTGTTTGGGAGAAAATAACGGAAGACAACAAGAGCCTCTGTCTTATAATCCAGAGAATTCTTCCAGATCTTATCAAAGACCATGAAGGCAGTACCTCTACAAGTCTGCAAGAGCCACAGTATTACTGGGCTTGGGGTGTCCCCTAATGCAGATACAGCTGCAGTGACAAAAACCTTAGATCACAACACCTAAATCCCTTCAAATATCTGGAAAGCCTTCCCAAGAAGACATGCACAAACAACCCCAGACTGTGAAGACTACAATAAATATCTAACTCTTCAATGCCCAGACACAGATAAATATGGACCAGCATCAAGAGCATCCACGAAAACAAGACTTCACCAAATGAACTAAATAAGGCACCAGGGACCAATCCCAGGGATACAGAGATATGTGGCCCTTCAGACAGAGAATTCAAAATAGCTGTTTTGAGGGAACTCAACAAAATTCAAGATAACACAGAAAAGGAATTCAGAATCCTATCAGATACATTTTTTTAAAAAGATAGAAATAATTTAAAAGAATCGGGAAGAAATTCTGTAGTGGAAAAGTGCAATTGGCATACTGAAGAATGCATGAGTCTCTCAATAGCAGAGTTGATCAAATAGAAGAAAGAATTAGTAAGCTTGAAGACAGGCTATTTGAAAATACACAGGCAGAGGAAACAAAAGAAAAAAGAATGAAGCATCCCTACAAGATCTAGAAAATAGCCTCAAAAGGGCAAAGCTAAAAGTTTTGGCCTTAAAGGGGATGTAGAGAAAGAGATGGGGGTTGAAAGTTTAGTCAAAGAAATAATAACAGATAACTTCCCAAACCTATAGAAATATATTAATATTCAAGTACAAGAAGGTAATAGAACACCAAGCAGATTTAACCAAAAGACTACCTCAAGACATTTAATAATCAAATTCTTCCCAAAGGTCAAGGGTAAAGAAAGGATCCTGAAAGCAGCAAGAAAAAAGAAGCAAATAACATGTAATGAAGTTCTAATACACCTGGCAGCAGACTTGTCAGTGGAAACTTTACAGGCCAGGAGAGAGTAGCATGAATTATTTAAAATGCTGAAGGAAAAAACTTTTATCCTAGAATAGTATACCCAGTGAAAAAATATCCTTTAAACATAAAGGATAAGTAAAGATTGTCCCAGATAAACAAACGAAAAAAAAATGGTAACTGTTTGAGGTGATGGATATGTTAATTAGCTTGATTTAATCATTTTACAATTATATATAAATCAAAACATCATGTTGTACACCATGAAAAATATACAATTTTTGTCAAGTTTACATTTAAAATGCCAGGAGAAGAAAAAGAATATGGCAAAAGTGATGTCATTTCCAAGATTACGTTACAAAAAGACCATGGCTTTTCTCTCTCTCTTACTCTGAGAAAAGCCTGCTACCATGCTGTGAGTTGCCCTGCAGAGAGGCCCACATGGCAAGGAACTGAGGGAGGCCTCTGTCCAATAGCTAACAAGGCTCTAAGACCTTCAGCCGCATAGCCCATGAAGAACTAAACCTGCCAACAACCATGTAAGTGAATTTGGAAGAAAATCCTTCCTTGGTTGAGTCTTCAGATGAGACGTTAGCTCTAGCCAACACCTTGTCCATACCCTTGTAAGAGATCTTGAGCCAGAGGCACATAACTTTGCCACACCCAGATTCCTGACCCACAGAAACTGGGATAATAAATGTTTGTGGTTTTAAGCTTTAAGTTTTTAGATAAAACCAAAAAGGCTTTACTAAGACTTATCAAATACTTATTAAATATACAAATTACTCTTTTACTTAGAGGTACCTTGTTTAACCCAACATATTAAGTAAAATTCATGATATAGAAAATAGATATTTTAATAATTTTAATATACCTTTACCAATAAAACATTTTTTAAATGCTTTTGTATTATCACATGCTTTGAATATAATTTTACCAAAACTACAGAGCTGCAGATTTAGCAATTTATAGAAAATATTGGCCAAGTGCTGTAATCCCAGCACTTTGGGAGGCTGAGGTGGGCAGATCGCTTGAGCTCAGGAGTTCAAGTTCAGCCTGGGCAACACAGCAAAACCCTGTCTCTACAAAAAATACAAAAATGAGCCAGGTGTGGTGGTATGCGCCTGTAGTCCCAGCTACTCAGGAGGTTGAGGTGGGAATATCACTTGAGCCTGGGAGGTGAGGTTGCAGTAAGCTGAGATAGCACCACTGCACTCCAGCCTGGGTGACAGAGTGATACCCTATCTCAAAAATATATCTATATCTATAGATAGATAGATAGATAGATAGATATCTGTAATTTAGCCTAACTGGCATAATAATTTTCATTTCCAAAACAATTGGCTAAATCACACTTACTTATTTTCTGTCTCAAAAAATACAGCTTGATTTTTCAGCTCAATAAATATGTCAGTACTCTTCATGCCCTTTGCCCACTTTGGAAACCAAAAAAAGTCAAGGTCCAGATGGATTCACAGCCGAATTCTACCAGAGGTACAAAGAGGAACTGGTACCATTCCTTCTGAAACTAGTCCAATCAATAGAAAAAGATGGAATCCTCCCTAACTCATTTTATGAGGCCAACATCATATTGATACCAAAGCCTGGCAAAGACACAACAAAAAAAGAGAATTTTAGACCAATATCCCTGATGAACATTGATGCAAAAATCCTCAATAAAATACTGGCAAACCAAATCCAGCAGCACATCAAAAAGCTTATCCACCACGATCAAGTTGGCTTCACCCCTGGGATGAAAAGCTGGTTCAACATATGCAAATCAATAAATGTAATCCATCACGTAATCAGAACCAACGACAAAAAATCGCATGATTACCTCAATAGATGCAGAAAAGGCCTTCAAGAAAATTCAACAGCCCTTCATGCTAAAAACTCTCAATAAACTAGGTATTGATGGAACATATCTCAAAATAATAAGAGCTATTTATGACAAACCCACAGCCAATATCATTCTGAAAGTGCAAAAACTGGAAGCATTCCTTTTGAAAACTGGCACAAGACAAGGATGCCCTCTTTCACCACTCGTATTCAACATAGTGTTGGAAGTTCTGGCCAGGGAAATCAGGCAAGAGAAAGAAATAAAGGATATTCAATTGGGAAATGAGGAAGTCAAATTGTGTGTCTTTGCAGATGACATGATTGTATATTTAGAAAACCCCATCTCAGCCCAAAATCTCCTTAAGCTGATAAGCAACTTCAGCAAAGTCTCAGAATACAAAATCAATGTGCAAAAATCACAAGCATTCCTATACACCAATAACAGACAAACAGAGAGCCAAATCATGAGTGAACTCCCATTCACAATTGCTACAAAAAGAATAAAATACCTAGGAATCCTACGTACAAGGGACGTGAAGGACCTCTTCAAGGAGAACTACAAACCACTGCTCAACAAAATAAAAGAGGACACAAACAAATGGAAGAATATTCCATGCTCATAGATAGGAAGAATCAATATCATGAAAATGGCCATACTGCCCAAAGTAATTTATAGATTCAATGCCATCCCCATCAAGCTACCAATGACTTCCTTCACAGAATTGGAAAAAAACTACTTTAAAGTTCATATGGAACCAAAAAAGAGCCAGCATTGCCAAGTCAATCCTAAGCCAAAAGAACAAAGCTGGAGGCATCACTCTACCTGACTTCAAACTATACTACAAGGCTACTGAAACCAAAACAGCATAGCACTGGTACCAAAACAGAGATATAGACCAATGGAACAGAACAGAGCCCTCAGAAATAACACCACACATCTACAACCATCTGATCTTTGACAAACCTGACAAAAACAAGTAATGGGGAAAGGATTCCCTATTTAATAAATGGTGCTGGGAAAACTGGCTAGCCATATGTAGAAAGCTGAAACTGGATCCCTTACTTACACCTTATACAAACATTAATTCAAGATGGATTAAAGACTTAAATGTTATACCTAAAACCATAAAAACTCTAGAAGAAAACCTAGGCATTACCATTCAGGACATAGGCATGGGCAAGGACTTCATGACTAAAACACCAAAAGCAATGGCAACAAAAGCCAAAATAGACAAATGGGATCTAATTAAACTAAAGAGCTTCTGCACAGCAAAAGAAACTATCATCACATTGAACAGGCAACCTACAGAATGGGAGAAATTTTTTGCAATCTATCCATCTGACAAAGGGCTAATATCCAGAATCTACAAAGAACACAAGCAAATTTACAAGAAAAAAACAAAAAACCCCATCAAAAAGTTCGCAAAGGATATGAACAGATACTTCTCAAAAGAAGACATCTATGCAGCCAAAAGACACATGAAAAAATGCTCACCATCACTGGTCATCAGATAAATGCAAATCAAAACCACAATGAGATACCATCTCACACCAGTTAGAATCATTAAAGAGTCAGAAAACCACAGATGCTGGAGAGGATGTGGAGAAATAGGAATGCTTTTACACTGTTGATTGGAGTGTAAATTAGTTCAACCAGTGTGGAAGACAGTGTGACAATTCCTCAAGGATCTAGAATGAGAAATACAATTTGATCCAGCAATCCCATTACTGGGTATATACCCAAAGGATTATGAATCATGCTACCATAAAGGCACATGCACAAGTATGTTTATTATGTTTATTATGGCACTATTCACAATAGCAAATGTCCATCAATAATAGACTGGATAAAGAAAATGTGGCACATATACACCATGGAATACTATGCAGCCATGGAGAAGGATGAGTTCATGTCCTTTGCAGGGACATGGATGAAGCTGGAAACCATCATTCTCAGCAAACTATCACAAAGACAGAAAACCAAACACCGCATGTTCTCACTCATAGGTGGGAATTGAACAATGAGATCACTTGGACACAGGGTGTGGAACATCACACACTGGGGCTTGTCGAGGGGTGGAGGGCTGGGGGAGGGATAGCATTAGGAGAAACACCTGATGTAAATGATGAGTTGATGGGTGCAGCACACCAACATGGCGCATGTATACCTATGTATTGAACCTGCAGGTTGTGCACATGTACCCTAGAACTTAAAGTATAATAATAAAAAAATACATAAATAAATGAATAAATAAATAAAGATATAGATATAACATGCAGGCTTGCTATGAGTTTGTCACCATTATGAAATGAGGTGATATAGATAGTTCTTCTAATGTTGTCTTTTTCGCTTTGCCTTTACAGAATTCTCCCTCAGGAATGATATATTCCTTGAGCAATAGTTGAGAAATGTAGAGGAGGTCGTTAAAAGAAGATTATCATCACTCTTGTAATACCACTACAAATTATCCCAGTATCCCCCAAACCAGCTCAAACACTGTGTATCTAAGCTTCACCCTTAATAAAAATATGTATAAGGTGTAGAGTGATTTTTAAAAAGCCAATGATGGATACATGGTACAGTAATTGAAGGTGTCATCTTAATATTTTAATGGCATGGAATTTTTTTTACTGCTTTGTGAAGCCTTTGGATTCCTTATCTAGAATTATACTTTTAAATATATAAAAATATAATTTGCTTTTGCATAAATTGACAAGCTGCTCCTAAAATTCATATACAAATATAAGAGACCCCAAAGAACCAATATAATCTTGAAAAATCAATGAAGTTTGAGGATTTATACTTCCAAGTTTCAAAACTTACTACAAAGCTATAGTAATCAAAACAGTGTGGTAGTGGCATAAGAATTGACATAAAGACCAACAGAATAGAATTAAAGGTCCAGAAGAAATAAATTTTTTATGAGTTTCTGTCAAGGGTACCAAGACAATTCAATGGAGAAAGACTAGTCTTTTCTAACAAACGGTGCTGAGACAACTGGATTTCCACATGCAAAAGAGTAAAGTAAGGCTCCTTTTTCATACCATACACAAAAACTAACTCTATATTGAGCACAGACCTAAATGTAAGTGATAAAACTCTTAGAAGAAAACCTAGGAGTAAATCTTTGTGACCATGGGTTAGACAATGATTTCACAGATATGACACTGGAAGCACAAGTGATAAAAGAGATGATTCATAGTTGAGTTTCATTAAAGTTAAAAACTTTTTGCCTCAACATATACTATCAAGAAATCAGAAGACAGCCCACAGAATAGAAGAGAATATTTGCAAATCATAGATCTAATAAGTGACTGGTATCCAGAACACACAATGTTTACGTCTCAATAATACAAAGACAACCTGATTTTTTAAGTGGGCAAAGGATATGAAATGACATTTCTCCAAATAAGATGTACAAATGGTCAATGAGCACATTGTAACATCCTCAACATCATTCGGCATTAAGAAAATGCAAATTAAAACCAGAATGAGATACCACCAGTTCACACTAGGATGGCTATAATAAAAAACATGGACAGTAACAAATGTTGGTAAGGATGTGGAGAAATTGGAACCCTCGTATATTGCTGATGGGAAAGTAAAACTGTATAGCCACTTTGGGAAACAATAGGGATATCCCTCAGATAGTTAAAGTTATCATATGACCCAGCAATTTCATTCATAGGTATATACTCAAGAGAATTAAGAACATATACTTCCATAAAAACTCGTACACAAATACTCATAGGAGAATTATTCAAAATATTCACAATAGCAAAGAGTGGAAACAACCCGAATGACCATCAATTGATTAATGGATAAACAAGAAGTCTATACAAGGAAATATTATTCAGCCACGGAAAGGAATGAAGTACCGACACGTTACAAAATTGGTGAACCTTGAAATCATTATGCTAGGTGTAAGAATACACACACAAGGGACCAATATTTTATGATTCCATTTATATGAAATGTTCAAAACAGATAAATCAGTAGAGATGAAAGTAGAATGATTAGTGGTTGACAGAGACAAGAAAGGGCAGCAAGAAGGGAGTGCTGGAAAGTAACTGCCAATAAGTTTATTTTTGGAGTGATGAGAATGTTTTAAATCTAGGTAGTGGTGATGGATGCTGAACTCTGTGAATATATAGCTGACCCTTGAACAATGCACAGGTTAGGGGTGCTGATCCTTCATGTAGTCAATAATCTGCTTATAACTTTTGGTTTCCCCAAAACTTAACTACTAATACACTAATAGCCTACTCTTGATGGGAAGCCTTACTAATAACAATTAACACATATTTTGTATGTTATACATATTATATACTGTATTTTTTTTTTTTGAGATGGAGTCTCACTCTGTCACCCAGGCTAGAGTGCAGTGGCATGATCTCGGCTCACTGCAACCTCCACCTCCCGTGTACAAGCGAGTCTCCTGCCTCAGCCTCCCTAGTAGCTGGGATTACAGGCATGCACCACCACAAAAGCAAATTTAGTAGAGAGGGGGTTTCACCATGTTGGCCAGGCTGGTCTCGAACTCCTGACCTCAAGTGATCCCCCCGCCTTGGCCTCCCAAAGTGCTGGGATTACAGGCATGAGCCACCATGCCTGGCCAATTTTTGGATTTTTAGTAGAGACAGAGCGTCACTATATTGGCTAGGCTACCCTCAAACTCCTGACCTCGTGATCCACCCTCCTCGGCCTTCCAAAGTGCTGGGATTACAAGCGGGACATATACTGTATTCTTATGATGAAGTAAGGTAGACAAAAGAAAATGTTATTAAGAAAATCATAAGGAAGAAAAATATATTTATTATTCATTAAGTGGAAGTGAATCATCATGAAGGTCTTCATCCTTATTATCTTCACGTTGAGTAGGCTGAAGAGGAAGGGAAAGAGGAGTGGCTGATCTTGCTGTCTTAGGGGTAGCAGAGACAGAAGAGGTGGAAGAGGTGAAATGGGAGGCAGAAGAGGCAGGTACACTCAGTGTGAGATTTTGCTTTTTCATTTCTGTAAAAATTTTTCTATATGGTACCAATCCTTCCACCATTTGCTTCAGTTTTCATGCCCATATCATAGAAGGGTCCCTGTCATAAAGAAGTCAAAAGTAGTCTTGAATAATCAGAACTCTTCTGCCAGATTGTCTAATGTTAATTTGTTTTCTGGCACTGCTTCTTCACATTCTTCCTCATTGTCTGTCACTGGTTCAGAAGCACTCATCTCCGTCAAGTGATCTTCAGTTAATTCCTCTGCTGTGGTATCTGTTAGCCCTTGAATATCTCCAAGACCCATATCTTGAAACCCTTCATTTGTTACCCTTTTTTTTTTATCCACATCCACAATTTCATTCATGATTTCCCTGATTGGCTCTGTCATAAATCCTGTGAATTCATGCACAATATCTAGGCACAGTTTTCTCTAGCAGGAATTTACTGTTTTGGGCTTTGAAGGTTTCTACGGCTTTTTCTATAACAAAGGTGGCATCCTCAATGGTGTAATCCTTCCAGACTTTCAGTGTTCTTTTTATCGAGGTTTTCTTCCATAGCATTGACAGCACTTTCCATAGAGTACCATGTGAAAAGAGCCTTAAAAGTCCTTATGGCCCCCTGATCTAGAAGCTGGATTCAAGGTGTTGTATTTTGGGTCAAGTAGACCACTTTGATGTCTTTGGTGTTGAACTCACAGCATTCTGAGTGGCCAGGGCATTTTCCAATATCAAAAGATCTTTAAAAGGCAATCCCTTACTAGCAAGGTACTTCCTGACTTCAGGGACAAAGCATTGAGGGAAGCTATCCAGAAAAAGGGTTCTCATTGTCCAGGCCTTCTAGTACAAACAAAAGACTAGCAACTGGGCTTTATTTTTTTCCTTCAGGGCTGAGGGGTTAAAAGGTTCATAGATAAGGGCAGTCTTGATCATAAGCCCAGCACAAAAGAATAGAGTTAGCCCATCTCTTCTTGCCTTTAATCCTGGGGCCCACTTCTCTTCCTTACTAATAACTGTCCTTTGTGGCATTTCCCCCCCAAGAACAGAACACTTTCATCTGCATTAAAAAACCTATTCAGGCAGATATCCTTTCTCTTCAAGAAGAGTCTGCAAACTCGTCAGCTGCCACTTCATCGGCAGAAGCTGCTTCTCCTGTTATCTTGACATTTTTAAAGCCAAACCTCTTTCTAAAATTATCAAACCATCTTTTGCTGGCATTAAATACTACAGCTTTAGATCCTTCACCTTCCTTTTGCTTTAAGTTGTCATATAATGAATTCACTTTTTCTTGAATCATATTAGAATCTATAGGTATGCCTTCCTTATAGCAATCCTGCACCCATACAAAAGGTGCATTTTCAAGACGAGATAATAAAGGTATTTTGCAAAAAGTGCAAAGTTTTTGCACATGCTGGAATAGCTGCAGTGACAGCTTCACAAATTTCCTTTTTTTTTTATTTTTACAATGGTCCTTATGCTGAATTCATTTATCTTGAAATAGTGGGCAACCACAGCTGCAGACCTCAATCTACGATACATATCAAGAAATTTGACATTTTCTTGTAATGTCATGACATTTCTGTTTCTTGGGAGTACTTCCAGCATTGCTAGTGGCACTTCATATGGCCCCCCGGTGTTATCCAATGTTTGCAGTATTGCACTAAATACAATAAAAATATGCAAGAACCACAAGAGATCACTTTTTACTGCAATATGCAATTTATTGGAGTAATTGTTTATATGGAGATAAGTGGCACACAGCATTTTAAATGGACACTCACAACACCTGAGCTCACCACAATGGCAACAGGAGGTGGCTACAAAATTATTATAGTAGTATAGTATGTATTACAGTTAATTTCATGCAGTTGTGATTTAATACTTCATCTTTATGCTTGTTTACATTTCTCTCAACTGCAAATGGTGCCATGTATGCTCTATGTGTGCATACATTTTGATAAATTTTAACTTTTTATAATAGTTGTGTATAGTTTATGGTAGTAAATAATATAATAGACTAGCATCAACACATATTTTATGCATTCAGGATATATCCATTTTTTTCTTAATTTTTCAATATTTCTAGGCTCTGCGGTTCATCTATGAGTTATTTCAAATTGTTGAAAATATCCAAATAATTTTCCAATAAATTTATTTTTTAGAAATCCACATGAATGGGCTCACACACAGTTCACATATTGTTCAAGGGTCACCTGTATTAAAAACTCTTGAAATGTAAATTTTAAAGAATTAATTTTATGATGTATATAATATATCTCAATAAAGCTGTTGCTAAAAAATAAACTCATAAAAGAAAACACAGTAGTAAATCTTCATGACCTAATGTTAGGCAACAGTTTCTTAGATTAATACAGCAAAAACATACGCAATGAAAGAGAAAATAGATAAATTGAGCCACATCAAAATAAAATATATAGAATTACAAAAGAAAGAAATGTTGAAATAAACAGTTATCCAAATATTTTTAAACACAAATTTGTGATATGGTAATATATGTGCTTCTTTATTAATTCATTAAATAACAAAATCTAGCAGTGGGTCTAATAAGTACCTAATTTTATCTAAAGGCTTCATTTTTATTTTGAACTTACTGCACACTTGACCCAAAACCATTTAGTCCCTCCTAGAAAAGATAGAGGTATATCCACTTTATCCATTAATAGCTGATTAGGATCTCTTATTCAGAAATACACATTGAGGATCTCAGAAATCAACAGAATCCTCTAATTCAGTAGTTCTTAGTCATTTGGGGATGTGCAGTTTCCTTTGAAAATATAATGAAAATCCAGAAAAATGCAAAACTTTCAATATTTCACATACAGGTTTAGTAGATCCATTGACTCCATTAACTTTATTCATAGAATCAAGTTTAACAATCCCTGTTTCATTAAATGACATTATTGGACTCAATCTGCTAATCCTTTAATATGACAGCTAAGCACTACTACCTTGGAGAGCAAAATGAAAGCCTTCATGGAATACCTGAAAGGATAAAGAGAAAATTCTAGGATTTACTGACAGACTGAATGTTCACTCAAAAACCACTGTAAGCCAACATTGTAAGGGATAGCTCTCTTTTTAAAAATCTCATGTGCAAGTAAAGAAAGAGATTTTTATTTTTTTGAAGTGGCAATTTTTTAACAGCACAGCAGCCTAAGGCAACAAGGCCAGTTAGGGCTAAAAAGAGGCTGATAAAAAAATGTAAAGGAAAACATTGGTAACAAGATGCCCATAGGGGGCTTTGAAAACCTCCAACAGAGTTCTAGGGATCTAGAAGGCCATGGACATGTACAGGGCTGTATGCATGCCCAGAAACATTGGAGAAGGCCCTAATCTCTCCCTTCTGGCTAATCTTGAGCTCTACACAAGTAGTAAGGAAAGGCCAAGGCAGAGTTTTAAACTGAGGGAGTGTTGAAGCTGTGTCACAATACATGAGCACCTTAGCAAAGAATGGGAGAACTATTGATTCAAGGCATTTGATAAAATCACTGTGCAATCATTAACTGAGCACTAGACTGAAAATAGACTTCAATGGCTTTATAAGACAAAGAATACAGGCTTATAATAATTAGTCAAAGAAAGTCACTAAACAAACACCAACAAAAAACCTGGTGGGAGGGGCTCAAATTTCCAGAGTAGCCACATTATGTTTTTAAAATGTCTAGTTTTATAAAATACAAAACACGCAAAAAAGCAAGAAAGTATGGCCCATATACAGGAAAGAAATATACCAATAGAAACTGTACTTGAGGAAGCCAAGAAGTTGGATTTACTGGACAAAGACTAAACCAGCTATTTTAAATGTGTTTTAAATATGACATATCCTATGTCAAAGAACTATAGGAAACCATGTCTAAAGAATGAAAGGAAACTATGAGAATTTTTCAACAAATAGAGAATATTAATAAAGTGATAGAGGTGATAAAAAAAGAATCAAATTGAAATTCTGGATTTGAAAAGCACAATAACAGAATGAAAAAGTCACTACAGAGGCTCAATAGCAGATTTGAACTGACACAAAGAATCAACAAACTGGAAGATGGATCAATTAAGACTTCTAGTCTGGGGAACAGAAAGAAAAAAGGGTGAAGAAAATTGAACAGAACCTCAAAGACTTGTGGGACATCAGATGTACCAACATATACATAATGGATCAATTAAGACTTCTAGTCTGGGGAACAGAAAGAAAAAAGGGTGAAGAAAATTGAACAGAACCTCAAAGACTTGTGGGACATCAGATGTACCAACATATACATAATGGATGTCCCAGGAGGAAAGGATAAATGGGAAGAAAGAATATTTGAAGAAATAATGGACAAAATCTTACCAAATTTGATGAAAAAAATTAATCTATACATCTAAGAGTTCAAATAACCCCTAGCAGGATAAATACAAAGATATTTACATCATAGTCAAACTGACAAAATGAAAGACAAACAAAGAACCTTGAAAGCAGCAAGAGAAAAAGTATTATGTCATGTACAGGGGATCTTCAATATGACAACAACTAATTTTTTTTTAATCAGAAACCATGGGCACTAGAAGTCATTGTGATGACATATACAAAATATTTAAAGCAAAAACTACCAAACAAATAAAACTATTTATAAATAACCAAATGGGATTTATCTGTGGAATGCAAAGTAACCAATCATATTAACAGTTAAAACAAGAAAAAGCCCATGATCATATCAATTGATGTAGAAAAAGCATCTGCAAACTTCAACATACATTGATGATTTTTTTTTAAAAAAAAGGTCTCAACAAACTAGGAATAGAATGTAACTTCCACAACCTGATATAAAGAATCCACAAAAACCTACAGCTAACATTAAACTTAGCGGTGAAAGATTGAAGGTTTTTTGTCTAAAATCAGTAATAAAGATAGTATATCTACTCTCACTACTTCTAGTCTATGTTATGCTGACAATTCTAGACAGTGAAATAAGAAAAAAAATCATTAAGGATATACAGATTGGAAAGGAAGAAGGAAAACTCTCTTTATTTAGAAACAATATGATCTTATATGAAGAGACCCCTATGGAATCTACAAAAAAACTTCCTAGAACTAAAAATTAGTTTAACAAGGCCACAGAATGCAAGGTCAACACACAAATCTCAATATATACTAGCAATAAATCATTGGTAACTGAAATTTTAAAATATAGTTCTGGCTATTATCTGAATGTTTTGTGTCCCCCTCCCCCAAGTTCATATGTTGAAAACCTAATCACCAATGTGATGGTATTAGATGGGGCCTTTGGGAGATGGTAAGATTATAAGGGCACAGTCTTCTTGAATGGAATTGTGCTCTTATAAAAGAGGCCCCAGAGGACATTGCCTTTCCCCCTTTTGCTTCACCATATGAGGTTACAGCAAGAAGGCCCTCACCAGATGACAGCAAATCTGCTGGCACCTTGATCTTGAACTTCCCAGGCTCCAGAATTGTGAGAAATAAATTTCTGTTGTTTACAAGCCACTCAGTTAATGGTATTTTGTTATAGCAGCCCAAATAAACTAAGTCTCATTGACAATCACTGCAAAGAAAATGAAATACTTAGTTATAAGCTTAACAAAACATGCAGAAGAGCTGTACACTGAAAACTATAAAACACAATGGAAAAAATGATATACTGTATTTGTGGACTAGAAGACTTAACAGAATAAATATATTAACAATCTTGACAAAGAAAATTAAAGTGGAAGGAATGGAATTGCGCTACCTAATTTCAACAGTTACTATATAGCTACAGCCATCAAGACAGTGTGGTATGATGCAGAGATGGACATATAGATTAATGTAACAGAACAGAGAATTCAGACATAGACTCACACAAATATCCCCAACTGATTTTTTCTTTTGCATTTAAAAAAATAAGTCTTACTAAGATATAATTCACATACAATAAAATTTACCCTTTTAAGTTATATAATTCAGTGGTTTTTAGTATATTTGAATATATGTGCAGCCTTTACTACTGTCTAATGCCAGAGCATTTCTCATTTAAAAATGAAGCCCCATACCCCCTATTCCCTTCTCCTGCTAGCCCCTAACAGCCACTAATCTACTTTCTGTTTCTATGGATTTGTCTATTCTGACCATTTCATAGAAATTGAATCATAGAATACAGCCTCTTGTGACTGACTGGCTACTTTCACTTAGAATAACATTTTCAAGGTTCATCCATGTTGTAGCATGTATCAGTGCTTCATTCCTCTTTAATGCCAGATTATATTTCATTGTATGAATGTGCCACATTTTGTTCATCCATTTATTGGTTGATAGACATTTGGGTTATTTTCATTCTTCAGTCATTATAAAAATGCTGCTGTGAACATTTGTATACAAGTTTTTGAGTGGAGATACGTTTTCATTTCTCTTGGGTATATACCTAGGAGTGGATTTGCTGGGTCATGTGGTAGCTCTATGTTTAACAATTTGAGTAGCAACCATACTGCTTTCCAAAGTGGCTATACCATTTTACACACACACGAGCAGTGTATGAGGGGACCAATTTATGTATATCCTCACAAACAGTTGTTATTATCTGTCTTTTCTTATAATAGTCATCCTATTGGGTATGAGGTGGTATCTCATTGTGGTTTTGATTTGAATTTTCCTAATGATTAATGATGTTGAGAATATTTTCAGGAGCTTGTTGTCCATTTATGTATCTTCTTCGAAGAAATGTCTATTCAAACGATTTTCCCATTTTTACATTGGTTTGTCTTTTCATTGCTGAGCTGTAATTATTTTTTTTATAAATTACCCAGTCTCAGATATTTATTCATAGCAATGCGAGAACAGCCTAATACAGCAAGTGTCACTCAGATCTACTTTCTGTACAAGAGTTCTGGGAGAGGCTCCTTCGGGACGCTGATGGGACTCTCTTCCTGGGGATGACTTGTAAAAGGAGGGTTGGTAGGATGAACTACAGCCCCCCTGCAGCTGCAGCTGGTCTTGCGGCTATAGCTGATATTCATTCCCCTGCTCCTCTGCTGTGCATTCTAGATTCTGCTTACCATTGATGACTCCCTGTGAAGGTTTAGGTGAGTTTCCTAGTGGTGTGACTCAGTCTCTCCAAACGGAGGCATTCTAGTTCCTGTTTGCCATACCTTCTCAGGCTGTAGCTGCTGAACTTGTCCATTTGCCATTGAAATTGTGCAAGGTGGTACTAACAGGTGTCCAAGTTGATGATCTGGGTATCAAACATATGCCTCCTGCCTCCATTGTGTAACAATAGCTGGACTGCCTCTTGATGATAAGAGTCAATCATGCCAACCAGGATCCTTTCCTTGCCTGCTGGTCCTTGGCATGAAGGGCCCAAAGTGCCTGGATGATGACGTAGCTTAAAGTTCAGTGAAGACTCTTGCTGTATTCCCTGGTGGAAATGTTTCCCCTTTGGGAACCAAGACCTTTGACCCTGTGGGCTACATTTGTGAGGATGAAAACACAAATTCTTTAAGTGGGTCACTGGGAATGATAGCAAGTGGGGACACTGCTGCTCCCACACCATGGATTCCTCTCCCAGGTATTCTCTTGGGGATACAGCATTATATAATGGTGATTGACTTCAGGCATTACTGCATCCTGGAGGGTAGTGCTTTTTTTTAATTTTTTAAAATTTTAAGTTCTGGTATACATGCACAGAATGTGCAGGTTTGTTACATAGGTAAACATGTGCCATGGTGGTTTGCTGCACCCATCAACCCGTCATCTAGGTTTGAAGCCCCACATGCATTAGGTATTTGTCCTAATGCTCTCCCTCCCCTTGCCCCCGACCCCAACAGGCCCTGGTATGTGATGTTCCCCTCTCTGTGTCCATGTGTTCTCATTGTTCAACTCCCACTTATGAGTGAGAACATGTGATATTTGGTTTTCTGTTCCTGTGTTAGTTTGCTGAGAATGATGGCTTCCAGTTTCATCCATGTCCCCGCAAAGGACATGATCTCATTCTTTTATATGGCTGCATAGTATTCCATGGTGTATATGTGCCACATTTTCTTTATCCAGTCCATCATTGATGGGCATTTGTGTTGGTTCCAAGTCTTTGCTATTGTAAATACTGCTTCAGTAAACATACATGTGCATGTGTCTTTAGAGTAGAATGATTTATAATCCTTTGGGTATGTACCCAGTAATGGGATTGCTGGGTCAAATGGTATTTCTGGTTCTAGATCCTTGAGAAATCACCACACTGTCTTCCACAGGGTTGAACTAATTTACACTCCCACCAACAGTGTAAAAGCATTCCAAGGACAGTGCTTTATCCTCACAGGGTATCACTTCCAAGCTGGCACTTTAGCCAAGCTTTCAATAGGCTGTTCCATTGCTTATGAGACCAGTAGCTTGGGTGGTGTGCCATATGATGGGTTCAGTGGATTCCATGGTCATGTGACCACTGCTGTGTGTCCTTTGCTGTAAAGTAGGTCCCTTAGTCTGCTGCAGTGATATGTGGAATGCCACATTGATGGATTAAATATAGCATAAGCCCTTGGATGGTCATGTTGGATGAGACTCTGCAGGCAGGAAAGGCAAACCCATACACAGAATACCTGCCTATTCCTGTGGAAATTAATGGCTGCCCCTTTCATTATGGAAAGAGTTCAATACGGTCAACTTGCCACCAAGTGGCTGGTTGGTATCTTCAAGGGATATTGTTGTACTGAGTTTCAGCAATGGTTTCTGTTGGTGTCAGGGTGATTATCTGGCTGTGACAGCAGCTTGGGCCCATGGATAGCCTCCTTCTTTGCTTCCATGTCTCCTCTGCTTATGAATCCATTGTGCCAGGACTAGGGTGGCTGATGAAAAAGCTGGCTGACATCAACGGGCTGAGTCATTCCATTTAGTTATTAAATACCTCTTCAATGGTAGATGCTCTTGGGACCTGTGGAGGAAAAGGATGGAAGCAAAATTGGCAGAAAGAGAAAGTGGGCTGCAGTGTAGTCACAACCAGTCCTCAGCCAACCCTGTGGGGAGTTCTAAAGGTGGGATGATGCTTCAGAGATGTTCCCTGAGGAGGTGAGAGGGTCAGGTCTTTTTTTTTTTTTTTTTTTTTTTTTTTTTTTTTTGAGATGGAGTCTTGCTCTGTGGCCCAGGTTGGAGTGCAGTGGTGCAATCTTGGCTCACTGCAACCTCTGCCTCCTGCGTTCAAGCAATTCTGCGCCTCAGCCTCCCAAGCAGCTGGGATTACAGGTGCGAGCCACCATACCCAGCTAAGTTTTCATATTTTTAGTAGAGATGGGGTTTCACCATGTTGGCAAAGCTGGTCTTGAACTCTTGGCCTCAACTGATCCCCAGCTTTGGCCTCCCAAAGTGCTGGGATTCCAGGCATGAGCCACCATGGATCAGGTCTTAACAGTCCCACATTGACTAGTCATTTGTTGCAGGCTGTCCCTAGAAGGTGGCAGGACCTTGAATAAGGCAGGTTTCTTTAGCAAGACAGTCACTGAAGAAGGCTGTCAGCATAAAAGCTTCCCAAAAGCTAGCGGAATAAATCCTTTAGTCAGTTTTTTCCCCTATTTATTTATTTATGATACTTATAGTTCTAGGGTACATGTGCACAACGTACAGGTGTGATACATAGGTATACATGTGTCATGTTGGTTTGCTGCACTCATCAACTCATCATTTACATTAGGTATTTCTCCTAATGCTATCCCTCCCCCAGTCCCCCACCCTCCGACAGGCCCTGATGTGTGATGTTCCCTGCCCTGTGTCCAAGTGATCTCATTGTTCAATTCCCACCTATGAGTGAGAACATGCAGTGTGTGGTTTTCTGTCCTTGTGATAGTTTGCTGAGAATGATGGTTTCCAGCTTCATCCATGTCCCTGCAAAGGACATGAACTCATCCTTTTTTATGGCTGCATAGTATTCCATGGTGTATATGTGCCACATTTTCTTTATCCAGTCTATCATTGATGGACATTTGGGTTGGTTCCAAGTCTTTGCTATTGTGAATAGTGCCACAATAAACATACCTGTGCATGTGTCTTTATAGCAGCATGATTTATAATCCTTTGGGTATATACCCAGTAGTGGGATTGCTGAATCAAATTGTATTCCTCATTCTAGATCCTTGAGGAATTGCCACACTGTCTTCCACAATTGTTGAACCAATTTACACTCCCACCAACAGTGTAAAAGTGTTCCTATTTCTCCACATCCTCTCCAGCATCTACTGTTTCCTGACTTTTTAATGATTGCCATTCTAACTGGCATGAGATGGTATCTTATTGTGGTTTTGATTTGCATTTCTCTGATGACCAGTGATGGTGAGCATTTTCTCATGTGTCTGTTGGCTGCATAGATGTCTTGTTTTAAGAAGTCTGTTTATATCTTTTGCCCATTTTTGATGGGGTTGCTTTTTTCTTGTAAATTTGCTTGAGTTCTTTGTAGATTCTGGATATTAGCCCTTTGTCAGATGGGCAGATTGCACAAATTTTCTCCCATTCTGTAGGATGCCTGTTCTCTCTGATGGTAGTTTCCTTTGCTGTGCAGAAGCTCTTTAGTTTAATTAGATCCCATTTGTCTATTTTGACTTTTGTTGGCATTGCTTTTGGTGTTTTAGTCATGAAGTCCTTGCCCATGCCTATGTCCTGAATGGTATTGCCTAGGTTTTCTTCTAGGATTTTTGTGGCTTTAGGTATAACGTTTAAGTCTTTAATCCATCTTGAATTAATGTTTGTATAAGGTGTAAGTAAGGGATCCAGTTTCAGCTTTCTACATATGGCTAGCCAGTTTTCCCAGTACCATTTATTAAATAGGGAATCCTTTCCCCATTGCTTGTTTTTGTCAGGTTTGTCAAAGATCAGATGGTTGTAGATGTGTGGTGTTATTTCTGAGGCCTCTGTTCTGTTCCATTGGTCTATATATCTGTTTTGGTACCAGTACCATGCTGTTTTGGTTACAGTGGCCTTGTAGTATAGTTTGAAGTCAGGTAGTGTGATGCCTCCAGCTTTGTTCTTTTTGCTTAGGATTGTTTTGGCAATGTGGGCTCTTTTTTAGTTCCATGTGAACTTTAAAGTAGTTTTTTCCAATTCTGTGAAGAAAGTCATTGGTAGCTTGACGGGGATGGCATTGAATCTATAAATTACTTTGGGCAGTATGGCCATTTTCACGATAATGATTCTTCCTATCTATGAGCATGGAATATTCTTCCATTTGTTTGTACCCTATTTTATTTCATTGAGCAATGGTTTGTAGTTCTCCTTGAAGAGGTCCTTCACATCCCTTGTAAGTTGAATTCCTAGGTATTTTATTCTCTTTGCAGCAATTGTGAATGGGAGTTCACTCATGATTTGGCTCTCTGTTTGTCTGTTATTGGTGTATAAGAATGCTTGTGATTTTTGCACATTGATTTTGTATCCTGAGACTTTGTTGAAGTTGCGTATCAGCTTAAGGAGATTTTGGGCTGAGGTGACGGGGTTTTCTAAATATACAGTCATGTCATCTGCAAACAGGGACAATTTGACTTCCTCATTTCCTAATTGAATATCCTTTATTTCTTTCTCTTGCCTGATTTCCCCGGCCAGAACTTCCAACACTATGTTGAATACGAGTGGTGAGAGAGGGCATCCTTGACTTGTGCAGGTTTTCAAAGGGAATGCTTCCAGTTTTTGCCCATTCAGTATGATATTGGCTGTGGGTTTGTCATAAATAGCTCTTATTATTTTGAGATACATTCCATCAATACCTAGTTTATTGAGAGTTTTTAGCATGAAAGGGTGTTGAATTTTGTTGAAGGCCTTTTCTGCATCTATTGAGATAATCATGTGGTTTTTGTTGTTGGTTCTGTTTATGTGATGCATTGTGTTTATTGATTTGTGTATGTTGAACCAGCCTTGCATCCCAGGGATAAAGCCAACTTGATCATGGTGGATAAGCTTTTTGATGTGCTGCTGGATTCGGTTTGCCAGTATTTCATTGAGGATTTTCGCATTGATGTTCATCAGGGATATTGGTCTGAAATTCTCTTTTTTTGTTGTATCTCTGCCCGGCTTTGGTATCAATATGATGTTGGCCTCATAAAATGAGTTAGGGAGGATTCCGTCTTTATCTATTGATTGGATTAATTTCAGAAGGAATGGTACCAGCTCCTCTTTGTACCTCTGGTAGAATTCGGCTGTAAATCCATCTGGTACTGGACTTTTTTTGATTGGTAGGCTATTAATTATGGCCTCAAATTCAGAGCCTGTTATTGACCTATTCAGAGATTCAACTTCTTCCTGGTTTAGTCTTGGGAGGGTGTATGTGTCGAGGAATTTATCCATTTCTTCCAGATTTTCTAGGTTATTTGTGTAGAGGTGTTTATAGTATTCCCTGATGGTAGTTTGAATTTCTGTGGGACCAGTGGTGATATCCCCTTTATCGTTTTTTATTGCATCGATTTGATTCTTCTCTCTTTTCTTCTTTATTAGTCTTGCTAGTGGTCTATCAATTTTGTTGATCTTTTCAAAAAACCAGCTTCTGGATTCATTGGGTTTTTGAAGGGTTTTTTTTTTTTTTGTCTCTATCACTTTCAGTTGTGCTCTGATCTTAGTTATTTCTTGCCTTCTGCTAGCTTTTGAATTTGTTTGCTCTTGCTTCTCTAGTTCTTTTAATTGTGATGTTAGGGTGTCCATTTTAGATCTTTCCTGCTTTCTCTTGTGGGCATTTAGCGCTATAAATTTCCCTCTACACACTGCTTTAAATGTGTCCCAGAGATTCTGGTACATTGTGTCTTTGTTCTCATTGATTTCAAAGAACATCTTTATTTCTGCCTTCATTTTGTTATTTACCCAGTAGTCATTCAGGAGCAAGTTGTTCAGTTTCCATGTAGTTGTGCAGTTTTGAGTGATTTTCTTAACCCTGAGTTCTAATTTGATTGCACTGTGGTCTGAGAGACAGTTTGTTGTGATTTCTGTTCTTTTACATTTGCTGAGGAGTGCTTTACTTCCAATTATGTGGTCAATTTTAGAATAAGTGTGATGTGGTGCTGAGAAGAATGCATATTCTGTTGATTTGGGGTGGAAAGTTCTGTAGATGTCTATTAGGTCTCCTTGTTTCAGAGCTGAGTTCAGGTCCCGGACCTGGAACTTTCTGTCTCGTTGATCTAATATTGACAGTGGGGTGTAAAGTCTCCCATTATTATTGTGTGGGAGTCTAAGCCTCTTTGTAGGTCTCTAAGGACTTGCTTTATGAATCTGGGTGCTCCTGTATTGGGCGCATATATATTTAGGATAGCTAGCTCTTCTTGTTGAATTGATCCCTTTAACATTATGTAATGGCCTTCTTTGTCTCTTTAGATCTTTGTTGGGTTAAAGTCTCTTTTATCAGAGACTAGGATTGCAACCCCTGCTTTTTTTTTGCTTTCCATTTGCTTGGTAGATGTTCCTCCATCCCTTTATTTTGAGCCTATGTGCATCTCTGCATGTGAGATGGGTCTCCTGAATACAGCACACTCATGGGTCTTGACTCTTTATCCAATTTGCCAGTCTGTGTCTTCTAATTGGGGCATTTAGCCCATTTACATTTAAGGTTAATATTTTATGTGTGAATTTGATCCTGTCATTATGATGTTCACTGGTTATTTTGCCCGTTAATTGATGCAGTTTCTTCATAGCATCGATGGTCTTTACAATTTGGCATATTTTTGCAGTGGCTAGTACCGGTTGTTTCTATCCATGTTTAGTGCTTCATTCAGTAGCTCTTGTAAGGCAGGCCTGGTGGTGACAAAATCTCTCAGCATTTGCTTGTCTGTAAAGGATTTTATTTCTGCTTCACTTATGAAGCTTAGTTTGGGTGGATATGAAATTCTGGGTTGAAAATTCTTTTCTTTCAGAATGTTGAATATTGGCCCCCACTTTCTTCTGGCTCGTAGGGTTTCTGCCGAGAGGTCCGTTGTTAGTCTGATGGGCTTCCCTTTGTGGGTAACTCGACCTTCCTCTGTGGCTGCCCTTAACACTTTTTCCTTCATTTTGACTTTGGTGAATCTGAAAATTATGTGTCTTGGGGTTGCTCTTCTCAAGGAGTATCTTTGTGATGTTCTCTGTATTTCCTGAATTTGAATGTTGGCCTGCCTTGCTAAGTTGGGGAAGTTCTCCTGGATAATATCCTGAAGAGTGTTTTCCAACTTGGTTCCATTCTCCCCATCACTTTCAGGTACACCAATCAAACATAGATTTGGTCTTTTCCCATAGTCCCATATTTCTTGGAGGCTTTGTTCATTTCTTTTTACTCTTTTTTCTCTAACCTTGTCTTCTCACTTTATTTCCTTACTTTGATCTTCAATCACTGATACCCTTTCTTCCACTTGATCAAATTGGCTATTGAAGCTTGTGCATGTGTCACGAAGTTCTTGTGTCATGGTTTTCAGCTCCATCAGGTCATTTAAGGTCTTCTCTACACTGTTTATTCTAGTTAGCCATTCGTCTAATCTTTTTTCAAGGTTTTTAGCTTCCTTATGATGGGTTCGAACATCCTCCTTTAGCTCAGAGTAGTTTGTTATTACCGACCTTCTGAAGCCTACTTCTGTGAACTCGTGAAAGTGATTCTCCGTCCAGCTTTCTTCCATTGTTGGTGAGGAGATGTGATTCTTTGGAGGAGAAGAGGCGCTCTGATTTTTAGAATCTTCAGCTTTTCTGCTCTGGTTTCTCCCCATCTTTGTGGTTTTATCTACCTTTGGTCTTTGAAGTTGGTGACCTACAGATGGGGTTTTGGTATAGATGACCTTTTTGTTGATGTTGATGCTATTCCCATCTGTTTGTTAGTTTTCCTTCTAACAGTCAGGTCCCTCAGCTACAGGTCTGTTGGAGTTTGCTGTAGTTCCACTCCAGACCCTGTTTACCTGCGTGTCCCCAGTGGAGGCTGCAAAACAGCAAATACTGCAGAACAGCAAATATTACTGCCTAATCCTTCCTCTGGAAGCTTCATCCCAGAGGGACAGCTGCCTATATGAGGTGTCTCTCAGGCTACACGAGGGTCAGGGTCCCACTTGAGGAGGCAGTCTGTCCGTTCTGAGAGCTCAAACGCCATGCTGGGAGAACCACTGCTCTCTTCAGAGCTGTCAGACAGGGACGTTTAAGTCTGCAGAGTTGTCTGCTGCCTTTTGTTCGGTTATGCCCTGCCCACAGAGGTGGAGTCTAGAGGCAGTGGGCCTCATTGAGCTACAGTGGGCTCCCCCCAGTTCGAGCTTCCTGGCTGCTTTGTTTAGCTACTCAAGCCTCAATGGTGGACCCCCCTCCCCCAGCCAGGCTGCCGCCTTGCAGATCAATCTCAGACTGCTGCACTAGCAGCAAGCAAGGTTCCGTGGGCGTGGGACCTGCCAAGCCAGGCACGGGAGAGAACCTTCTTCTCTGCCAGTTGCTAAGACCTTGGGAAAAGTGCAGTATTTGGGTGGGAGTGTCCTGTTTTTCCAAATAGTCTTTCATGGCTTCCCTTGGCTAGGAAAGGGAAATCCCCCAACCCCTTGTGCTTCCTGGGTGAGGTGACACCCTGCTCTGCTTCAGCTCGCCCTCTGTGGGCTGCACCCACTGTCCAACCAGTCCCAATGAGATGAACCAGTTACCTCAGTTGGAAATGCTGAAATCATCTGTCTTCTGTGTCGATCACGCTGGGAGCTGCAGACCAGAGCTATTCCTAGTTGGCCATCTTGTAATGCCCCCACTCCCCCATAATTATTCTTTATATATTGTGATACAAGTCCCTTATCAGATATATGATATTAAATTATTTTCTCACGTTCTATGAGTTATCTTTTCATTTTCTTTATGCTGTCCTTTGATGTAAAAATGTTTTTAATTTTGATTAAGTCAAATTTACCTATTTTCTTTTGTCACTTGGTTTCTGGTGTCATATCTAAGAAATCGTTGTTTTATCCAAGGTCACAAAGATTTACTCCTATGCTTTCCTATTAGAGTTTTATAGTTTTTATCTGTTAAGTATAGGTCTATGATCCATTTTGAGTTTTGTACGTGGTATAAAGTAGGTGTTTAACTCTACTCTTTTGAATGTGGATGTCTAGTAGTCCAGCATGCCCCACTGATGTTCGGCAAAGGGGAAAAGCAGTTCAATGGAGAAATGAGAGTTGTCCAACAAATTGGGTCAGAGCAATTGTTCACTCATATTTTCAAAAAGAACCTCAACATAAACCTCTTCCCTTATAGAAAAATTAACTCAAAATGGATCATAGAACTAAAGGCATATCTTACAACTATAAAAGTTGTGGAGGAAAACATAGGAGAACATCTTCATGACCTTGGGCTAGCTGAAGAGTTCCTGGACATGACAGAAAAAGCACAATCTATGAAAAAATGGATAGTTTTATAAACATGATAATTTTGACTTTCTCAAAAGTAAAAGTTTGCTCCAGTAAAGACATCATTAAGAGAATGAAAAGACAAGATACAGACTGGAAGAAAATATTTGCAAGCCATATATCTAACAAAGGGATTGTATCTAGAATATATATGTATATTCTATATTATATTACATATATATAATAAAAATGGGCAAAGGATCTGAAAAACACTTCATCACAGAAGATATATAGATGGTAAATAAGCATGTGAAAAGATGCTCAACATCATTAGCCATTTGGGAAACGCAAATTATAACCATAATGAGATCCCACTACATACCTGTTAGAATGACTAAACTTTAAAAACCTGACAAGCACTAAAGAAGATATAGAGCAATTAGTGAAAATGGAAAACAGTATAGCCACTCTGGAAACAGTTTGGCATTTTATTATAAACACACCCTTAACACACAATCCAGCAATACCACTCTTAGATATGTAAGTTAGAAAAATTAAACGTATATTTAGACAAAAACCTGTACATGAATGGTCATAGCAGCTTTACTCATAATTGCTAAAAACTGGAAATAACCCAAATGTTCTTCAGTGGGTAAACAAAGAAACCATCGTGCATCCATATAATAGAAAACTACTCAGCAATGTGATTGAATGGGCTATTGATACATACGAAAACACAGATGAATCTCAAAGGTGTTATGCTGAGTAAAATGAGCCAATCTTAAAAGGTTACCTACTGTATGATTCCATTTATATGACATTTTGGAAAAGGTAAACTATAGGGACAGAAAACAGAGGAGCAGTTGTCAGAGGTTAGAGGTTGGGAGAGTTTGACTACAAAGAGGTAACAATAGGGAACTTTGGAGGGTGATAGAACTGTTGTGTATCCTGATTGTAGTAACAGTTACATCAGTCAATGCAGCTCTTAAAACTCCTAGAAATGTACACTGATGTGTGTGTGTGTGTGTGTGTGTGTGTGTGTGTGTTGATTATAATGATTGTTACATGGGTATATATACCTGTCAAAACTCATCAAACACTTTAAATGGTTGAATTTTATTCTGTGTAAATTGTGCCTCAATAAAGTTGAATTTTTTAAAATAAAAAAGCCTTCCACCACAATCCGACACCTTAAAAATAACTACTATTGACAGTTTAGTGTGTACTTGTCTAGAACATGTAAGCATGTAATATAAAAGATTTTCCAGTTGTATAAATGGGATCACTGTACATAATATATGTTGTGCTCTATATTGCTTTATTCACTTAGAGGGCTTGGACAGATGCATATATATACATATCTATAATGTTTATGGATCTACCATATATTAGTAGTTATATTTTATACCATTTTGTAGATGTAACACCATTTATTTAACCAGTTCTACTGTTGAATATTTAGGTTGCTGCCAGTCGTTTTGCTACTATTATCTGTGCTACAGTGAACAGCCATGTACATACATGTTTTTGTAAGTATATTGATAAGATATATTTCTAAGAGTAGGGTTACTGGGTGACAGGGTATGTATAATTTGAATTTATATAGCTCTTGACATATTGCCCTCTATAGAAGCAACTAGAAAGTTTAGAATAAGAAGTGAGTACATCGTGCAGTTTCCCATCCCAAATCCTTGAACTTCATTATCTTTCATAGGATCATGCTGATATCGAGTGGAAGTTTGCAAGGACGAAGCTCTGGATGAGTTACTTTGATGAAGGTGGCACCTTGCCACCTCCTTTCAACATCATCCCCAGCCCCAAGTCATTTCTATACCTTGGTAACTGGTTCAACAACACCTTCTGCCCCAAAAGAGACCCTGACGGTAGACGGAGAAGGCGCAACTTGAGAAGTTTCACAGTAAGACTTTTAATTTTGAAAACTTAATTTTTAAAAATTGAGATGGAGTCTCACTCTGTCACCCAGGCTGGAGTGCAGTGGCACGGTCTCGGGTCACTGCCAACCTCTGCTGCCTGGGTTCAAGCAATTCTCATGCCTCAGCCTCCCCAGTAGCTGGGATTACAGGCGTCTGCCACCACACCTGGCTAATTTTTTGTATTTATTACTTTTTGAGATGGCGTCTCGCTCTGTCATCCAGGCTGGAGTGCAGTGGCACCATGTCAGCTCACTGCCACCTCTGCCTCCCAGGTTCAAGTGATTCTCCTGCCTCAGCCTCCCAAGTAGCTGGGATTACAGACGAGCACCACCATGCTGGGCACATTTTTGTATTTTTAGTAGAGACAGGGTTTCACTATGTTGGCCAGGCTGGTCTTGAACTCCTGACCTCGTGATCCTCCTGCCTTGGCCTCCCAAAGTGCTGGGATTGCAGGCATGAGCCACCGCACCTGGCCAATATTATGAATCTTTTTAAACAAAACTGTTTCCTCCCGTCCCTCCTTTGTGACCAACTCACTGTTTTAAACATCATAAAATCATTCCAACATACATTTGCTTTGGGGATTTGTCAGGCAGGAGCTCCTGTAGCATTCTCTAGTCCTAATATATAGAAATAATTATATTCAGATGTTTGGGTGGGTAGGGTGCTGGGAGACTGCTGATGTAACATCTCTGTCTATTTTCAATTATAGGAACGCAATGCTGACAGCCTGATACAAAATCAACATTATCAGGTAAAGCTTCCTCACAGGGATGAAGCACAATAGTTGTTGGCTGGTTCTGTGGAGGAGAAGCAAACTTCACTCTGGCTGTGTCTGGACACGATCCCATTTGACTGGGATAGGAGGCTTGGAAAGGCTGTAATTTATCAAGGGCTGAAGTACCTTCTCCAAGTGGAATCACCTGCTTTATAATCCTGTTCATGGCCCTTATGCACTGCCTCGGCTTGATCAGCAACAACTATGACTTAGAAAGCTGTCTTCCTTGAAGTTACATAAAATAGAATATATGGTTGGTCAGTCAGTCAAATATGAGAGTACCTACTGTACATAAAATACTACACTAGATACTAGAAAAATCACTATGAACAAAAAAGATGCAATCTTTCTGCCCTTATGAAATATATTATCTAGCAGGGATAAAATAACACGTCATTAAAATTACAGTTGACTCTTGAACAACAGAGGATTGAACTGTGTAGATCGACTTATAGGCAGATTTTTTCAACCAAACGCAAATAGAAAATATAGTATTCATGGAATGTAAAACCACATATACAAGAGGGCTGACTTTTTGTATCTGCAGGTTCTGCAGGGTGACTGCAGGACTTGAGTATGCATGGATTTTGGTACATGGGGCGGGGGGTCCTGGGACCAATCCCCAGAGTATACCAAGGGATGATTGTATTAAAATTAAGTGATTACAAGGATAAAAACTGCCATGAAGAAAAAATACACAGGGTAATGGTAATATATATAACAGGAGGAAACTAACCTCAATGAAGTAAAAGCTTATCTGAATGTCAGGAATTTAGATCTTGATAAATTACAACATGACTTTAATCAAAGAAATAGAGAAGCACTTCTGTATTTTGTTAAAAAAAAAAAAGTAATAAACCTAATAAACATTAGGACACTCTTCCCACCAGCTAGAAAACAGCCAAGCATACAAATATCACCAACACCTCTTGAGAATAATCCTTGCAAATCACAAATAAGAGACAACCATCTCTCACCATCCTGATCAAAAGAAAACCAAAGTAGAAAAATGTTCTACAGCGTTTGAAGGAAATGCATCCTTATTCTATAGGTCACTTCTCCTAACTTTGTTCCCCTTAGACCATAACTAACAAAGAGAAGCAGAAAATATGGTATTTTGTATGTAAACCTCCTCTCCCTACTCCCGCCTTCAAATGTTATTACTTTTATAATAATAAATCTTAAATAAGATTCATTGTCTTCATTTTCTGCTTCATAGCCCTCAACAATAACAAAAAAAAATGATTCCTGCATGTCTCAGTGAGTTCCTCAAGTACACATAGTAGCAGAAGCAATACCATTGGCCTTGAAATCAGACTGAAGTAGAATCAAAGTCTAATGCTGACACTTACTAGTTGTGTAACATTGGATGAGTCAGCCTCATTGAGCCTTGACTTCCTCATCTGTAACATGGGAAGAGTAATAAAACTTAACTTACAGAGTTGTGAAAATTGAGTGATAAGTATGTATCATATGTATTATGTGCATGTGTTGCCTGACACATTGCAGTAAGTGGTAGCTATCATCATCACCATCACTAATACAAACTGTAGTGACCATGTGTAGACCATTCCCCTGGGGGCTTAGTGAAAAGAGGACATTCCTATAAAGGAGAAGTGTAGGTTGACTATGAGAAAAATATCTTCACTATGTAATTAGTAGACATTAAAATCAGCAGACTTAGTGACTCTGAAGAAAACTCTCAATTTTATAAAAGGAGAATAAAACTCTCGTTTTACTATGAGTGTTAACGTGTAATCCATCCTAAAGGAAAAGGATATTAACTATATGACCATGCAAGAATTATTCCACTGGAAATACATGTTTACCTTATGCTTGGGTAAAAAATTTTCCTTTAGGGTTAATTTGATTCTGCCACTAAATTCAGAGACACAATAGTTGTTTAGCCAATGGACTTAACTCATTTTTACAATAAAAGGCTGGATCCTATGAGGATTTTCTACTGCAAAGAAGGTCTAAGCATGTTTTATTTCCTATGTAAGTTTCTTACTGTACTGAGAGCCTGAGAAGGAGACTGAATGCTTCTTCATGTTTTGTAATTCCAGGAAGTTATCAGGAATTTAGTCAAAAGATATGTGGCTGCTATGATAAGAAATTCCAAAACACATGAGGGACTTACAGAAGAAAATTTTAAGGTAATTTAATCATGAAGTGGTTTTTCATTTTACATATCATAAGCATCATTTAATCTTCACAGTGTGTGAGGTTTCTGGTGATGGAATTTCATCTGCTTACAATATAGCAAAGCCAGTTATAATGCTTATTCTCTTAGAATTGTCTCTCATCCAGTAGACGGAGAGATTTTACCAATGTATGTCACACCACAATCAGTGTCAGGAATGAAGGAAATCTGCTGTATGCATTCTTTTAATATTCTGAGTGTTTCTCAGTGTGGAAATTGAATGCTTTAAATGATGTGGCAAGGATGCATGGTGGTGAGGGACAAGATAACAAAGGGAAGATGCCTGCAGACTTAATTATCTTCTTTACTTAAAAGATATAAGATCAAAAAATCTGTTATTAAATCTAAGGTCTTAAGAAACTCTACCATTAAACATTAAAATTATACTAGTGGCATTAGCCTAAAACAACCGTTTTCAACCAGGGGCAATTTTGTCCCCAAGACCACATTTGGCAATGTCTGGAGATATTTTTGGTTGTCACACTGGTATCTAGACAGTAAAGACAAGGTTGCTACTAAGCATCCTACAATGAATAGTACAGTCTCCCACAACAAGAATTATCCAGTCCAACATGTCAATAGTGCCAAGATTGAGAAATCCTATCCTAGAACACATCTATATATATATTTTTTAATTTTTTTATTATACTTTAAGTTCTGGGATACATGTGCAGAACATGCAAGTTTGTTACATAGGTATACATGTGCCGTGGTGGTTTGCTGCACCCATCAACCCATCATCTACATTAGGTATTTCTCCTAATGCTATCCCTCCCCTAACCCCCACCACCTGACAGGCCCCTGTGTGTGATGTTCCCCTCCCAGTGTCCATGAACACATCTATATTTTCTAAGGCACACAGAAAGTCCATTATCCTAATTCATAGACATAATTCATCTACTGAGGGTCTGCTATGTTCCAAGCACTCTGCTAAGTGCTCTGGTACAGTGGTGAGCAAGATCTAACCAGCTCCTACTCTCAAGGAGTGACAAACAATAATAAAGGGTGATGAACAATTTTATATTCTGACAGGTTAAACACAGGACACTGTGGAAACACAGAGAGGAGGGACGCTCATCTGGGACTTGGGGAGTCAAGACAGACTTTCCAATGGAAGTGATGCTTAAGCTGAGGCTTGAAAGCAAAGCCAGCCAGATAAGGGCGAGTTGGGGAGAAGAATGTTCTAGACAGAGAGAACAGCATAGGCAAAGGCCCAGAGGCAAGGGAGAATATGTCCATACAGGTGGACAGCAGAGAGCCTAGGAAAAGAGTAGAAAGATGAAACTGGAGAAAGCAACATGTACTAGGCCTTGAAAAACCTTGTAGTCCATGGTATGGCATTTCTACTTTTTCCTAAAGTCAGTGACAAGTTAGTAACAAGTTTTGAGAAGGGGAAGTACATGAACAGATTTCAGCTTGGCTTTTAAAGGAACAATCTAGTATGTAAGCAGCCAGTTGGAGATAGAAGACATTTCATAGAGGTTTGAACAGGGCCCCCTGTCTCAAAACAGCAGTCTCATCACCTGACATTCAACTTTTCTAGTTTCACTCGTTAGAGTCTTAAAAGCTTTTTCCTCTTCAGTAGTCCTTTTATATGCAGACACCTGAGAGCCAGTGTCCTAATCTAATAACTTGTTAGTTAATACTTAGCAGGAGTTAGTCCTTATGAAAGCACCTCAACAGACTAATCCCTGCTAAAGTGTTAGCTAATCCTGAATCAACTTTACCCATTGTACAATTTTGCCAATGGCCAGCCCAGCCCTGCCCATGGAATTATTAATATGTTTTTCTTGTGTTTGAATAATGGCAGATTTTTCTGGTGTTTTGTGATTTGCTACTAGGCAAAAACCTGGAACATACCAAAGGTATCTAATGTGCCTACTTTGAAATAAAGACCAAGCTTCTTGACATAATATGTCTCCTCTCTTTTCCCAGGAATTAAAGCAAGACATCTCCAGCTTTCGGTATGAAGTGCTTGACCTCTTGGGAAATAGAAAACATCCAAGGAGCTTTTCCACTAGCAGCACTGAACTGTCTCAGAGAGACGATAATAATGATGGCAGTGGTGGGGCTCGGGCCAAATCCAAGAGTGTCTCTTTTAATTTAGGCTGCAAGAAAAAGACTTGCCATGGGCCACCTCTCATCAGAACCATGCCAAGGTCCAGTGGTGCCCAAGGAAAGTCAAAAGCTGAGTCATCAAGCAAACGCTCCTTCATGGGTCCTTCTCTCAAGAAACTGGGTCTCCTATTCTCCAAATTTAATGGTCATATGTCTGAACCCAGTTCAGAGCCAATGTACACAATTTCTGATGGAATTGTTCAGCAGCACTGTATGTGGCAGGACATCAGATATTCTCAGATGGAGAAAGGGAAAGCAGAGGCCTGTTCTCAAAGTGAAATTAACCTCAGTGAGGTAGAATTAGGTGAAGTCCAGGGCGCTGCTCAGAGCAGTGAATGCCCTCTAGCCTGTTCCAGCTCTCTTCACTGTGCATCCAGCATCTGCTCCTCAAATTCTAAACTTTTAGACTCCTCAGAGGATGTATTTGAAACTTGGGGAGAGGCTTGTGACTTGCTCATGCACAAATGGGGTGATGGACAGGAAGAACAAGTTACAACTCGCCTCTAAGTCAAGCCCTAATCATCTGTTCTGGAACTCAACAGAAATCTGTAATTTCCTTGCTCTCAGAGGTGACACAGAATATGATTCCCTCACTGCCCCTGCCCCCCAGAAAGGAGAGTGAAACTCTTATTTGCACCATCTTTTATAGCCACATTCTCCATTTTTGTTCTTGTTTTATTATTACTTTCATTATTATTTGCCTTTTTAATACCTATACACACTAAGTCCATCTTACAACCGACTGAAGGGGTGTTGCACCTAATCATCAGAGGTGCAGTTGGGTGCTTAACCTTTTTGCTTTGCTTTTCTCACCCATGCTTCCTTGAAGCCCCAGGTGCCACTTTGCTGGTCTTGTTGCCGCACAGATTCCTGACCATCCTCAGAATCTCATGCCATTTTCCCGCAGAGCTGAGGGATGTGGTCAGCAGTCCCCACCAGCTATCAGATAAGGCAAACTACCCTGCCCATCTTTGTTGCCATTCAGTGCTACGCGCTGCCCATGCTGGGTCAATGAACAGCATCAAAGGGAGGCTGAAGAGATTTCAAAGAATTGTCAGCTTGTGGTTTCTGGGTATAAGTGGCTTGTTTCGTTCTTAAATACTACAACTTCTTATTGTGGGGGCTATTGAGTTTTCTTGTTTCTTAAAGATGTGTTAGTTTCCTAATGTGTGCCAATGAAATATTTACCCCATAGTATATGTCATATCTAATAAGTTAGGCGAATTATTTTTCTGTTTGTGTGTTTCAGTTAACTTACTACATTTGAAAATTTGATAGTATCAAAATTAGTATTTAGAATTTGTGCTATTTTTTAAAAACATCTACTACACTCTAACCAATAGTCACTACATCTCATACATTGGCAAGATAAATAGTTGTCATATTTGTTGGGTCCTATTCTACTGTTGATAGTTTTAATTATCATTGCTATCAAATAATTTCTAAGATAAAAGCCTGAATTTGAAATATTTTTATCAGAAAAATGGCATATTGCTGAAGTGTCAAAATATGAGAAAAGAGCATCTTCATTTTAATTAACTGCTTTATAAAAATGGCAACTTTAGGTATAGATAACCTAATTCAGGTTGCAGTTTTAATATTCATTGGGGGCAGTGGAATTGCATGTGTAAATTATGTTAGATATATATCATAACAACCCTAGTGGATTCATGGAATTATAAACGTGATCCAAATTCTACTGTCTTCCAAGAAAGCTACATTTATACATCCAAACAAATTCTTTTCCACAGCTTAAGAGTACCTCATCAGAATACAGTGGTTCAAGTTAAAAAATAAAGTCCATAATGCATATGGTCATCATTCTAGACCTGATAACCACTGAGAACCTGCTGAGCAAGGACGGCTTTTACCAACATTAGCACAAAGGTTTCCTCAGTTTAGACTCTAACATATGACCTGAAACAACTCTAGGTCTGAGTCCTAGAGATTACATAAATAGTGTGTAGCCCAGAAAAGTAAAATAGGTGTCACGCTGTTTTTTTTAATGTCAACACCAATAGGAATCCATTTAGATTAATGTATGTAATTTCTGATAAAAGTAAGAGAAATGAGGAACTTTCGAACTGCAAATATGCCTCCAAACTAGCTTTTGATAAGTGTGGTTTCTGTTATTTGAATGGATTCCCATCTTTGTCTCTAGCCTGGAGAAGAGCAAAATGGAGGGGGAGGGGCCAGAAATAGGAGGAGGTTTTGAAGAATAAAGCCTCATATCCAGGAAAAAGTGATCAAGTGAAAAAGCTGCATCAAGACCCATTTGGCAAGAGGTTGTCCGAAAATAATTCCTTGATCATATCTGAAGTGGTTATTTACTCAAATCAATTTCTCCCCTGCTTCGCTAAGACTGTCATAAAATGGCCTTGACATTTAATCACAGGTTACTTTCCAGAAAGGTTTCTAAAGTTACAGATTCAGCTTTTCAAATTGTCAAATTCACTTTGAATAATAATAGAACCTGGGCTACATTCCTAACTCATATTAACAGCACCAAAAGAAATAGCATATAACCCCATTTTATAAAAAGAAAAACATGTTTTTCTCAGAAATGTATATCACTTCTGAAAACTTATAAGTTTTCTAGCAGTGACCTTATCAACTTGTCAGAAAACAGGCTAGCCAGACATGGAACTGTATTCCAAAAGTCTTCTGTCACTTACGTTCTAAAGAGATAATATGTGTAAATCAATCTCTACTATTGAAAGAACCAGTGTCATATGTCACGGGAGTACATTCCTTTTCAGATCTTCTCAGGGTTATCGTTGTGACTTGGGCTTAAGACTTTACTAGCTATAGTGAAGCCTCATTTAGGATGGGGGTTAAAGCTGAACAGCTATTGCCCTAACTTCCATGTTGGTGACACCAACATTTTTATTAACTCTAATTCAGTACAAAGTAGGAAAGGAAAAAGATTTTGTTCACTTCCTTACTCTCTTGATCAAGTATCATAAAAGGTATTTCAAGTGAAAATGCTTAGGTATATCCTCTGACCCCAGAGGAGTTATAAGCCAACTTGAGAGTAAATTTATAAACATAAAAAGAACTAAAAGAGAACTTTATAAAGGATCTACTCTATTCCAACCTCATATTTTACAAATAGAAAATAAAGAGGCCCAGAGAAGGACAATGACTTGCTCAAGGTCACAGAGCTGGTCAATAAACTCAAGTCTTCTAGATTATAGAAGACATTTATTAGTAAGCATATATGTTATATATAGATGTGAAGTGGCCACTACAGACACCCTTTTGTTCATTTGCCAAAAATGCTGTGAACTCCAAAACTTCAGACTTACATATTTAAATGTGAAGTTAAAAATGTACTGCAAAGTCAAACACAAATAATACAAAAATCATTTACTACTTATCTAAAATATCCATATCATGTTCCACCTACATTACAGTTGGCTTATCACTTCCGGACACCTTGGATTCATTTATTTGATCTCATAAAATCTCCCTAATAATAAAGGTAAAAATTACAAAGAAAATATTTGAATTATATTAGAAAGTGACCATTGTTGAAATATCTCCACTTCCAGCTTTATGTCCAGTGAAATACAGAGGAAAGACTAAATTTAAAATCATTTTCGGAAAATGCCAAACTTTACAGAGATATAAATGCTTCAAGTTACGCTTCTGTCTACTGACATGGAGATATTAAAAAATTCCCTGTTCTGCCTCCATCATTTTTCATTCCACTGTGACCTAACTTAGGCTATTTCAGCTAAGTCGTAAATACCTGTCTGCAATTTGATTAAATCATTTTTAAAAAACGAACGCCTCCACTTTTCAAATGACTTAATACCTTTTCCAAAAAGAACTTTATAGTTCTTATGGCAGTGCAAACCTCATCTGAAAACCTCAGTGGGAACTTTAGAGATAAATATGAGGCCAAACCTTAGCCTGAAAATACAAATGACCATTGGCATTCATGTTACATCATGGGTGAATCTCGTGTGGTGTTTTGACTAATAGTTTTAGTGCCCCAGACCTTGGTTTGTTAAATCATCAGGTAAAAAGTACTTGAAGATAGGCAGCAAATCCTTTGTTTAAAAGTACCTTAGAAAAATTGAGGCTGGGCATGGTGGCCCACTCCTGTAATCCCAGCACTTTGGGAGGCCAAAATGGGTGGTTCACTTGAGTCCAGGAGTTTGAGATCAGCCTGGCCAACATGGTGAAACCCATCTCTACTAAAAATACAAAAATTAGCTGGGCATGGTGGTACACGCCTGTAGTCCAACTACTTGAGAGGCTGAGGCATGAGAATCACTTGAACCTGGGAGGCAGAGGTTGCAGTGCACTGAGATCACACCACTGCACTCAAGCCTGGGCGGCAGAGCGAGACTGTCTCAAAAATAAATAAATAAAGGTACCTAAGAAAAATTGAGTATATTTTCTTGGTAATCAAGTTTTCAAAAGATTGCTCATATAGACATAGTCAATGCAAATTGATCCAAGTGTTCAGATCATTTAAATAACCTCTTCATACCTACTTCACAGCCCTACCTTCAATCCCTGCAGCTTTGCCTCAAAACTAAGGATATTTTAGATTGTTTCTTTGGCTTACTTTATCTAGATAATTGCTCCAAATATCCACCTTGTTGGTGTAGGACTCGGCAGTGGGATCTGAGTACCCCAAATGAATGTGAGCTTTACTTCAGCAGAGAGAAACATTGTTACCATTATATTTCCAATGAACCTTCCAGTAACTTTTTTTCCAACAGATGTGGGTTTTGGCTTGCTTTGCCTTTTGAGGGATGTCTGTAAAAGTGAGAACGTGTCTGTGTATATACATAGACACACATAACAAAACTTAACAGCATTTGATGGTTCTGCCCTTGGCCCTTTATCCCTTTAGGTAATTACTAGATCATTTTGAAGAGAGGGAAGCAAGAATAACTTTTCAATGAGACATTTCCTGAGCTGTGAGGAATTGCCAAAATGAACTGCCATGACAGCATCTTCTGTAGCACTTTTATATTGAGAGCTATCAAGATTTGAGGTTCCTGGTTTTGTTTAAAAAAAAAAAAAGCATTTAGGTCAGAATAACTTACCTGGAAGACTTAAATATACACATTTTTGGCAAAATAAAGTCAGTCTGCATACTTCAGATTTACTGTATACCTGAGATTTGGTGCATACTTGAGGTGTTAATATTCATTCATATGCTGGTACGTGGCCTAGGATTTTCATCTTTTGTGTGGTGATCCAGAGGAGGTGTTAGTGGGTGCTTTGTGAGAGCTTTACTTTTAGAAAATGTAATGTTTAAGAAACAGAGTTAACTGCTGGAATGATAGAGGCAGCAAGCCAGTGTGCTCTAGCATCTTTAGGCTCAGTATTTGTGTTATCCCCAACTTGAGTGGATTTGTATCTTGTACTTGATTACTGGATCTGAGTTGTGTTCATTCTTTTTCTAAAGATATACCATCAATGTTTGTGGTACCTGAGAGACATATACATATTAAGAATTATAATATTTAAACATAAAACTAAGTGGAATGCCCTTATGCCAAAAAGCTAGTTTTCTTATATGATGTGAAAAGATGTGAAAGCTCTAGAGGCTTCCTGTTACTACACAAATAAATGACAAACAATTTCTGTAGGAACATAAACAGCCCACAACTTTTGATCATTGAAATCAACTGTCATACATCCCTGAAAGTAGCATGTATCTGTCCTACCCTCCTCCCCCTCAAAGAACTTTCTTTATAACTCCAGTGACTTGATAGAACCAAAAAAGACTAACTGAAGTAGGTTAGAATGACTTGCAACGTGAAGGTCATTTTCACCATTTTTCAGCATATTTGCCCTTTGACTTTAGCAGGTTTTGGGGCAACCTAACATCCCAGGAGCTTACATACATACACACAAAAGGCACTGTCCTTAGTGGCACTTGAATGAATATGTGGCAGTGTGCCTTTTATTTAAGCCTAAGGTAGCCAGCCATTTGAAAGTACAATTAAGCTGGGATTGGCCATTTTGTATCTTTTCCCAGAAGTTCAATATATCCCCAAAATACTCATTGCCACCAATTGCCTTCCAACCTAGGAACCCTCTTGACAGTTCTCCGCTCTTACACAACTCTTAAAGCTGACCCTTGGAAGGAAGAAAGGAGGCTTTGGATTTTTGCTGGGATTGGGAAACTTAGATGGTGATAGTGTAGTAAAGAGACAGTTGGAAAAGCTTTTGAAGTAAGGATGAGTGAGGATATACACTTTAAAACACGGGGCTAAACCACCAAATTGTCAGTTTTTTGGATGGCCAAATTGAGATGAATAACCTGAATTAAAAATATAATTTAAAATGGTTAATTAAAACATTAGCATCATCATTTCTCCTTTAATGAAATTCAAAAAATGCAACAATATATGAAAGCAGAACTACCGGTAAATCATTTTTCAAATTTTGGGTCATATTTGGGTTAAATTTCAGATGTTAACAAGTTCTCAACCTTGGGATCACTGTAAATATAAGTTCAACACACCACACCCATAATGCAATATCACAGATGGGCTTTCATAAATATGTACACTTTAGCCAATTGGAAAGATCACTTCCTTCAAATTTTATCTAAGAAATAAAGTGGGTTTGTCAAAACAACATGAAAGAGAAATGAAAGGTAAGGAAGGGCACTATGGCAAAAAGCCAGATTATGTATCTGCTGTCATCTTTTAGCCTCATAAATTTGGAATAAACATAAAATAGGATAATGACTGATATTTTCATAAACATACCAGAACTTATGCACCCAAATGAACGTGGTCCTTTAAAGTAGTCACCTTAAAAAGCCATACCCATATTCTAATGATGCTGCCATTACTCTACCCACTTTGGACTTCTGCTTTTGAAATGACTTTCAAAGTCCACAGTACAATCTCTGAATATCCTCAATGGTAGAAAATCATGATCCTATAAGATTAAATTTTTAGGAATTTAGAAATTGCCAAAAGTAATTTTAGATCCACACTTGGTAAAACATGTGGTAGTCAAGATGAGTACCACTTTCTCTGGTTAAAAACAAACAAACGAACAAACAAAAAACATTTTCAAGTGCTACTACACAATAGGCACTTTGATAGGTGCAATTATAAAATAATGAGATTGTCTCTTGTGGGATTTGTAAGGGACCTGGAACTGTTCTTGGGAATCTAGTTTTTTTCCCCTAATTAACTTTATTGAGGAATGATTTATGTACAATTACCTGCATTCATTTAAAGTGTACAAATTGGTGAGTTTTCAGAGTTGTATATACCCCTGGAAGCACCAGCCAAAATCAAGTTATAGAATATCTCCATCACCCCCTCAAGAATGCTTGTTCTCCTTTGTATCCTGGAATCTAGTTTCAATTATGCTTGGAGCAGTGGTAGCCTTACATGAATAAGCACATAGCCTCCTGAAGAGAACACTTTAAAGAGCAATATATTTAGATAGAGAAGCTTCACTGATTTGGGAACAACCATAATGATTAACCCTTTGTGTTTAAACAGTAAAATACATTGAGTTCCAATGGCTTATGCTGTAAATAAACTCAGAATTGACTCCTCAAACTTATTTGATCCTTAAGAAATGACATTGTATAGCACAGAGGCTCTGGTGACTAGGCTGTTATCAGGGAGAGGGACAGTAAAGAAAAACCACTAACCTCCATAGAGAACAGAGGGGAGGATTTTGGACTCATAAGAACCCACGGTGGCAGAAGCAATGGAAAGAAACTCTAATAGGAAGATGGCAGCTAGCTAGCTGAATGTGTTCAGGTCATTTGAAAGTCACATATTCAGATTAAGTATTTCCTGTATAAGATCTAGTCATGGTATTTAAAGTATAGCCTCATCATGTTGTGGCCACACCTTGTAGGACCTCCTTGTAAAACATATTAAGCAATCAGTTTAAATATCCAAGGCAAAGTAACCTGTAGTCCAATAAATCAGTGATAACTGTGCTTAGTGTACGTGGGCAGGAGAAGCAGCCAGAATTCTCAAGTGTCTTAACAGGATAAGTGGGACCAATGACACCAAAATGAATATTATGTGAGCACATGAAGAGTCCTCTAAACCCAAAGGGTTAACACATTAGTCTGTGGTTTAATGTAAAAGGAAATTCAATTCGATAAATTAACTTTAAAATTAAGTGTTCAAATTACTACCTTAACAAAGTAAAAGTAAAGCTGTATCTTATCTCAACAGTAAAGACACAGACCTTCCCCAGGACACTTCAGATAAGGATAAACACATCCTTCTCAAGCAAATACATTTTAGTTTGTTTCTTATAATAGGAATGCACACCAGAGGTACTATTCAACAGAACAATAGTTAAACTCTTCACAGGATTCTATTTATTCCATATTTCTCAAAAATGGGGTTGAAATTAGGGATGGGAGTTTCTTTCTACTCAAAACAATGAATGCAGTCTGCAGCTACAAACTAACATTTGGTAGCAGGAAGGAGAATACTAGAGAATACGAGCTATGTGTAATTCACCTTCTAAGCCTAGTTGGCAGCCCCAACCACATATCACCATATAGAAAGTGTGTCAAATTTCAGTTTAAAATGATACATCTTGAGCATAATCATGAAAAGGGAAAATTCCAAATGTGTCTGTGTAAATGACACTGGCTTTGAAGACTATTTTCAAAGTGGAAATCTCTTTGAATAACTATCACTTTTATTTAAACACTTTCTGTAAGTGCACAGTGTCAATCTTAATGTATTAAAAAGAATCTTGTACAATAAAATAATTTTGTGTATTTTTAGCTTCAGTATCAACAAAATAAAGTATTTACTTTTTTCCCCTGAAATGTGTGACAACTCAGATTTTAAGGTGTTATGTTCCTCCCTTTTTCAGTGTAATCATTCGTAGCCACCTATTATTAACATTTATGAACAAAAGACTTCACAATGTAATTTGCCTAGCAGAAACACTAATGGGAGACCTCCACAGTCCAATATATTTTGAAAAGTATATGAGAATAAATATTCTGATTTTTATATCTTCCATTAAACAAAGCTGACTAGTATTTAAGAATTTAATAATAATTTATAAGAACTATGAGATGAAGTAAAGAGACCAATACAGTTTTAAAGCTATAGCTTACAACATTGAAAAACCTTAGAGGCCCAATCCTGGAAATTAATTATTCTTCATTGAGTACTTAAAAGTATGATACATATTGCATAGAACAGTTGGAATCTGTGAGACAGTGAGAAGACATATAAATGGAGGTTAAGCTGGTCATGATTAAACCAGTGTCATCTGAGGACATCTGAGCAATAATTCCAGAATCAGTTGACGTTTCTCCTTCAGCTTTTTTTGTAGTAACAGACTTTTCAGCAACTAGCTTTCTACTAATTCAGATTCCTGAAGTTTGATTGTCTTATTTTACTGATTAACTTTTACACCAGCAGGGCACTGGTTAGCATATCAGAAAAGCTTAACTTTCAGCTAAATAACTCACCTGTAAGTCCTGGCCTAATTATTTTAAGCATAAATGAGTGTACAACATTTACACACTGGTTAGATAAGCATAATTAAAATAAGCAGAAGTCACAAATGAGATAACATCTCACACCAGTTAGAATGGCAATCATTAAAAAGTCAGGAAACAACAGGTGCTGGAGAAATAGGAGCACTTTTACACTGTTGGTGGGACTGTAAACTAGTTTAACCATTGTGGAAGACAGTGTGGCGATTCCTCAAGGATCTAGAACTAGAAATACCATTTGACCCAGCCATCCCATTACTGGGTATATACCCAAAGGATTATAAATCATGCTGCTATAAAGACACATGCACACGTATGTTTATTGTGGCACTATTCACAATAGCAAAGACTTGGAACCAACCCAAATGTCCATCAATGATAGACTGGATTAAGAAAATGTGGCACATATACACCATGGAATACTATGCAGCCATAAAAAATGATGAGTTCATGTCCTTTGTAGGGACACGGATGAAGCTGGAAACCATCATTCTCAGCAAACTATCACAAGGACAAAAAACCAAATACCGCATGTTCTCACTCATAGGTGGGAATTGAACAATGAGAACACATGGACACAGGAAGGGGAACATCACACACTGGGGCCTGTCATGGGGTGGGGGTGGGGGGAGGGATAGCATTAGGAGATATACCTAATGTAAATGACGAGTTAATGGGTGCAGCACACCAACATGGCACACGTATACGTATGTAATAAGCCTGCATGTTGTGCACATGTACCCTAGAACTTAAAGTATAATAATAAAAAAAAAAACAGAAGTATATCTGACAAAGATTTGCAACCAGCATATACAAAGAACTCCTATAATGCAATAACACAAATTATTTGAACACACTTCACAAAGGTATACAAATGAACAAGCACATAAAAATGCTTGATATGAAAAACAATCAGGGAAATGCAAATTAGATACCACTTACTACAATGAGATACCACTTACTACACATCCACCAAAATGACTAAAATAAAAACCACTGACACCATCATATGCTGATGGTAATGAGAAACTGGAACTGTCATACATTGCTGATGGGAGTTTAAAATGGTACAACCACTTGAGAAAAATGTCCTGCGGTTTCTTATAAAAAAAACTAAACATGCATCTCACCTATGACCCAATAATTCTATTCCAAGATAAATGATAACGTGCTCATAAAAAGATTTACAGAAAAATATCCATAGAAGCTTTATTTATAATATGTAAAAAAAACTGGAAACGGCCCAGGTGTCCATCAAAAGGATAAACTATGGCATATTCATACAATGAAATAATATTCAGCAATAAATTTTTGATACATACAACATAGATAAATCCCAAATACCTTATGCTGAAAGAAGCCTTACACAAGAGAGCATATACTTTCATTTATGTAGTTAGAAAAACAGAAAACTAATCTATTGGGGAAAACTCAGAACCAAGAGTGGTTACCCAGGGGAATGGGATAGAAAGATTTGACTGGGAAGAAGCATGAAGAGACTTCCTGGGGATGATAATGTTATCTTGATCAGGGCTTGGGTTTCACAAGTATGTGATTTGTCAAACCTCACTGCATCCAACACTTAAGATTTGTGCATTTCACTGCATGTAAACTTCACCTCAAAAGAAAAAAAATCTTTAACAACTATTGAACTCTGGTTAACAATATGCATGAAATGTTTACAGGTAATCTGTACTTAAGTTTGCAATTTTCTTTGAAATGCATCAAAAATGAGGACTTATAGATGGATATGTGAAAAAGCAAGTATAGGAAAATGTTAAGTATAGAACTTAGGTAGTAAATATACACGTTAACTGAACAATTCCTTCAACTGCTCTGTGTTTAAAAGATTTTTATAAGAAAATGTTGGAAAAAAAATAAGCAGTGAGTAAAGAAAAAGAACTAAATTAACAAAATCCTATGCCATGTTTCAAAACAACCAGGAAAGGAAAAACTTCTTGGGTAGTTGAAGCTATTTTAGCAGAGCTAAAAGGAATCAAAGAAAATCAAAACAAACTTCAACTGCTAAAACAAACAAAACAACTGAATATAAAATAGCTTTTTATGAAGGTAAAAATTTTCACTTTGAGGCAGCCAACATACCAGAGCAAGGAAATAAAACATTATTTTAAGTCTAGTATTAGGGTAGAATTTTTTCAACAATTCTGCAAACAATTTGGAAAAACCTGAATTATATAGTCTGGAAAGAGCCAAAAGTTCTGCAAGAAAGATTTGCTAATTATGTGAGGGGACTGACCATCCATATAACACTAATAAATCAATACTATGAACCAATAATGTTTGGCTAGAACAGATTTTAACGTTTTTATTCACTGACTGGTCTGAATTCATAAGAACTGATTCAGTTTAACCTCAATATTGTTTGTAAAGACCCCATCCCCTTTACAAAAGGTCTACTCAGTGGCAAGAGACACCTACCAGGAAAAATACTAAACAATAGTCAGATTTTCTTGTTTCCAAGATCCCCCCTCACCAGCGGCCATAAGAAAAAAAGTAAACTCAAAAGTGGTGGTGATCGGCCAGGCGCGGTGGCTCATGCCTATAATCCCAGCACTTTGGGAGGCCAAGGCGGGCGGATCATCTGAGGTTGGGAGTTTGAGACCAGCCTGACCAACATGGAGAAACCCCGTCTCTACCAAAAATACAACATTAGGCGGGTGTGGTGGCACATGCCTGTAATCCCAGCTACTCCGGAGGCTGAGGCAGAAGAATCACTTGAACCCGGGATGAGAAGGTTGCAGTGAGCCGAGATCGCACCATTGCACTCCAGCCTGGGCGACAAGACAGAAACTCCATCTCAAAAAAAAAAAAAAAGTGGTGATTATTGGGAAAACAATTACTGAAACAATAAAACCAGAATTGGTTCACTTACCTCAATTAGTTTCCACTACAAATAAATGTCATGTGTTTATTAAAACTAGTTTTACGTGTAGCTAGCAAATATTAATTACAGAATTTCAAGAACCCATTTTCCATCCTATAGCTTTCCCCAAAACTCCAGATGTTTTAAGGGGCGGACCTTATGTGACAGCCTCTCTACAACCTTATAAGTTTAATTCTTTTCAGGATTCAAGACAACATTTCAAAAAACCCAAACTCATACTAACTTCATAAGCAAACATCTCCTCTCCAGATGGCAGGTTACCAAGGTAGTTTTTATTATCAAAAATTTCAAACAAAATAGCATAATGAACCTAAGTTTCAACGATAATTATTCAATGACACACAGCTAATGTTCTTTCATCTATAATACTCATCCTGAAATTACTTTGAAGCACTTCCCATAATCACTCTAAAGCAGTTTTAGTCACACAGTAGGTCATTACCTAAACTCAGGTCAATCCTTTCCTGAAGCTACATCTCCCACACACAGGCACCCTCCATGTCCCTGAAAAGCATTTTAGGGAAAACTGCCTTTGGTCATTGAGGTAGGAGAGAAGACAAGTGTTCTAAATCAAGTTGCTCCTACTGAAACTTAACATTCTAGGTAGGATGGAGGGAAACAAGAGGTTGTCTCTTGCTACATAGGTTGAGTATCCCTTTTCTGAAATGTTTGGGACCAGAAGTGTTTGGAATTTCAAAATTTTTCAGGTTTGAGAATATTTGCTTTATATTTACTGGTTGAGCATTCCTAATTCGAAATTCCAAATTGCCACAAAGAACATTTTGAGCAGCAAGTCAGTGCTCAAGAAGTTTCAGATTTTGCAGCATTTTGGATTTTCAGATTAGGGATGCTCAACCTGTATTAGTTCTCTTGAATTCTTATATAAATTATATAAATTCTTTATTATAAACGTAAATATAAAAGGCCTTAAAGAGGTTTCATATGAAATGAACTAAATTTGGCCCAGATTTACAAAAGTCTAGATTAAGTTTATGCTCCACCCTTCCCAATAGACTATATCATTCATTATCTATGGAGATTTGTCTAAGTTCTGAATGTCTGGTGTTCACATAAAAAATCCCATGATTTGTTTATCCTTTTAAATCCAAAGCTAATTGAAAGGTTATGCCTTGATTATAAGCTTTAAGGAAATGAAAGCTGTTTTAAATTCATAAGTCTTAAATTTCAACAGTAAAACCGACTCAATGTTTTCATCTGCTCTTAATCAAGGCAGAAAGCCACAATCAGTTTTGAGAATATATACAGCATAAAAATGAATTTAATTATTTTTCCTGGCTATGAGAAATTATCCAGCTTTTTACCTTTAGCGTAACCAGATTTATGTCAAGAAGGGGCTGTAAGTAAAGGGTTCCAAACAAATTACAGTGCCTTTGTATTTCCTTCCCCAAACAATTCTAAATGGCTGAAATTTGGTTAAAAGCAGAGAAAAGACAGGATACCTTTTGTAACAAGAGCAACTTAAGAGGTAATCTGTAAAAAGGAGAAGTCTACCACTATGTTTATCCTAGATGGTGATTAAGTGTTAGGGTTTTGTTTTGGTTTTCATCACAAAAACCATTTCCTTTTTACCTGGCAGCTGCCTCCAAGAACGACTGCAGACTTCTGCAGCAGTACAGGTTACCCTCACCTCTCCCCCAACAACAGGAGGGCCAGGACTCACTCCTTGATTATTTTTAGAGAAGACTGATTCTAATACATAAACAAAGAGAACTTGCATGATTTAAGCAGGCCACAAATACTGACCTCAATTGATAGTTCACAATCTAGTACACACATTGCTTTCAGGTTACGTTAATGCCAATCATGATTAAATTTCATTAATTGGTAATAGAGCACAAGTCAAGGCAGCATTATGTAAGTTTGAAATAAAAACAAATCTACTGGAAATCTAAGGCAGATGTGCTTGTCTCAAAACCCGCCAAATTCCAAACCCATATTTCTCAAGACTACAACCTTCTAAAACACCCCTTAGAAGCTAGTGAACCACTGACAACTGAAAACAAAGGACAATCACTTTCTGTGAATTATGTATACTTCAGAAATGTTTGCACATTCAAAAAATGTTGGGAAGGGGCTGTTCCATGTTATAAGCTTGACTAAAACAAACCTTTATGCAAAACACAATTTGCAGGCTGCACAGATTGAGAACCCAGGAGGTTAGCAGAGAAGTTAAAACACTAGTACACACAGTTGGTTGTTATTAAAACATTAGTGCACTACCATCCACCTTAAGTTGTCAGATGCTAACTCACAGTGCAAGGCCTTCTTAAAATCAAGGATACAAAAACAAATCCAATCGGTACTGTCTATTATGAAGCAGAAACCTTTAGTACATTGGCTTATTTAGAACTCATCAATATCAATCATCTTGAGAACAGTACATTGAAGATGTATCTTCTTTGCAATGTTCCACTCCAGTACCTTCAACTGTTCAAGTACTTCAAGCCCTGATGTCTCAAATTATTCTTTTTGGCCAAGGTGTAGCCACAGGGGGAAAGGAGAGACTGAGTCACAAAAATAACCTTTTAAGAAAGCGATATAAATAGGTTTTGTGGCAACCAAAGAACACTTTTTAAATAGCTGTTTGTCAGGTGAGACAGAGCAAAGCATTCAGGACGATTTGCCCCTCAGAGAAGAACTGATCAATACAGAACATCTTGTGGTCTTCAGATAGATGAAAGGGAGAAGGCAAAAAAGGATGATGAAATGTGTCTCACAGCAAGCCAAAGCCAAAGCCAAAGCCAAGCCAGGCCTTCAGAGATACAAGATTAAGTCTAAAAACAAAAATGGTAAGATGTGACAATGTCTGGACTCAGAAAACAATACCCCCGAATGAAGGCCTCAGTAGCAAGTTTTTCTCTGACCTTCTCCTGCCCTCCTATCTCTCAGTCTCCTTCTTCCCCAAAGCTAGCCATAGAAACTAGAATCCCTCTTCCCCAAGGTGGGTCATAGAAACCAGAACCCCTTTTTCCTGAAAGCCAGCCATAAAACCTAAAAATATTACTCTAACTTTTCTAAAACCTAAAGATATTACTCCACCTTTCTGTGTAAAAACTGGTCATAAAAAACTATCTGATTTACCTGGTTTGACTGTCATAAGACCCCCTATTCCAGAGAGGATCCTGTCCCACACCCAGAAGGAAGGAATGTGTGCTCAGAGAGGGCAAGAATACAAACAAGCCTTGTTGGGTTTCCCCTACTCAAGTCCATTAGCAGATCATACCCTTTTTGTCCAATGATATTTCTAATGGCTGTCCATACTTCATTGAAGCTAAGCATAAAAAATGGACAATTTCCCCTGTATTTTTGGGTCTCCATTCTGAAGGTTCCCATGTACACATTAATAAAATTTGTACGCCCTTTCTCTTTATCTGCCTTTTGTGAGCTGAGTTTTTGGTGAACCTTTAGAGGGTGAAGGAGTTTTCCCTTGGCTCCTACAACTATTGAAAGTATAGGATAATGAGAAGTCTGAAGTTCTATAAGAGGGTTATAAATGCTTTAAAAAAACACACACACACATACAACATAAAAGGAACATTTTCTGGAGAAAAGGCGTAGATATGGTAGTATGTGCTGCAATGACTCTAGATTAAATAACATCTCAAGTGGCCCTGCAACTACTCCCCACCAGTTCATGCTAAAAATTCACATTCTTTTGCAACCAAAATGCCAGAGAAAAAACATGTTGAAACAATCAAATGTCCGGTACTCTTTGCTGACATGAAAATGCAAAAAGAAAAAATCCCACTCGTTTTGGCAATTTTAAATGCTAATTTTTATTTACTGCTAACTGTGCAAAAGACACCAATTCAATACAGTGCAGTAAAACACTTACATACATCCAGTATTAAACAATAGCATATGGGATAAATCTAAAGCAGAGAACCATGTGCCTTCAAAACTGATATCACAGAATGCAACTGGCTTCAGATAATTCTCAAGAAACGTGAAGAGCTCTTTAATTTAATATTAAGTGAGTTATCCAGAAGCAAAGGCTCTTGGTTTTACTTTCTAGAAAAAAGTGGAAGTTACTCCAATTCTGCATGGTTTAATATGATGTGTGATTTTTGAACCAATGAAATACTTTATATTCATTTTATCAATTGGTACCATCAGCTAATATAAAGCTGACAAATGGCTGACAGGAAAACAGCTGAATACAATGAAGTATGCTCAATATGGGGCTAGTTGTACATCCATCTCAATTTCCTTAGTCACAGCCCAAAATAATACCCCTTAATTTTAAAGTACTATTTTAAATCAAAAGATAAAATAATTTTAAAGACAAATACAATAGTAAACACTAATCACCTAAATCATTTAACCACTAACATAAAATACTTTTTAAAAACAAAAACAGCAAGAAAATGGCAGTGCAAGAATACTTCATACTGCTGGATCTTACATACCCTGAGGTACATAATGAGAAGCTGGGGGAGATGGAGCAATACAGCCAATTGGCCCAGGATTTATAGCACCATGAATTTGAGAAGAACCACCATATGCTGTACCAACTGGATGCCAGGGGGGAACACAGGAATAATCTGGCACAACCGGAAGGCAGGAGTCAAAACCTGGCAAAGGTGGCTGCCCATAGGGATCTGACATTACTGGATAATAGACTGCTCCATGAGGGACAGATGAAGAATCAGCATTCGGAAAAGTATCTGAAAGAAAGGATGTATACAGTCTACTTTATATACAAAAATTCACCAAAACAGAACCCCATGCAACATAAATGGATGTTCTTATGTGTGAAAATAAAACTAACTATAAGAAAGATCACAGCAATTGCAGCAGGAGCACTTTAAATACAAATAATGAGTAAAGATAATATGAAAATTTCCAAATTAAAAAACTGTGAAATATATGTGTCAAATCTATTCAATGTACAGACAGCTATCTTTCTGGGATGATTTAGGTATCAGCAAGCTAAATACATAAATATTCTTTAGAGTCCTTCTAGTTAATTAAATTCTTGTAAGAGGTGGTCACAATTGAGTTATCCAATAGTTTTACAGTATACATCATCCGAATAACCATTTAGCAATGAAAAACTCAGGTGTCTAGACATTCTGGTCTATACCTGAAAGTATAGCTCTGAAGAACACCCTAAAAGTGTCATCTCCTGAATGTCATTAAGATCACATTTTAATTTCATAGCACTTTTGCCATGAGTCAGTTCCAGTAGAAATAAATGCTGTTTTAACCTTGCTATAATGAGTATACACATTAGACAAAAAAAAAAAAAAAAAATTCATTACTTGGGCTTAGATTAACTCTGTGAAATTAAGACTGCCACTGCCTCATAGTTAACTACAATTAAAAATAGCTCTATAAAAGGTATACTGCACAAAATTCAAAAAAAAAAGATTGACACTGTAATATGCTTTAAAAATGGAAAGGAAGAGAGAAATTAGTATTCCTAATATGCACCAGGTAATAGTATACTTATACATAAGGTCCCAATTAGTTCTTATAACAACCCTGGCAAGTCAGGTACGAACTCCTGACCTCAGGTGATCCACCTGCCACAGCCTCCCAAAGTGCTGGGATTATAGGCGTGAACCACCGCACCTGGCTCAGTGAAGTATTTTAATACCTAGCCTTTCAGATAATTGTAGATATTCTTTGATGCTACACCCAAACTACATAAGTGGTAGTTCCTCAAAGGTCACTAGCAATGTGGATTTTTCATGCTCTGTTACATTAAAATCCACTGTTTTATCTTGCACTTGGAAAGATCTGTTACAAAAATCACACCTTGGTCATATCATGCATTGGTAATTGGGAAACTCTTCCTTCACTGAGTTATGCAGATCTTCCAAATGTTGACACATTTCCTCATACAATTTAAGAAACTACATTCAGCTCTACTTATCTTATTACAGGAGTTTTAATTGGTGGGAAGGTGTCAAGCTCATGGTGGAAGATACATGTTTTCCAAAATTCTAATTTTTATTTGAAAGCTAAAATTGTATCTTTGGCAACAAATATTACTAGTTATTTATCCTAAAGTGACAGGCTCACTTTGTTCATTTAAGAAAATGCCGGCCAGATCAACTAAGTGTGAATAATGATAGCTTATCCCTCTTTCAAGTCAGCAAGTACAACTCATAACTTAATAGCACAAGTCTTTTTCCTTAAGTTAATCATTATACTTCATTTAGTATGCAGAAGTGTTTTATAAGTAGTTCCATTTTTGTCACAAAGAAAAATACAACTATTCAAGGATAAAAATTTAGTAAAAATGTCTTTGATTAAACAAAAAAACATAAGATTGGCATTTTTGTACCATGGGTGTGTGGCAGTGAGAAAAACACTGATTACTAGCAGAGTCTGGGGTCAGTACCAACTAGTGCTTAGGTGTCAGCAGTTTTACCCACCACTGGTTTCTATGTCCTCAATGAAAATGCAAGCCAGTGAAAGGGGCAAATAAACTCTTAGTATTATTGTGAACACTTCTGACCTCATGAATCCCTTGAAAGAGTCTTAGGGACCACAAGAGGTCCACATATCATGCTTTGAGAATCACTGGTGTAGTACATGGACCTGATGAAATATATGAAAGCTATTATTGAATTACACACAATAAAATCCAACTGTCTTTCTTGCTGGCAATCTCATTACACACTCACCATTTGCTGATGCTTCCGCCTGTATGCCATCTTCTCTCCTCACCTCACTGTAGCATTGAGGAACGGTTTGATCTACCAGAGGTGGCTCAGTATAGACTGGATAATTCTCTACATGAAGCTGCTGCTGCATCTGTGGCACATAGACCATGGAGTGCCAGTAGCTGTGGTAATAGCACTTGAGCAAGAAAGGGCAACAAAAAAATAAGAAACTTCACTCTTCTCTATTCTTAATGTAATACAGTTCCCCACAGACAAAAAAAAAAAAAAAATAAGAATTGGGCCACGATTTTCAGGTGAGGTAGCAATGACTTTTTTGACCTAAAAACTTGACAGTCTGTTCTCTATTAGAACTTTAGGATCTTTTGCAGCATTTGTATCTCATATTTAAACCTAAGAATTCTTTTAGGAAATAATCTAAAAGACCTGTATACAAAGGTGTCTTTTATAGTATTTTTAAAAGCAAAAAACATTGCACATAGTATTTAACAACAGGGAACTGGATAAATTATATACCCGTAATGAAATACTATACAGGCAACGAAAATCATGCTGTCAAATATTTAAAGAAAAAATGCTTGTATTGTTAAAAGATTTAAAAATTATACAGCATAATCCATAGTTTGTAAAATACAAAATTGTAAGAAAATATATAAAGTATACAGTGATCATAGAGGTGATTTTAGTTTTCTTTATACCACAGTATTTTCAAAATGTACTACAATGGACACTATGATTTCTAATAAGAAAAATACTGAAATATCTATTCAGCATCTCCTGGTATTCTATGATGTAAAAGGCAGAATATTTTTAAATGCCTCAGTGAAATAGATTACAAAGTTTCCACATGTGACTATAATAAACTAACATAACAGAAGGGGCAAGCGGTTTATCAATTCTTGAAACTAAATTTAGGAAAAATAGTCTCAAAGAACAAAAACCCACCCCATTACTCTTAATTTATAGATGTGTACTATTTGGGAAGACAGTTTTCTTGGCACTGACATGTCTAAAGCTTCAGGGAAATCAGTGTCAGGGAATATGAACTAATCTGAGCATTATCCAGGAGAGCACAGAGTTTATCATCATCTGACAGATCTTAAGATGCATTATTCCTTTCAGTAAATATGCCATCTTGTTACATTTTAAGTCAAGTGTATTTCAGAGGGAAAGTGATCCCTGAAAGACTAAAATAAAAGAGCTCTCACCTCAACTCGGAGACACCTTTCACTGATAAAGACATTTGTCAGTACCCACCTGCCTCTACAACTCAGGGGAGTGGTGAAAAAACAGTGTTGAGCAAGCATCTATGAACACATGAGTGCTTTAAAAATGCAGCTATTTTTATTTTTATATTTATTACACAAGTTTTGGGATACACATGCAGAACATGCAGGTTTGTTACATGGGTATACATGTGCCATGGTGGTTTTCTACACCCATCAATCTGTCACCTACATTAGGTATTTGTCCTAATGCTCTCCCTCCCTTTGCCCCCAACCCCGCGACAGGCCCCAATGTGTGATGTTCACCTCCCTGTGCCCGTATGTTCTCACTGTTCAACTCCCACTTATGAGTGAGAACATGCGGTGTTTGGTTTTCTGTCCTTGTGATAGTTTGCTGAGAATGGTTGCCAGCTTCATCCATGTCCCTACAAAGGACATGAACTCATTCTTTTTTATGGCTGCATAGTATTCCATGGTGTGTATGTGCCACATTTTCTTTATGCAGTCTATCATTGATGGGTATGTGAGTTGGTTCCAAGTCTTTGGCATTGTGAATAGTGCTGCAGTAAACATACATGTGCATGTGTCTTTATAAAATGATTTATAATCCTTTGGGTATATACCCAGTAATGGGATTGCTAAATCAAATTGTATTCCTCATTCTAGATCCTTGAGGAATTACCACACTGTCTTCCACAATGGTTGAACTAATTTACACTCCAACCAACAGTGTAAAAGTGTTCCTATTTCTCCACATCCTCTCCAGCATCTGTTGTTTCCTGACTTTTTAATGATTGCCATTCTAACTGGCATGAGATGGTATCTCATTGTGCTTTTGATTTGCATTTCTCTAATGACCAGTGATGAGTTCTTCCTGTTTGTTGGCCACATAAATGTCTTCTTTTGAAAAGTGTCTGTTCATATTCTTTGCCCACTTTTTGATGGGGTTGTTTATTTCTTGTAAATTTAAGTTCCTTGTAGATTCTGGATATTAGCCCTTTGTCAGATGGATAGATTGCAAAACTTTTCTCCCATTCTGTAGGTTGCCTGTTCACACTGATAGGTTCTTTTTCTGTGCAGAAGCTCTTTAGTTTAATTAGATCCCACTTGTCAATTTTAGTTTTGCTTTTGTTGCCATTGCTTTTGGTGTTTTAGTCATGAAGTTTTTGCCCATGTCTATGTCCTGAATGGTAATGCCTAGGTTTTCTTCTAGGGTTTTTATGGTTTTAGGTCTTACATTTAAGTCTTTAATCCATCTTGAGTTAATTTTTGTATAAGATGTAAGGAATGGGTCCAGTTTCAGTTTTCTGCATATGGCTAGCCAGTTTTCCCAGCACCATTTATTAAATAGGGAATCCTTTCCCCATTCCTTGTTTTTGTCAGGTTTGCCAAAGATCAGATGGTTGTAGATGTGTGGTGTTATTTCTGAGTCCTCTGTTCTGTTCTATTGGTCCTATTGGTCTATATACCTGTTTTGGTACCAGTACCATGCTGTTTTGGTTACTGTGGCCTTGTAAAATAGTTTGAAGTCAGATAGCACGATGCCTCCAGCTTTGTTCTTTTTGCTTGGGATTGTCTTGGCTATATGGACTCTTTTTTGGTTCCATATGAAATTTAAAGTAGTTTTTTCTAATTCTGTGAAGGAAGTCAATGGTAGCTTGATGGGAATAACATTGAATCTATAAATTACTTTGGGCAGTATGGCCATTTTCATGATATTGATTTTTCCTATCCATAAGCATGGAACGTTTTTCCCTTTGTGTCCTCTCTTATATCATTGAGCAGTGATTTGTAGTTCTCCTTGAAGAGGTCCTTCACATCCCTTGTAAGTTGGATTCCTAGGTATTTTATTCTCTTTGTAGCAATTGTGAATGGGAATTCACTCATGGTTTGGCTATTATTGGTGTATAGACATGCTTGTGATTTTTGCACACTGATTTTGTGTTGCACACAACTTCAACTTTGCTGAAGTTGCTTATCAGCTTAAGGAGCTTTTGGGCTGAGACAATGGGGTTTTTAAAATATACAGTTATGTCATCTGCAAACAAAGACAAAGTGACTTCCTGTCTTCCTATTCGTATACCCTTTCTTTCTTTCTTTCTCTTACCTGACTGCCCTGGCCAGAACTTCCTATACTATGCTGAATAGGAGTGGTGAGAGAGGACATCCTTGTCTTGTACCGGTTTTCAAAGGGAATGCTTCCAGCTTTTGCCCATTCAGTATGATATTGGCTGTGGGTTTGTCATAAATAGCTCTTATTAATTTGAGATACATTCCATCAATACCTAGTTTATAGAGAGTTTTTAGCATGAAGGGGTGCTGAATTTTATAGAAGGCCTTTTCTGCATCTATTGAGATAATCATGTGGTTTTTGTCATTGGTTCTGTTTATGTGATGGATTACATTTATTGATTTGCATATGTTGAACCACCCTTGCATCCCAGGGATGAAGCCAACTTGATTGTGGTGGATAAGCTTTTTAATGTGCTGCTGGATTCGGTTTGCCAGTATTTTATTGAGGATTTTCACATCGATGTTCATCAGGGATATTGGCCTGAAATTTTCTTTTTTTGTTGTGTCTCTGCCAGGTTTTGGTATCAGGATGATGTTGGCTTCATAAAATGAGTTAGAAAGGAGTTCCTCTCTTTCTATTGATTGGAATCGTTCAGAAGGAATAGTACCAGCTCCTCTTTGTACCTCTGGTAGAATTCGGCTGTGAATCCATCTGGTCCTGGACTTTTTTTGGTTGGTAGGCTATTAATTACTGCCTCAATTTCAGAACTTGTTATTGGTCTACTCAGGAATTCGACTTCTTCCTGGTTTAGTCTTGGGAGGGTGTGTGTGTCCAGGAATTTATCCATTTCTTCTAGATTTTCTAGTTTATTTGCATAGAGGTGTTTATAGTATTCTCTGATGGCAGTTTGTATTTCTGTGGTATCATTTTTTATTGTGTCTATTTGATTCTTCTCTCTTTTCTTCTTTATTCACCTGGCTAATGGTCTATCTATTTTGTTAATCTTTTCAAAACAAACCAGCTCCTGGATTCAGATTTTTTGAAGGGTTTTTTGTGTCTCTATCAGCTCTGCTCTGATCTTAGTTATTTCTTGTCTTTTGCTAGGTTTTGAATTTGTTTGCTTTTGCTTCTCTAGTTCTTTTAATTGTGATGTTAGGGTGTTGATTTTAGATATTTCCCAGTTTCTCATGTGGGTATTTAGTGCTATAAATTTCCCTCTAAACGCTGCTTTAGCTGTGTCTCAAAGATTCTGGTACATTGTGTCTTTGTTCTCATTGGTTTCAAAGAACAAAATACAGTGCCTTAAATTTCTTCAAATTTGTCTAATTTTCACATAAAATGGAAAGATAGTCATAAAAATATTTTAGGATAATTCATTTATTTTGAGACAGAACACCACAGTGAAAAGTTAGCATGTAATGTTAAATATGATGGCTCATCTAATATATGCTGATTGTGCTGCTTACAGCCCAGTACCCCTCTCTTCAGTTTAACGACTATTTTATAAGAGAAACTAAAGCACTGGGAGGCTAAAGCAGACAACTGAACTATGTCATCTTCAGAGATCTCTTAGACAGAATTAAAATGTTTAGTCCCCTTAGTGATTTTGGCTTTCGAAGTTCAAGAGTCTGATTATCAAAACGGTCTATACTTTGAAAATAGGGCTTATCAAAGAAATTTTAACATGGCACTTACCTGCAATCCTAGATTGAAATAGTACTGCAAAACTTTTGTATCTAAAATTAAAAATCAAAAAAATTAGTGACTTGACTGACATAAGCAATTAGAATTATCTTTTAAAAGCTTTTCTGGCTGGGCACGGTGGCTCATGCCTGTAATCCCAGCACTTTGGGAGGCCTAGATGGGCAGATAACTTGAGGTCAGGAGTTCAAGACCATCCTGGCCAACATGGTGAAACCCTGTCTCTACTAAAACTACAAAAATTAGCCGGACGTGGTGGCGGGTGCCTGTAATCCCAGCTACTCAGGAGGCTGAGGCAGGAGAATCACTTGAATCTGGGAGATGGAGGTTGCACTGAGCCGAGATCATGCCACTGCACTCCAGCCTGGGTGACAGAGCGAGACTCCATCTCAAAAAAGAAAAAAAAAAGCTTTTCTGTTTGAGCATTATTAAGATATCAATGTAATCTTGCCACATTAATACCACTCTCAATTTTACCTTATAGTAAATGACTACTTACCTACCAATATAGGTAAAATTATTTTCTCATCTACGGTTTAGTTACCAAATAAAATTTTTATTTCTAATCTTAATTGTAGGCAGATGTTACAGGAATGTCACTTTGGTAATATTTAGGAAGAATCCAATAAAGGCATTTTCTTGTTTGTTTCAAGATGGAATTTTTACTTTAATACACTTCTAGAACATAAACAATCATTTTGGTCCTCAGTTACTAGCACTTATATACAGTACAGACTAATACTCACTGACAGAGATTAGTGATGCCTGCTGAGACAATTAGAACAATATGAAACAATTCATCCTGTTTTTATTTACCATGACTGACATACCACCACCAGAACTCCAAAGAGAAGGGCAATGAGCAAGGTAATTTCTCTTGACGTTATGAAACTAAACTATTTCATAAATGAACAAAAACTGTTCTTAGCATTCCAATTGGACCTCTAAATGTATTTTTATTGTTTGACCTGAGATCCACACATATTTTTATTTATAAAGTAATATAACCTGAGTTCCACTAACAGATGAACTTTTAGAAAATCCCTCTTTAAGTTGGAGACTCCCTACACATACAAATACATTTATTGCCATTTTTTTTTAAAATCAGCTTGTATTTTGACTATTATATAGGAGCACAGCATAAAGCCTAATGCTCAAGCTACATAATATTTTAAAAAAATAGTAGGAAATAAATTCATGAGTGGCATGGGATTCTACTTGATACATGTATGTATCAAATAACTTGTATACACAAACGCACGTAGCAGTATTAATAGCCAGAAAGTAAAAGCAACCCAAATGTTCCTCAACTAATAGATAAAATATGATACAGACATACTTTGGAGATATCATGGCTTTGGTTCCAGAAAAAAATAAAGCCAATATTGCAAGGAAGTGAGTCACACCAATTTTTTGGTTTCCCAGTAAATATGCTTATGTACTGGGCGTTATGCTTATGGCCGGGCGTGGTGGCCCAGGCCTGTAATGCCAGCACTTTGGGAGGCCAAGGTGGATGGATCATGAGGTCAGGAGATCGAGACCATTCTGGCCAACATGGTGAAACCCCGTCTCTACTAAAAATACAAAAATTAGCCAGGTGTGGTGGCACGTGCCTGTAATCCCAGCTACCCGGGAGGCTGAGGCAGGAGAATCACTTGAACCTGGGAGGTGGAGGTTTCTGTGAGCTGAGCTCGCGCCACTGCACTTCAGCCTGGCAACAGAGCAAGACTCCGTTGCAAAAAAAAAAAAAAAAAAAAAGTTATGCTTATACACTATACTGTAGTCTTTTAAGAGTATAATAGTGTTAGGTCTAAGAAAACAATGTACATACCTTAATTTTAAAATATGTTATTGCTGGCCGGGCACAGTGGCTCACGCCTGTAATCTCAGCACTCTGGGAGGCCAAGGCAGGCGAACCACTTGAGGTCAGGAGTTCGAGACCAGCCTGGCCAACATGGAGAAACTCCATCTCTACTAAAAATACAAAAAATTAGCTGGGCATGGTGGCGGGTGCCTGTAATGCCAGCTACTTGGGAGGCTGAGGCAGGAGAATTGCTTGAGCTCGGGAGGCAGAGGTTGTAGTGAGCCAAGATTGCACCACTGCACTCCAGCCTGGGCGACAGAGACTCTCCATCTCAAAATAAATAAATAAATAAATAAATAAATAAGTAAATAAACAAACAAACAAACAATACAATACAATACTGCTAAAAAAATGCTGACAGAAATGAAGGGAGAAAAGGGAGAACATGTTGTTGGAAAAATGGTGCCAATAGATTTGCTTGACACAGGGTTCTCACAAATCTTCAATTTGTAAAAAAAATAAAAATCACAATATCTGTAGAACACAATAAAGCAAAGTGCAACAAAATGGAGTATGCCAATACATCCATACAATGCAATTTTTTTGGCCATAAAAAAGAATAAAGTACTGATACATGCAACAACATGAACCTTGAAAATAGTATGCTTAGAGAAAAAAAGTTAGTTGCAAAAGCCCACATATTGTATGATTCTATTTACATGAAATGTCCAGAATAGGCAAATCCATGGCCAAACTAGAGGAGCGATTGCTAAGGCCAGGGAGAATGGGGAGCACCTACTAACGAATACATGATATATTCTCGGGGTTAGTAGAACTTAGATGGAAGTGAATGGGGAAAGAATTTGAGTTGAAGCACCACGCCAGCAAAGGCTTAGGAGAAAAAAACCTGCTACATAGAGTTCACATAGGAGTAGAAAGAGATAAGGTTGGAATAGAGACTAGATTGTGGAAAGTCATAAATGCCATACTTAGTCTGTTGAACTTTAATCTACAGAAACCAAAGAATCACTGAAGAGTTCTGAGCTAGGAACAGACACAAAGTGGAATAGTACCAGAGCAGTGAGACCAATGGAGAAGCTACTCTAACTGTTCAGGGACAAGGTGATAAAGGCATGACCTAGGAAAGAGGCAGTGGATATTTTTTAAAAACACTCTGTGAAACACAGATTTTTAATAAATCAGCCAAGGGTAACATGCAAAAATCAATTTTATTTTTATGTACAGGACAAAATTGGAAAATAAAAGTTTTAAAATTCTGTTTACTACAGTTCCAAAAACCCAAATACATAGGGACACATTTAACAGAAGATGTAGAAGACTTCTACACCAAAAAAAAAAAAGTTGAGAAACCAAACGCAACCTAAATAAATTGACGGGTATACTATGATACTATGTTCATGAATTCAAAGAGACCATACTGTTAAGAATTGGCATTCTCCCCAAATTGAGCCATAGATTATAAACACAATCCCTAATTTCCAGACGTTTTTTTTTTTTTGGTAAAATTTGATAGTGTAAGAGACATGCAAATGACCCTACCTTACTTCAAACCTTACTAAAAAGACAGTATAGTACTGATGTAAGGATTAAAAAATTGATCAATGCAACAAAAGAGGGCACAGAAATAGACCTGCACTTAAAACAGTCATTTGATTTTTGACTAAAACACCAAAGTGATCCAACGAGGAAAGGAAAATCTTTTTCACAAATGGTACTGCTGGAATACTGGAGATCCATAAAGAAAAAAAAATCACCTCCACCATCCACAAAAATGAATTTGAGATGAATAGTGGACTTAAACATAAAACTAAATGAATTAAGCTTTTAAAGGAAAACATAGGAAACAATCATAACGACTTTGGAGTAAGACAAATAAGGCCAAGGTTTTTTGTTGTTTTTTTTGTTTTTTTAAATTAAGTCAGAGTTTCGCTCTGTCACCCAGGCTGGAGTGCAGTGTGGCATGATCTCGGCTCAGTACAACCTCCACCTCCTGGGTTCAAGTGATTCTCCGGCCTCAGCCTCCCGAGTAACTAGCATTACAGGTGCTCACCACCTCTCCCAGCTAATTTTTGTATTTTTAGTAGAGACAGGGTTTCACCATGTTGGCCAGGCTGGACTCGAACTCCTGACCTCAATTGATCTGCCTGCCTTGGCTTCCGAAAGTGTTAGGATTACAGGTGCCAGCCACCATGCCCGGCCAGTTGCTTAGATTACAGAAAGCAATACACACCAAAAAATGATCAATTAGATTCCATCAGAATTAAAATCCTCTACCCATCAAAAGGCACCATGAAGAAAATAGATAAGCCACAGAATAGGAGCAGATATTCACGAAACATACCTGACAAAAGACTAGCATAGAGAATATGCAGAGAACGTCTGCAACTCAATAACAAGCACCCAATAAAAAAGAAAGTAGTCAAAATATGTGAACACTTTACAAAAAATATGCAAATGGCCAATAAGCACATGAAAAAAGTACTCAAACAACTGGACATCCACATGCAAAAATATGAATCTACACACACTTTACATACTTCACAAAAAGGTCACTCAAAATGGATCACAGACCTAAAAGTAAAATGCAAAACATAAAACTCCTAGACGATAACATAGGAGAAAATCTAGATGACCCCAAGACTGGCGATTACTTTTTAGATACAATACCATAGGCATGATCCATAAAAGAAATAATTTATATGTTAGAGTTCTTTAAAATTAAAAACATCTGCTCTGTGAAAGACACTTAATGAAAAGACAAGCCACAGACTTGGAAAAAATACTTGCAAAAGACATACCTGATATAATGGACTGTTACCCAAAATATACAAAGAACTCTTAGAACTCAATAAGTAAACTACCTGAATTAAAAATGGGCCAAACATCTTAACAGATGTTTCACCAAAGATATATAGATGGCAAATAAGCACATGAAAAGATGCTCTACGTCGGATTTCATAAGGGAAATGCAAATTAAAACAATGAGATATCATTACACACCTATTAGAATGGCCAAAATCCAGAACACTGACAATACCAAATACTGGCATGGATGTGGAACTACAGGAACACTCATTCATTGCTGGTGGGAATGCAAAATGGTATAGCCACTCTGGAAGACAGTTTGACAGTTTCTTACCAAATAAAACATATTCTTACTCAATAGAGCAATTGTAATCCTTGGTGTTTACCCAAAGGAGTTAAAAATATATTTCCACAGGGCGTGGTGGCTGACACCTGTAGTCCCAGCACTTCAGGAGGCCGAGGTGGGTGGATCACGAGGTCAGGAGTTCAAGACCAGCCTGGCCAACATGGTGAAACCCCATCTCTACTAAAAATACAAAAATTAGCCAGGTGTGGTGGTGGGTGCCTATATTCCCAGCTGCTCAGGAGGCTTAGGCAGGAGAATTGCTTGAGCCCGGGAGGCAGAGGTTGCAATGAGCTGAGATCACGCCACTGCATTCCAGCCTGGGTGACAGAGCAAGACTCCATCTCTCTATATATATTTCCACAAAAAAACTTGCATATGGATGTTTAGGGCAACTGTAACCAAAAGTGGGAGCAACCAAGATGTTATTCAGTAGGTGAATGGATCTATAAACTGTGGTACATTCAGATAATGATTTGGTGAGGAAACTTAAATATATATTGCTAAGAGCCATTCTGAAAAGGCTATATATTGCATGACTGCACCTATATGCCATTCTGGAAAAGTCAAAACTATGGAGACAGTAAAAAATCAGTGATTGACAGGAGTTGGGGGATGAATAATAATAGGCAGAGCACAGATTTCTGGGGTAGAAATGCTCCATTATAGCATCCATGTGATGCTATAATTAAGGATACATGTCATCATTCATTTTTCCAAACTCATGAAAGTGCAAGAGCAAGAATGAACACTAATATAAACTATGGCCTCTGGATGATAATGATGTGCCAAGGTAGGTTCATCATTGTATCAAATATTCCACACTCTGGTATGGTGGGGGACACTGATAATATGGAAGGCTACGGACATGTGGGGGCCGGTGGAAAATGGGAAATCCCTATGCCTTCCTCTCAATTTGGCAAGAAACAGAAAACTGCTCTATAAAATAGATTTTTTTACAACATGATCAGTCACCAGAATGGATAAAGTTAAGGAGTGTGGCGACAATAAACGTTGGTGAGCAAGAGAAACTACTGGAATTCTCATACGCTGCTGGTGGAAGTGTAAAATGGTACAACTTTGGAAAAATGTTTGGCAGTTACTTATAAAAGTAAACACATATCTCTCTATGACCCAGCAATTCCACTGCTAGGTATTTGCCCAAGGGAAATAAAAACATCTGTTTACAAAGACTTCTACAAGAATGTTCATAGCAGCTTTTTTTGTTAGCAGCTTTTTTTGTAACAGCCCCAAACTGGAAACAGTCCAGCTATCTATCACCAACAGGAGAATGGACAAACTGTGGAACAGTCATACAATGAAATGCTACTCGGCCATGAAAACAAATGGACTACTGACACATGCAACAACAGACAAATCTCAAAATTATGCCAAGTTTAAGAAGCTTTCCATAAAGATTATATACTATATGATTACATTTCTATAAAATTCTAAAACAGGTAAAACTAATCTATGGTAGAAAAAAGTCCAAACAGTGGTTGCCTCTAGGGAGAGCACGGGAAAAACTGGGAAGGAGCATGAGGGAAATTTGTGGGACAATGTTAATACTTTATACTTTGATAGGGATTTGGGTTACACAAGTGCATGCATGCATATGTTAAAAGTAAGCTAATGTGCATTTAAGTTTTGTACATTTCATTATATGTAAACTGCACATCAAAAGGAAAAAACTACTTAATGATATGTATCCTGAAGTTTTTATGGGGAAGTGTACAAATGTCTACAATTTACTTAATGTATCAAAAAGAAGATGGATTAATAGAGATGGATGGAGGGGAAGATGGATAGATATGTGATAAAGTATAAATGTTAATGATAGAATCTAAGTGATAGATATGACTTCATTTTAAAATTCAACTTGGATGAATGTTTGAATATTGTCATAGTAAAATATTGGAAAAATACAAAATCAGCATTATGTGGTGACTAAGTACATCTCGGGTACAGGTAGGTAAGGGAAGGGAGAGTAGTAAAGAAATCAGGGTTTAGATATTGGGAAAATTAGGTGGAAATGATACCACTATTAACAAAATAAAAAACCAAGGAGAAAAGTCAATGTTTTGTGTGGTCTGGGGAAAAGATAAATATGAGGAATTTCATTATTGAAATGAAAACTAAAAAGCTAAGTGAAAATGTCTAGCAAGTATCTGGAGACAAGAAACTAAAACTTCTGATGCCAAGGCTAGCTACATTTAGGAATAAACTACACAGAAGTAACAGGGAAGTTTAAAGGTAGGGAAAAAACAGAAGGGAGTTAAAGAAAATCTTGGTGATTAGGGGTTGGAAAAAAAAAAGCAAAAATAGAGAAGCAGCTAGAAAAACCAAGAAAATATTATAGCAAGAAAGTATAAGCTACAAACAATTCTCAACTATAATTCTCTTGAGAAATATGCCAAACTGAGTAATAAAGAACTTCCAATGAAAAACTACTCTCCTTAGATGTTTAAGAAAACACAGCTGAAATTCAAGGCAGATAAGACTCCTAATCCCCACTCCCCCAAATCTTTAAAATTCAGTTGAAATTCTAAATATAAAAGACTGCAATAATTCATGCACTTATGGAAAGAATTTAAGAAATAAAGAAAAATTTGATACCAAGTCCTGTTTTGCAAGGAAAAACAGTTAAGAAAAGCAAAGATATTCATTTGAGAATCTTCTTCAGGGTAGACATGTAGCTACCAAAACAAAACAAAACAAAACAAAACAGCAGCACACGTCAACTCAACCATCCACTTGTTGATTATGTAGAAGATATTCTCAGTTTTCAGCTTTTAATTGCTCCTTTCCTTAGTCACTTCCAGTATTGTGTTCTCAAGTCAATTTTCATTTGGTTCCCCATTCCCCAATAGGTCAACCAAAGAGAGATATGCTCTAACAATATTTTTTAAGTCTCAGATCCCTCACCTAAGTCTCAAAATCTACTTACCTTGAGGCAAATCACTGCCGCTTGGATCACAGGAATAAGGTGGAGGTGGTAGTGGTGGTGGTGGTTGTAAGTTTGAAGTCTCTCCCACATCAAGAGCAGGAGGAGGAGGAGGAGGAGGAGGAGGAGGAGGAGGAGGTGGTGGTGGTGGTGGTGGTGGTGGTGGTGGTGGTGGTGGTGGTAGAGAGGCACCAGCATGAGGAATAGCAGAATGGCATGGATAGGATGGTGAGGCAATCACTAACAAAGAAACAAAACATAAAGTAGCAATACACAACTATAACACCTTATGAACAGTAGGCTCATCTACTTTTCTTGTCTCCAGTATGGTCAAAGAACTCTTAATTCTTAAGGTTTGGGTATAAAAAAAACTTGGACAGTGAATTGTCTACATTCTCTTAGACATACCAATGGAGAACTAGTTCATAACAGGTCATTTTGATTTAAGAAAAGTATTGGAAATTAAAAGGGAAAAAACTGGAAGAGGCAGAGCTTTGACTATCAGACTTTGAACATTTAGCTAACAGGTACATAAATAAAACATAACTAAAGCAAAATTTTTACTTAGTTTAATACCCAATGCAAATTTAAGAATGTTTTCAGCAATCTGTCACTCTCAGTCAAATCACAAAATGCAGAAGCTAATAAGAGATGGATTAAAGTGCACAGACTACAGATTTTAGCAATCCTTGAAGGTTTCTACTGGTAGCATCTCAGGAATATAGGGAACTTTAAATCATGAACGTTCCATTTCTAAGGAGGTACAGAATCTAAAAACAGGTTAGATACAATATCTTATCCCTTTAGCTTTCTATACCTGTTACTATAGCTTAGAAATAATCAATATTTAAAAGTTTTTGACATAAGAAATTCAGATGTAATTATATTTAAATATTAATCCTCTATGACAATAAAGGAAACAATGTGGTTACAACCTAGTAAAAACACATACCTGCATATATGTATGACATAACACGCAAATTTGTTAATTTTTTTTTTTTACAAAAGATGAATGATACAAACCTTCAAGTTTAACTGAATAATTTTAGCCAGCTTAAATCCAAGTACAAAATTTCATCATTTTGTTATCTGCATTATCATTTTAACCCTGAGAAACATAGAAAGTTTAGTCTTATCATTCTATAAATGTTTAAAGTCAGAGTTTTAGCACACTGAGTTTAGCATAGGAGCATAGGAACAATTCACACAAGCTGAATTTGTTATTCTGATATTTTAGCAAGACATAATCCACATTGTTTCCATTTAGTGACCAGTACTAACAATATACTCATCTTATCTTTTGTACATTTACAGGCTAACAGTAATAGGTCTGTGTCTTCAGGTGATGTAAAACTTGATAAACAACTGTTTAGGAGTGATGCAATTATCTCTTGATTGTGGTGGTGGTTACACAACTCTACGCATTTGTCAAAGCTCACAGAACTGGGCACCAAAAAAATGAATTATACTGTATCTAAATTAAACAGTAAGTTTTTAAAGCTTGCTCAACTAGCTGTTTTGGAGTTTTGTCATATATTTCGAAATCTCTACTTTTACAGTTTTGGGAGGGGAACTTAATTTTCAGAATATCCCCAAATGTTCTAGATACAGATTTTTTTTAAATAAAATGGCTCCTCCAACAAAGCTCTGCTCTTATTCCTTTTAAACTAGCACTGAAAACGTATCATGCCATTTTTTTAAAAAAAAGCAAATGGAGAAAGGCAATTAGCTGAAGATAGTAGAATGTGATTATGATCACTAGGTAAAAACCAAGACATAGAAGTGGCTAAATACATTCTCACGGGCCTGAAAGAATCAAGAGTAGACACAATTTGGAGGTTACTTTGTCTGAATTCACCTTCCTTATAAATGCACAGTATTACAATAAACCCTCTAAGTAAAAGCTTTTACAATTTCAAGTTTCTATAGAGATGCATGAGCTTCTCATCCTCAGACTTAAGAAGAGCTCCACAGGCTTAACAGATACACTTCAAGGGATGTCTCAAGAATTATAGAAACGTCTTCTAAAATACTAGTAGAAATCAACGTAATGCATTCAGAATGCTGATTTCCCCCATCCATGTAGCTGTAGTCTGCTTCAGGACACTTCAGAAGAGAACATAAATATATACAATAAGATACTGCTGCTTCTCTAGAAATCACAGACCAGGGCCAAGGCCAAGGTGTGGTGAGATGCTCCAGTGCAAAATTTAAGGGGCTACCAAAACTAATACAAAGAAAGCTATTATGAATACAACATCAAAATTTTCAGTAAAGACAGGATCCAACCCTGTACTTGTATGACCCCAAGGGTATATGCCTTACTCAATGCACCTTAAACCTGACCCACAGATCCTGTCTTTATTTACAATTGATACTTTGTTCTCAAATTTTTTATATTAATCTTTATTTTTAAAAATGATGAATTAAAGTGTTATTTATCTTGATTACTGTTTTTTTTTTTTTTGGCATTCCATTAAATTTTGCACTCAGGGACAGTCACTGATCCCAGCCCTGGCAAAAGACTTGGGAACATTTACTGAAACCCAGAGTTTGAAGTTGACAGGATTTAATGCCTAAAAGGAGACTCATATTTGAAGGCAATCATCACATCTTGTTACCTGGCAGATTAGCAGTCACTTAAGGATGGAAGGGGCCTGCCAGAGAGACATATGAAGAACAAAGTGGGAAAAATCAGTCGTTTCATCTATAGGATTGACAAGAATGACAAAGAGCAACTAAAAATCAGCCAGATCTAGTAAAGAAGATCTATAGTTGAGGTTCATTAAGTGACTGAGAGAACAAAAAGCAAATAAATGAAGGCAGTATGCATTTTTAGAAAAATCTGGCATTTAAATCGTAATCTTTCAATGATTCCACATAAATAAAACATTACAATGCTTGCTTCATCTGTCACTTGAATTTAAGCTCAGACAGCTGCTAGAAGCAGACAGCAAACATTTTCCCTTACAACTAGCACAAAGTAGTAAAAGTAGTGTCTACATTAACATTTCCAGTGAAAAAAATATATCATCATTAACATTTATTGTATGTTTTTGTTCCAGGCACTGTGCTAAGCACTTTTTTTTTTTTTTTTGAGACAAAGTCTCGCTCTTGCCCAGGCTGGAGTGCAATGATGTGATCTCAGCTCAATGCAAACTCCGACTCCTGAGTTCAAGTGATTCTCTTGCCTCAGCCTCCAGAGTAGCTGGGATTACAGGCATGTGCCACCATGCCTGGCTAATTTTTGTATTTTTAGTAGAGATGGGGTTTCCCTATGTTGGCCAGGCTGGTCTCGAACTCCTGACCTCAGGTGATCTGCCCACCTCGGCCTCCCAGAGTGCTGGGATTACAGGCATGAGCCACCATGCCCTGCTCACTTTATCTTTTTATAAATAAAACAGATACAGCAAACAAATCAAATATACTGCTTAATGAGTTATTTTAATGTGGATACTACCCATGCCTATAAATACTTTTCCCTCCTACCATAACCAACTGTTGTTTTGACTTTAATAGTAATCACTTCCTTGGGGTCTTTTCAGAGTTTTGTCACTCAAATGTGCATCCTTGAACAGCAGTTTTTTAGTCTCATCCATTAAAAAATTGGATATTTCTTGAATGTCTTAATCTATTGGTCCTTCCTCCACCCATTTCCTGACAAGTTCTGCTTTAAAGAACCTGGGCCCTTTGACCTGACAAGCTTCCCATAGTCTGGATTTTGCAGATTACATACTCATGCTGCAATCCAACATGTTATTCTTTATTTCCTGTCAATAGGCAGCTAGATCCAGGAGACTGAATCAAATTCAGGACTGATTCCTTTGGGACATCTATAACATCCATAGCTAATGTTTGACTGACTTTGCAATCTTAGTAGCTACTGATGTTTAATGTCCATCCATTTAATAAGAACTGAAAAATTATTTTCACTTTTTAATTGATTAGTTAGAATACTATTACAAAAAGATACTTCCCCTCATCTATTTGGCTATTCAGTAGTATAGTTCATATAAGGAAGGCAGAATAAATGTTTGATTATTTCATGTTCCAGTTTTCAAGAAAATTAATTGATTTCCTATCATCCTCTTAAAGTAAGCAATTTTTAAAATATCACTAAGAACTTTTATATTCAACATACTTGGTATATTCCAATCTATTGCAATGATCTTTGTTGAGGCTCAAATTGTTCCATCTTTGGCCAGTGGGAATCTCTCTTTGTGATGGTTTCTGAGTCCTTCTGACATAATGCCTATACTCTTTGATATGTTCCTTGCTATCTGGTATGACAAGATGTTCCAGGCTCATCTTGAACATTTCCTGCTCAGACCTGGAATCAGCCATTTCTCCACAGAGCCGTTTATTTTTAAAAGTAATAAATGGTATTTTAAGACCACAAACTCGGTGCTAGGGATACTTATTGTTTTCAGGCCTTTCAGTGGACACAGCGAGGAAACATATATATATATTTAAAGATAAAATATCTCAAGTTCATACTGATACTTCTAATTCAAGTTCAAGACTATAAAAGCTTTTAATTAACCTCTATAACATCTGCATTACCTTTTTTCCACACTAAGAATCCTGGTTCACAAGGACACGGGATAAAATTAGAATATCCCACCATTACTCATTTGCTTTAGCCCACATTACATAGTCTCGGAATAACTTTCTGAGCATCTAAACTAAAGAATCTGATGTGACTGAGAGCATGAAAAAATGCTTTGCCCATATTCTCTCAATTCTATCATTTAAAAAAATAACTACATCTACACCCTCCAAACATAAGGCTATTACATAGTATAGTCTCAACTTCTCAGCCCTCATTTGTCTTACTTCTACAGGTAACTATGTATTTAATACTTACCATCACGTCTTATGTCTCTAATTGTTCTGCCTCTAATTGTTCTGGTACACAATACCAGAACAATGTCTCTAATTGTTCTGGTAGCCTAAAACTCAAAGTTCATTCTCTAGTACACTGTTGTCCAATACAACTTTTTGTGATGATAGAAATATTCTATATCTCTGCTGTCCAATACAGTAGCTACTAGCCACATGTGGCTAATGCAACTGAGGAACTACAGATTTACTCTATTTAACTGTAATTAATTTAGTTTCCACACGTGGCTAGTGATTACCCTGCTTGACAGCACAGTTCTCACAGATTCATCAGGAAGGGCTCATGGGAAGAATATTCTTGGTTTCTCACATGTTGCCCTTTGTGCTTGAAAATCAGTTTGACTGGATACAAAATTGCTGGTTCACATATTCTTTCCTTGAGTATCTTAAATGTTATTCCACTGTCTTCTAGCATAAAGCAATGCTGTCAAAGTTTGATGATTATCATTGTATTTCTCTTATATGCCATAGACTCTTAGATACTTAGGACTTTTTAACTCTAGCAACTTTATTAGAATATTCTGCTGTTTATTGCTCTGGGTCAATATTCTCAGGTATTCAGGGTGCTGTTTCAAGTATGTACTTTTAAAACTTTTTAAACTTATGGTTTGACTCTGTCCCCACCCAAATCTCATCTTGAATTGTAAACTGAGTTGTAATCCCCAGGTGTCAAGGGACAGACCTGGTGGGAGGTGGCTGGATCATGGGAGCGGTTTCCCCTATGCTGTTCTTGTGATAGTGAGTAAATTCTCATGAGATCTGATAGTTTTATAAATGGCAGTTTCTCCTGGTCTTTCTCTCTCTCCTGGTGCCTTGTAAAGAAGGTGTCTGCTTTCCCTTCACTTTCCGCCATGATTGCAAGTTTCCTGAGGCCTCCTCAGCCATGCAGAACTGTGAGTAAATTAAACCTCTTTCTTTTATATATTACCCAGTCTCAGGCATTTCTTTATAGCAGTGTGAAAACAACCTAATACAAAACTTCAGCAAAGTTTTCTAAATTATAGCTTTTAGTATTATTTTGTTCCTTTACTTTGGTTTTTTCAGAGACTTCTGTGTTTGATCTCATTTGCCTAACTTCAAATATGTCGCTTTTAAATCTTTATCTTCATTTTTTTTTTTCAATTTTAGATTTCCCTCTTCTTACATTTTTTTTTTTTTCTAAAGTTTATGGCCGGGTGTGGTGGCTCATGCCTGTAATCCCAGCACTTTGGGAGGCTGAGGTGGGTGGATCACTTAAGCCTAGGAGTTCAAGACCAGCTTGGGCAACATGGCAAGACCCTGTCTCTACAAAAACACAGTAATTAGCCGAGTGTGGTGGCGTGTGCCTATAGTCCCAGGTACTGGGGGGCTGAGGCAGCAGGACTGCTTGAAACCTGGAGATCCAGGCTGCAGTGAGCCATGATCATGTCACTGCACTCCAGCCTTGGTGACAGAGCAATACCCCGTCTCAAACAAAAAAAATTTAAAGCCTAAAGCACTCTTATTTCTCTTAAAGCATTATCTGCTGTACATACAGAGTGGGTATCCCTAATTTGAAAATCTGAAATTCAAACTGCTCCAAATTCCAAAACTTTCTGAGTGCCTACATAGCGCTCAAAGGAAATGCTTATTGGAGAATTTTGGATTTTCAGATTAGGAATGCTCAACAAGCATAATGCAAATATTCCAAAATCTAAAAAAATCCTAAGTCCAAAACACTTCTGGTCCCAAGCACTTTGAATAAAGAATACTCAACCTGTATTTGCTCAAGCTCATTACAGTTTAGTCTCCATTACTAAAATGACCTTCTCCCCTTTATAATTCTTTCCTGAGTTCTATCACCTCAGGTGAGTTTTTCTAATTCTGATTTATGTTATTCTTTAATGTTTTGTATTATTAATATCTTTAGCTCATTTTGAAATAGTTTGTCACAGTTTTTAGTTTATTTAGATCTGTTTAGTGTTTCATTTCTAACATGTTTTCATTGTCTGTAGGGATATTCTGCTTTTTATTCCTTAAGATATATTTGTGTAGCATTTGACCTTAATCCTTTTCTTTTGTTCTTTTCCCTGACCTGCTCTTTTCTCTATCCTGATCAATTCAGATTCCACTCTTAGCAGTTTCTTCCCAGTGAGGAATACTGTCCTAAAAGGGAACTCTGGCAGGTCAATTTTGAAGAGTTAGAGGTTAAACTGTTCTAAGCCCTTCAAGTCCTTCTACTATGTGCCTCATGCACTCACCTAGTATTAGAGAGACCAAATCCCTTCCCAGTTTTGGCTGCTGCTTCCAAATTGTCTGCCCTACTTTTCAGTGAATTCTTATTCATTGGAATTCTCAGGTACATAAGACAACATCCTCAATGCTTCTATGTTCTTGCTCCCTCATAGACCCTGATAGCATGCAGGTCTTGTGACTAGTGGTTTGTCCCTACCTGCTTAAATCCTGGGGTTCATGGGGATACCTTGTCACCTAGATTTTTGTAGGTGTCATGGGTTTTGACTTCACTATTTCCATTTTTATTTTGAGACTCAGAAAAGCTAATGCTGTTGTTGCCACCACCTTCCTAGAAGTCTGCTGATAATTTAAAATTTTATTAACTTACTGAAAAGTCCACAACCACTTCATGAATTGGTACTATCAGTGCCCCCAAGCCACAGATAAAAAGCTTCAATAATTTGTGCAAAATTACACAATAAGTTGTAAAACCAGGATTCTAACCCAGATCTTTTAAATTCCAGAGCCTGTATCTTTTATTATGATATTTACAGGACAATTATTCATTACAAAGGAACGTGTTTTATAGAATAAATTCCTGAAAAGTTTGCTATAAGGTGAGAAGCATCGCTATCTTCACTCTTATATGATAAAACTTAACTCAAAGTTTGAGAAACTAGTACAAGTCCCCTAATTCAGCAGGTAGCAAAATGAAAGGTATAAAATCTTACCAGCACGAAATTTTCAAGAATAAACTTGAATCCCTGACTCTCAAATCTCATGGATTCCTCAATGGCAGAACATAATTAAGTAGGTTAAATAAATTTAATTCTGGAAATTAAAGTAATGGTATGTAATTACCAGAACAGCTGGATGTGCATGTTCATGAATAGGAAAAGAGGCTTCCAAAGTAAGCATCTGCTAATAACCTACCTGGCCTGCCGTGTGTAGGTGGAGATACAAAGAGAGGCTGTATAGCATTCTGTGAGGAAACTGAAGTGGTACTAATAGCTTGATTAGCCGCTGCACCGTTAGATAAGACTGGAGCTGGAACATTATTGGCACAGGAAGCTGCAACTGCTGCAATATTTCCCATCATCTGTAAGTGTGGAAGAAAGTTCAAAACTCTTAAGTTTGGTTTTTCAAACAGTAGATTATCTGATCCTAAACTTCAGAAAATAGTAATTAGTTTAGAAAACTAAAACACTGAAAGTCAATCTTTATGTAAACCTTATATAGGAAGGTTATTTCTTTCAGAAGATCTTAGGTCACTTGAGAGCTTTAATTTTTTAATTCATTTATTTCTAAAAAGGTAATACATTAATATGATTTGAAAATCAAGTATTAAATCGTATACAATGGAAAGTTTCCCTCCAAGCCCTGTCCTGTCTGCCTAGTTGCCCGCTCCCCAAACAGTTAACCTCTGGGCTTCCTGCATATTATTCCAAAGGTTTGTAATTCATTTTTACATGCATATATATTGCCCCACACAAGCAAACACCTTTCTTTGAGACAGGGTCTCACTCCCATCGCCCAGGCTGGAGTGAAGTGGCATGATTTCATTCACTGTAGCCTCAACTTTCCAGGCTCAAGTGATTCTCCCACCTCAGCCTCCTGAGTAGCTTAGGACTACAGTCACGCACCACCACGCACAGCTAATTTTTTATATTTTTAGTAGAGACAGTTTTGTCATGTTGCCAAGGCTGGTGTTGAACCCCTGGGCTCAAGTAACCTGCCCGCCTTAGCATCCCAAAGTGTTGGGATTACAGGCATGAGCCACTGCATCTGGCCTACACTTTTCTCTTTTTTAAAGAGAAAAGGTGCCTTGCATTTTTTATAACATTGTAAGACTGTATTTTTTTTTTTCTGCTTAGGCCACAGCTCCTTAAGAGAATAAACTATTTTTCCACAGCACCCAGTACAGGGCTGTGCACAGAAAGATATTCAGTAAATGGTAACAGATTCTTCTTGAACATACTGTCCTCACTGGGAGTCTCCATTTTCTTCCCACCCAACTGCAGTGTGGCTGCTACCCACACTGGTTCTCTGAAACTGTATTCAAAGTCACCAGTGGTCTCTATGTCAACAAATCTTAGTAGACTTTTGTTAAGTCTTATGTTGCTTGACCTCTTGGCAGCAACTGACACCTGGCTGCTCCTTGAAACATTCTCTTCCTAGGGCTTCCATAATATTCCTCTCTCGTGCTTTTCCTCCCTCTTGGATGGTCCTTCTCTGCCCATTTTCTAAAATTTGATAATCCATGGGCTCTGTTCTAGATGCCCTTCTCAATCTCTTCCTTTGCCCAGGATGATCTTGTTTACTCCTATGGTTTCAGCTACCTTTTTATAATGCTGACTCTCCATTCTACAGGAAAGCTTTAAAATTAAGTTTCAGTTAATGAGACAGAATTGATGGGTAATTTAGATTAACTCACTCTTTATATAAAAGAGGCTCACAGGAGACTATGAGTAATCTAAAGCCAGCACATAGAACAGTGTCTGGAACACAGTAGATGCTCAATAATTTGTTGAATTAATTTACTAATCACTGTGTCAGACACCAGAAGGTACAATAATACCTAAAGGAACAAAAGCAGTTGCTTTGAAGTATGATGAAGGTAAATGAAAAGAGGAAATTCATTTTTCTGTGTTCAGGCCATTGTAACTGCTTAATAACACTATGAGGATTACCTTCTGGGGGTAGTTGTATGAGGTAACTGTGTCCTGAGGAGACATAGAACATGACTTTCTGTCCTGAAGAGACTTTAATACAAAAATATAGTTAAATAAAAAAACAAACAACACATCAATAACTTTGTTTCAACATATTTTAAAACTATATGAAAGTGATCAGTCCTGAAAAAATTCAAATTTGGAAGTGACTCCTAAGACAAAGCTCTAAAAGTTATCACTCTAAAATGTGATGTAGGTGACTGTTTTGTTACATATCTACAGAAATCCTCAACACATCTAACTCAAGTCCTGATGTAGATACTAAAATGTAACTGATAATTGAAATCTAAACAGTCTTTCAGTGATCTTTGCCTTAAAAGCTTGAAGCACCATAGGACCAACAATAGTTTTGCTTAAAAAAAAAAGGCATTCTATCTGAATATGTAGCTTGGTACAAGGGTAAACTGGTTATTCAGTTGCGTTTTATCTAAGCGGGATTTAATAGATATTGTAAGATTCAAATATCATTCTCCTCTGGCTTAAGACCCTGTCTTTCTAAAAGTAAAAATGATTTTGAATGGCTTGGACTCATGCATGATAGACTGTCATGGCAGCAAAAACTCTACCAGCAGAGATTGGTTACATTAGTAAGAGCACAGAAAGAACAGGGAAAGGTAATCACAGCAAACAACAAAAAGTACCTTACTGTGAAAAGGTGAGCCCCACTTAACATGGACAATTCCAAAGTCTGTGTTCAAGTATAGCCAAAGCCCCTGCCAAAAAGCAAACATTTGCCCTGGCTCAGAAGTTCCCAAGTGAATACCAAATGCTTCTAGAGAAACATTTATTTGAGTGTTAGACATGGAAATAAGAAGTAGAAATAAATGTTCATGATTTCTTAGAAGGCTTTGCCTGGAAATCTTTATTCAAAGAGTCCTGCGTTGGACAAAAACAAAGATAAATAGATGGGACTTAATTAAGCAAAAAAGCTTCTGCACAGCAAAAAGAAAAAACCAGCAGAGTAAACAGATAGACAACCCACAGAGTGGGAGAAAATCTTCACAATCTAGCAATCTATACATTCGACAAAGGACTAATATCCAGAATCTACAAGAAACTCAAATCAGCAAGAAAAACACAATCCCATCAAAAAGTGAGCTAAGGACATGAATAGACAATTCTCAAAAGAAGATATACAAATGGTCAACAAACATAAGAAAAAATGCTCAACGTCATTAATTATCAGGGAAATGCAAATAAGAACCATTATGTGATACCGCCTCGCTCCTGCAAGAATGGCCATAATCAAAAATATCAAAAAATAGATGTTGGCATGGATGTGGTGAAAAGGGAACGGTTTTATACTGTTGGTGGCAGTGTAAACTAGTACAACTGTGTACACTGTTTTCCACTATGGAAAACAGTGTGGAGATTCCTTAAAGAACTAAAAGTAGAACTACCATCTGATCCAGCAATCCCACTCCTGGGTATGTACCCAGAGGAAAAGAAGTCATTACACAAAACAGATACTAGCACATATATGTTTATAGCAGCAGAGTTTGCAATCGCAAGAATATGGAACCAGCCCAAATGCCCATCAATTAATCATCAAGTGGATAAAGAAAATGTGGTGCATATATACCATGGAATACTACTCAGCCATACAAAGAAACAAAATAATGGCATCTGAAGCAACTCAGATGGAATTAAAGACCGTTATTCTAAGTGAAGTAACTCAGGAATGGAAAACCAAACACTATATGTTCTCACTCATAAGTGGAAGCTAAGCTAAGGAAGCAAAGGCATAAGAATGATACAATGGACTTTGGGGACTCGGGGGAAATGGTGGGAAGGGGGTGAGGGATAAAAGACTATACATTGCTTACAGTGGTACACTGCTCAAGTGATGGGTGCACTGAAATCTCAGAAGTCATCACTAAAGAACTTATTCATTGTAACCAACCACCACCTGTTCTCCAAAAAACCTATTGAAATTAAAAATTAAAGACAAAGAGTTTTTTTTTAATGTATGCTGATAATTCTGAAGACATTTATCCTTTATTTTAGCAACAATAGAAATTTGCTATGGATTTGGTGATGGGGGCAGAGGGCTTGGAACATATGAAGAGATTGAAAGCTATTGAGGTTGTTTAAATTCAGAACAAAAAGGAACATGTGACAAGTGAAATTGAAGGAACAGAAAAAAAGTATTCTTGTCATCCCTTGTGGTAAGATTCTTACTTGGCTACTTCAAGAGGTGATATCAAAAGCACATGATATGAGAATAGTAATGGTGGCAGGAAATGGGGGAAAAAACTTTCTCTGGAAGGAGCAAAGTAAGGGAAGGAGAAAGAACAGAAAGAGAATTACGTATCAGAGTTTTCTTCTCCTTCCTAAGGTATATTGTCTAAACAGTAAAAACAAAAATTTAGTACATGAAGCTGCCACAGTTTAGTCATAATTAGAGAATATAAGGTAGTTATTCAAGTTCTTCATAAATATTCCAGATTTCCTGAATAGATGGTAGGATTGCCCTTCCCAGCTCCATCCAAAGTCAAGAATGACCATGTTACTTGGTCAATAAAATATGACCAGAAATGTCAGTGTTCAATTTCTGTATCTTTTGCCCTGCTGTGATGATCATGATGGCATGTGTCCATCAGCCTGGGTCCCTGGGTGACTATGAAGAACAGTCATAGTCTGGCAGCCTGCTGCCAACTCGCATTGAACTATATAACATTAGCAAGAACAACTTTTCCTGAGTTAAGCCACTGAGATTTTGGGGGGTTGTTAACTGCAGCATAACCTAGCTTGACTAAAACAGAAATTGGTAACTAGAAGTAGGGTACGGCTATAACAAAATCCTAATTGAGAAGGAGATTATGAACATGTAGCTCTTAGGGTAAGCAATTTAGAAGACATGATGTTAGTATTGTGCTTTGATAACTGTTGGCATTGTCTAAAGCAAGTTATTTTAAGACAGGTGTATGTAGGAGAGAATTAGTAGTTTGCAGGCAGGAATGAAAGGGAATAGATTCCTTGCATACAGGGACTCACAGGGTTGAAGGAACAACTGTTTCAACCCTAAACTATAAAAGGTAATATTGATGAATGGTTTGAACAACGACAAACAGTGAAAACTCGACCTCGCAGCAAGAATGAACTCTTTGGTTAAAACCCGAGTGTATTAAGATGTCTCAAAGCTAGAGTTCAACTAAGGATGTAACACCTAGTAAATCCTTGCACTTCAACAAAATGGCTTGTAGAAAAATGTCCAAAATGCATGGCTCTTCCATCAGTGCCTGATAAACTCAAGCCACTTGCAATCAAATAGACAGAAATATAAGGATAAAACCACAAAGAATTATAGCAAATCTTAGTAGTATATCTATAGAAAAGAACTGTAGTATGGCTATTGGTACATGAAACCAAAAGAAATCAAACAGAAGCAGAATAAATTAATCTTACAGCCAAAGAAATCACGAGCCAGAACTAAAACCATTCAACTGAGATAAAACCACCCTTGGGCCTCCAATCTTCTGTAAGTAGCAAGCTTAGAAAGCTGCTCGGTTGCCAAGGAAGGATTATTCTCCAATGCCTACTCCAAACACTGCCAAGGAAGGATGGGCCTTGGGAGTAACCAAGAGCCCCAGAAAATGAACGAGAGTTCCTCCAGGGAAGAGTCCCATGAGTATGTTGGGGGCCCTTACAACGTCTGCCCATGAAGGTCTCAGAATTGCTACAGGCCAATAACTGTTTTTTTCTCCCTTTATGAATAGAAATTTCAGTCCCTGCTTCAGCACTGTAAACTGGGGAGGGAGGGGGAAAAAATAAAACCTCTGTATTTTTGGTTTTAAGTCTCAAGATCACAAGAAGCTACATCTGGACCCAATATAACAAGTACTACACATAGCCCAGAAATCCTAGGCTTTGAGTTTGATTACACTGAATGGGACATTTTAGGATGCCTCCTTTGAGACAGAAACAAGTATTCTGCCTATGAGAGGGAGGGCAAGTTGAATGATATAGTTCTTAGCGCTGTTAACATGTTTCTTTTTGCCTTCCAGCACAGAAAAGTTAAGACTCTTCAGTGGGACCTGCTCTGGCCAGTGAAATGGAAAAGAAAGTGACATGTATCACCTCTAGTGGAAACTCTAAGAGCCAGTGCACCATTTACCGAATTTTATTTCCTGCCTTGGCAATTGTGGATGAATTTCCATCAGCCTAAGTACCTGAGCAAGCCCTTCTACAGACCTCTACTAGACATGTAGCATAAAGGAGAAGCAAACTTTTGTTATATTGAGTGAGATGTATCATCCATTCTAATAAAAAAATCATAATAAAACCTTCTAAAAGATCATTACTGCCTATGTTAGAATATCTCTAAATATATTAGTTCCAGAACACGAGTTAATTTCTGTCTCAATTTCATCTTCAAAATGAGAATGATACTAAGCCTCACAGGGTTGTTCTGATTTAAATACATTTATATGTATAGCTCTTAACAGTGCCCTAGTACATAGTAGGAGCTATAACTCTTTGCTATTATTAAATACCTACCAAGTTTGCTGTAGATGCAGTTGTGCTATAAACACCTGAAGTTTCATAGTCTGGCTCTAGAGAATATAGCCAAAGTAAAAAATGAGCATTATTTTATAGCTTGAAATTCTATAAACAATGATGAATGCCAGATCACTTCTAGATCTTACTGACCTGCACGATAAAGATATTCTTCATGATATCGCCCTGGGGAAAAAAGACAAGACAGAAGAAATGTGTTTATATAGGTCTTTTTAGCTCAGCAGAGCCAAATGGCCAGCACTTGCTTTTTCCACCAGTTTTATGGTTATATGTTCAAAACTAAAATGCATACATCCTGAAAAGTGATATGAGCTTTCACACTAGTCAACAGATATTGAAGCCACAGACTAGCTGTAAGCTGTACAAATTTCTCCTCTGAAAATCCACTTAGCTCTTAGAGGTCAGGCAGAAGTGAAAACTCAGTTGTGTCCAATTTTTCCAGTGAGGCTACAGTGTGGTGATTAAGCACATAGGCTCTGGAGTGAGGACTGCCTAGATTTGAATTCTGATTAACTACATGACTTTAGGCAAGTTATTTAATCTCTGTGCCTCAATTCTTCACTGTAAAATGGAGTAACAGTACCTAGCTCATAGGCCTTTTGAGGATGGTTAATGGAAGTGAAAGTAACTTAGCATAGTGCTTTACACATACTAAATACTCAATGGTGTCTATAAAGTATGAGTATAATCCACTGTTTCCTTAGGTGGACATTAAGGGAACATGTATGCCTCATCTGTTTTTCAATCTGTTTCATGTAAGTAATACATGTAAAATGAGTGTGTCCTCAAAGGATGGCTCAGTAGACTGAAGTACTTTTAAGATTTCTGTACCACTGAAATGCAGAGAAAGTCAATACTCAATCGGACAGTTTTCCACCAAATATAAACCCGCAGTTCTAAACTAAATTTGATTCTTAAACACACCACTTATCAAACACACACGCATGAAACTCCTCCAGATTTAAGGTGGGAGCAAAGATTTGGTTATTTCAAATATGCCACACTACCCATAGAGCTAAAAGACAAAAGGGTCATCTAAATAAGAGAGCAGACAGTAAATGTCCTTAAGCACACGCATGCACACACGTACAAAGTTTTCACAGATCATTCTTGCACTAGATTTTTTTACTCATTAAATTCCTAAAAATATCTATTTTTTTTCTACACTAGTAGAAAAAAAGAGTACAAGAAAATAAGGAACTTATTCATAAGTCAAGTCATTAGGAATGCCTGACACCTCCTTAAGCCACTCAATGCTCCACAATTGTTTCAATAGGGATATACAGTATCTTTTAAAAGTAACAAGGTAAAAATAAACACATTCCATGGTAGGAGTCAACATAAAAACTGTTAAGGCTATGTGTGTGTATACGATTCCAATTATAAAAAATGTCCAGCAGAGGCAAATCCATAAAGACAGAAAACAGACTGATGGTTGCCAAGGGCTGGGGGTTGGGGCAAATGGGGAATGGCTCCTAATGGGCACAGGATTTCTCTATTGTGGTGATAAAAATGTCCTAGTATTAATTGTGTTGATGGTATGCAACTCTGAATAAAAAACCATTGAATTGTATTCTTTAAATAGCTGAATTGTATGATATGTAAATTATATCTCAATAAAAGTTACAAAAAATTATATCTCTGCCATTTACCAAGGATATGACCTTAGCCATGTCATTTACCCTCTGAATCTCAATTTCCTCATATGTAAAATAGGGACAGCACATTCCTCAGAAGAGCACACGAAGGACTATATTATGAATATAATGACTTAGTAGAGTGGGTATCACGTAGGGTTCAATAAAGAGTAATGTTTATAGATCAAATAGACTTCATAGTATGAAGTAACTATCGAATAGTTACTTCATAGTAGTCTTAAAAAATAATAGCCAGTCACACGAAAAGCCTAACATATACAAATGGTGAGGACAACTATCAATAGTGCCCTACTAACAACGAATAGATGTTTTCCATACTGATATCTGACACCAAGTCAAAACTCACTAAAGACCTATGCAGAGAGCTGAAAACAAGTTATAACAATGTAGCAGCCTAATGAAATAGAAGTCTACTCTTCTGAGAAATACCAGGACATATTCAAAAACCCAGCAAGCATTAAGAACTTATATAAATCTTTCAGAACTAAGCTACTGGAACAGAGAGAGACGCCAAAACCAAATTGGTCTACTTCACTGGCCTGATGTGCTAATGCCACAAGAATCTTTTAAAAAATATTTAACTGTAATTGACTCACCATTTTCACTCTGGCCATTGCCCTCCTCTAAATTCAAAGTCTGTTTGCCTGAGCTATGTCCCCGCCTTCCAACACAGTATCCTGAAGTAGCAGGAACCATTGTAGAGGGACCTCCATGATTCTGTATCAGAGAGACACACACACACTGCAGTTCTCACTATATAGTCAGAAAAAAAAGCTAGAGGGATGTTTTAAAAGGCAGTTTAAAAACTAGCCTAACAATGTGAACTGCTATTGTAAGAGAACTCTGTAATTAAATGTTTTCCATGCAGTTTAGAATACAAAAAATATGAAGTAAAAATCAAGAAAATAGAAAATATTAACCCATACTCTATAGGCAAGATTATCAAGTCTACCTCTATTCCCTTCTCTAGGAACAGCTGGGAGAAAATGTCTCTTTTCTCATTTTCATTTTCCAGAAAAGGCTTTGTTTGGTTATTTGTACAAAATCTAAAATTTATCCACATTGCCTTTACTTCAAAAAAATAAATGAAAAAAGTAAACAGCTTTTTGAGTAAAGCATTGATCCACTCACAGGTAAAGTTGGATAAGCAGTCTCATCCCCTTCTTCAACTTCATAAAAAGTAATAGTTTCTTCCAAGCCCCTGGGCATCTGTCCATTCCCTGGGGTAAATCCATACTGGGACTCCTTATTCACACAACTCATCTGGCGGTGACTACGTCTAAATGAACTTAAGTGGTTCAAATAATAAAAAAGTAAAAATGATGAAATATAGTAACTTGTTCCTAATTTCTAAATAACAGTTCAAATATCTCAAAGTTGACACTTTTTAAAACATTAATGTTCAGCAATGAAATCAGACTTACCAATTTTCTCTGACTTTCAACACAATACTTACCGAGATCTATAAGAGAAGTTATCATAGCTCTGGCAGCACCTTTTACCTGGGCCTGGGTAAAAATCAACTTTAGGGCCCGGCATGTTGTGCCTGTTTATAAACCGAGATGAATTCCTAAGAATAAAGAGAAAGGAAACTAGAACTCTCTATTCACTAATACCTAAGTAGTCAGTCTCTGTAGTTAAATAGAACTAATCTGTCTTTCTAAAAACATTCAACTAGAAAGAGCTCTGCTCTCTGCAATACTGGCATTAGGGCTAACTATTATTAATGAAATACAGTCTGTATGTCACAGAGACCCTCATCTTGATGGCATTCTATCTTCTTGGATCTCTTCAATTGCTTCATATTTCCCTAGACCATGAAAATACAAATCTGTCAATGTCTTACCTGGGCATCCCATATCCCCGACCTTGTCTCGGAGATGGATGCTGAGGATGAAAATGTTCATTAGACATAACATTGCCAGCTGTCTGTGAGTAGTGCATTGGAGGATCGTGCCCATAATGCATACTGTGCTGCAGCCTGGGTGGGAGGAGGGGGTCTCCCTTGCCGTAAGCCATAGTCATGTAAACTTCTTTCCCTCGAATTTTCTTGAACATCTTCTTCTGTTGCTTTATGTCCATCTCTGATATAACTTTCAGGCAAACAAAGAGGTAGCAAATAAGCTTCATAATCAAAGCAAAAGGCCCAGTGTACTGTCACCACCACACTGCCTTAAACTTTCCAATGCTTCCCCTAGGAACAAACCAAATAAACATAGGGAGGGAATTTTTGTATTTTTGAAGGATATACTAGATCTTTTATTTGGAAGGACAAAACCAGCAGGTAATTTCTGTATCAATGGGTATATCTCGGCACTATCCCCAGCATGGGCAGGTTAGTATAGGTCATCAAAACACTGAGTCATCCATGGCCAGGCACGGTGGCTCACGCCTGTAATCCCAGCACTTTGGAAGGCCGAGGTGGGTGGATCACTTGAGGTCAGGAGTTCAAGGACAGCCTAGTTAACATGGTGAAACCGTCTCTACTGAAAATGCAAGAATTAGCCAGGCGTGGTAACGTGCGCCTGTAATCCCAGCTACTCAGAAGGCTGAGGCAGGAGAATTGCTTGAGCCCGAAAGGTGGAGGTTGCAATGAGCCAAGATCGCACAACTGCACTCCAGCCTGGGCGACAGAGTGAGACTGTCTCAAAAAAAAAAAAAAAAAAAAACAAAACACGCCTGTAATCCCAGCACTTTGGGAGGCCGAGGCGGGCAGATCACGAGGTCAGGAGATCGAGACCATCTTGGCTAACACGGTGAAACCCCATCTCTACTAAAAATACAAAAAAAATTAGCCAGGCACGGTGGCAGGAGCCTGTAGTCCCAGCTACTTGGGAGGCTGAGGCAGGAGAATGGCGTGAACCCGGGAGGTGGAGCTTACAGTGAGCCGAGATAGCGCCACTGCAGTCCGGCCTGGGCCAAAGAGCGAGATTCTGTCTCAAACAAACAAACAAACAAAAACCCCAAAAACTCCGAGTCATCCAATCACACACATTACTATTCTCTAATAAATTATGCCTGTTAATATCCCTGGCTGCTTCTATGAGGTATTTTCCTAGTTCTCTAAGAAATATTTTTCCCCCTCAGGTCTCTAAGAAATATTTTTCCCCCTCAGGTTAAGATCCATGTCAGCTTAAGTTTTTTAAATTAATTTTTATAGGTGTAGAACAGTACGTATTTATGGGGTACATGCACTATTTTGATACAAGCATACAATGTATAATGATCAAATCAAGGTAACTGGGATATCTATCACCTCAAACATTTACAAATTCTTTATGTTGGGAACATTCCAAATCCAGTCCTCTAGTTTTTTTGAAATATGCAATTGTTAACTACAGTCACCCTATTATGCTACCAAATACTAGATCTTAATCCTACTACCTATTTTTGTACCCATTAACTAATCCCTCTTTATCCCCCACCCCCAATACCCTTCTGAGCCTCTGGTAACCATCATTCTACTCATCTCCACAAGATCATTTTTTTCTTTTTAGCTCTCAAATATGAGTGCTTAAGTTTACACAAAGTCCCTTAAGAACCATGGTTCTCAACCAGGGACAACTGTGCCTCTCCCTCCTCTAGGGAATATTTGGCAATGTCTGGAAACATTTTTGTTTCTAGTGGATAGAAGCCAGGGATGCTATGAAGCACCCTACAATGCACAGGACAAACCCCCGACAGTGAAGTAGTATCCATTCCATTATCAGTAATGCTAAAGTTGAGAAACCCTACCCTACAACAAGACATATGACATACATTTAAAAAATAGTACAATGCAGGTAAGTAAAAGCAGGTACAGGAAGGGAAAAACAAAATAACAACCTTTAGCATACAAACCTATTTCCGGGACATAACCCCCAGGCATTTTCTGGTAACCTCTTCCTTTCCGACTGGGCATAGCATTCCAGGCAGGAACAGACATCACTTGGGTAACTGGTTTTAAGTTAGCCAGTGGAACAACATGCCTTAAAAGTTAAAGGTATCACCATGAAGATACTGCAACACAGACTTAACTTTCATTCAATACACGTATCCCACCCCTTATACTTCAAGTGTATTCTATTAAAACCTGGTTGACACCAGTTTCCTTGTTTAATTTTTTATTAGTTTAGAAAACTTAAGAGTAGTTTGTACAATTTCACTGCTGTTTCTAGTACCGATGACATTTCAGAAGAAAGACTGTGGTAGACTGTATTAGTTCACAAATATTTGCTGTGCCTCCTTGGAGGATTAAATTTCCCCACCCCATTGACATGAGGCTTGGGAATGTAAACCACTCTGGTTAATAAAGTATGAGACATTTTAAGATTCAGCAAGTGGTTTGTTCTCATTTTATTCCCTATGATCATGGATGCACGTGTTAAAATAGAATCTCTGTTGAACCGGATCCCATTTGCTGACCCACTATGGACATGCTAAATGAAGGAGGAAGGACCTTACTGTTTTAAGCTGCTGAAATGTTTTGGTTGTTAGAGCAGCACAGCCTCATTTAATGGTTCTCAAAGTGGACCAGCAGCATTATCATCACCTGGAAACTTGTCCAAAATTAAAATTCATGGGCCCCACCTCAGACTTACTGAATCAGAAACTTTAGAGACTGGGCTCACTAATCTTGTGTTTTCACAAGCCCTCCAGGTAATTCTGGTGCATGGTAAAGTTTGAGAAAGACTAGATTAGCTTATCTTCATGCTGGCAGAGGCTCAGTTATTAATTCAACTTTGCAATTACTATGAACAGTTTTGTATCAGAATTCTGTTGTACTTAATATTTCTAATAAGTAGGCTAGTGTCTTAAGATTTGAAAACTTTTATACATATCTAATATCTATATTGATTCATACTTCAGCACATGCTTTTATAATTCAAGATAAGTCATCCTAGGCCAACAGTAGATACAATTCTGGTTCTCTTACTAGCATCCTGGTAATTCTCAATTTAATATTACGAAATGGAACCAGGAACCAAAGATTTCAGTAATTCAACAAATTATCATATTCCTACTTTTCCGCCAATTCTTCAATGAAGACTGTTACTGAATTGTTCTCATTTCCAACTTCCTGGATATGAGCATTATAATATCTTCCTTCTGATTCCAAGCAAACCTGAAAAGAGAATACTTCTAGTCTCAAGACTAGTGACAGATACAGCTAATGCCAAACAAAATACCACTTTTCCCCAAATGGAGTTCAGTGTCTACTTTTTAAAGTAATTCGTATCAACACTGCCAGTCTGGATCAATGGAGACAGCACATACTGAAAGAACCTTACATCTAATCACTAAATTTGTAATTAAAATTTAACACAGACATTAAAGAAACATTTTTTTTTTCGGCTGGGTGTGGTGGCTCATGCCTGTAATCCCAACATTGGGAGGCCAAGGTGGGAGGATCACTTGAGGCCAGGAATGAGACCAGCCTGGGCAACATAGTAAGACCCTGTTTCTATAAAAGAAAATAAAAATAGTCCAGGTGCACTGGCTCACACCTGTAATCCCAGCACTTTGGGAGGCTGAGATGGGTGGATCACGAGGTCAGGAGATCAAGACCATCCTGGCTAACACGGTGGAACCACGTCTCTACTAAAAATACAAAAAATTAGGCATGGTGGCAGGCGCCTGTAGTCCCAGCTACTTGGGAGGCTGAGGCATGAACCCGGGAGGCAGAGCTTGCAGTGAGCAGAGATCATGCCACTGCACTCCAGAGCCTGGGAGACAGAGCAAGACTCCGTCTCAAAAAAAAAATAAAAATAAATAAATAAATAAATAAAAATAAAAAAAATTAGCCAGGCATGGTGGTATGTGCCTGTAGTCCCAGCCACTAGAGAGGCTGAGGAAAGGAGGATCACTTGAGCCCAGGAGTTCGAGGCTGCAGTGAGCCAGGATCATGCCACTACACTCCAGCCTAGGCAACAGAGCTAGACCCTATCTCTTTAAAAATATAAATAAAAAGTTTCTAGTACTTTGTAAATAAGTCTTGTTCAACTCATATCATGACAAAAAGCACATTCTTAAAAAAATTACTGATTCTTGAAGAAGGAACTAACCTGACACTTGTCTCCCAAATAGTACTGTCTCCCAGCATACTCCATGTAATCAGATTTTTGAAGTTCTATTAAAAGAAAATGAAGATTCAAGCTCAACTAAACTGGTTCCTTTCCTATATCATTTAATTTCCTCATTTACTTTTACCGTAGTGCCTTTGACAACGCTACCACTATAAGTGAAAATAGGGGTAAAGTCCCAAAGGGCGATTCTATCATTCTGGATGAGTTATTTCTGCAGTCAATTTAAAAAGACGTGCCAGAATAATTTTGTGCTTTAAAAAACAAATAGGTGGAAATTGGGAGTTTGTAATCAGAGATAGTCAAACACTAACGAGGTACAATTTGAAAGTAACATTATTCAGCTTCTCAAATCAACCTATTATTTTTTTAACAACTTACTGTGTTTCCCAAGGTCTTAACCTCATTCTAGATTGTTAACTACAGCTAGGTTTACCAGGGTTCAAGGAGTTGAATGTGAAATACTAAAGGCTTATCTTGAAGGCAAAACTTTAAGGCCTAGGTTGATCACTTTAGTTATCTTATAAGGAGAGAAACAATGACCTATTTTCAAGGGTTGGTAAACTTTTTCCATAAAGAGCCAGATAGTATTTTCAGTTTCTTGGGCCATAAGACTCTCAGAACTACTCAAACTCTGCTGTAAAATGTTATGAACACTGAAATTTGAATTATATAATTTTCATGTGTCACGATATATTATTCTTTTAATTTTTTCTGCCATTTAAGAATTAAAGACCATTCTTAGCTCATAGACCACATAAAAACAGTTGGTGTGTCAGATTTGACCCACAGGCCTAACCTACTCATTTATCAAGGAAGGTGGTCTTAACACCTGGAATTTAAGATGAGCTTGTTTTCAGTCACTAAGTTTCTTAATGCTATCTAAAAATTGTCTCCACACAGTCTTTGCAAAGTTGAAGTCCCAGGCAAACATCAGGCTTTAAAAGATCCCTCCCACTTCTAAAGCTATGTTCCCTCCTTTGGATTTAAATCATATATAAAGTAAGATAAAAAGCATCAGGCTATTTTTTATAACAGTATTTCTTATAAGAGATGTTCACCATAATTTGCAAAATTATACTCCTGGATTTGTCAGGATTCAAAAGTATCCTGTTGATATTTCTTTACCTTTTCTGCTGTCCAACCAAACATCAAATTCTACATTACGATAGATTTCTGGATCCAGGGCTTTGAGCACCTTATAGGGGAAGGGCATCTTTGATGGATTTTCTGGAGACTAAAACAAAAATAATCATGCTACAAACTCACAATCCTTAGTCTTCCTTCTATGAAGAAGGAAGAATTAAGTTTCTTCCTTCTATGAAGAAGGAAGAATTAAGTTTCTTCCTTCTATGAAGAAGGAAGAATTAAGTTTCTTCCTTCTATGAAGAAGGAAGAATTAAGTTTCTTCCTTCTATGAAGAAGGAAGAATTAAGTTTCTTCCTTCTATGAAGAAGGAAGAATTAAGTTTCTTCCTTCTATGAAGAAGGAAGAATTAAGTTTCTTCCTTCTATGAAGAAGGAAGAATTAAGTTTCTTCCTTCTATGAAGAAGGAAGAATTAAGTTTCTTCCTTCTATGAAGAAGGAAGAATTAAGTTTCTTCCTTCTATGAAGAAGGAAGAATTAAGTTTCTTCCTTCTATGAAGAAGGAAGAATTAAGTTTCTTCCTTCTATGAAGAAGGAAGAATTAAGTTTCTTCCTTCTATGAAGAAGGAAGAATTAAGTTTCTTCCTTCTATGAAGAAGGAAGAATTAAGTTTCTTCCTTCTTAAAAAAAAAAAAAACCACGTCGTTCTTTATTAAAACAAGAAATAAATCGCACAATAAATTTTGCCATATATTTTAAAAATCAGGAGACTAAAGTAGCAAAATGCAAGTAATCTAAAAGGTTTTAGATGGCAGAAGGGAAATAATGTCTAAACCTGGCAATGACTCAGGACACATCCCATATAAACCAATGCAACACAAACCAGGATTAAAAATTCAGAGCTATTCAGGAAGTGTTATCATGATATACACATGGAGGTGCAATATTTCTGTACTCTACAATCACCTGGAAATATCTGAAGGTTACTTCATTATGGTCAAATCCTGTTAAAATTTCCAAAGGAACTACCATTTTTCTTCTGCTTTCCTAGAATTTCACCATATTCAATACTATTCCAAAATTATAAGCACCTCAGGTATACACAGAGATTGCTATAATAGTATTTGACTTATTTAGCTAGCCTCAAACTGAAGGCCTATTTGATTTTAGTCCTATACGGATGGTGAAATTTCTGTTTCTCTAACTTTAAACCATGATTATCACCTAGTTTGAATAAAATAAAGATAGGCATTGTATTCCTTAATGAAAAAAACCTTAGCGTCAGAAGACTGATTACAAACTAAATATTGGGTTTGTAATATTTAACTTAAAAACATATTGCTCTTGAAATTTCTGAAGTGTTCAGTTTGTTCTGAAAAATCTAAAATTCTGTAAAAATAAGAATTCAAAGAACATTAAGTATGCATTTGAAGTTTAAAGATAGGTAAGACTTTCACAAAGGAAAATGACCAACTCCTCCCTCAACCCATATAACTAGAATATAATATCTGACTTTAACTAGTTTAAGTCATGATGCTGCAAGCCAAGACTATGAAAATTCTTTGCCTTAGAAAATATCAAACCTTTGTTTCTTCTGTTCCTTTATTGTAGCCCTCTGGTATATTTTCAGCATTGTAGCAGGCACCCCACTCTTCCATCCTAATTCAAAAGATTTAGAGCAAAGAGCTTTTTATAAATGAAGAATTTACTTATGTTAAGCCTAATGACTACACCACCACCTAGTGGTAAATTAACTCAGTTCTAAAAATAAGGCAAATGCTTTTTCATTCCAACATTTGCATTTATGCTTCGTTTTTATAAGTATGTGCTACAATATACTTAGCAGATTACCTCCTATATTTTACAACTCCTGTGAGAACACACTCTTAGGGTGATCCCTATGATCCCTGCCTCATTCATTTTACTGGTCTCTCTCTCTCCTCTGCTGCCTATAAGGAAGCAAACAGCCATATTCACCACTGCAATGTAGCAGAGCTGAGGGTTACTTCTGCCAACTGACAGCAAAAACTTGAAGCTCTCAGTCCTATAGCTCGAAGGAACTGAATGCTGCCAAGAACCATGAGTGGGGAAGTAGACTTTTCTCCAGTCAAAGCTCCAGATAAGAACTCAGTCCTGACCAACATCCTCATTACAGTCTTATGAGACACTCAGCAGAAGATCTAGCTAAGCCGTGTCCAGATTCCTAATCCACATAAATTGTGAGAAAAATGTGCTGTTTTAAGCTGGCAAGTTTGTAGTAACATTGCTACACAGCAAAACATAACTAATACACCTTGCTTTCCGACTACTGTAGTTTCCGTAAGCCTGAAGTCCTTAAGACAAGTGATCAGTGAAGAGTGAAGCAACCTTTACCCTAATACATGGTTGCCACTCCTGGCAGTCCCAAATAAGCTTTAAAAACCCTCTTCTGCCGGGTGTGGTGGCTCACGTCTGTAATCCCAGCACTTTGGGAGGCCGAGGCGGATGGATCACGAGGTCAGGAGACCAAGATCATCCTGGCTAAACCTGTGAACCCCATCTCTACTAAAAATACAAAAAATTAGCCGGGCTTGGTGACACACGCCTGTAGTCCCAGCTACTCGGGAGGCTGAGGCAGGAGAACTGCTTGAACCTGGGAGGCGGAGGTTGCAGTGAGCTGAGATCGCGCTACTGCACTCCAGCCTGGCTGACAGAGCGAGACTCCGTCTCAAAAAAAAAAAAAAAAAAAGAAAAAAAATTGTAAGCTTTAAACATCCAAGAAATAGAACTGCAAGACAAAAAACACAAGGTGACACTTACCTAGCACCAAACCTATCTGAATTTGCAGGCAGAACTAGGAATTAGGAAGAAATATAAGACATGTACTTTATTATTTCAAACCCAAAGTGTTCAACTAGAGCTGTTCAACAGTTGTTTCCTCAGAGGCACACTCACAGTGCATACCAAAGGCAGACACTAAAACACTCCCAAAACTTACACTGAGAAATTTTCTACTGGCTGGATGTGTCAACTAACCTCAGTTATTACCTAGAAAATGATGGTGCTACTTTAGAATCAGTATTTTCTCAAAGTATGATCCACAGCCTACCTACATCAGAATGCTTAGGCACACTTGTTTAAAAAACAGATTCCTGGTCCCATCCTGACCTCAAATTTTGTGACAGTAGGCCCAGGAACCTGCCTTTCTAACAAGCACTATAATTCTTATACAACTAAAGTTTGAGAATCATGTAATTAGATAGTTCTGAAGTTTCTTCTAGCAATACAAAACGGACCTGAACAAAACCCCCAAGTCTGGGCATCTCACGACACATCTCTTTGGTAAAACTCTCCCCCCATTAAAAATATATATCCTAACATATGTGTACGTGTGAATATGTAACCTAACTCATAAGCTTGCCAGGCCCCTTCCACTTTCAAATGATTATGCACAGAAGTATGAAACATAATTATCATGATATCCCCTTTCCCTTTATTACCTATTCTGATTTGAACTCTTGTAATCAGTATGGGCATCCTCGCTTCCAGTTACAGCATTATTTCTGTTCTTCTTAGAACCACTTCGAAACAATTTAATCGCAGTCTTCAACTCTTCTTCATCCACAACAAACACATCTTTATAGAGAATTTCGTACAATACAGCTGAAGAAAAAATGGTCAAAATTCCAATTGTCAAAATAAGATTTATATTAACTATGTGAAAATAGTCATAATCCTGCGTGCAAATAGGTACCAACAAGGTTTTAAAGGGGCTATTCATGGTGGGTCCCTGAGTGAAAACAAGTCATCTGAAATCACACCCACAATTTATAAAGCCTTCACATACCCTGACAAACAGCTGCACTTGACTGAAATTGTTTTGAGTACACAGAATCATAGTGACCACTACTTGAGTAGCAGAGTAGAATCTAAAGAAAAACACACAGAACAATTAAGTGAATGTTACACATCTTAAAACCATGAAATTAAGATGATAATTAACTTGAAATTGAGTCAGTAGTCAGTAACTGATAACTAACTGAATTTTTTTAAAGTGATTTTTAAAATCTAAATATAAGGAAATGCAACCTGTACCTCATAGAGATTTTCTTGGCAGTGACTTTTAAATGCCAAGATTAAAATCACTACTAAGGTTACACTGTGAGCCTCAATCACATTAATATACCAAACAAGTCCTGATTTACAAATTTGCTAAAAAAAAAAAAAAAAAAAGGAACACTTAGAAATTGAGTTATTGAACATAACAGAAAGCCTAACAGATGCCAAAAGACCCAGCTAACTTCCAAGAATGACTGGAAAAATTAGGTCAAATACCCAAATACTCCAAACTCAGACTAAGGGAGGAAAGGGATTTTATTCAATTATTTCGAAAGTTATCCATTTAACTGAATAGCAATATATCAATACACTATATAGCACCAATACTGCTAGAGAGACTTCCTCAATGAATTAAGGCACATCTCAGGCTACAAAAATGACAGTTTAACGTCTGAGCTGATTCCCTGAATCCCTAGAGGTTTTTTTTTCCCAAAACAATTCAAAGGCCATGCTTGTTAAGCAAAATTTTTTCAGTCAAAATGTTGCATGTGATGAAATTTGTTTATATAACTGTTCCAAAACCTTTCTGAATTTTTGTTGAAAAAATCTGTCTTCACCAGGTGGGATGGTGTGTGCCTATAGTCTCAGCTACTACAGCAGGAGGGTCACTTGAGCCCAGGGGTTTGAAGCTATAGTGTGCTATGATCTCACCTGTGAATAGCCACCACACTCCAGCCTAGGCAACATAGTGAGATCCCCATCTCTTAAAAAAAAAACAAAAAAAAATGTCTTATATAAGGGATATAATCCCTAGTGATTAAGGTTCTTCCATTTTGAAGGTATCAGCAACCTGAGTTACTCAAAATGATTCTGCAATCTGTGGAAAGATGTTGCCACCAAGCCTCCTTGGCAGAAAAAAAAATTATCCTAAGCATTCTTTTTTTCTGTCTTCCTACTCTTCCCTGGGCTAACTTCTCCCAATAATCCAGTTATTTGATCCCAGGTCTATTATTCTTCACTTGTCTTTTTGGAAATCACAATTCTATTTCAGTAATAATCCATTTCAAAGTACTGAAGTCAAGTGTCAAGCTTAAGTAACTCACAGTAAAGTTTAAGTTATAAGTTTCTCCCACCACAAGGGGTATTTGCATTTAAGAGTTTATTAACCCATAAGAACAGTGAGCAGATTTTGAGCAGAGAAATCCTTTGTACTTTGGGCTACAAGAACTGGGAACTCTAAGAAATATTAATAACTTAGAGGCAGTTGTTAAGGAATAAAGGAATCCAGTTAACCAGAGTGATGAATAAGCAGTTCTTATAGAAAGAAGACAGACAACTATATAATTTCTCTATTCAAGTGGCAAGAATTTCCATTTTGACTGGAAGAGGCAAAACAAGGCATGATGGCTTTCCCAACATGAAAGTAATTCATACATACTTGTGGGTGGTTGGGAGTGGGCAGATGGGATGTAATTAATGGCAGTAAACTAGTGAAAAAATGGGGTAGATCTATATTACTAAGAAGGATATTTAAAAAGAACAAGTAACAATGTTAAATATGGGCCCATTTACATTTAAAAGACAAACACAAATAAAATGATACAGAAAGATACTCACCAATACTTAATAGTTTGTTACTTTGAAGTGCATGAGAACCAATACTTGTTACTTTGAAGGGCATAAAATTGAAGAGGATGAGTGGGGACTTTCTTACTCTACATTTCAAGACTTAATTTTATTTTCTTTTTAATGTAAGTATGTACTTCTATCTAGATAGAGCAAATGAGCTGAGTGAAGATGGCTCGATTTCAGCTGAATACACTTAAGAAACTGAAGATAACTATGTAGAATGCAGAATTAAGTCAACACACAAGATGAAAGATGCCAAAGTGAATATTAGACATTTATTTCTATGAAAGTTTGTTCTAAAATATTTTTAGAAGGCTCATTAATAATGTTCACTGCCTATAATACAATCATTTTTATTTATTTATTTCTGAGATGGAGTCTTGCTCTGTCGCCCAGGCTGGAGTGCAGCGGCGCAATCTTGGCTCACTGCAACCTCCGCCTCCTGGGCTCAAGTGATTCTTCTGCCTCAGCCTCCCAAGTAGCTGGGATTACAGGCATGCGCCACCACACCCAGCTAATTTGGGTATTTTTAATAGACACGGGGTTTCACCATATTGGCCGGGCTGGTCTCAAACTCCTGACCTCAAGTGATCCACCCACCTCGACCTCCCAAAGTGCTGGGATTACAGGCATTAGCCACCACACCCGGCCTCATTTTTAAAAATTCAATCCTGATGCCAATCTTAGGAGTGTGAACTGAGATAAAGCAACAAAGTTTTAGGCAAAGCAAAGCATCACAAAATAAAAGCACCTGGCTTTTCAATATAAACACACACTCCCACTTCATAAATTCCCAAATCAGACATATATATGCACTATCCTGTACATGAAAATACCCAAGTGCTGGTAAGTATTAGCTCTGTATACATGTATGGATATTTGTAGGTTGTACACACTCAAAAGGTCTGAAATTTTTGTATTCTCATGGTTCCCAATGGGTAACGTTCCCCCTAAATTAGCTAAATAATCTCTCTGTAAGATACACAAGACATTTATAAATGGAACTGTGTAATTGTAGGAACTAAGTGGTGGGTACATGAATGTTTACTGCATGAGTCTTCATACTTCTCTCTGTATGAAAAATTTCAGAATACAATGTTGAGGAAAAACTGAACTGGGAGTTTAAAGATCCCTGGTAAAGATCCAAATTTCATCTCAAGCAATGCTATGTACAACTGCTTAGATACAAAAGTTAACACTCCTCTTCCTCAAACAATTCAGATTATGTCACACCTTTGCCTAAAAACTTTCCATTAGCATTTAGGGTCAAGTTTTCTGGTGTCTGAAATTTACTTTAAAATATATCAAAAAAGAAAGATGGACAGATGAATGGATCGAGGAATAGATATGTGATAAGAATACTAAGATGTTAACAGCAGACTCTAGGTGGTGGGTAGGTATATGGATGCTCACTGTAAAATTCTTTTAACTTTTCTGTATGTTTGAACATCATAATAAAACGTTGGGAAAAAGTTTCAAATGACTATTCTGTACAATGAAAAGACAAATTATTTGGCATGGCCTGCTCTACCTCTTACTATGTAACTCTAGACTATCTTTCCAGCATCATCCTCCTCACATCCAACTACTTAACTCCCAAAGGGTCTCTTGCTTCTATGCCTCTGTATATAGTGTTTCCTCTGAATAGACTGCTCTTCATATTTGATGGACTCTTTTATACTCCACTTAAATGTCACTACCACCATGAAGCTTTCTAAACTCCCTCAAGCAGAAAGAAGGGCTTTTTCCCTTATGCTTTTAGCACAATTTTTTTTATTATAAAACTTACCACTTTGCTGTAATTAACCCTTTGCAGGTCTGTCTTCATTGTCCCTTAAGCTCTTGGAGGGCAAGGATTTCACTGTATTCATTTTGGTGTCCCCAAAGCTCAGAAAAGAGATAATTAACGTACCCCGTTCATACTTATCTTCTAAGTTATCTCCTATTCAGTCTTCTCTATTCCTAATGCTACTTCTCCTTAGTTCAGGTATTCACCCTCGATTATCGTAACAGCATCCTAACAGTTCTCCTGGTCTCCAGTCTTGTCATGCCATCATTAGAATTGTGTCTAAATTGTGTTCCATGTTGTGAAATAAGACATATAGAACTCAAACATTGTGTAGTCTATATTTCACTAATAAAATAATCAGGATAAAGGGCTTTTCTTTTATAAACTTTTTGGAGAAGCTGTATGCTGACAAACAATTTATCTGCTGAGTATTCTCAACTAACAATCAAGTACTTTACCAGGCAGTAGTAGACACTGTCACTTCCCTCAAGAAACTTTCAGATAATGAAAGAAATACATATGAAAACAAACACAATATAATAAACACTACAATTACTTGGGAGCTGCTAAGGGAGCACAAAGTGAGAAAATGACTCCAGGGGCATTGGGAAAGTTTCAAATACAAAGACACAAAGTATGAAAAGCAGAATACCTGGAAGCATGGCATAATAAGGATGGAAGAAAATGAAGCTGGTTTGGGACCTTTCAGGATGCTGAATGCCTAGCTTCAAAGTTTGAACCTTATCCTTTTTAGTCATTGAGAAGCCAATTAGGGTTTGGGGTGGCTTTTTTCCTATCACAGAGAAATGACGATCAGGTCTGTTTAGAGGGCTAACAACACTGAGATTAACTGACTAGAGAGGAAAATGCTAGTAACAGAGAAACCTGTCATTCAGACTATGCTTTTCATTAATTAGGTTAAAAATGATTTAATATCCAGGCAAGCCAGAAGCATCATTCAACTTCTTTTATATAAGTCAACATTCACTCATCTTCTTACCTTGTCTTCATAGCCATTATCTGTGACATAAGTTGGAGGTTTTCCAGGAAAGCGATAAAGAATGAAATCCCGACTATATGGGGAAAACAAAGGTAAGTGGGAAGACATAATTTGGCATACGTAAGAGATAGTTATAGGAACAACTATTTGTGCTTTTAAGTTGCCTACCTTATTCATATAAAGTAATATAAATATCCGGTTTAATGTTTGGCTTTAAAATAACCCAAAAGGGCTAAATGATGTTAATTCAAGGTAGACAGCTAATTGCCCCTAAAGTCCTATGGATTTTTTTTTATGTATCTTAATTTGGGAGGAGAAGGGGTAAAGACAACCAATTATCAATTGTATGTATGTCTGTGAGTTGGGGGATGGTGCTCTCCTTTATTTAAAGCAGAGGTTGGCAATTTTTTTGGCAAAAGGCTAGAAAATAGGCATTTCAGCTTTTGCAGACTATATGGTTTATTCAACTTTGCTTTGGTAGCATGAAAGCAGCCACAGACAATGCGTAAGTGAATGAGCATAACTGTGTTCCAACAAAGCTTTACAGACACTGAAATCTGAATTTTATATAATTTTTCCATCCCATGAAACATTCTTCTTTTGACTTTTCAACCATTTAAAATATTTTAACACTTTTTCTTAGCTTTCTTCATTCTAGGTATCAATACATCAAATCTCAAATTTCCCCAATCCTGAAGAGACCGTTGAGATCTTATACACACATGCATGCACATACCCACTCTCAAAGAAAAGAGGATATAACTTACTTATAAATTAGAGAAAGAGCTCTTATTTCCAGCTGGCCAGCACTTTCCTAAACATAAATAGTGTATTGAGTTTTAAAAAACATTCTGTAGCTAGGAGGTAGTTTTTTCAAGCACAACAAATTTTTAGCTGCTTAGCACTGTTTTAGATGAAGAATTTGTAGAACACACTATAACCTGTTTTAAGGCTTGGAATACTGTGATAGCTACTTATTAACATAAACTTATCCTGAAAGAAGGATCTAAAGCCCTACTTAGCCATTAAGTAATAAGGACAGTTAATAGGAGAGATTTTAAAAACACAATAAAAATGGAACTAGTATAATAAAAAGGCAGTAGGGATTTAGTAAATGTGCTTTTTTAAGTCCAGAACTATGGAATTAACTTTATCACATAAAAATTATTTCTAAATAAAGCATGAATTTATGAATTTTACTCCCACATAAGAGGAAGACAACTACAAATCAGGGGAATTGTTTAATAACAAAATAATGACCTCTTGGTAAAATTCATTACCACCCTCCTCCCCCGTTAAAGTGAAAAGGCTTAAGCTTGTCCTGTTTCCAAGTAGTGTATACTCTTTTGCTAGTCTATGGTTGATGGGATTAACACACAATTATCAATATTCAACACAAAACAATTGGTCAATTGCCAGCCTCTAAACTTATGTGAGAACTATTGGATTCAACACAGCTGGCTACTAAATAAAATATTTGGGGTCTGGCTAAAATAATACAGTTGAATGAATAAATTTACATTACTATTCCAAATAACTCTGAAAAGATTAAACCCCCATATTTGATCTTACCTTGGGATCTCCCAACCGTTCCAGGTATTTCTCAAAAGATCCCTCCACATACTTCAAAAATAAAACAAACTCAACTTAACCAAATACACAGCATTACTGAAATCTGATTATATTCTACATTATCCTGCAATGCGTTTTTTGCTCAGCTCAACAATTATGGTGTAAGTATCTACTTTGCACAGCACCTCAAGAAGATTTGCACATACACAAAAGTCATGAGTGGAGAAAAGCTGGAGTATAAAAGTATCTTAGGAATTGGTCCTGGCATATCCACATACCAGTGCATTTCATCAAATGGTATGCTTTCGAGTTTCATTTGAAATGCCAATTTAAGTAATGACAATTTTCATAAATCAAGCAAGACCAGTATTTCTAAGGATTTCAAATTTGACAAAACATGCATTTACAAAATTAAACTGAGGAACTTTAAAGAGAATTTCATTAGTTTCTAAAAAGACCATGGGACAAGCGAACCTTTTAGGGGTGACGGAAACATTCTATATCTTGACTGCAGTGGTAGTTCCATGATTGCATATCATCTCCAAAACTAAAAATGGTAAACTTAAAATGACGAGTTTTATTGAATGTAAAATATGCCTCAATAAAAATGAAATTAAACTCAGGGACTGTAATAGATTTATTTCTAGTTCCATGGATACATATCACTAGACTTTTAAAAAATCATTTAAATTTTCCTTTTAAAAAGTTTTGAGATATAAATGACATACAGGCTGGGTGTTGTGGCTCACGCCTGTAATCCCAGCACTTTGGGAGGCCGAGGCAGGCAGATCATGAGGTCAGGAGATCGAGACCATCCTGGCGAACATGGTGAAACCCCATCTCTACTAAAAATACAAAAAAATTAGCCAGACATGGTGGCGGGCACCTGTAGTCCCAGCTACTTGGGAGGCTGAGGCAGGAGAATGGCATGAACCCAGGAGGCGGAGCTTACAGTGAGCCGAGATCGTGCCACTGCACTCCAGCCTGGGTGAAAGAGCAAGACTCCATCTCAAAAAATAAATAAATGACATACAATAAACTGCACAATTTAAATAGTACAAATTTTGACTTATGTATACACCCATGAAATCATCATCACAATTGAGATGGTGAATGTATCACTTCCGTAAGTACCCTTGTGCCCCTCTATAACTGACATATAACCACTGATCTGCTTTCTGTCACTACAGATTGGCTTGTATTTTTTCTAGAGTTTTATATAAGGGAAATCAAACAGTATAAACTTTGCATGGGGTCTGGTTTCTATCACTCAGTACTGAATTGAGATTCATTTACGTAGTTTTAAAATTTTACACACATCTTTGTTACTCAAAATGTTGTCCACAAACCAATAGCAAGCATTACTTCAGTTCGTTAAAAATGCAGAAATCTCCACTGCACGCAGTGGCTCACACTTGTAGTCCCAGCACTTTGGGAGGCCAAGGCGGGCAGATCACTTGAGCCCAGGAGTCTGAGACCAGTCTGGGCAACATGGCGAAACCCCATCTCTACTAAAAACACAAAAAACTTAGCCCAGTGAGGTGGCGTGTGCCTGTAGTCCCAAGTTACTTTGGAGGCTGAGGTGGGAGGATTGCTTCAGCCTCGTAGGCAGAGGCTGCAGCGAGCCGTGATCCTGCCACTGCACTCCAGCCTGGGCAACAGAGAAGACCCTGTCTCAAGGTAAGAAAAAAAAAAAAAGAAATCTCGGGCCCCAACTCAGACCTACTGAATGAAAACCTGTATTTTAACAAGATCTCCAGGTGATTTGTATGCACAGAAATACTTGAGACGCACTGCTTTACACTATGGCCTTGCATTTGAAGTAATGTTACTAATAATCCTTTCCCCAGGTGTAGAGAAGACTACAATGAACTTCAAGGTAACAAGCTTTTAAGTCAAGAAGTCTTCACATAGTTTTAAAATTCACTGAAACCAGTTGAGAAAATTAGGAGTAAAACTCGAACAGCAGGCGAATACCCACAATAAACAGAAGAAACAAATAGCACTGCAAGGGCCAGAAGTGTTTAAAAAAAAAAAAAAGAAAAGGAAGCCTCCAATTTCATTAACAAGAATTCAAATACATGAAGGTGTACAAATATGTCTTCTGTAAGTTGTTTTACCTAAAGTTAATCATTAGTGGCAGAGCTCTAATTATACAATTTGTGACATGGAAAGACTAGATACTTAGACTCATTTGTTCCCTTACAATTAAGTTTTACAAGATTCCTCAAATTGACTGGCTGAAGATTATTGTACACAGGATTAAGCAAGAAAATAGAGGGGGTTCCCATTTTTACGTATTTTAAAATATGCATTGCAAAATATTAACAGAGCCAAACCTTTCATGAACTATTATTAATTGTTCAATAAAACTGTATGGATAATATAAAACAGCAATCAAAACATAACTTTTTAGGGTCTGGAGTTCTTGGCGTAGGACGAGGTAAGTAGTGGGAAAATGTAGATTATTCTTGATTTTTAATTAGAGTCCTAAACAACCTAATTCTAGCAGAGGCTCAAGAAGCATGTTAGCTACTGGGAAGGGAGCCAGTTGGGAATTATATATTTGCTATTGAGGAGACAGCATGATATAGTTTAATTTTGGTAGGTGCTCACAATTATTTTTCCACCTGCTACACACTCTACCAGTTCTCCCCTGGGTATGTATTCTACTTACAGACTCAAAAGTTTGTTGATTTTCCCTCATATATGAGACACAAGCCTTCCTGATTTCCAAATGATGGACCTGGCTGCAAAACAACTAAAAAGAAGAGAAAGACCAGCCCACTGTCAGTAGTCATTTAAAATAGGCACTTCTAAATCAAGACTATGAACTGGACACTTAAGGCTTCCTTATTCAGAACATATGTAGGAAATTGGGAAATTAAATCATCTTACTAAAAGTTTTTTTAATATCATCTTCAACGAAATGGGGGAAGGATGACTGTCATGCCCCATCCCCTTTTCTACTCCTTATGTGCACAGCCTATAATTTTTTTCTTAGGCATTAAAATTAGAGGAAGCAGGGGATGCTTACAAAGGATCAAGATATATTTCAAAGTTGTCTTTAGCCTCCTTATCTTACCCCTCCTACATTACAAACTGGCATTTAAAAAAACAGAAAAGATAGCAAAGGTTCAGCAATATAGACTATTCAGCAAAGGCATGCACCAAGCTAATAAGAGCAGGCAGCTTCTCTCTAGGACCTTGACAGGCCCGATGTTTTCACTAGAAAGCAGGGGAATTTTTTTGTTTCTTCTGGCAAACTACAGGACCATCCCATGTCTCAAACTCTGAAAACTCAGTACAGGGAAGATATGTTTTCCTTTTACCTGCTCCGAAATGGCCCGAAAGAGGCAAGAGGCATCCTTGGCAGTCAGCTTTCGAAACAGCCCTAAGCTGCCTAAATATTCATCCATTGATGCCTCATTCAAAGACTTCTGGCTGCAGTAGTTTTTCCATCCTTTATGCATTTTGTACAGGGTGGGGGTAAGAGGGAGAGGAAAAAAAGCGTGGCAAGAGGGAAAAAGCAGGGTGCAGGTAGGATGGGTAGCAGTAACAAGGGCTTGCTTATGCAGGTATCCGGAAAGCAGCCCAAAGTCTAGGCCTGAAAAGGCAGTTGAAGTCAGCGCTGCAGAATCTTGGCACTTCCCAGGAGCAGAAGCAATGGACTTGGCTTGCCCAGGACAAGTCAGGACCCTGTGAAAAGAAGAGGAAGAGCCAATCCTCCTAGGAATAGGGAACTCAGACTAAGCAGGAGACATGGGAGGGAGGGAGAAAGTACTTAGAGTTACCTCCTTGGGAAAGAGTGGAATTAACCCAATCTAACCCAATCAGACCAAGGTTGAGAAAAGTATGCATAAGCAGCTGAGCTTTGGGTCTAGAAGGAAACTGACTTTGCAGCTTAACTCGGGGCAACTGCTGCACGAGGCTGAAAAGGGACTACAATAAGGCTCAGGTGTGTAGGATGCAGCCTGGTCCACATTACATTGCTTGAAGAATTGCTTTAAGATCTCTAGCTGAATTTTCAACTACAGTCTCTCCCCAAATTCCCTGCTCCTTTCATAGTTTCAGGGAAACATGGAGGGACAGAATCTTCATGAACCTAGTTAACCAGTAAGCATTTGCATTAATACCTTTTTAATAAACACAAAAAAGGAGAAGGAACTTCCCTTAATCTATAGCGGCAGAGGGCACAGTTCAAGCTAAGTGCCAAGGCTATTACCTGGATATTTCAGATATAGGGTTGAAGTAATCTTCTCATTTAATTCTAGATAATAATCTCTGCCAGGATCACAGAAACTAAATCTTATTAGCCATGCTAGGGAAACTTTATACAATTCTTGACTAATGCCTCCAAACTACTATATGGCACCAATAAAAAAGAAAAATGCAAAAAAGTGTGTTTCTTTAAAAATGGAAATAAAAATTTAAATGGAAGCAGCATGAAAATATCCACAAATGGATAGACTACATTTGAAATGGTATGGTAGAGTATGAGATGAGTTGGACAATGAGAGATGTGTTTCAATGTTTTACTAGTGTACTTTTCCAGACACATTACTCTGGATTCTGAGAAAACCAAAGAAAATACTAAGTGCCAAAGGCAGGCCCAATTGCTTGTTTTATTTGTTCCTATTATCTATACTATCTAGTGTCTTTTATTTTTATTTAAATGCAAAAATCCAATTCCTTTCTTACATTTTTTAAGTATTAAAAATAAATAGGTCAAAAGCTGGCTTTAGAGAAGGCACAACATTAAGCTGCTTTCAAAATTGTTTTTTCCTTTTTTTTTTTTTTTTGTATCTGTGGATCCAGTAGTAATCATGACTGCTCCCTCTAGGAAAAGCAGCAATATTTTATAATTTGGGAATGAAATAATGTTTGACATGGTAAAAAAGGAATAAATCTTGACTTCCTTTGCATGCCAATTTGAAATTACCTTAATTTCTTTTTATTTTTTTAAAGTGTCTCACTCTGTCACCCAGGCTGAAGTGCAAGTGCAGTGGTGTGAACACAGCTGACTGCAGCCTCAACCTCCTGGGCTCAAACAATCCTCCTGCCTCAGCCTCCCAAGTAGCTAAGACCACAGGTGCATGCCACCACCACACCCAGCTAATTTTTCTATTTTCTGTAGAGATGGGGTCTTGCCACATTGCCCAGCTGGTCTCGAACTCCTGGGTTAAAGCTATCCTCCCACCTCAGCTTCACAATGTGCTGGAATTAGAGGCATGAGCCACCATGTCCAGCCACTAATTTCTTTTTTAAAGAAACTGTAACACTGGAGAAGTGATGCCTTTTGCAGAAGTTCTGAAACACACAGTTTGGGAAGAGAGATTGCCATCTTTCGTTAAGGTCACTAATTCACTGAGAAAAATTAATTAAGGGTTATAATTTGGTCAGGCACAATGGCTCACGCCTGTGATCCCAGCCCTTTGGGAGGCCAAGGCAGGCAGATCACGAGGTCAGGAGATCGAGACTATCCTGCCTAACACGGTGAAACCCCATCTCTACTAAAAATACAAAAAATTAGCTGGGCGTGGTGGTGGGCGCCTGTAGTCCCAGCTACTTGGGAGGCTGAGGCAGGAGAATGGCATGAGCCGAGATCACACCACTGCACTCCAGCCTGGGCAACAGAGCGAGACTCCGTCTCAAAAAAAAAAAAAGGGATTATAATTTAAAAGTTAATTTGTTTCCAGCATATTGTACTTGTAAAGAAAAACACAAATGCTTCACATCTGCTTTTTAAACTAAAAATAAGTATGATATATAAAACAATGCAATCTAAATGCTTCATTTTGAGGAAGGGAATGGGGGAAGGGAAAATCAGGAGAAGGAGGGAGAGAATCAGAAAAGTAATAGAAAACTGAAAAAAAAACACAAGTAGGGACAGGAAGACAAAAGGAGACAGAGCAAGAGAAAAGTTAACACACAGGGAAGCACACAGAAGTAGATCCACACAAATATGGTCCATTGATTTTTGACAAAGGTGCAAAATCAGTTGAATAGAAAAAAGATAGCATTTTCATCAAGTGGTGCCAGAACAATTGACCATCCACATGCAAAAAAAAGGATCCTCAACCTATACCTCACACCTTGTACTATAATTAACTCAAAGTGGTATAAATGTAAAATAAAACTTCAAAATTTTAAAAAATAAAACATAGGAGAAAATCTTTAAGATCCTGGGTTAGGCAGTGAGTTCTCAGATACATAATAGAAAAAAAAATTAACTCGATTTTATCAAAATTAAAAACTTTTGCTCTGCAAATGACATTGTTAGGAGAATGAAAATACAAGCCATAGACTGGAATAAAATATTTTTACATCACATATCTAACCAGAAAAACTTTGTACCAAAATATATAAAGAACTCTGAAAAGTCAACAATAAAAAAAATCCAATTTCTTAAATAGACAAAAGATTTGAATACACATTTCACCAAAGATATAAGAATGACTAATGAGCACATAAAAAGATATTCAAAATCATTGATCTTTAGGAAAATGAAAATTAGAACCACAATAAGACATCATTACATACCTACCAGGATAGCTGTAATAAACAATACAGACAGTAACAAGCATTAACAAGGATTGGAGAAACTGGTCCTAAGAAGATGGAAGCAAAAACTGTATGATTTCAAAAGGAATATGATTCCATTTATATGAAATATGCCAAAAGGGTAAATCTAGAGACAGAAAGCAGATGAAGTGGTTGCCCGGGGCTGGAGTGGAAATAGGCATTGACTACAAATAAGCACAAAGAATCTTTCTGGAATAATAAAAATCTTCTAAAACTATTTTGTGGTGATATGTGCACAATTCTGTATATTCACTAAAAATTAAATTGTACTCTTAAAACTGGTAAATTTAACAGCTTTCAGATATGTCACATACCATATAATTCACCCACTTAAAGTATACAATTCAATGGTTTGTTGTATAGAGTTGTGCATCCATCACCATAATCAACTTTAGAACATTCTCTTTATCCCAAAATAAAACTCTGCATCCTGTAGCTGTCAACCTCTAATCCCTCTATCCCCACCAACCCCAGACAACCACTAATCTACTTCCTGAATCTATAGATTTCCATATTCTGAACATTTCAAACAAATGGGATCATAAAGTATGTGGTCTTGTGTCACTCGCTTCTTTTACTTAGCATAAGGTTTTCAAAGTCCACCCATGTTGGAGCATGGTGCATCACTACATAGTTCAATCCCCTGCATAAACCAAAATTTGTTTATCCATTCATTAGTTGATAGAAATTTGGGTTGTTTCCACTTTTGGGCTATTATGAATAATATTTCCATAAATATTCACATGCAAGTTTTTGTTTAGACTTATGTTTTCAATTATCTTAGGTATATACCTAGGAGTGGAGTTACTGGATCATATGGTAACTCTATTTAACCTAATGTTAGGAACTGTTTTTCAGAGCAACTGCACCATTTTACATTCTTACCAATAGTGTATGAGGGTTCCATTTTCTCTAGATTCTTATCAACACTTGTTATTTTCCATCTTTTGATTATAGTAAACCTGGTGGGTGTGAAGTGGTATCTCACTGTGGTTTTGATTTGCATTTCCCCAGTGGCTAATGATATTGAGCATCTTTTCATCTGCTTATTGGCCATTTGTGTGTCTTTAATGAGATACTACTGCATACTAACTAAAATAATTTTTTTAACTGACAATACCAAGTGTTGAAAAGGATATAGAACTGGAACTCTCATACGTTGCTAGTGGGAATGTAAAATAGTACAACCACTGTGGAAAATAGTTTAACAGTTTCTTATAAAATTGAACAGAATTACCATATGATCAAGCAATCCCACTTCTAGGTAACTACATAAGAGAAATGGTAACACCAAAACCTCTATGTGAATGTTTATAGTAGCTTTATCCATAATCATGAGCTCTCAAAACTGGAAACAATCTAAACATTTTTCAGCTGGTGAATGGACAAAAACTGTGGTACATTCAAACAATAGAATACTTCCTAGGAATAGAAAATAATGAAATATTGATACATAAAAGAACACGTATCTCAAATGTAACATGCGAAGCAAAAAAAGACATGAGTCAAAAGGCTACACACTGTATGCCTGCATTTATATGACATTGAAAAAGGCCAAACTATAGGAAAGGAAAACAGATTAGTTTTTGCCAGTAGTTAGGGTTGAAGGGCTGACTACAAAGAGAAAGGATAAATGGGGGCACTGGAACTGTTCTGCATCTCGACTGTGGTAGTGGTTACATGATTACGCGTTTGTCAAAATTATAGAACTATATAAGAAAACAGGCCAATTTTACTGTATTTAAATTTAACAGTTAAGTAAAACAAAAAAGCAGAAGAAATAACAGAGTTGAGGAGCTCACAGAATAGTCAACAATATTGGGAAGAAAAAATAAGAAAATTAGATTATTAATCTAGGAAAGCCAACATCTAACCAACAGGAAGCCCGAAGTGAAATGAGGAAAGCAGAGGGAAAGAAATGATAATGATGATGATGATGATGATGATGATGATGACAATATAAAAAAATTCTAGCACTGTAGAACATGAGTATCCATATTGAGACTGAAAGGGCCCATGAAGCAGCCACAACAATGAAAGCAAAAAAGATCATCCCTGGACATAACAATAAAGTTTCTGAAGTCAGGGGATAAAGAGAAGATCCTAAAGCTTTCACAGAAGAAGAACAGTTTATACACAAAAGAACACAAATAAGAACACAATATACTTCTCAAAAGAAAAACTAGGATTCGGAAAACAATGAAGCTCTAGATTAGAGGGGAAGTTATTTCCAACCTTTATTTCTATTGCAAGCTATCAAATGAAAGAGTAAAACAAGGTGTTTTTAGAAAAAAAAAAAGATTCAAAAATGTTGCCACCCTTTCTCAGAAAAGCTACTGAAGATATGTGAAACCAAAATAAAGAATTTTTTTTTTAAAGTCTGGGGGTGGAAGGGAGCAATCTTGGAAATAGGAGATTCAACACAAGAGAAAAGCAAAGAGAAATTACAGGATAAGGATGAAGGGGAAATCGCAGGAAGATAGACACTCAGAAGGACTAGAAAATAAGCATTTCCAAAAATAGGACAGAGAACTCCAGTGTGGATATCTCAAAAAAGATAATAAAGGTTTAGATAACCCGATGTGTTTGAATATAATGAGAGATGTACACTTCTGTTGGAAAGTTTGGAGATGTTACTATCAAAAAGTGGGAAAATGATGAAATAACAAAATGAGATAAAACAAAGTTTTACAGGAAAGGAAATAAAATCATTGAACACTACATGGCTCAGATGTGAATAATACCGTAGTTAAGCAGTCATAATAATGTCAACATTGAAAATGAATCTCACAGAACTGATAAAACTAAATTAGGAGGATAGGAAGGAAAATGGGGAAGAGAAAAAAGAAAAAGTCTCCTCTTTGGGATCTCATTACCCCTCTTTCAACAATGGACAGATAACCTAGACAGAAAATCAATTAGGAAACATTAGACTTGAATTATACTTTACACCAAATGGACCTAACAGACATATACAGAATATTCAATCCAACAGCAACAGAATACACATTCTTGCTATGCACACATGGACCATTCTCCAGGATAGATCACATTGTTAGGCTAAAAAACAAGTCTTAACAAATTTAAGGAAATTGAAATCATATCAAGCATCTTTTCAGATCACAATGGCATGAAACTATAAATCAGTAACAGAAAGAATCTTGAAAAACACACAAATATGTGGGAATTAGACAAAATGCTTCTGAACAAGTCAATGTGTCACAGAATAAATCAAAAAGGAAATTAAAAAAAACCCTTGAGACAAATGAAAATGGAAACACAACATACAAAAACTTACAGGATGTAACAAAAACAGTTCTAAGAGGGAAATTTATAGTGGTAAATGCCTACACTAAAAAGGAAGAAAGATCTCAAATAATCTAACATACTTCAAGGAACTAGAAAAAGAACAACCTAAAGTTAGCAGAAGGAAGGAAACAAAGATCAGAGCATAAATAAATGAAAGAGACTAGAAAAATGATAGAAAAATAATAAACGAAACTAAGAGTTAGTTCCTTGAAAAGATAAACAAAATTGACCTACCCTTAGCTAGACTAGGAGAAAAAGACTCAAATCAGAAATGGAATAGGAGACATTACAACTGTTATCACAGAAATACAAAGGATCACAAGAAACTACTATAAACAATTATACGCCAACAAATTGGATAGTCTAGAAGAAATGGATGAGTTCCTAGACACATACAACCTACCAAGACTAAATCATGAAGAAATAGAAAATCTGAACAGACCAATAATGAGGAAGGAGATTGAATCAATAATAAAAGTCTCCCACCAAAGTCCAAGACCCCATGGCTTCACTGCTGAATTCTACCAAACATTTAAAGAACCAGTACCAATCCTTCTTAAGCTCTTTCAAAAAACTGAAAAAGAAGGAATATTTCTAAACTCATTTTACAAGACCAGCATTACCCTGATACCAAAGCCAGACAAGGACACTACAAAAATAGAAATTTACAGACCAATATCCCTGATGAACATAAATGCAAGTCGTCAACAAAACCCTAGCAAGCTATATTCCACAACACATTACAAGACTCATTCCCCATGCTCAAGTGGGATTTATCCTGGGGCTGCAAGGAAGGTTCAATATACACAAATCAACAAATGTGATACACCACATTAACAGAATGAATAAAAATCATGATCATTTAAATAGATGCAGAGAAAGCATCTGACAAGATTCAACACCCCTTCATAATGAAAAAACAAACAAACAAAAACACTCTTGGCCGGGCACGGTGGCTCACACCTGTAATCCCAGCACTTTGGGAGGCCAAGGCGGGCAGATCACGAGGTCAGGAGTTCAATACCAGCCTGGCCAACATAGTGAAACCGCATCTCTACTAAAAAAAAAAAAAAAAAAAAATACAAAAATTAGCTGGGCATGGTGGCGGGCGCCTGTAATCCCAGCTACTCAGCAGGCTGAGGCAGGTGAATCGTTTGAACCTGGGAGGCGGAGATTGCAGTGAGCCGAGATCACGCCATTGCACTCCAGCCTGGATGACAGGGTGAGACTCCATCTCAAAAAAAAACAAAAAAAAACAAAAAAAAACACCTCTCAACAGATTAGGTATACAGGAAATGTATATCAGTACAATAAACACCACATATGATAAACCCATAGCTATGACCATTTTCAAGAGTGAAAAATCGAAAGCTTTTCCTCTGAGATCAGGGACAAGACAAGGATGCCCCCTCTCACCACTTCTATTCAACATACAAATCGTAGCCAGAGCAATTAGGCAAGAGAAAGAAAACACATCCTACTAGAAAAGGAAGAAATGAAATTATCTTTATTTGCTGATAACATGCTCTTACATATAGAAAAACCTAAAAACTACACCAAAAAATGGTTAGAACTGATTAAAAAAATGAGTAAAGTTGAAGGATACAAAATCAACATATAAAAAATCAGTAGTGTTTCTACATTATCCAAAGAGAAAATTAAGACAACAATCCCATTTACAATAGCAATAGCAACAAATACTTAGGTATAAATGTAACCAATGAGGTAAAAGACTGATATAACACTGAAAACTATAAAACACTCATGAAAAAAACTGAAAAAAAAAAAAAAAACCCACAAATAAACGGAACAATATCCCATGTTTATGGATTGGAAGAATATTGTGAAAATGTCCACACTACCAAAGTGATCCACAGATTCAATGCAATCTCTATCAAAATTCCAATGACATTTTTGCCGAAATAGAAAAAAAAAAATCCTTAAATTTATATAGAACCACGGAAGATCCCAAATAGACAAAATAATCTTCAGTAAAAAGAACAAAGCTGGCAGCATCTCACTCCCTAACTTCAAATCATATATAAAGTGAGCATAATCAAAACAGCATCATGCTGGTATAAAAACAGACACATCAAAAAAAGGAACAGGATAGAAAGCCCAGAAAGAAACCTAAACATTTATGGTCAATTTTCAACAAAGGTATTAAGAATGCACAATGGGGAAAAGACAGTCTTGTCAATAAATGGGGTTGGGAAAACTGACTATCCACGGGCAGAAGAATGAAGTTGGATCCTTACCTTACATCATATTAAAAAATCAACTCAAAATGGATTGAAAACTTAAATATAAAACCTGAAACTGCAAAACTACTAGAAGAAAACATAGGGGAAAAGCTCCACACTTCTTTGGGCAATGATTCTTTGAATATGACCCTGTAAGCACAGGTAACAAAAGCAAAAATAGACAAATGGTATGGCACCAAACTAAAAAGCTGCTGCACAGCAAAGGAAACTATTAACAAAGTGAAGAGACAACTCACAGAAATTGAGAAAATATCTGTAAACTATACATCTGATAAGGGGTTAATATCCAAATATGTAAGGAAATCAAATAACTCGAAAAAAAAAACCTGTAAGGAAATCAAACAACTCAACAAGCAAGAAAACAACCCAATTTAAAAATGAGCAAAGGAACTAAACGAACATTTCTCAAAAGACGACATAAAAATGGCAAACAAGTACATGAAAAAATGCTCAGCATCACTAATCATTAGAGAAATGCAAATCAAAACATGAGATTATCACCTCACAACTGTTAGAATGGTTTTTATTTAAAATGATGAAAGATAACAAGTGTTGGCAAGGATGCAGAGAAAAGAAAACTGTTGTACGTTGTTGGTGGGAATGTAAATTAGTACAGCCATTATAGAAAACAGTATGGAAGTTCCTCAAAAAATTAAATAGAACTACCATATGATCTAGTAATTCTACTTCTGGGTATATATCCAAAGGAAATAAAATCAGTATGTCAGGGGATACCTGCACTCCCGTGTTCATTACAGAATTATTCACAGTACCCAAGATAAGGAAACAACCTAAGTGTCCATCAGTGGATGAATGGATAAAGAAAATGTGGTACATATACAAAATGGAATGCTATTCAGTGTTTAGAAAAACGAAATTCTGTCATTTGTGACAACATAGATGAACCTAGAGGACGTTATATGCTAAGTGAAATAAGCCAGGCACAGAAAGACAAAGAGGGCATGATTTACATGCGGAATCTAAATAAGTTGAACTCATAGAAGTAGAGAGTTAGAATGATGGTTACCAGAAGCTGGGGGGTGAGTGGGAAAAGAGAAAATGGGAGTTGTTGATCAAAGGGTACAAAGCTTCAGACAGACAGAGGACATAAGTTCTGGGATCTTTTGTACAGCAGAGTCGCTACAGTCAATAATAATATATTGTGTACTTCAAAATAAGAATTTCAAATTTCTCACCATAAAAAATGATAGGTAAGTGAGGTGAATATGTTAATTAGCTTGACATAATCATTCCACATTGTACACAAATAGCAAAACATTACATTGTACCCTATAAATGCATATACAATTGTGACGTGTAAATTAAAAACATTAATTTTTGAAAAGTCTCCTCTTCCATGTAGGAAGGTTACAATGATATTCAAATTTAAAAAACAAAACAAAACCAGTTTAAGCATATTATTTATAAAACATAAAGTAATACGGTCATCTATAAGAAGCAGGAACAGAGATGCGGAGGAATAGGACATACAACTGCTGTTTCTTGTTGTAAGCCTTGTATAATCAATTAACATTTTTAACTATTCACATGTATTACCTTAATTTTAGAAAGCAAATTTAAACATTTTATCATTAGTGAGCAAGAAACAATAGCATCATAAACTGGGAAAACAAGTAATTGGAATTTTACAGCTCCAAGGGATCTCTTACTTTACAGATGAAGAAACAGGTCTGAAATAGTTTTAAGACCTACCTAAGTTTTCACATCCAATCAGTAACAGTACTGAAACTAAAACTATATAAAATCTCCTGATGTTTGCACAATTACCATAAAGAGGAATTACATACCAAGGCAGAAAAAACATGAACAAAAGCCCAGAAGTGGTAAAGCAGAGGTTCCATTCTGCAGATTAGTACAATAGGATATTTTAAAGAGAACTGTGGGTCGATTCTAGACTTTGTCTTGCATATAATAAAAAGCCACTTCAAGGTATTTAATACTGTCCTTTGAAATATCGCACTTGAAATCCCAATTGGCTTTCTCCACAGCAAACTACTTTAGTCCTGAAAAACTTCCAGAACAGTGGTTCTCAAGTGGAGGGCTTGTTAAAAGATTGCCTCTTGCCCAAGGGATTCTGAGGCAGGTCTGGGATGAATCCCAAGAATTTGCATTTCTAACAAGTTCCCAGGTGATGATGATGCTGGTCCAGGGAATACACTTTGAAAACCACTGCTCTAGAACAACATATTCCTAAAAAGAGAATTTCAAGGCCAAAATTTCAGCAAACTTTGCATATTATAATCCTATCCTTGAGATTCACAGTGCCCATTAGCAACATTAAAGGTCCTAAGGAATGCTTATAGTAAATGCTTCACATTTTTGACCTAGCCTTTATCAAACACCTTCTTCCCTCCATAGATCACCTATTAATGTTTCAAAGTTTGAGAAACACTGCTCTAGAAATTTTTGTGACTTAAACCTAAGGTTGTTAGAATAATACAAAAGACACTGTATATTCAGTGTTTAGCACGTTCGTGCTTAAATATGGATGGCTGTTAGCTGCTACCTGACAAAACATTCAGCAAGCAATCATTCTTTGGTCCAAAAAAAAAAAAAAAAAAAAAGGTAAGAACCAGAGCAATTTCACTGAAATTCTACTGGAAATCAAAGTTCTAATATGGGTCCATATCCTGTTTCCCCATCCCTAATGGAATTATTCCCTTTGACATCTAAGTATAATGGAAAGAAAATGTCTTAAAAAAGACATTTTAAGTTTTAAGCACTGTATCTCTGGGTACAGATTAAAATAAGTTGAAAAAACATTAAAGTAACTTTAAATAACATAGTTTACTTGTCATGAAACTGATGGGCTTTAATTTTGCAATGACTACTTTTTATACTGAAATTTAGCTAGAATACGTAATTTGCCCTTTTAATTGCTATATTTATTTCTTCACTGATAAACAAGGAAACTGTAGTGTGACATATAAATACTAATGATTTTAATTCTAAAATAACACTTCACGTTTCAACCAATTAAATGAGGTATGTCCGGAATTATTTTTTTAAAGCATACATTACCTGTGACATACAAGGTATAGTTGTAAATGTGTATGACAAAATGCTATGAGTTATTAGTTTCTGAGAGGCAATATGGTATCATGAAAAGAATGTTATGAACTTGGCTGTACCACTTTAAGTCTCAGTTTCCTCATCTGTAAAATAAGTAGATGGGCTGCATAATCTCTAAGCACTCTTCCAAATGTAGGGAATTACTCTGTGATTCAACAGTGGATAACAGACTTTAGGTGGTAAAATTTGTAATCAATATTAAAATATTGATAACACCTTCCTTTAAGTGGTCAAATTTGTGATCAATATTAAAAATAGCTTTTGGGTGTTAGCCTATTATCTTGGCAAAAAGTGGGGATGACTGGCCCACATAAAAATGAATAAATCTGACATTACCACATAAACAGACCTAGATTTTTAAAGATAACAAACCCATGTATTAACATATAACAACTTGTAACAGAACCTACTGAAAAGCCAGTATTTTAAAAATTAGCCCTAAATAACTTACTTCAATTATTTTTAGTACCAAATAACATGAAGCAAATTAAGGGAAATAACTCTACAGAACCTCTTTTTAGGGTCTTTCATTACTGAAAATATAATGGTAATGTGTTTTAAAAATGTATTTTAACAGCACCCTGGAACTAGAGCCTATCAACTTTTCAGGGTGAACATTCAAGCAGAATTAGCAAAGCAAGATTTATGAAGGAAGGGAACACAATGGTTCTAAAACAAAGCATGGCCTGGCAGCCCTGTTCAACCTCCTCCTCAAGTTTTAGGAAGGAGAAATAAAGGCAAGACAAAGAATGGATTTCCCAAAGAAGTAATCCTTCTTCGGAATTGCAAAATAAAATATTATCAAGAACCACTTGCTTTCATTTTCTTCTCTTCCCCATTTCCACCTGATAGCATGACAATACAGATTTTTTTTTAAAGGAAAATATTACTTTGCTTTAAAATATACCACACTGGCACACAAACACTGAGGGTTTGTTTTTTTTTTTTTTTTAAACAGAGTTTCGCTCTTGTTGCCCAGACTGGAGTGCAATGGCGCAATCTTGGCTCACTGCAACCTCTGCCTCCCAGGTTCAAGCAATTATCCTGCCTCAGCCTCCTGAGCGACTGGGATTACAGGCATGTGCCACCAAGCCGGGCTAGTTTTGTATTTTTAGTAGAGACGGGGTTTCTCCATGCTGGTCAGGCTGGTCTCAAGCTCCCGACCTCAGCTGAACCACCTGCCTTGGCCTCCCAAAGTGCTGGGATTACAGGCATGAGCCCCCGCGCCCAGCAGAAGGTTGTTTTTTGACTTAAGATACCTGCAGTGTCTGATCAGTCTAGAGACAGGATTAGCAGAAGGAGGGAAAAAACCCAGAACATTTGAAGCACTGGAAAGACTCATTCAATTAAACTTCTAAATAAACTTAAATTATCTAACTATAACCCCAATTAGAAACTGAGTATGAGTTTAAACATGAAATTCAATGAAAAATCTGCTTTCCGTATCATTTAGGACTATATTCTGTGAATTCTAAAAATAGATCTTAGTCCTACTTCTCAAAACAAAAACTAACCAAGAGAAAATGTGTTATTTCAACAGCATTTTTAATTTTTAAAACATGCCACACAACTAGGTTTATGTCTTAGAAATCACCCGAGAAGTTAGTTTTATTAATTCACAAACAGGAAAACTGAGATCCAGAAAACTACTAATTTAGGCTAAGGACTTAGGAATGTTTTTCATTACTAAATATGGGGAGTGTATTATCCCCTCACTTCACACTGGCAGTGGAGAATTGACCAGTATGTAATGCTGCACAAAAGGAGAAATGATCATTCAAAAAGATGTACTATATGCGTCTCATAGACATCATTCCAACAGTGACTATCAGGGTCCTGCAACCAAGTACTTTAGTAGCACACTTAACCATGAGTAAACACCATATTGTATTGCCTTACTGGATTTCTTCACCAGTCTATTATAGGATATTCTAAAATAATTACTACAAATAAAAAATTCCATTTAGTCCTTATTATCTATTAGAAAAGACACTATATGACATTATGGGTTACAGATACTGAGTTAATAGCATAAGAATATTAAGGTTAGTTTCAAAAATGTATTGGCTAGTATGCTTTAAACAAAAAAAGTATTGAATTTGTGTTACATTATAAAAACTGGGAATTACTGGCCGGGAGTGGTGGCTCATGCCTGTAATCCCAGCACTTTGGGAGGCTGAGGCGGGTGGATCACGAGGTCAGGAGATCGAGACCATCCTGGCTAACATGGTGAAACCCTGTCTCTACCAAAAATACAAAAAAAATTAGCTGGGCATGGTGGTGGGCGCCTGTAGTCCCAGCTACTCCGGAGGCTGAGGCAGAAGAATGGCGTGAACCCGAGAGGCGGAGCTTGCAGTGAGCAGAGACCGCGCCACTGCACTCCAGCCTGGGCGACAGAGCGAGACTTTGTCTCAAAAAAAAAATAAATAAATAAAAATAGAAATAAAAATAAAAACTGGGAATTACTAAATTTAAATGTAATTAATCAAAAGGGTTTAATTACAAATGAGTCTAGGAATTAAGACCAAAATAGTAATAAACAATGACCAAGAAATGAAGTTACTGAAGTTCGCCTCAGCCTAGGGATTCTTAACCCGGGGCCATGAGGTCCTGCAAACTTTCTGAAAGTCACTGCAAAATCATGTATATAGAGAAGAAAAGCCACAGTTTTAAATTAAAGAGTTCCATGGCTGAAAGAAGCTTAAGAACCACTGCCTCAGAGAACAGGACTGCAGCCACCAAAATAAAATCATGTTCAAAGCTATGATACAAGTGTCAATCAAAATAAGTAATTTTGGCCAGAATATGGTAAAAAATTTATAAGACAATGAAGATATAGAAATACCAACATAGATGGTATATAATGGTATTAAAAGCCTGTCAAAATATTTTTCAAGAATCAGTATCAACATTAAGAAGCATGTATTCTGGCCGGGCACAGTGCCTCATGCCTGTAATCCCAGCACTTTAGGAGGCCGAGGTGGGTGGATCGCTTGAGGCCAGGAGTTTAAGACCAGCCTGGCCAACATGGCAAAACCCCGTCTCTACTAAAAATACAAAAATTAGCCAGATGTAGTGGTGGATACCTGTAATCCCAGCTACTCAGGAGGGTGAATCACTTGAACCTGGGAAGCGGAGGTTGCAGTGAGCGGAGATAATGCCACTGCACTCCAGCCTGGGCAACAGAGCGAGACTCCGTTAAAAAAAAAAAAAATAAATAGCATCATGTATTCTACATTCCTGTTTGAACCTAGCCAGATTTGTCTACCTTTTGTTTAGCCGCCTACCAAAAAAAAAAAAAAAAAAAAAAGAATTAAAAACTGTATAATAAATAGAGCATTCACGTAGGGAATTAGCCATTAGCCACTTAATAAGTAATTAAATATCATTTGATGACTGGGCACAGTGGCTCACGCCTGTAATCCCAGCACTTTGGGAGGCTGAGGCAGGCAGATCACTTGAGCCCAGGAGTTCAAGACCAGCCTGCGCAACATGGCAAAACCCCGTCTCTACAAAAAATTAGCCAGGTGTAGTGGCCCATGCCTGTGGTTCCAGCTACTCCAGAGGCTGAGGTGGGAGGGTCACTTGACCAGGGGAGGCAGAGGAGCCAATATCTTGCCACTGCACTCCAGCCTCGGTGACAGAGAGACCCTGTCTCAAAGGAAAAAAAAAATTGTTTGGTAATATCCTAAACCTTTCTCTATGTAAGCTTTTACTAGAAAACACTATAGTGCTTTTCATATACCTGATTTTTAACATCATGTTTTGCCACAAATCCCTGACAGGTACCATTATTTGACAGACCCTTAAATACCATTAAGATACTGCATAGAATCAGCACTGTTATATTTGGGATGCTATTCTTATATGTGCTTGATCCTACAAACTTACCATACAATATGATGGTCACATCTTCTGAACAAGAGACTTACTAGATACTTCGCTGTCAAATCAAAGTCAGTATGAAATAAATGTGTACAAGATGACAGTGTTTCCTAGAACAATACCTAATCCTAATCAAGACAATCAAAAAAGAGTACTAGGTTACAGAAGTGCATTCATCATTTATGGAAAGCCTACTGTGTTTCAGGCAAAGGACTCAAAAATGAGTAAGACATAGGTCCTTCAGAGCAGGAATCATGTCTTGGATCCTGCTGATACAAAAGGTAGATTCTCATTATGCATTTATATTAAAAGCCTGAATGATGAATACATAAGCTTGAGGTACTTAGGAAATAAAGCTGTGAGTGCTTGGAAACCAATTAGATATAAGGGGTTGGAGACAGAGTTAAAGGCTAGAAGAATGACTAAATGATGATACCATTAATAAAGATAAGCACCTCAGAAGAATGAAAAGAAATATGATTTCAGTTTGGGGCACACCTTGAGTTTGAGGTGCTTACAGAATTAACAGACAGACAGGGCCAAAGGCAATTGGAAATATCATTTAGGAGCCCAAATCAGAGTTGGGAGATACAGATAAAGGAGTCAACAGTAGAAGCTGTGGGAATGCTGAAAATTCCAAGAAAAGAAATAAAGCAAGGACCAAAATGAAACTTTAAAATACAACTAAGAAAAAAGAAAAAGATTTGTAAATAACTTGCAATCAGGTAAACCAATTGAAAGAGTTTCTCCACATGGATTCTACACATGGATTCTATGAGTAGCCATCACTGTGGTTTTTTAAGTAGCAATGTAAAAATTCAAAAAGGTTATACACCTATGGCTAGCATACCGTTACGCCTGTGGCTAACATACAATCTAAATTTCTTAGGAAAATCCTCTGATTTCAAATATTCTCTCCTACTGTCCCCATAAAGGATGGAAGTATACTGGAATTCAGTGTTCAAATTACAATTTCCACAACATCTCTTGGACCCTAAAATGAAATACAACTTTTTTCACATTATGTTATTTGTAGAATGGACAATACCAATTATTGCACAGGAATATTTAAAGATTAAATGAGTATATATGTGTAAAGTGCTCTGAATAGTACCTGATACATACTAAGCACTAGTGTTAACCAAAATTATTTTTCACTCCCCACTCCCCAATAAAAATATCGTATTACGGCCGGGTGTGGTGGCTCACGCCTGTAATCCCAGCACTTTTGGAGGCCAAGGTGGGAGGATCACCTGAGGTCAGGAGTTTGAGACTAGCCTGGCCAACATGGTGAAACCCAGTCTCTACTAAAAATACAAAAATTAGCCCCACGGGGTGACACATGCCTGTAATCCCAACTACTCGGGAGGCAGAGACAGGAGAATCACTTGAAACTGGGAGGTGGAGGTTGCACTGAGCCGAGATCACGCCATTGCACTCCAGTCTGGGTGACAGAGCGAGACTTGGTCTCAAAATAAATAAATAAATAAATAAATAAATGGTATTACATGTACAGCAGAAAATTGATCACCACATGGCTATCATGATGACCCTTTCCAAATGTTTCCCCAAAATTAATTTCAAATGATCTGTCCATGTGTCATTTCTCAGACTATATGAAGTGTTTTGGTCATCTCCACAAATTTTACATTTATGAACAAATCAGAGGAATTACGTGCTTATACCACAATAAAGGGCCAGGAAGAATATTTATATTACTGCTAGTCATTACTTAGTCTTGAAAAACTTCCTCAAACTAAATATTAAAGTGGCAAACAACCTTTTTGTACTCTTTTGTGCCTATATATGACTTGCCTTTAAAAGAATACAAAGTAGAGCCGGGTGCAGTGGCTCACGCCTGTAAAACCAGCACTTTGGGAGGCCGAGGCGGGCGGATTGCCTGAGCTCAGGAGTTCACGACCAGCCTGGGCAACACGGTGAAACCCCGTCCCTACTAAAATACAAAAAAAAAAAAATTAAAATTAAAAAGTAGAGGTCTAAGGTGTCCAAAATCAGATACTTGATGGTACTTGCAGATAATGACTACTTTTAAATGTTCCAGAACCCTATGTCAAATTCATTGGTTATACTATCTTACCAACAAATCCTTTGAGCTTTCTTTCCTCCCAAATTATAAGTATCTAAAATCCTTAATTCCCAAGGTCATCCCAAAACATCACATCTCTTTTCATCTACTCCAACCCGTAAATGTTCTATTAACTGTCTACCTCTTAATCTATCCATGGTGCAAATTTCCCAATGCTAAACTCTCTTTCATTTCCTTATCCCTGAAAATTTCAGTACCTCTAATAGAACACTGCTAAATAAACTGCATTCCACTTACTCATTAATATCAAGAACCTGCAGCTCTGTCATGTAATGAAACCAAACAAATAGAGCAAACATTTCAAACAGACTTTTGGTTACCATTCTTTAATAAGGACTAATAAGATGTAAATGTGGTGATTAATTTAGCATGTTTCCTCATCTGTAAAACTGGTGGTTTAAAATATTCTTTAAATTATCTCCCAACTCCAAAAGTCTACAATTCTGTCTTAAAGTCTTAATTTATTCAATCTACTATCAATCCTACCCAGAGCATTTTCCTAAATTCCAAAAACTCAGAAATCACAGATTTCTAAGTCCTAGGTAAGGTTGTCATACGCCAAAGGAAAACCCAGTTAAGTGTGAAATTCCTACTAAATAACTTCCATAAATAAACAAACAAAACCTACCTTGCAAGGAATTCGAGTAACTAAAATGAACACTAGGCAAACAACTATAAAGAAACAAAAAGCTTACAACATATATTATGCAGGGTAGAAAGAGCAGGGGACTGGGAATCAAGGAGCTGCTCCTAGGGGCAGTTCTGCCAAAAGCTATACTTTAAGCAAATGGTAAAATCTGAATATGATGGAATTGGACTAGATAATCTCAAGAATCCGTGCCAAATCAAAATGATTTTAAAGTCTCCTTTGACTTAAAAATCCAAAATCGATACAAAATTCCACAAAAGGGAAGTCAGAGGCGTTACTGCACACAATTGACAACAACGGCTTAAACCTCTGCTAAATGAAATAATGGAATTTAGGTTATGCATTATTCTGGGGAAGTAGATAGCAAAGGATTTAGGGGCTGTATAGCCTTTTAGTTGTCTGATATTTGAGTAGACCTTGCCTTTCATTTGTTTCTCTTTAATTCTTCATCATAAACTATAAAAACTAAGTGACCAACATAAAGTCACAATTTTCTCAAATGAGAAAAACGTATTTATGAGGGCCCAGAAAACACTAAAGATTCTCTCCCTGGATTTGAATAGGACCTTTCCTAAAACATAACATTGATATACAATTATGATTATGGTGCTGTGAATTCTCAACCAGATTACTCACTTTTTAGATTATTCTCAGCAAAATTTTAATCCAAGTTGGCTTCCTCCTGCTACCCAGAGTATTTCTTTGTCACCACCTTCTACCACTAGTAAGCATTTTTTTAATATTAGCCTAAATAAAACACAATCAGAAAAATAAACCTATAAAAACATGATAAAATGCATTCCAAATAAAATGTTTGGAACATTTAGCATGTTGGGATAATATGATTGGAATGGAAGAGAGGTCTTTATAGTGAATGTTCTATTTTGATAGATAAACTATATCTAAACATTGTACCAGAGAGCTATGGACACTTAAGGATAATCTACTGTAAAGGTCTTGAGACCACACACTCTAATCAGAAAGAACTTCATAATGTATCTTGCTCAAGTTAAGTCAATTTTAAAACCATATATTTAAGCCATTATATGCATCAGTTTATTGTTCATTCATAAAACTAATTTTATAAGCACATAAATTGTAAATTTCTGTTACAGTTAATGTTTCATTACCACTGTGAGAGGAGATCCTTAAAAAACAATAGTAAGTCCTATTGGTATAAGTCCTTTTTGATTATTCTTCTCAAACCAGTAAAGTTTTGACATTAGGCACGATTATTTTATCACTTTGTATGTTTTAGAAAAAAAAAGTGAATATATCCACTCCACTCTGTTCTTTAGGAAAAAAGTAGCTTTTCCAAGTACAAGAGATCAACTAACTTGATCATCTTTTTTAGGCAATGATTGAACTTTTCATTTCACAGAGCATAATCCATCATTTTTTAAATTTGGTTCCTTAGATTATAAAGCTAAAGATGCTAACTCTTATGTAAAATTTTTTTACATAAAAGTTGTTACTGTTTCATTTTTTTATTCTAAGGAGTATCAAACTAACTACATTTATAATCTTTGTGAAAGTTTTCAAATCTCATTCATTTTTATGATTCCAATTCCACTTGAGATTCTAGGAGAAAACCTGTGAATGCTCACTACATACTGAAGATTAGAAAAAAATCTAGTAATTTCACTAAACTGCAATTAGGATTTGGACCCAATGCAAATGTGCACAACATAAAATTTCCTATACATTCTATAGATGTAGGAAGTTTATTAATTATATTATTTTGTAAATATATATTATGTATTTAATTTGATTTAATCACATTACATAGGTTGAATTTGGGGGTTGCTTTTAAAGTGTTGAGAGTTTAGTGTTTATTTTTGTAATCCAACAACTTTATCCAAAAATGCAGAAAATTTTTCTGGCTGGCCAGGAGGATAACATTTCAGTGTTGATAAGTCCATTGACTGTAACAGCCCAGGAAGCGTGCTAAAACAAAAGAAGAAAAATATTAGGTAACATGGGAGAAAATTCCATACTTCATCTGCTGCCCACTGATGACTGAATCTAACTTCCAAGAATATAGTGGTACTTCTAAAAACTGCACATGTGAATTTTTATATATTTTAATAAGTATACATACTAGGATTATTAAAGCAATACAAAGAGTACTATAAAATGTCAATATAAATTCAGCAGATACCTTATCTCCTATGTCAACTGATATATTTCAGAAATGATATTTCATGAAAAATGTCTTCACATGGCTTTGTAATACTTCTCAGGACTGGGCATATTTAAACTGAAGCACAATTCATTCATGAAAACAGAATTTAAAAATTGAAACCAAAAGTAATAGCTGCCAGACAAGATAATAAGCTGGGGAAACTACTAGACCATGCATGAAGACTGTGAAATAATCTTTGCCAGTAATTTACTATCATAACTTCATATACAATTAAACAATATACCACACCACCATGTATGCTGGAAATAAGGTTTTAAACATAGAACCATTACATCGGAAATTTATTTAAACCAATCGCTTAAATTAGAACAAACATACTACCCCCCAGCCTAGGTCTGGGGAAAATAAATGATTTACCTAAAATGAAAATATAACCAATTATTGGCTGGGTGTGGTGGCTCATGCCTGTAATCCCAGCACTTTGGGAGGCCAAGGCAGGCGGATCACCTAAGGTCAGGAGTTTGAGATCAGCCTGACCAACATGGAGAAACCCCGTCTCTACTAAATATACAAAATTAGGCCAGGCATGGTGGTGCATGCCTGTAATCCCAGCTATTCGGGAGAATTGCTTGAACCTGGGAGGTGGAGGTTGAGGTGAGCCGAGATCGCACCATTGCACTCCAGCCTGGGCAACAAGAGCGAAACTCCGTCTCAAAAAAAGAAAAGAAAATATAACCAATCAATTACTGATTCTTTCTCACTGCTTACTGCTTTTATGTGACTTTCTTGAAATTAATATAGAAAAAAAGACATTTAAAACTGTAAAAAAATAAAAATAAAATAAATTGGAGACTTGTACAGTTTCCTTCCTTTTCAGCATGAGTAAAAAGTCAGGATATGTTTATGAAATCAGTGTTTTCCTTTTAATGTACTAACACAAAATCAAAGCTGATTTAACATTTAGAATGAAAATACTAATTAAAAGTATCTGGAAAAAATTGACTTGCATAAAGCAGTTAGGAAGATAAGTTTATTCCTCTTTAATCTAGCTTCTCTCCTGACTCACTAAATAGTTCAAGACTGGCTTCTATGTTACACAGCCACCCTGACATTCCCTCTTCTCCAACATTATAGTGATAAGGACACCAACAATTTCACTCCTGAAATAATCAATGAATCTGCCTCCTCTCAGTTAAGAACAGGAGTCTTTGTTTTGTTCACTGATGTATACCAAGTGCCTAGAACAATGCCTGGCACATAGAAGGTACTCAATAAATATTTAATGAATGAATAAGTATTTACTGAGTGCCTAAGAGACAGAAGCAGTAAAACTAAAAGAAAAATTATGCTCCAGCCAGTTTCTTCTCAGGTTTTTTATTTTAAAATTAATTTCATTTTACTATAATGTAAATAAATATATATATACACATATATAGTAATTCTATGAGGCATTTACTTCTTGCAACATCAAACTAGGATAGGTTTTAAAGTCAAACAAGTGGGAATTACTGACCTGGCCCTTTGGCAAGCTTCTAGTGTCTCAAGGAAGAACTAATAGAAAACAAACAAGTAATTTTCTTCATCCTTCTATTACGATGATCAGTTCCTGTTGAATTCTAATATACTTGTAGAAAATAATACTCCTTACCATAATTTCTCTGCTTAAAATACTTCAATGGCTTCTCAATAAACATGAATAAAATCAGAACTCTTACATAAGCTACCCCCACCCAACTTCATCTTCTATTATATTCCCTTGCTCACTATGCTCCTGCAACACTAATCTTCCCTCTGTTCCTCAAACACACCAAGCTCCAAGTTCATTCCTTACTTAGGCTTTTGCACTTGCTGTTCCTTCTGCCTCCAAATCTTCACATGACTGGCTCTTCCTTGTATTTCGGGTCTCAGATCAAAATGTTAGGTACTCTGCCAAGCCTTCTCTGACAATTCTAATCAGTCTTCACCCCAGCTACCACATCACCCTGTCTTACTTTCTTCATAGTACATTTCACCACATGAAATACCTTGATCATTTATTTGTGAACTTATTATCAATTTTCCACCACTAGAATGTAAGCACCATAAGAACAGGGACTTTATCTCATGTTTACTACTGTATCCACAGCACCTAAAACAGTGCCTTTTATATATTGGGTGTAACTGAATAAATGAAAGAGTAAATATAATTTAGGGATTTTAGTGGATTTACTATAGGCAAAACTTTTAACTAAAATGAGCAAATTGTCTTCCTTGAATAATGAAAATCTAAATAATGAACTCAAAATTTAGAACTCCAAAATTAGTGTCTTGGAGACATGCACGCCTAAATAAACACACATACACACACTCTCTCAGATATTCACATATGCAAAGAAACAGCCACAGATACACATAGAAATACAACACAGAGATTGCAAAATGGGAGACAAACAAATGGGAGGATTTTACAGCTGAGAAAATCAAAAGGTTTGGTAACTGGGAGAAGGTAAGAGGCAGAAGAGACAGATGGGTTAGGTAGGTGGATAAGAGGAAGTGCAAGGGACGAATTAAGGCAAGAGATAATAATAATCAGTCTCTAGCATACCTGCAGGTACAATAGAAGAGATGACCCTCTTTGTGTAGCTGCTTTGCCAGTTCCAGCTGATGATTGTTCATCAACTTTTCGTTTATAACCACTACGAGTGGCTTTCCTTTTTCCAGAGTCTCCAAACAGCTTCCTGCACCTACAAATATAAATCAAATTTGTTCAACACAATTTGAAATAAGTTAAGGTCCCCACGAAGCTTTATAGCTAGAAATCAAAAGTTAAAAAACTTAAGTTGACAGAACTACAAACTAGGTCTTTCAATTATACATTCAAAATGACAAGAGTATAGTTATCAGTTGCTCTCTAATAAAAAGTGCTAGAAACTTTATTTGAAAAATACATTACTTTATCACTGATGATGACATTATGGCCTATGATTCAGTGCTATGCTACTTGCTCTCTAGTACCAATGACCCTCAACTTACGATGGGGTATAGCCTTGTGACGGGGTATAACCCCATCATAAGTTGAAAACAGGCTAGGTGCAGTGGCTTATGCCTACAATCCCAACGCTTTGGGAGGCTGAGGTGGGAGGATCGCTTGAGCCCAGGAGTTCAAGACCACTCTCTGCAACATAGAGAGACCTTGTCTCTACTAAAAAATCAAAATAAAAACAAAAACAATAAGGCATGGTGGTTGTGGTCCCAGCTACTGGGGAGCCTGAGGCGGAAGGACTGCTTGAGCCCAAGAGTTGGAGCTTGAAGTGAGCTATGATTGCACCACTGCACCCTGTCTTGGGTGACAGAGTGAGAACTCACCTCAAAAAAAAAGGAAAAAAAAAAGCAGTTGAAAATATTCTAAATAGAAAATGCATTTAATACACCTAACCCACCACACATCACAGCTTAGCCTAGCCTACCTTAAACATGCTCAGAACACACTTACATTAGCCTGTGGTTGGGCAAAATCATCTAACACAAAACCTATTTTATGATAAAGTGTTGACTATCTCATGCCATTTATTAAATACTCCAAGTGTAAAACAGAATGGTTATATGGGTACTCGAAGAGCGGTTTCTACTGAATGTGTATGCGTATTGCTTTCACACCACCATAAAGTTGAAAAACTCTAAGTGAAACCATTGTACGATGGGCCATCTGGAGTATGCTTTGGGCATGGCCTTGAATCCAAATAAGATCCAGGTTTGACATACTGTATGTGAAACTATACTTCATTTCTATTCAACCCCAAGTAGAAAAGCAAGCCTACAATAGAGACAGACAGGCATCAATAATGAAAAACCCTGACCACTTCTTATGGGTTTACATGTGAGGTGCTATCCCAGAAATAGTCAAGGATAGATCTCCATGAATATGCAAATATAGAATATTAGGATCAATTCAATTTTGAAATGTAAAATCATCTAACTATTTTAAATGAGAGCAAGGAGATTGATAAGTGAGTAGATAAGTCCTTTTTGGGTATCTTATGCTAGGGTGGTTAGTTAACAACATTAACTCCGGAGGGGTGCAGTGGATCATGCCTGTAATCCTAGCACTTTGAGAGGCCGAGGCAGGTGGATTGCCTGAGCTCAGGAGTTTGAGACCAGCCTGGGCAACACGGTGAAACCCCGTCTCTACTAAAATACAAAGAAAAAAAAAATTAGCCGGGGCGTGGTAGTGTGCACCTGTAATCTCAGCTACTGGGGAGGCTGAGACAGGAGAATCGCTTGAACCCGGGAGGTGGAGGTTGCAGTGAGCCGAGATAGCATCACTGCATTCCAGCCTGGGTGACAGAGTGAAACTCCGTCCCAGAAAAAAAAAAAAAAAAAAATAGAAAGAAAGGAAAGGAAAAGAAAAGAAAAAAAGAACATAAACTCCAGCACCAGATTGTTATCTGTCCACCACTTCCCGGCTGGACAAATTACTTAACCACTCTTGTGTCTCAGTTTCCTCATGTGTAAAATGGAGATACTAACAGTACTTAGTTCACAGGATTGTTTAAAAAAGTAAAGTTAATATACACAAAGCATTCAGAGCAGTGCCAAAGGCTCTGTTACCTCCTAGGAGATACATTTTTAATCACGAATCTGTTGGTAATGTCTATTTCTAAAGACTTTTCTCTCCTCAAACTAGACTTTAAAAAAAAAAAAGAAAGGAAAAAACGAAACACCTTTCTTCACAACAGTCAAAACTGCATTGCTCCCCAAAAGCAGTTCTTCTGAATGCACTAGAAGTCTAATTAACTAGACCATCAGGGCGGTCCTCTGAAGAGGAAACAATTTACACAGTATGTAGCTGTTATTATTTTTGACTGGATTCATTTCACTCACATTCAACAGAAATGTAAACAATCTTACAATTCCAATTTCTCCATGACCAATCCAACCAATCAGCAGGCAGAACACTCCTTTAGATCTAAGCCCAAGTACTAATGTCAAGTTGACAATTTATTACACTTCCCCGGGTAAATTATTTTGCTCCTCTGTGTTTAGGGTTTTTTATTGTAAAGGTGGACTACAGTGGTTAATTTCCCATTCTTCTCTCACCCCAAAATACTAAGTTCTCTCCAGTAAAGTTCTCAATTGTCATATTCAAATAAGTTGTGTATTCAAAAAGGGCTACAGTGAGTTCAGCTAGCGATTTTATTTTACCTCGAAAAGGTTCAAGTGTCAGTTCCTTATTGGAGGGAGAGCATCAGGATAAAAAGCTAATGGATGCTGGGCTTAATACCTAGGTGATGCATGGCACACGTTTACCTTTGTAACAAGCCCGCACATCCTGCACATGTACCCCCAGAATACCCCAGAACTTAAAAAAAATTAAAATTAAAAGACCCAACCCTGAGATTCTTAGGCACCTTTACCTGCGTGACTAATAACAAGATCTGCTTTCTGAATGTCTTCTTTCAAGGAATCCTTGTACCTGTAAACATCCAGAGTAAACGACTCAGTACTGAAGGGTTCAGGTACCACCGTTCCTCTACCAATTTGCAGGATAAGTCGGTTGTAACCAAGGCTCTCGATTTTCTGAAAGAGGAAATCAGAATGTGAGGGCCTTTTAAACTGGCTATGTAAAACAGAGCAGGAACCACCACCACTACTAAAGTTTGACGTTAACATCGGAGCACGGCCGCCAAAAAGCCTATCTGTGGCCGATTTCACTTAGTTTTCAAAACTATTTTCTGGTCCGGGGCCCGACGAGGAACCTCCCAAGCACTCATGAATCTAAGCGACCCAGCTCGCAGAGTCCCGCGAAAGCCACAGCAGGAAAAGACTTTGGAAAAGGAGTCGCAAACTCGGGGGGAACCCAGGCACTACCCGTTCTGCCTCACTTGATCAACTGCGAGAACCGGGAGCCCTGAGGGGACGACGCGCGCTGAGGAGAGGAACCGCGCGGGCTCCGGCCAAGTGCTGAGGGGAAGGAGCCGGGCTCTGAGGCGAGCTCGGCTGGCTCAGACGCCGGCGCCGACGTGCGGTCCACAGGGGGGCCTGAGGAAAAACTGCCGAGCCCGGTGGAAAACCCGAGCTCGGAGGGGCGGAGCCGTTGGAAGGAGGGGCGGAGGACGCGGAGGCGGAGAATAGAGCGCGGGGGCAGACCGGAAAAGGAGCTGAAGAAATGAGGGAGAGGAGCGGCCGGAATAATGGGAAGAGGAAACAGGCAACCCCGAGTGGCCGGGTAGCCGGAGAAGGGCCCCGCCGGGCGTGGGCAGAAGCCAGCTAAGGGGCAGCGGCACCTGTGGTAGAGTTGCGGGGGTTTCTTTCCGAGCGCGACGGTCAGGCAAGGCTAACGCGGCTGGCAGTATGGCCGGAGATGGCGGGTGGCGAGCCAAGCCGCCGCCTGCTCGCCTCCCTCACTCACTTGCAGACTGTCGGGCGCCGACACACACGCAATGAGGTCGTCAAAGCTGGTGGTCCCTACGGTAACAAACACGCACTTCATGGCGCGGGTTCCTCAAGCCCTGATCGCAAGGGCCGGATATGACGCAACTGAGGCCACGCACGTTGCAGTGACTGCCTTCTGTGAGGGAGGCGGAAATCCGTAATGGCCGCCAGGGGGCGGCGGGGCCCCGGGCTGTGTCACCGGTTGGGTGGGGCAAAAGACTATTGGTGGCCTAGGTACCAGCCACTGTTCTAAGCCCTTTATGTGTAGGAGCCAGCTCTTGAGACCCCTCACTATAAGGGAATGGGGAATTGCCAAATGTAATTAACTTTTTCAAAACTGATGGGTAAAAAAAAAAAACATCATACCCTAAGCATTGAGTTGGTGTCGTTGCGTGGGTACCACAATCTTTTAATGACAGACAAGTTTGAGATTTTTTTGTTTGCTGCCAGGTTTTGTCAAGATACATTTGAGAGATGGTTTTACTTCGAGTTGGCTAAGGGGATATGAAAAATAAAAGTGCCTTACCAGGCACAGTGGCTGTAATCCCAAGCTACTGGGAAGAATCACTTGAGCCCAGGAGTTAAGACTAGCCTGGGCAACATAGCAAAACCCTTGTCTCTAAAAATATTATTTTTTAGGCCAGGTGCCATCGCTCAAGTATGTAATCCCAGCACTTTGGGAGGCCAAGGCAGGTATATTATTGAGGTCAGAAGTTCCAGACCAGCCTGGGCAACATGGTGAAATCCTGTCTCTCCTAAAAATACAAAAATTAGCCGGGCGTGGTGGCAGGCTCCTGTAATCCCAGCTACTCAGGAGGGTGAGGCACGACAATTGCTTGAGCCCAGGAGACAGAGGTTTCAGTGAGCCCAAGATCCTGCCATTGCACTCCAGCCTGGGTGACACAGAATGAGACCCTGTCTCAAACAAACAAAAAAAATTTAATTAGCCGGGGGTGGGAGCACCCACCTGTGTTCCTAGCTAGTCAGAAGGCTGAGGCTGCAGTGAGCCATGATCACACCACTGCACTGCAGCCTGGACGACAGTGAGACCCCGTCTCGAAAAAATAAAAAAACTAAAAATAAAAGGCATCTTATAAGGTATGGGGTCTTGCTCTGTTGCCCAGGCTTGATTCTAACTCCTGGGCTCAAGCAGTCCTCCTGTGGCAGGCCACGTCTCACTAACGGAGGCCTCCATAACAACTGTTTCAGTACTGAGTGGTGAAGTTAATATTAAAAGCTAAAAAAAGCCAGTGCCCTTATACAAAGGCTGGAATGTAACTAAAGCCCACCAAGAGTTTTGCCTAGGCCTTTCCTGGGCCCTAAAGCATGACAAAATAACAAAGGAAGTCTTAACATTACCCATTTAGGATTAAACAAGTTTTATTGTGGGTCTGAAGAAACTCCCCAGGCCTCCACAAACAAGTTTGTTGGGAGTCCGAAGGAACTCCCCAAACCTCTGTGATTTAGCAGGAGACAAGATAAGGGTAATCACGCCAGCACCTGGACTCATTTAGATTTTTTTTTTTTTTTTTTGAGACGGAGTCTCGCTCTGTCACCCAGGCTGGAGTGCAGTGACACAATCTCGGCTCACTGCAAGCTCTGCCTTCCGGGTTCACGCCATTCTCCTGCCTCAGCCTCTCAAGTAGCTGGGAATACAGGCACCCACCACCACGCCCGGCTAATTTGTTGTATTTTTAGTAGCGACGGGGTTTCACCATGTTAGCCAGGATGGTCTCGAACTCCTGACCTCATGATCCACCCACCTTGGCCTCCCAAAGTGCTGGGATTACAGGCGTGAGCCACCGCACCTTGCCGGACCCATTTAGATTAAGTAAATTTACTGAGGCTCCAGAGGAAGATCTTCAAGATTCAGACCTTATTTATAGATTAAAAGAAGTTAATCACTTATGTCTTTAGATGAATGCACACTTACATGTAGACATATAGCTTAGAAGGTATATAAGCTCTGGAAAACATCGTGATTTTGAGTTGGTTTCGTGATAATATCCAGGCCTTTTCCCTGTAAACAGTTACAGAAATAAAAACTCTCTTCCTCCACAGTTTATCTGCATCTTGTTATTAGGTCACGAGAAATAGCAGCCCCACCCTCAGTTTGGTCCGAGAGCACTCCCGCCTCCGCCTCCACCTCCCAAGTAGCTGGGACTACAGGTGCATCAAAAGTGGCTTTTAGAAAATCACTCTAACTGGCTGGGCACGGTGGCTCACGCCTGCAATCACAGCACTTTGGGAGGCCGAGGTGGGTGGATCACAAGGTCAGGAGCTTGAGGCCAGCCTGGCCAGCATGGTGAAACCCCATCTCTACTAAAAATACAAAAATTAGCCAGGCACGGTGGCGGGCACCTGTAATCCCAGCTACTTGGGAGGCTGAGGCAGGAGAATCACTTGTACCTGGGAGGCGGAGGTTGCAGTGAGCTGAGATTGTGTCACTGCACTCTAGCCTGGGCAACAGAGCAAGATTCTGTCTCAAAAAAAAAAAAAATCGCTCCAACTTGGGCTCTTCTACCAACTGTGGTTCTCAGAAAACCAGGGCCCTCTAGGGTCCCCTGGAAGCTGCAAACAGTTAACCTCCATTAGCAAGCATGACTTGTAAAATAGAGGTGATAAAGCCTGAAGCATTGATCTACAATCTATTGAATTATTCCAGTGAACCATTTAAATATAACATTACACATTAGGACGATAAAGTACCACAGATAAATTACACTTAGGCAGGCACATATAGGAGAGGTTATTTCTCAAAACTCTCCTTTTTTCTCCTACCACCATCATAACCATTGTTAAGATAATTGCTCACTCTATCTCCTTCTAATGTTTTGTGTATTCCCTATTTAAAATATCACCTTAGCTCATATTTGTGCTTTGCCCTGCCTGGATATATACAGAAGAGAGGCTGTGAGAAGAAATTATTTTAAGGAGGAAAAGGATTGGAGGTAAATTGGGCCTAGAACATAGCCTGAGAAGACCCTTGGGCCTATTTCTACAGGATGTTTCCTTTAAATCTTGTAGCTTAGGCAGTTGTCCTTTTGAAGAGTAGCATGCACAATGGCAGGAAAACTCACCAGCTGCCTTTCTGAAAGTGACATCCAACAGAGACTTCTGGTTGGGACTTGGAAACTACCCAATCAGGACTCAGCTGTTTTCAACTAATGGGGACTACTTTTGAGTTGTTTATTTGCATACACAAACTTGATTAAGGGCTGGGAGGAGAACTTTCCCTATTTAAGCCAGACCCACTCTTTGTTCTTCGGAGCACTTAGTTTACATTGGAGGCTGTGTTCCCCCATCTGCAGATCTCGGGCTCTTAGGCTGAGGTCTCCGAGACTTTGTTTTCTCCAGGGAGCATGTTCACTTGCCTCTATGGGCCCTGTGGGGTACACTCACACTTCGTGGAGTACTTTTGCATTTTGCAATGTACTTGTGCTTGGTGGAGTATGCTCACATTTCAAGTTTTGTGGGGACACTCATGTTTCTGTTGTACTCAAAGGGATGCCTTTGTTATAGTGCCATGGGTAACCCATGTTCTAAGGTAATGGTCTCCAACCAGCCACCTTATGGTGCACTGATGACTTTTATATTTAAAAACCTATGGAGAAAATTCTTGTGCCTATTTAAGGCTCTGGATGAAACTTTTGGATTTAAAACTTCTTTGGCTACATTGGGGAGCTTTCTGTATCCCTAATCAAATTTATTTATGCCTGCAATTAGAACAAAGACGAATCTAGGCCTCTCAAAGACAATATAAGGCTTTCCTTAATAGGTACTATGAAAACTCCAAATGGAATCAAGAATTTCAGACTGCCTTCTTGAGAGAAACTAATTCCGAACTCAGTGCCTCCAAAAACTTGAAAATCCTCCTAGCCCAGATTCTGTTCCCAAGAAGGACTCAAACCCTTTGTTCCTCTTCCTTTCACTCCCTCTGCACTACCTCTACTTTATTCTCCTCTGCCACTACCTTCTTCACTTTCTGAACCTCCTTTTTTCTCCTCACTGTCTATCCCAGGCACACTACCCATAACCCCTCAACTCCTCTTATTGCCCCATTTAAAATAAGTGAAAATGTAGAGGGAGGTCAAACCATTTCTTACATTCCTTAGTCTAAATCTGAACTCTTGGCGATTGTCCTAAAACTGACTTCCTTGAATTTGAATGCCACTTTCATTTAATCGTAAGCGCATACTAGCCCAGACTCACCAAAATCTATCAATTAATTCACATGCTGGGGGTCATTTTTGTGGCTCAAACATGTATATGCCTAACTAAATGGATAAAACCTCCAGAGGACTGCCATTTCAAAAGGGACATGGCCATAACAAAAGCAAAGAAAATAACCTGTGATTTGTTAAAGGTCATTCCAGTGCTTTTTCTCTGGCAAATTAATTGGAAAGCCATTCAACGATTCACTCAAAAAAAAGATGAGTCTGCTTAGATTATTTTGACTGGTTCAAAAAGGCTTTCCAAGCTGGGTGTGGTGACTCACACCTGTAATCTCAGCACTTTAGGAGGCTGAGGCAGGAGGATCACTTGAGGTCAGGAGTTCGAGACCAGCCTGGCCAACATGGCGAAACCCTGTCTCTACTAAAAATACAAAAATTAGCTGGGCATGGTTGTGCATGTCTGTAGTCCCAGCTACTGAGGAGGCTGAGGCACGAGCATCACTTGAGCCCAGGAGGCGGAGGTAGCAGTGAGCTGAGATGGCACCACTGCACTCCAGCCTGGGCAACAGAGCAACTCTGTCTGAAAAAATAAAAATAAAAAAAAAATCTTTCCAGCAAAATTCTGGTGTCAAGGACTTAACAGAGGATACCATTAATCTTTTTGATTCTAGTTTTCTTTCAGGGCTTAACTGAACTCTTAATGCCTTAGTCAAACAACATTACCTCAATTGGACCTTTAAGAAACCCCACGAAATTGCCTCCTTGGCAAACTATCTCTCTAAAACTTTGTAAAGAGACAAAGAAAGAATAAATAAGACACTTGATTATCAGGAAAAGACCACCACGTTCATGGCCCTACATATTCAGCAATTTAAAAAACAATCACAGAACCAAAATGTTCTCAAGAGTCTGGGAAACAGGATCTATTTCTTTCGCAAGGGCTTTTATCACTACAAAAGAGATTATGAAATATACAAATGATGGCTTCAGAAGAACCCAGATAAAGCTAAGAAAAATGCAAGCTTTTTCTTCATTACAAGATTGGGGTGCTTCAGGGAGATAAAGGCAATCTTCTTCCTTCTGTGAACCAGCTGAAGAAGGTTGGTTTGCAAATAAATAACAAATTGGTCCAGGCGTGGATAGATACTGGTGCCACACTCTCAGTGCTAAACTCCAACTCTTTTTTTCAGATCGCCTTCCCTAGAGTAGTCAAACCACCCAAATGGTAGGGATCCCCAGCCAGCCAATGATAGTCAGGTGAAATCCAATTCCTTATCAGATAGGGCCCATCATTGGATACCATAGCTTTCTCCTCCCCTCTCTTCCCATACATTTATTAGCAAGGGCCTTCCTTGAAAAGAGTCAAGCCAACATCTTTTACCCATAAGGGAAATGTGTTATTTTAAGAATAAGCTCACCTGAGACCTCTACTTTTTTTTTTTTTTAAATAAGGTGGACTTGCTCTTTCACACAGGCTGGAGTGCAGTGGCACAATCGTGGCTCACTGCATCCTTGACTTCCTAAGCTCAAGTGATTCTCCTACCTCATCCTCCTGAGTAGCTGGGATCACAGGTGGGCGCCACTACAGCTGGCTAATTTTTTTACATATAGAGAAGAGGTCTCGCTATGTTGCCCAGGCTGGTCTTAAACTCCTGGGCTCAAGCGATCCTCCCCCCTTGGCCTCCCAATGTGCTAGGATTACAGGCATGAACCACTGCGCCCAGTCTAAGACCTCACTTATGTGTTTCCCTTGTGAGCCCCTGTCTGTCCAGCCATTTCTGAATAACCTACCTTAAGGGAATTATCTGAGACCCTATGGGCAAAAACGAATACCAATATCTGTCTTTTTCACTCAGCACCACCTATTTTCATTCAGATAGATCCTAACAATTCTCTTCTAAATGTGAAACAATACCCCCTCAATTCTGAGGCATTAGCAGGCATGGAACCGATCATTGATTATTTTATTTCTGAGGGACTCATTGTCCCCTGTGCTAGCCCATGCAATACCTCAATTTTACTCGTGCAGAAACATAACAGGAGAGGATGGAGGTTTGTTCAACAACTTAGAGCCGTAACCAATATTGTTATTCTTGACACCCCATTGTGCCTGATCCACCTACACTCTTACATAATATGCCTTCTGACACCCAATATGTCTCTACTCTTGACCTCTGCATTGCCTTTTTCAGCATCCCTGTTTACCTGAAAGTTTCTTTTCACCTTCATGTGGAGAGGCCAACAGTATACATGGACAGTGCTTCCTCAGGGATATACTGAGAGCCCTATCTATTTTTTCCAGATTCTTTGAGCAGACCTGAAAAAGATAACCTTTTTATAAGGTTCAACCCTTTTACAATATATTGATGATATGCTTTTATGTTCTCCCTCTCAAAACACTTACCCTGCTGACACTCTTCATTTTTTTTCTGCCAACTGACCCTCAATAAATGTCATAATGTCTCTAAAGAAAAATTACAATTTGGTCAAGATTCAATTAAATTCCTTGGATATGTATTAACTTCCTCAAGGCTAAGCCTTGATCCCTCTCACATTCAAGTTATCTTTTTCTTCCCCTTACTTGCTACAAAAAGGCAGCTCAGAGTATTTTTAGGGCCTGTGGATTATTGCAGAATATGGAACCTAATTTCTCTCTGATGGTACAACCCTTATATTCCTTACCTAAAGCCTCTTTTCCCCATTTCCTTGTCTGGATTACTGATGGTGAACAAGCTTTCCAAGTTTAAAAAACTCAATTGTCCACTACCCCTACCTATGACATCCAAATTATTATGATTTTCCCTTTTTGTGCATGAAGGAGAGGGTAACACATTAGGGGGTTTGCCTTAGCCCCTTGAGGGCAACGATCAACTGACTGGCTATTATAGCCAATAGCAGTACCCTGTGGCACAAGTATTGCCCCCCTATCTGAGAACTGTTGCTATTACTTCTATGCTTATAAAGGCCACTAAAAAATAGTCATACAGTCCCCTCTCACTATGTATGCCCCTCATTCCATTGAAAGCCTCCTCACTTTTCATCATACCCAACATCTTTCAGCCAGCCGATTGACCTATGAGATACTATTTTCTTTTTCTCCCAATTTAGCCATTGCCCACTGCAATCTATTAAAACCCTTTTATCATCTCCAGTGGAAGACATCCTGTGACTGTGTCAGTTTTACAGATACCCTCCTTTTACCCAGCATATACCCAAAGGAAATGCCTCTGCCCAATCTGGACTTTGTCTAGTACACTGATGGGTCTTCTCTCAAGAGCCCTGCTGGCTCTTACCTCGCAAGATACGCCATAGTTTCCCCAGCAGAGACTATTGAATAGGACCCCCTTCCCACGGTCTGGTCAGCTTAACAAGCAGAATTGCATGCCTTCACATGAGCCTGTTTGCTGGCTGGAGGCAAAACAACTAACATTTTATACAGATGGTAGATTCGTCTTTGGTGTTGCACATAATTTCGTATGCCCTGGAAACAATGAGGTTTTTTGACCTCCTCCAGACAACCTATTAAAAATAAAGATTTTTGTTTTGACACTTCTAAAAGCTATTCAGGCTCTATTATCTCTTGCTATTATCAAGATCCAAGGATACTCCCCTGAAAACTCTGAAGACAGTAAGGGCAATCATCTTGCTGATGCAGCTGCTGAAGCTACAGCCCTACAAGTAACTCCCTTGATCATGCTCATTCAATCCTCAGCCCCCATGCTTGCCCATTTGATTACCATTTTTCTAGACTTTTCACATCTCAGAAAGCAGTTTCATATCTTGAAAGGGGGAAATGGATGAAACAAAGTTGCACATTTAACTCCCAAACAAGATTATGAGAAGGGACAAATAGACATCCAATCCTCCCTAGCAGTCTACAGACACAAACAGACCTTTATACATAACCTAATTCACTACAATCTGGATACAGTGAATAAATGGGTCAGACAATACTTCGGAGAAATTTCCCCAACAGTTGCTTTTTAGGTATACAAACTTTGTAGCCTCTGTCCCCAATATACTCCAGGTGAACCCCTAAAATGTCCTTCAGGCCAAGTATCACTTCCCAATGGCCTTTTTGCAGAATGGCAGCTTGACTTCATCCAATTACCCCCATCTCATGGATACAAAAATGTCCTTATAATGGTTGACATGTATTTCCATTGCGTTGAAGCTTTCTCCTGCAGACAGACTACGGCCATGTCAGTAGCCAAAGTACTCCTTGAAAAGATCATTCCTCTTGGGGAATTCCAACTGAGCTATATAGTAACCAAGGAACTCATTTAACTGGCCAAGTATTAGCAAAAATTTGGAACATTTAGCCCATTCTGCAGCATTTTCATTATGCATACCACTCCAGTCTTTTGGGCTGGTTAAATAGATAAATGGGGTTATAAAAACCCAATTTGTGAAGATCCCAAGTACTTTTAACCTGCCCTGGCATAAGGCCCTCCCATTGGCATTGCTAGTTTTACAATCCACACCTAGTAGGAAACACTGTCTCTCCCCTTTTGAGATCGTTGCCGGTCTGCTCATGCACCTGGTTGAAGAAACGTTTTCCCTGCTCGGTTACAGGGAGACTTCCTAACCTACTACCAATGCCTTGTCAAAGCTTTAAAGACTAACCGCCACAAGGTTGTGGAATCCTTTTACAGGCCCAAATCAGATAGTGACCTCTGGCATCGCAGCCTCCAGCCTAGTGATTATGTACGTTGGTAGAGACATCAATTGAAAGATTACCTTCAGCCTTGTTGGAAGAAGCACTCTTTTCAGGTACTGTTAATCAATCTCTGTGCTGCCAAGTTACAGTGTATTGACTCTTGGATACATATATCTCACCTAAAAATGGCACCAACTCCTGGAGAATCTTGGACATAAATGCCAGTGTTTAATACCAAATTCAGATTACTAAAACCCCATCTCCAGGCCAAGAAGACAACATCTAAGGTTGACAGCTAACCCAGGACACCAGACCAGGACTGTATGAGTAATATGCTCAGCCCTTACATTTACTTTATTTCTGCCTTGATTGTCATAGCTTTGGGAATTCTCTGTATTTTAGACATTTTTTTTGACATGTTAAAATTTAAAATAGTTCCTAGACAGGGCAGTTCCAGACGAACATCCTGTTTGCGCCTCTGAGCTAAGGCAGTTCCTGTAACCAGTAATTGGAGCTGAGACACAGTGGCAGGAAAACTCCCACCAGCAGCCTGAAAGGAGCATCCAACAGAGACTTCTGGTTCTGGCTTGAAAACTACCCATCTGGGACTCAGAAGTTTTCAACGAATTCGGGCTGAAAGAGTTTGAATTCTTCATTTGCACATATGGACCTGATCGAGGGCTGGGGTGGGAACTTTCCCAATAGCATGCTTTCAGTTTACAACAGAGGCTGTGATTGTTTTTTTAGAAAATAAAACTCTTCGGCCAGGCGCAGTGGCTCACTCCTGCAATCCCAGCACTTTGAGAGGCCAAGGCAGGTGGGTCACATGAGGTCGGGAGTTCGAGACCAGCCTGACCAACATGGACAAACCCCGTTTCTACTAAAAACACAAAATTAGCTGGGCATGGTGGTGCATGCCTGTAATCCCAGCTACTCGGGAGGGTGAGGCAGGAGAATCGCTTGAACCCGGGAGGTAGAGGTTGCGGTGAGCCAAGATTGCACCACTGCACTCCAGCCTGGGCAACAAGAGTGAAACTCTGTCTCAAAAAAAAAAAAAAAAAAAAAAAAAGAGGAAAGAAAAGAAGACTCTTCTTTGTTTTGTTTTTTCCTTTGCAGACCTCATGGTCTTTTGTTAACAAAATTAGTGATAACGGTGAAACTAGTTTTATAACAATAAATATAGAAAGGTCATGGTTGAATAATGAAACAAGCACAGTCATTTTCTGCCCAAAGAGAGAATAAAATATGAATATTTAGTGAAATATAAAGACAAAAATATTCAAACGTATTACCTATCCTAAAAAAAAAATTCTAGGACTTAAGATTTCTACACATGAATCAGAGACTATAATGCCTTATTTGCTATGAATTATACCACAAAGCACAATAAGCTACAGAAACCATTTCTTATATGTGGGCTAATAAAGAAATACATTAACTATTAAAATAAAACTCTAAAAATAGTTTACAAAACAACTTCTAGCTGATACATTAGAATAGAAGCAGAATAGACCAATGTGTCCTACATATTACACCACGCCGCTACTCTAGCTATATGACCTCCAAGAAATCATTTAACCTCTCTTGAGCCTCAGTTTTCTCACTTATAATGAAAATAACAGATTCAGATTAGGTCTTTCAACTATACACTCTGTGACTCTAAGAGCAAATATTCTGCTGTTTGATAACAAAGGAAAAAGTAAAATTCTTAATACATAATATAAATCCATATTTAATGTTAATGTCATATCTTGTACTGATCATATTGATTCTTATATTTATAAATAACATTTGTATGGCACTTTACAGTTTTATTAAATGTCTTCATGTTCATCATCATATTTTAATCACACAGCTTCCCTATGGAGTAACAGAATGGGAGAAGTTAAGCTGTTTGCTCGAGATCACATGGCTAGGAAGCAACTTACTGAAGAAGTCCAGCTCTTGAGCTGCTTAAGCCTGGGCAGGTCTTTTCTTGCCTCCCAGAGGTAAATCAAAGCAACCAATGAACTTTAACTTTGTACACTCTGTTTCATTTGTTATTCTCCTTCCTGGATTATTTTGGGGGTTATTATTTTATTTCTAATTTATACATGACCATTAAGTTATTCCCATTTGGTGCAGCAATAGCTGGGAATCTGATATCATCGCATGATTATTCAATCTCTGCATTAATAGGTTATATAGATTAATAGCAATGTATTATAAAGGAGTATTTCCTGTTAGGCAAGAGAAAACAGAATTCCCTTATGAGTTTTGTTTGTCTGCCAATTTTGTCTTCAAGTCAATTAAAAATTTATGCCATCAGGAAGAAGAATAGCTTTTTGATATCAGGATTGGCAAATATTTGTGTTTCTGTGTTTAATCTTGATCTGTGGCTGAAGTTGTAGATCTGAAGTTATAAGTTCTCTGTGAATCTGTGTGGCTGTAATTCAGAAAGACCTTTACGTCTCATTGAATCTGTGAAACTTTTTCCTATAAGATATTAAATTAGTCTATGGCCATACCACCCTGAATGTGCTTGATCTCATCTGATCTCGTGAAGCCAAGCAGGGTGGGGCCTAGTTAGTACTTGGATGGGAGACTTCCTGGGAATATAAGCTGCTGTTGGCTTAAAAAAATTTTTTTGTATATTAAAAATAAAAAAATAAAGGAGCACTGTTCTGATTAGAGAACATAAGTACATAAAGTACTTATGTTAAGTTCCCAGAAAACAAACAAATTGACTTATAATACTTTAAATGTACTAGACTTTAACAAAACATCTCTTACAGAAACTAATTCAGAAACCAAGATTACATAATTAGCATTATTTTGACAATTATGGTTTTTTCTGATTGATTAGTGTAAAGTAAAATACAAGGATATATTGTATTTTACTTGGATTTCTTTTTCCTAAACTTGCATAGGTTTACTGATCAAATAAGTTAACATTATTCCAAAAAATGTTTTTGATTATAAAAGAGGTAAAGTTGTATTCAAGAAAATGAAATCATTACTCTGACAAATTTTATATCAACAGCTATTATGCTTTGAAGTAGGCCAGATTGAAGATTATTTCCAAGATCTTTAAGCAACTCAAAATCATGGACTGACATTACATTGAGTTAATTAATGGGTAATCATTGGACAGAATTTTTTTTTTTTGAGATGGAGTCTCGCTCTGTCGCTCAGGCTGGAGTGCAGTGGTGCGATCTCGGCTCACCGCAACCTCTGCCACCTGGGTTCAAGCAGTTTTCCTGCCTCAGCCTCCTGAGTAGCTGGGATTACAGGTGTGCACCACCACGCCCAGCTAACTTTTGTATTTTTAGTAGAGATGGTGTTTCACCATGTTGGTCAGGCTGGTCTTGAACTCCTGACCTTGTGATCCACCCGCCTCGGCCTCCCAAAGTGCTGGGATTACAGGTGTGAGCCACTGCGCTCGGCCTAGCTTCTACTTTTAATCCTTTACAATATCACATATTAAGTAACCTATGGAAAACAACACTGTATACTCATGAGAGAATGAGAGTCAAAAGGGCAGATGACATCTCATTATTACGAAAATTGTTTTGACCTCACAGATCCTCTAAAACAAATATGAAAGAGCAGAAAGAAAAACAAAACTTGGAAAGTGCATTTTATTTGCCTTGATTTATAATACCTGAGTCTGAAAAGAAGCTATTAAATATAGTAAGATAAAATTTACAATGGTCCCTCAGTTTAGTTGGGTTTGCTTCCTTTATTTAGAAATTAATGCTTCCACTTGCAATGTAAAAAGTTAATCTTTATCTTCTGTGTAATCTGTGTAAATAGAAGAGATTCTGTGCCTTTCAAGAAAAATGTTCTATGATTAAATTGTCTTTATTGTGTCCTTATCTATGGGAAAAAAATCCCATAGAGCATATGGTTTTTACTTATGAAATAATGAACATTTTTACAATAGTGTTACCTTCTGTGTTTTTTCCAAATGCTTTATTTTTACTTTGATTAAATAGGTAAAGAAGTATTATTTCTTAGACTCTTATGATCTCACCTAATCAACTCCACAACTCTTAATTTTGCCCTCCCAAAATCAGTTTCTAAATTTGATCAAATAAAATAAACATTTCAGGTGGTATATATATATATATATATAATGTATATATATATAATGTATATATATATATAATGTATATATATATAATGTATATATATATATAATGTATATATATATAATATGTGTATATATATATATAAATATATATATATATATATAATGTAATTGTTTGTTTTTGAGACGGGGTCTTGCCCTGTCCCCCCCATGCTGGAGTGCAGTGGCACGATCTTGGCTCGCTGCAACCTCCACCTCCCAGGTTCAAGCAATTCTCCTGCCTCAGATTCCTGAGTAGCTGGGATTACAGGCACGTGCCACCACGCCTGGCTATTTTTGTATTTTTAGTAGAGATGGGGTTTCGCCATGTTGGTCAGGCTGGTCTTGAACTCCTGATCTTGTGATCTGCCCGCCTCGGCCTCCCAAAGTGCTGGGATTACAGGTGTGAGCCACCGCGCCTGGCCCTTTAGGATATATTTTATACCTAAAACTAAAACTTTTAACCTAAAACCACTGAAATTTCTCAGAGGGCCTTTGGAAAATCACAGAGATTCATTATTTGACCTTATAAAAAGAGATGTTGGAAATAGTTGTTAGATCAAAAAAGATACTCAGCCCTCTCTAAGTTGTTTTAATAAAATGTTATTAATATAAGCCCGGGCGTGGTGGCTCATGCCTATAATCCCAGCACTTTGGGAGGCCGAGGCGGGCGGATCACCTGAGGTCAGGAGTTCGAGACCAGTCTCAACATGGAGAAACCCCGTCTCTACTAAACATACAAAAATTAGCCGGATGTGGTCGTGCATGCCTGTAATCCCAGCTACTCAGGAGGCTGAGGCAGGAGAATCGCTTGAACCTGGGAGGCGGAGGTTGTGGTGAGCTGAGATCACGCCATTGCACTCCAGCCTGGGCAACAAGAGCGAAACTCTGTCTCAAAAAATAAAATAAAATGTTATTAATATAAATATTTCAGAAATTGTGTGCTTTATGGGAAGTCCCTGGCAATTTTCAGTGCCCTACCTGTCCATAATGATATTTTACTTTCAGGTGTAACCCTGATCAAAACTGGTATGTGTTACTATCGTGAAAGTTGCATGGGAATAATTGTTATGCAGAAGTGACATTCAATCTTCCCTAAGTTTGTTTTGATAAAATGTTATTAATATAAATATAAAACCCAGGTTTTCCATTTCTTCTAAAGAAATATATACCCTTACCCAGATAATATAAACATGTGGCTATTTCTTAGAATCTAAAGGAAATATGGAAAATAAAGTAGCATAAGTTATTATATGATAAAGGTGGTTTCATACCCATTTTATATAACAGGATATGTTTTATTTTAAACATTTAGAAGGAATTTGGAATGAATGTATCACATATTCATTTATTTATAATCTTTACATTTCTTTGTTATTGCTCTTGCTATTAACCTCTGCCGCCTCATCAATGTGGCTAACTATTCCTTCAAGATTCATCAGAGGTGTAATTTACTCCAGGAAGCCTTTCTCCACCCCTTTTAAGATTGTGCCCATTTTGTGCCACCAGTAGCACTCTTTGCCTACCTCTGTCATAATTCTTGATGTTTAAATCACCTGTATACTTTTCTCCTCTTTTGTATTGTAAAATCTTAAAAGATGGAGACCATATTTAAAACATCTCTAAATTCCCAGCATTTAGTGCTATTCCTGGAACCTAGATGATACTCGATAATGTTTATTGAACAAAAAATAATTAAATTACTAGGTACTTAATGGGATACCTAGGCCTGTTGGGATTACAAAGATAAATAAAACATAGTTCCTATTCTATCCCAACAATAGCTGATTTGTCTTATTCATGCGTTGATTAATGGTTTGTGAAATTTCAAAAGATTTAACAAAAAAAAACCTATGGAACCCATTATTTTTATTTTATGGACAATAAGCAGAAGCTCAAATCAATAGTTTTTTTTTTTTTCAAGATTATACTGGTAATAGCAGAGCTAAGGCTTGACTCCAACCCTCCTGATGCCTGTTCTGTGCTGCTCTACACTATGCTGACCTATCCTTTAATGAAGAACCTTCAATAATGGCATATGCATTAAAATATAAAGTAATATAACTTTGAAAGGATGATAAATCATAAATGTTTCTTCTTAATCTTTTAAACACAGCACATTGCAGAATCCTTGAGGTGACTTTAGATTTATTTCTTTAATTTTCCATCATTCATCAAAACTTTCTGTATACTTTTTTCTTTATTATTATAGTAAATGTCTTTGAACAAAGATGAAAAGTTTCAAGTTATAAAACCCACTTATAATCTCCACTTTGTGGATGTTTATGTTCTTAAGAAGTTGCCAAAACCTAACCTATATATATATATATATAGGGGAGTTTATTAAGTATTAACTTACACAATCACAAGGTCCCACAATAGGATGTCTGCAAGCTGAGGAGCAAGGAGAGCCAGTCCGAGTCCCAAAACTGAAGAACTTGGAGTCTGATGTTTGAAGGCAGGAAGTATCCAGCATGGGAGAAAGATGTAGGCTGGGAGGGAGGCTAGGCCACTCTCTCCTTTTCACATTTTTCTGCCTGCTTTATATTGGATGGCAGCTGATTAGATTGTGCCTACCAGATTAAGGGTGGGTCTGCCTTTCCCAGCCCACTAACTCAAATGTTAATCTCTTTTGGCAACACCCACAGAGACACACCCAGGATTAATAATTTGTATCCCTCAATCCAATCAAGTTGACACTCAGTATTAACCATCACATTATTATTATTGGCAACTGTCTTACTTTTAGGAACACCAAAATAATTATTTTCTAGCTATATTGGTCAAATCCAGAGTTAAAATAATACTATAATAGAGTCAATTTCTGGACAACCTCAAGATTGTTCAATTTATTAATTGATATTTTTATTGAAATTATCTTTAAAATGTTTACAGTAGGTTGCTTTGTTTCTCAAGATTCTAGCAAGTAAAACAAAGGGCTCCTTTCACCCAAGGGTATGCAAGAGAACTGGAAAAATCAAGATTCAAAAAGGATTAAATAATGGCAATTTTGTAAGAATAAATGTGTTGCGATTCTTTTGAAAGAAAGAAACTGATTTGGATACATGAAAAAAAGATATGAAGGAAATTTTTAAAAATATGAAGTAGCAAAACAGTCAGCTGAAATAAATCAGATGAGTCTCAGCTTAAAAAAAGCAACTGTGCAGTACAAAATTGGAGTTTATTGGACTATAATAAATGAGAGTTGGCTGTATCACTACTTGTGTCACCAGAGGAAGAGAGAGAAACTAATTTTTGTTGAACACTCCTAATGTGCCAAGCATTGTGGTAAACACATTACATGCTTGATCTGATTTTATCCAACTAAAATTTAAAGATTTTTATAAAATCAATCTTTACATGAAATTGCTGCTTATAGAAAATTATACTACAAATCATATTAAAGCTACAATATTACTGAAATAATTAAAATAAACTCGTGTTTGTTTGGTTTTTCTTTGAGACAGGGTCTTGCTCTGGGGTGGAATGGCGTGATGATGGCTTAGTACGGCCTCAACCCTCTGGGCTCAAGTGATCCTCCCATCTCAGCCTCCTGAGTAGCTGGGATCACAGGCACATGCCACCACACCTGGCTAATTTTTTATTTTTTTGTAGAGATGGGGGGGGGTCTCATTATGTTGCCTATGCTGTTCTAGCCACCGAATCCTGCCCTCTTGTGATTGTTTTTTTTTAACCACACATCCTTCCTAGGCCACAATGACAAAGATTAAAAACCATGAAAGGATCTCTTTAAGTAAAATCCAATTGAATATGGAGCAAGTCACTTTGGTCAAACATTTAACTCTATTACGGTGACTACTAGGCTAAATATATCTCATTACCAAGTATTTTGAAAAGGAGGAAAATATATTTATGTGAACTTGATTATATGAGTATATGCCTCCTGTATGGATCAGTGATGTTATTAACTAATCCCCTGATTTGTAAAATTATCTTAATCAACTAAGCTACAAATGATAAAATGTTTGATGAAAGGAGACTGAGTATAGTCTGAGTATAGCCCCTTTAATCAATAAGCACTCAAAATCTAGACCTTGCTCTGAATCTGTTGTATAATAAAGGGCTAGTGCTTAAATGAGACAGGATGTATTATGATTTGGAAGTTTCTTAAGAAATTTTCAAAAAGGTTCAGTCATACCCAGACCTCAGCATCACACAATATAACTTTGAGACAAACCTGCACATGTACCCCCCGATTCGTACATAAAAGTTGAAAAAGGAAAAAAAAGTCTGAATTGTGTTAGTTTGTTTCAATCCTCCTTAATTTTTACTATCATACAGCAAAAATAAGAGAATGTAATATACCATTGTTCGTAAATGTCAAATGCACATCCGTATCACTTAAAACAAGTTCATTCAAAGATATTCATTAAGCACTTACTATGTGAAAGGCCCTCTGCTATGCACAGATGTACTAGACAGTTTACAGTCTAGAGGATACACACAAACATGAATGCAAACATATTTTTATAAACTGTGGTAAAGAACAGAGCCATGCAAGAGAGCAGGCGATGTGTAGCTGGGGTGGGGACCAACTTTAGATTTAATGGTCAGGGAAAGCTTCTTGGCAGAAGTGACATTTAAGCTGAGGCTTGAAAAATAAGGAGCCAACCAGGAGAAGACAGAGGGAATAATCTTCCAAACAAAGTGAATAGAATGTGAGCAGGCCATCAGAGAAGGGGCTTTTCTTGTTTGAACTAAGAAATGAAAAAGGACAGTATGTGTAGAGCACAATAAGCAAAGGAGCCAGCAGACAGCTCAACAAGACCTACAGGTCATGGGAAGGAGTTTGATTTCTATTCCTCAAGAATTGAGCAAGTGGCAAATGTGGCAACATATTTAGATGGCTTTTACTTGTCTTAAAAATTATCATTTCCAGATTAGAACATGCACACAACACAACCCAGAATAATTAAGCTAAGCCCAAGTGTATTGTTCAAGGGAATAACTCCTTTAAAAAAAAGTGTTTTTTAGAGACAGGGTCTTGCTCTGTTGCCCAGGCTAGAGCGCAGTGGTCCCATGATAGCTCACTGCAACATCGAACTTCTGGGCTCAAGGAATACTCCCGCCTCAGCCTCCCAAAGTGCTGGGATTACAGGTGTCAGCCACTGCCCCTGGTCCTGTTCATGGGAATAATTCATTTTAAAACTAAAATGTTAATTTTATTAAATTAATGCCATATGCACAGATTTTAAAAAATAGTCTACTGAGAAAATCCCATCTCTCTCCATTTCTAATTCTCACTACTGAAGGGCAATAACTTTAAACAGTTTTCGCTATTCCCTATGGTGTTTACTACCATGTTTCCATATAACATGCTTGTATTGCTATATCTTGATTGTTCAGCTTTAATCTATTGATATTTTTATTACAATAGGTGACAATTAGGCTCTCTTATACAGCCATAAACACATACTGTCTTTCCTCTCAGAATATTCACATCACAATTTTTGGTGAAATCAATATTTAGTGGTTATATTACTATGACTTTGTAAACATTTTTCAGAGTTTAACCATGTATTGAGTATAACATTTCCTTCCCTATAAAAATTTTGTCATGTTTTATTTAATTTTTATTTGCTCAGGATTTTCTCTATGAATCTATCACTCATTCTCAAACAGATCTTCCCAAATGATCTGTATATCTTCCCTTTGTATGTTCAAATACATCAGATTATCAATAACTTTCTTTTTTATTATTAGTAAAGATGTCTGTGCTAGATATTTTTGTCCTTCTCCAATGTGAACTGGTTTAGTCCTTATGAATAGCTGTCCTCTGGGATTTCCCCTCACCCTTATCCTGAAAATCTCTTTTGCCCATCTCTTATGTCAGATTCTGTTTTCTGGACTCTTGTCTTCCTCACTTTCGATTTAACTTCCTCATTTTGGTGGGCAAATATCCTCCAGTGACTTCACGAGAAAAAATGGTCAATTTTTTAGATTTTACACATCTGAAAACACCTTGTTCTAATATTTCATCAGATTGTTAGTTCAACGGATATATAATTCTAGATTGGTGTATGTGTTTTCTAATGCTACTGTAACAAATTACCACAAATTCCGTGGTTGAAAATGGTACAAGTTTATTATCTTTCCATCACAAATGTGAAATCACTTTCAATGATCAAGGTGTTGGCAACACTGCTTGCTTCTGGAGGCTCTATTGAAGAATCCTTTTTCTTGTTCTTTACGGTCTCTAGAGGATGCCTGCATACTTTGGCTCATGGACCTTTCCTCCATCTTCAAAACATATTACTCCAACCTCTGGTTCAGGTTTCACATCTTACTTTGGTCCTCCTGTTACAAGGGCCCTTGTGATTACTTCAGCCCCACCCAGATGATCCAGGATCATCTGCCCATCTCACAATCCTTAATTAATTGCCATCTGCAAAATCCCTTTTACCATGTCAGGTAACATATTCATAGATCCATGGATTAGGACATCTTTGGGTGGGGGTTGGGGGGACATTATTCAGCCTACCACAGTTGGCAATTATTTTCCCTCAGAACTTGTCTTCCGGAGTCTAGGGATACAATTGAGAAGTGCGTACTTAATATTATTTGCAATCCTTTGTATATGACCTGTTTTTTTCTCTCTGGAAGATTTTAGAATCTTCTCTTTATTCCATCTTCTGAAACTTCACTGTCATGTACATTGGTGGACCTTTTCTATCTGTATTCTCATCTGTATTAGTCCATTATCGCATTGCTATGAAAAACTACCAGAGGCTAGCTAATTTATAAAGAAGAGAGATTAACTCATGGTTCCACAGGCTGTACAGGAAGCATGGCTGGAGAGGCCTAAGGAAACTTACAACCATGGCAGAAGGCAAAGAGGAAGGAGGCATTCTTTGCATGGTTGGAGCAAGAGGAAGAGAGGGAAGGGGGAGGTGCTTCACACTTTTAAACAACCAGATCTCATGAGAACTCACTGGCTATCACAATAGCAAGGGGGAAGTCTGCCCCCATGATCCAATTACCTCCCACCAGGCCCCTTTTCCAACATTGGAGATTACAATTGGACATGAGATTTGGGCAGGGACACAAATCCAAACCATATCATCATCCTAGAGTGCTAGGAATTTTCTTTGTATTATTTATTTAATAATTTATTTTTTTCTACTTTCCCTAACCTCACTTTCTAGAACTTCTCTTGCTGTAATTTGGCCCTGCAGTACCAAATCCTTGCATTTCCTCATCTTTTCTCTATTATTTTTCATTTCTTTTTCTGTTCATTCTAGTCTCTAGAAGATCTCCTCAACGTTAAATTTGTATTCTATTTATTTTCTAGATTTCTGCTATAATATTTTGACCTTCTAAGAGCTCCTTCTCATTCTTTAAAAGTTCCATTTTATAGCATGCTAATCTTGTGTCTCTAACGTATCTTCTTGTATCTTTCTAAAGAATATTATTAATTATATTTTAAGTCCTTTTTTTCATTCCCTCTGTTTTCTCTTTTCCCTTTGACTTCTGTTGTCATTATTGTTGTTTTGGTCTCTTTCATTTTAGAAAGTGTCCTCAATGTCTAGTGATTTAGCCACCATAAATAAAAGTGAGGTGCCAAAATGATGATTGGAAATTATGTCTAGATTTTTGAGCTTCACTGAAGAGTAACTGGACAGAAATCCAGTGTTCAATAGGAAAACCCCAAACATCAGTATATGTAAGGCTTTACTTTAGAGATACTCTGTTTCTCGAGAATCCTCCAATCTCCTGCTGAGCTGCCAATATCTTAGAAACCAAGTGGCAGGCCAGGTGCAGTGACTCATGCTTGTAATCCCAACACTTTGGGAGGCTGAGGTAGGAAGATGGCTTGAGCTCAAGAGTTCAAGACCAGCCTGGGCAACATTGCGATACCCCACTTATACTAAAAAAAAAAAAATAGCCAGGCCATGCGTGGTGGCTCACGTCTGCAATCCCAGCACTTTGGGAAGCTGAGGTGGGTGGGTCACCTGAGGTCAGGAGTTCAAGACCAAGCCTAGCCAACATGGCAAAACTTTGTCTCTACTAAAAATACAAAAATTAGCCAGGCATGGTGGTGCACGTCTGTATTCACAGCTACTCTGGAGGCTGGGGGAGAAGAATCGCTTTAACCCAGCAGGCAGAGGTTGCAGTGAGCCGAGATCTCACCACTGCACTCTAGCCTGGGCAACAGAGAGAGACTCCATCTCAAAAAAAATGATAAATAATAGCCAGACATGGTGGTGTGCACCTCTGGTCTCAGCTACTCAGGAGGCTGGGAAGATTGCTTGAGCCTGGGAGATTGAGGCTGCAGTGAGCAATGATCACATCACTGCATTCCAGCCTGGGTGATGGAGTGAGACAGTCAAAAAAGGAAGGAAGGAAGGAAGGAAGAGAAAGAAAGAAAAAGAAAGAAAGAAAGAAGAAGAAGAGAAAGAAAGAAAGAAGAAGAGAAAGAAAGAAAGAAAGAAAGAAAGAAAGAAAGAAAGAAAGAAAGAAAGAAAGAAAAAGAAAGAAAGAAAGAAAGAGAAAGAAAGAAGAAGAGAAAGAAAAAGAAAGCAAGCAAGCAGCAGAAAGGTGCTTAGGCTGGGGGTGTGGAATTAGGGTGGGGGTGTCTTACCTTTTAGTATATAGAGACTCAATCCCCATTTTCATTACAGTTCATCATCCCAGCCCTCAGCTATGCCTGTTTATATGACTAGAGCTTCTTTTCTGGAGAGATGATTTAATTACTCCAGAAAATAAAACTTGAATCTTTTGTTGAAAGGGACAAGGGACTCTTGAGATCTAATTTCTTCTTTTTTATTTTTTTTAATCTTGTATGTATGTATGTATGTATTTATTTTTGAGACAGAGTCTTGCTCTTGTTGCCCTGGCTGGAGTGCAATGGAGCGATCTTGGCTCACTGCAACCTCTGCCCCACAGGTTCAAGCCATCTCCTGCCTCAGCCTCCCCAGTAGCTGGGGTTAAGGTGTCCACCACCACACCCAGCTAATTTTTGTATTTTTAGTAGAGACGGGATTTCATCATGTTGGCCAGGCTCGTCCCAAACTCCTGACCTCAGGTGATCCACCTGCCTCGGCCTCCCAAAGTGCTGGGATTACAGGCCTGAGCCACCACACCCGGCCTGATCTAATTTTTTCTTGAGTTGGACTTTCAATCAATTTTCCTTTTTTCAGCTTTCCATTTACCCTGTACCTCAGAAGTATACAGTACCTCTAAGAACTGAGCCCATCACCACCAGCCTCAGGTTTCAGCTTTCTCCAATTATGCTGGTTTAGCACTCATCTCATATATTGTGTTCCAGCCTCTGAATTTTTGACGAATTTACTTGTTTTCTGTTGTCTTCTCTCTTGTTCTCTTTATCCTTCTGCATTTTTGGGTGGGGGAGTGGTGGGGAGAGAGTCTCACTCTGTGGCCCAGGCTGGAGTACAGTGGCGCAATCTTGGCTCACTGCAACCTCCACCTCCCGGGTTCAAGCAATTCTACCACCTCAGCCTCCCAAGTAGCTGGGATTACAAGTGTGTGCCATCATGCCTGGCTAAATTTTTGTATTTTTAGTAGAGACGACTATGTTTCACCATGTTGGCCAGGCTGGTCTCGAACTCCTGACCTCAAATGATCCGCCCTCCTCGGCCTCCCAAAGTACTGGGATTACAGGCATAAGCTACTGTGCCTGGCCCCTTCTGCATTTTTTTAGAGATGAGGTCTTGCTATGTTGTCCAGGCCAAAGTGCAGTGGCTATTCACAGATGTAATCATAGCACACTACAGCCTCTTAACCCCTGGCCTTAAGTAATCCTCCAGCCTCAGCCTCTGGAGTAGGTGTGCATCACCATGCCCAGCATCCTTCTGCATTTATACTGCATTTGTCCTTCTGCACCTTACAAAATTTTTTACTGTTATTTTAGTGGAACCTCATGAAACAGCAGAGATAAATGCATGTGTTCAATCTGCCTTGTCTAACTGGAAGTTTATAGCACATTCTATATTGAGAAATAATATGGCCAAAAGCTGATAACACTAAGGGTGTGAAAATAAGAAGCCCACTTTGCAACACAAACGTGAAAATCTGTTTCAGAGAAAGATGAAATTTAAAAATTCTATAAGCCATATATATGACTATTCACTGCTCTGTGAAAAGCAAAAGGTCTGTTGCTATAGAAAACTGGATTACATGAATTTTCAAATACTTAAAATTATAGATAAGTCAATAAATCAACATAAAATATATGGGCTTGTCTAGTGATTTGTGGATACAGAATGTATTGAGTGTATTTTATGAAAATTGCCTTTAGACATTAATTGACCTCATTTAGGAACCTTAAGAAGCATGCTATTTAGTGACTCATTGGAACAGCTCCAGATTGGAAGGATGGAGCAGGGCATTTAATGTTGTAGATTTATGAAATAGGTGAATTGCAGACACAGTTTTTAAAAAAATTTTCAGACAGAACTTAAGTATTTTTAAAAAAGAGTCTGCATGGTCTTCCTCTATCATAATCCTGACCACACCCCAGCCTGTATATAAATTTGAGTAAAAAGGTACAGTAAGAGCAAAGAAGTGAGTGAGTTGCACACAATACAATGACTAACATTTATTGACCTGTATCGAGTGTTTACTATGCACCAATAATTGTGCTAAACATTTTTCATATATTATTTAATAGCAAATCATTAGTGATTATTTGATAAATATATTTAAGCAGTAAAAAAGGAAGGACAAATGAGAAAGGAGGAGGAGAGAGGTTGCAAACACCACCAAAGATTTATGGTGTTCTCATTTTCTTTCCATCCCCATGCCTTCCAATCTCAAGGGCTGTTCTAGACTTATTTATATTCACAGCATAATTTTGAACGTTATCGTGCTTTTTGGTGTTCTTTTAGTATGTTAATATTAAATAGTTCATCTTAGCTACTTGAATTTGAAGATTAATGATTTGAAACTTCAGGCAGGAGCTTTGATTTTGCATATGTAGTAAATGCTCAAATCACACATAGATTACAGTTTTCTAAAATATACCATCAGATACTTTGTAAAAGAAGAGAGAGAATAAAAGGAGACAGAGAAGAAAGAGAAAACTGCCAAGGCATTACTACGATTTTAAAATCTGTTTTTGAAAGCAATGTGGCTGCTGTTTCCAAAATGACCAAACTTTAAAAAGTCTTAAATAATATTAGCCTGAGAAGACTTAATACATATCCAGTCAAACAAATTAACAAGAATGCATAAGTCCGGAACATGTATAAAATTGGTCTAGGATTAATGGAAATAATCTAGAGATAAAATGAGAATATAAATAATTCTCCAAAAGACTAGTAAGATATACTTGAGCCTACAGATTATTTAAGAATCAGAATTTCCGTTATTCTTTTTTATTGTTAAAGAAGAGGCCGGGTGTGATGGCTCATGCCTGTAATCCCAGCACTTTGGCACTTTGGGAGGCCAAGGTGGCGGGCGGATCACCTGAGGTCAGGAGTTCAAGACCAGCCTAGCCAACGTGGCGAAACCCCATCTCTACTATACAAAAAAAATAGCCAGTCTTGGTGATGCACACCTGTAATTCCAGCTACTTGGGAGGCTGAGGCAGGAGAATTGCTTGAACCTGGAAGGCGGAAGTGGCAGTGAGCCGAGATCGCACCACTGCACTCCACCCTGGGTGACAGTGAGACTCCGTCTCAAAAAAAAAAGAAGGTAGATTTCTTTCTTACTTAATTATTATCTACTGAGTGCCTGCTTTGTGCAAGGCATTGTGATAAGCATTATGGAGGGAAAAATATTAAAAAGTCTAAGATGCTATCTATTTTACCAAGAAGCTCATAATCAAGTGTTGAAGATAAGACATATGCAAAATAACTGCCAAACTCTACACAGTATTAAGTGAAAAATGCCAAATGAATGACACAAATATTTTCATTTTCCATTTTGCCAACCTGCAACATATACAGAATGAATTATATAACTGACATTCCAAATATATGTGCTTCTTTGTACCCTAATCATACATGTCAGTCTTCTATAACAGCTACAAAACACCATCAAAAGCATTTTAGGTAGAGCAAGTCTAGAAAAAGGGCTACCAGCTATGTCATGCAAGAGAAAAAATTTCTGATTTCAAAGACGTACATGTGTATGTGTTTATCTTAATGGAATGCATAACTTTTTTAAATGCCTGACATAGAAAAGTATTTATTTTGTTGTTTGAATAAGAAAACAACATTGTGAAGATTTCTACAAATGTATTCCTTCTAACCGGAAATAGTAACTGAAACAATATTATACTTGGATATCTGTATTCTAAATGGCTAACAGTTTTGTTACTTGGGGTTACAAATGAGAAATGATGCCCTACGATGATCTAGTCCATCGAAGTGTCAAGTTTAAGCCTCCCGGTTCAGAATTAAAGGGAACCGTAGGGTGAGAAGCAATCTGAGTCCATAATTCCATCAACAGCAGTTTTCTTCAGGCTTTGATTCATAGCTCATCTGCTCCGTGCCGGTTGCCCTGAGTTCAGCGATGCCTTGCCGGTTTCCATGATACTGATATGCATACCAAATCAGAACTTGTATTTTTGTGTTTGGCTCATATGGAATATGTAAGTTATTGAGTGTTAACTGCATTCCATTCAGCCAAGTGTGTTAGGTATGTATCTCATTTAATTTCACAATAGCCCTATGAGGTCAGTATTATTTTTGTCACCATCTTACAGATGAAGAAAGTGAGGCTCAGAGAAACTAAGTAACTTGCTGTGATGGTTAATACTGAGTGTCCACTTGATTGGATTGAAGGATGCAAAGTATTGATCCTGGGTGTCTCTGTGGGTGTTGCCAAAGGAGATTAACATTTGAGTCAGTGGGCTGGGGAAGGCAGACCCACCCTTAATCTAGTGGGCACAATCTAATCAGTTACCAGCGAATATAAAGCAGGCAAAAAAAATGTGAAAAGGCGAGACTGGCCTAGCCTCGAAGCCTACATCTTTCTCCCATGCTGGATGCTTCCTGCCCTCAAACATCGGACTCCAAGTTCTTCAGTTTGGAGACTCTGACTGGCTCTCCTTCTTCCTGAAACTTGCAGACAACCTATTGTGAGAACTTGCGATTGTGTAAGTTAATACTTAATAAACTCCCCCATATATATATATATCTCCCCCATATATATATACATATATATACACATATATATATGCATATGTGATATTATGTGAATGGGTATTTGTGCCTATGCTGCCCAGAGGCCCCCAGCTACCCCCGGGGAGGGCGGCCTGGAGCCACAGTACCTTCTGTGTGCACCCTCAAGAATACCCAGGCCCTTGTTGGCACCAGCCGCCCCCCAGAAGTGGCCTTCACCTCTGGGAGACCCCGAAGAACCCTCCATATATATATATGGGTATATATATATGGATATATATATATATCCCCCATATATATCCAGATAGCCATATATATATGCATATATATATCCATATATATGCATATATCCATATATCTGCATATATATGCATATATCCATATATATGCATATATATCCATATATCCATATATTTGCATATATATCCATATATATACATATATATACATATATCCATATATATATGCATCATATATATATATGCATATAATTCATTCTGTCCTTTTAGGGAACTCTGACTAATACAATTGCCCAAAGTTATGGAGCTGGTAAATGATGGAGTCAGGAGTCCAACCTAGTCTGTTTAACTCCTGTGGTCTGTACTGATAACCATTTGACTCTGCTGTCTTTCCTGTGGAACATGCTAGTGGAGATGTATAGGAGGTATGTAGATATCAGGAGTTTAAGAGAAAGGGTTAGGTTAGAGATACAGATTTAGTAGTAATCAACATGTGTTATATATCCTCAAATATAAGGAGACTTCAAAAGAAGACAATAGAAAGTTTCCTTTGTCAAATGGATTATAAAATCTTTTATGGATATCGATGAATGAATCAAATGCCTATTCTTGGCATTTAAAATTTTAATCTAGTAAAATAATTATTTAAAGCTACATTATATAAATACATGAATTTTGCTGTGTTGCTTTATCCCATTTCATGAAATAATTCATTTGAATTATTTACATGCATTTTGAACATCACTAGAGTCTAGTTTTGTTATCTAAATGTTTTTCAGAGCTCATTGTCCTCATTTCTAGGTTATATGACATATTATATAAAATTGTTATCATCTCGCTGTCAAGAAAATTTTATCCCAGGTCACAAATACCCATTCACATAATATCACATATGCAATGGTGATGTCATACCCCGGAATAGCTGCTACATTAGTATTAAATTGAGACTTTTATGTATGTATGTATGTGTATATATATGTATTTGCTTGCTCATATTTAATATTTATTTTTAGACTAGCTTTGATGTGGGTTATTTCATGCAAACATCATAGTGTCAATAAAAACCTTTGGAGTAGAAAAGTAGATAGGGCTCCAGTTTAAAAAAAAAAAGGCAATGATTCACATTACAACTGTATTAAGCCAGAAAAACACATACTTTTCCAAAACAAATTTCTCACATTTGACTGAGATGTGCTAAAACTTACTATTTAGTAGGTAGAACTAACTTATGAAGGAGAACTAATTTATGAAGGAGGAAAAAAAAAGAGCAGAGGAAAGATTTTAATCCAGGTCTAACTCAAGTCCATGTTCTTATTTTTTTAACCCCTGCTGTCATTTATGATTAACAGACAATATATAGTTGTGAGATGGCTGACGACCATGGGACAGAGTTCAGGTAACTGGCCTATGTGTAAACACAGAATGAATGACCAATTTTCTCGCACACTGTTTTAATCAATTACCATGCCTTCTAAGGAACAAATGTCATATTGTAATATATGGGGGCTCACTTTTAGAGAATTCCAATAGGGAAAGGATGGAGAGAAGAGCAAAACTAGAAAATGTGGGTAGTGGTGTGTGAAACAACAGTTATTCTGCATTAGAGTAGATTAGAGATTGAACCGTTTATAGTTCTTGCATGTATCTGAACCCAAATTCCCATGGCAAAGCTATCAGGTAAAGACATACGTGACATCAAAAGTCACTTTGTTATTTAAAACACAGCCATTGTGATGTCATAAGCTTTACTTCTAGATATTTTAATATTGATGTAACAAAATTTTATTTATCAAAAACTTGCTAAATTCAAAAAATGTAGTCACATTTACCATTTAAATCTAAAGCTTTATTATATTCACTTTCCTAGTATTCTCATACTTCAGTTACAAAGAATAGGCACCCATTCAGTGCAAACCAGAAAATGGACACAATAAATGTTAAAAGAAACTATATGTTTTCTAAAAATGGCAGCATTTGCCCAACTATAAAAAAAGTTGCTTTGCTTATATCTATAAATGTTATTAGGTTTTAGTTAGAGAAAATCCACCAGATGGCAACCTCATCTGCATGTGAAACGTGATGTGCAATCCTCTGCAACCCATTGCAGGTCCCTTGAGCCAGAGGCTCCCTGATTAGTGGCCGATTTCTATAGTGATCCGTTAATGGATACTAGGTAGTCATTTGGGGGTGATTATTAGAAATTGGGGGATAGGCACAATTAGGCCATAGTTAGCATCAAGGGTGAAATAGTTTTAGTATCATTCTTTTTTATTACTATTGAGACAAAAAATATAGTATCTATTTCCATGTTGCCCTCTAATCATATTTTTGATTTGAAGCTAAAAGGAATTATATTCACTTATTCAGTGTACGAAGCTACAGACAGTATTATTTTTTCATGGATCACAAGTTATTCTAGTTGGTTCTCTTGTACTTAATGGCAGTCTAGTAGCTAGCTGGCTTATTGTTTCAAATGCAAACTATCTTCCTTATATCTAAACCTGATAGTATGCAGAAAGTACTGCTGGGGATATTTAATATGTCCCTTATTGTTTTCTGTTTATAAACAAACTGCCCTGAGGTACTAATTAGGTAGAAGATACTGCACATATTTAGCAAATACTGTTGGTATTTTTCCATACAATGTCTGTGGTCAAGGTGAAAGTTGTTGATGGGTTGGTTATATGAACTGCACATTTCTGAATGTATGCATGATAATAAATGTTCCAGAAAAGGAAAAAAAAATACACTTGTTGAAATTTTTATTCCTGAATAGGTAGAGTTCTAATTGCATCTGACATTTAATTAATAAATCCAGTTCCAAAGTGGCATGTATCACCTGTGTTAAACTACAGCTGTGTAAGGCATCTGTTTGATTTTAATATCTACAATACCTAACAGGTTGCCTGTTGTTTTTTTTTTTTTTTTTACTACAATGGACTTTTTGGTTATCTGTGTATTTTCTAAAATTCATATAATAACTCGAGAACTATAGTTTTTTCTTTCTCCTGGGTATGTCTTTATTGAGGCATATTTTAAAAAATCATATAATTTACCATTTCAAGTATAGTATTCAAGGATTTTTAGTAAATTTATGTCTCCTGGGTATTTTTAAAGTTGTATACCTGTGTCTAGATGCTGTTCCTCATTACATGAAGAGTATTCTAAATTTTGGAAGCTCAACTATCCTTGGTTCCATATGTGCCTGCTTGTTGATATTGTTTACATAAATAAAGAGCAGAAAATCTGACTCTTATGTGTCTAAAATTTTGTTAGTATCAATGTCTCAGTGACCCATCTTCTAGATTTGGGCGGACAGATTTGTATTGCATAACCGAGTTGGAATTTTGGGCTCATTTTCAGATAATACTAACAAATCGGCCGGGCGCGGTGGCTCATGGCTATAATCCCAGCACTTTGGGAGGCCAATCACGAGCTCAGGAGTTCAAAACCAGCCTGACCAACATAGTGAAACCCCGTCTCTAATAAAAATACAAAAAATTAGCCAGGCATGGTGGCATGTGCCTGTAGTCCCAGCTACCCGGGAGGCTGAGGCAGGAGACTCACTTGAACCTGGGAGGCAGAGGTTGCAGTGAGCTGAGATGGTGCCACTGCACTCCAGCCTGGGTGACAGAGCAAGACTCTGTCTCAAAAAAAAAAAAAAACAAACAAAAAAAACAAATGAAAACAAAGCAAACAGAAAAAAACCCAATAAATCTAACCTTCAAAAACTACCCACACTATTTGAGCTAGTTATTATTATTTTAACACATGTGCAGTACTGACATTACATTAAAGCATTGCACAGCACATAAAATATTGTTCTTGCTGTTAAAGGCTTTACAAAGTAATTGGAAAAATTGATCTGGGTATAAAGATGCCTTAAGAAAAGTCATTAGACTCCATTCACATTCTCCTCTATCTCCTTCATTGCTAATTTATCATTTCCATCCTGCAGACTTATGGCCTTCTGTTCTCTTGTTCTGCCACCTAGATTTACTCACATGGCTCAAAGTTCAAATGACATTAGCAGAATGTATATCAAAACTGATGTCCATCTTCTATTAAATATTAGTTCCTTTCTTCATATGTTTGAGCTAAAGGCTATATGGCAAAATAGTAGAAAAATCTTCTGGTCAGTGTTACTGTTGGTTCTTGCACTGATGGTGGTCAAGAACTGACATCTTCCCCAGCTGAAAGAGTTTCTTTGAACTTGGTGGAGGAAATCCTCCTCATTTGAATAAATAAATTCCTGAGTTTGGGGAATCTGCATAAATGCTAAAAAACTGGACAAATGACCAAAAACAACCATTTCAGCACTCTGGAAATTGACCCAAGAATACCACAAACTGAGAACTTCTGGATTTTGAGTAAGAAAATAATAAGTCTGTGGTGTTCTTGCTTAGGCCTGTCTATTCATCACCTCCCCCACTTACTCCCTTCAAGCTCTGTTGGCACAGTGGTTCAACAAGGATGAGGCAGGCAGTAAGAACTAGAAGCTTTGCTGTTGCTGTTGCTGCTACTGAAAAGAACTCACCTGATTTGGAACATTGTCAGTTAAAGTACAGTTAACCCTTGATCAACATGGGTTTGAACTGTGCAGTTCCACTTATATGCAGATTTATCTCTGCCTCTGCCACCTCTGAGACACCAAGACCAACCCCGACTCTTCCTTTGCTTCCTCTGTCTACTCAACCTGAAGACAACGAGGATGAAGACTTTTATGACGATCCACTTAATGAATAGTAAATATATTGTCTCCTCTTATAGCTTTCTTAACATTTTCTTTTCTCTAGTTTACTAGCTTACTTTATTGTAAGAATACCATATATAATGTATATCACATTAAAAAATATATGTGTTAATCGACTGTTTAAGTTATTGGTAAGTCTTCTGGTGAACAGCAGGCTATTAGCCAGCCCCACAGACTCAATCTTCAGCCCCACTCTACTGCCAGTTTGGCCTCCAAAGACTCAGTCTCCAGGCCTCACTGCCAGGTGGGCCCCAGCAGCTCCAGGTTCTAGACTATGGCCAGCATCAGGCTGTCATTTGCAGCCCTAGGCTTCAGGCCTGCCCTCAGCAACAAGGGAGTCTTCACAGACCTACTTAGTCACCAGCACTGGGCCAGTACTCACACGCCCAGCCTCCAGGCCAGCCCCCACTGACTCAAGCTTCAGGCCAGCACTCATAGACCCAGCCTCTAGGCCAGTCCCAGTGCCACACTGGCCCCTGCATCCATGACTCCAAGCTGGGACTGTAGACTCAGCTTCCAGGCCAACACCCACAGACCCTGCCTTCAGGCTGGCCTCTGCAGCCCTAGGCTGCTGGCACACCCCAGCACCAGGTCAGCATCCACTGACCTCAGCTCGAGACTGGCCCCTATGGTTTCAGGCATAAAGCTGGAACCTGTGGACCTAGCCTTCAGACAGGCCCCCGTTTGTAGAGGCTCCAAACATACCTAGTGTGGGGCCAGCCCCTGTAGCCCCAAGCTATATAAGTTGGCTTCCCCACAGACTTAGGATCCAGGCCTACCTCAGGCTCCAGGCAGGCACAGTGCTATGCAGGTTCACATGGCCCCAGGCTTCAGACCTGCCTCAGCACAAGAACAGACCCCATGACCCCAGGCTTTAGGCCACTAAAGCGTGCAAACCCAGCCTCCAGCCCCACCCCAGTACCAGATCAAAACCTTTAGACCCCCAATTCCAGCCCAGTCCTTGGCAGACACAAGCTCCAGGCCCACCCAGTGCTACGCTGCTCCTTGTGGCCTGAGGCTCCAGGCAGGCAGGCCCATATAACCCCAGGGTTCAGGCCTATTTCAGTAGATCCCAGCACCAAGCTGGCTCTCCTAACCCCAGGACCCAGGCCTGCCGCCATAGACCCAGCTTGAAAGCTCATCCCAGAGACAGGCCAGCGTCCATGGTCCCATGCTCTAGGCCAGCCCTCATGAACCTAGCCTCCAGACTAGCACCCACGTGACCAAACTCCAGGCCAGTCCCCATGGCCCTAGGCTACAGGTTAGCCCCTGTGGCTCCAGGCACTAGGACACCCATGGTCACAGGCTCCAGGCTTACCCCAGCACCAGGCCAGCCCCAAGATCAGTGAAATCAAAGACACCATCTGAAGTTACCTAATCAGAGGAACAAAAAGGAAAAAGAATGGCAAAAAGTGAATAAAGCCTACAGGAATTATGGGATGCCATCAAGTTAAACAATTTACACATTATGGGTGTTCCAGAAGGAATGGAGAAAAAGAAGGGGACAGAAAGCTTGTTTAAAGAAATAATGACTGAAAATATTCCGAATCTGTAGAGAAAAATGAACATTCATTCAGATTCATGCAGCTCAAAGAACCCCAAATATATGAAATATACAGTAAATTTTCACTTAACATCGATAAGTTCATGGAAACTGAAACTTTAAATGAAGCAACATATAGCAGATCCTCAAAATAATATCATTTCCTTCAACATTGGTGAGAAAAAATTGGTTTTGTTATACATCATTTTGCTTAAAGCTGCAGTTTCCAAGAACTTATTGATGATGTTAAGTGAACACTTACCATAAAGAGATCTTCACCAACACACATTATAAAAAACTGCTTAAAAGTCAAAGACAGGTGGGGTGTGGTGGCTCATGCCTGTAATCCCAGGACTTTGAGAGGCCAAGGTGGGCAGATCAACAGAGCACAAGACTTTGAGACCAGCCTGGGCAACATGGCGAAACCCCATCTCTACTAAAAATACAAAAAATTAGTCAGGTGGTGTGGTGCACATCTGTAGTCCCAGCTACTTGGGAGTCTGAGGCACGAGAATCGCTTGAACCTGGGAGGCAGAGATTGCAGTGAGCCAAGATCTCACCACTGCACTCCAGCCAGGGCAACAGGGTGGAAGCAAGACTCTGTCTCAAAAAATAATAATAAAAATAAAAATTTAAAAAGTCAAAGACAAAGAGAATTTTGAAAACAGCAAGAGAAAATCAACTCATCATGTGCAAGAGAACCTTAATAAGATATTAACAGAATTTTCGGCAGACACCTTGCAGGCCAGGAGACAGTGGGATGATATATTCAAAGGACTGAAAAAAAAAAAAACTGCCAACCAAGAATACTACACAGTCATGTGCAGCATAATGATATTTTGGTCAATGACAGACTGAATATATGATGGTGGTCCCATAAGGTTATAACAGAACTGAAAAATTTCTTCCCTCTAGTAATGTCATGGCTGTCCTAACATCATAGTGCAACACATTACTCAGACATTTGTGGTGATTCTGGTGTAAACAAACCTACTGCACTACCAGTTATATTAAAAGTATAGCATATACGATTGTGTACAGTGCATAATATTTGATAATTATCATAAACAACTATGTTACTGGTTTATGTACTTATTATGCTATACCTTTTATAATTATTTTAGAGGGTAATCCTTCCACTAATTAAAAAATAGTTTACTGTAAGACAGCATCAGGCAGGTGCATCAGGAGATATTCCAGAAGATGGTATTATTTTCATAGGAGATGAGAGCTCCATGCATGTTACTGCCCACAAAGAACTTCCAGTGAAACAAGACAGTGATACTGATGATTCTGATCCCATGTGTGCCTAGGCTAATGTGTGTGTTTGTGTCTTAGTTTTTAACACAAAGTTTAAAAAGTAAAAAATAAAATAAAATAAAGTAAATTTAGAAATAGAAAAAAGCTTATAGAATAAGAATATAAAGAAAACATTTTTACAACTGTACAATGCTTTTGTGTTTTAACCCATGTTATTACACAAGGGTCAAAAAGTTAAAAAATTACAAGTTTATAGAGTAAAAATGTTACAATAAGCTAAGGTTAGTTTATTATTGAAGAAATAAAATGTTTAAAATAAATTTAGCATAGCCTAAGTATACAGAGTTTATAAAGTCTATAGTTGTGTGCACTAATGTCCTAAGCCTTCACATGCAGTTGCCACTCACTGACAAACTCACCCAGAGTAAATTCATTTCCTGCAAGCTCCATTTATGGTAAGTGCCCTATACAGGTGTACCATTTTCTATCTTTTATACTGTATTTTTACTGGCTTTTTCTATGTTTAGATACACAAATATTTACCACTGTTTTACAATTGCCTATGATATTCAGTACAGTAACTTGCTGTACAGTTTTGTAGCCTGGGGACAATAGGCTATACCACAGAACCTTTGTGCGTAGTAGGCTATACCATCTAGCTATGTGTAAGTACACCTTATACTGTTTGCACAATGATGAAATTGCCTAATGACACATTTCTCAACCCATGTGTCAGTTATTAAATGTTTCATGACTAGACATGATAAGGCTGTCCTTCAAAAATGAAGAAGAGATAAGGACTTTTCCAGACAATTAAAAGCTATGGGAGTCCATCACCACTAGACCTGACTTATAAGATATGCTAAAAGGAAATCTTCAAGCTCAAAGAAAAGGATGTTAATTAGTAACATGAAAACATGAAAATATAAAACTCACTAGTAAAGTAAGTACACAGTCATATTCAGAATACTCTAATACTGTAATGGTGGTATGTAAATCACTTTATCTTCTGTGTTAAGGTTAAAAGACAAAACTTAAAAAAAAAGCTACAATAATTTGTTAAGGGATACACAATATAAAAATATATACAATGTGGCATCAAAAACATAATATGGGCCAGGCATGGTGGCTCAGACCTGTAATCCCAGCACTTTGGGATGCCGAGGCAGGTGGATCATTTGAGGTCAGGAGTTTGAGACCAGCCTGGCCAACATGGCGAAACCCCTTCTCTACTAAAAACACAAAACAAAATAGCCAGGCACCTGTAGTCCCAGCTACTCAAGAGGCTGACATGGGACAATTACTTGAACCCAGGAGGTGGTGGTTGCAGTGAGCCAAGATCACGCCATTGCACTCCAGCCTGGGTGACAGGGTTAGACCCTGTCTCAAAACAAAACAAACAAACAAACAAAACAAAACAACAACAACAAAAAACCTATAATGTGTAGCAAGGAGAGGAAGTAACAGTATAGAGTTTTTTTTTTATGTGATTGAAGTTGTTACCACCTTAAAACAGCCTGTTATAATTATAATGTGTTTTATATAGGCCTCATGATAACCACAAAGCAAAAACCTATAGTAGATACACAAAAGATAAAAAGTAAAGAATCAAATCATACAACTACAGAAAACCATCAAATTGAAACCACCTTTGCAAAATTATGACTGAGACAGTGAAAGAGATCTAACTTAATCTTCTCCATCTTGCTTCTAACCTTCAAGCTGTTCTTGCTCATTCTTGGGGGTAGGCTGAACTAACTTTGGCAGAAACTTTGTTTATAGTTTAAAACAAAGATGATAACAGCCCTTTCCCAAAGCAGACCTCCTTCTTGCCTGGGGACTAGATTGCCTTTGTAGGACTAAAATTAGCCACAAGATTAGAAATTATGGTTTAGGAGTCATGCAGCTGGAGGCTATGAGGTTCTGACCCTCTCTAAACTGCTCCTAAAATTCAGTGCTTGAGATATTTTGCAGACCCTGCACTTGATGGATCAGCTGGCAGCACCCAGATTGATAAACTGACTCATCTGATCTTGTGGCTCTCACCCAGGAACTGACTCAGTGCAAGAAGATAGCTTCAACTCCCTATGATTTCATCCCTGACCAATCAGCACTCCTGGCTCACTGGCTTCCCCCTACCCACCAAGTTGTCCTTAAAAACTCTGCTCCCCGAATGCTTCAGGAGACTGATTTGAGTAATAATAAAACTCCGGTCACCCGCACAGCTGCCTCTGTGTGAATTACTCTTTATCTATTGCAATTCCCCTGTCTTGATAAATCGTCTCTGTCTAGGCAGTGCGCAAGGTGAACCCCTTGGGCAGTTACGAATTCAGTAAAGAAGATAGCAAGAGAGGAAGAAACAAAGGATCTGCAAAACAACCAGACAACAATTAATAAAATGGCGGTAGTAAGCCCTTACCTATCAATAATTACCTTGAATATAAATGGATTCGATCTGCCAATCAAAAGACTTAAAGTCTTTTGATCCACCTACTGAAGGATGAATAACAATGAATGAATAAAAATCAAGACTCAAATACACGCTGCCTACAAAAGACTCACTTCTCCTTTAAGGACACAAGTAGATTGCAAGCCAAGGGTTGGAAAAAGATATTATACGCAAATGGAAATAAAAACAGAGTAGGGATAGGTAGCTATACTTACATAAAATAGACTTGAAGTCAACTGTAAAGGAAGACAAAGATTGTCATTATATAATGATAAGGGGATCAATTCATCAAGAGAATAAAGTGATTGTAAATATGTATGCACCCAACATGGGAATACCTAAACCTAAACATATAAAACAAATATTAATAGATCCGAAGGAAGAGAAAGACTGCAGTACAATAATAGCAGTGGATATAAACATATCATTTTCAAAAAGGACATATTATCCAGACAGAAAATCAATAAGAAAACATTGGTCTTAAACTATACTTTAGACCAAATGGACCTAACAGGCATATACAGAATATTTCATCCAACAGCAGAAGAGTACACATTCTTCTTAATTGTACAGGGAACATTCTCCAGGATATATCATATCTCAGGCCACAAAACAAGTCTTAAAAATCGAAGAAGATTGAAATCATATCAAGTATCTTTTTCAACCACAATGGTGTGGCAGGCCAATTCTCCCTGACAATCACACAGACAGGCCTGCATGACAGTCACACAGACAGGCCTGCATAGCATGCCAGTTACACCAACAAATGTCCATAGTGCTGCCTTAACATTGTGCAAATAATTAAACCTAGGGAAATCGATGCCCAGACATCAAAGCTAGAAATGAAACATACGGTCAGTAGGAGCCTTGCACAGACTTCTCCCTAACCTGAAGCAAGTCAAAATAATGGAGACAATCTTACATTCCTCATGCCAGGACCCATCTACCGTCTATGAAATCTGAGATGAGTCAAGGTAACAGATGCAGCTGTTTGAATAGATTTATTGGAGAGTCTAAGGCAGCTCTCCGGACCAAACTGTAAATGAGATAAGCTAGAAATAATCACTTCAGTACCACAGTCTTCACTAATTAGAATTTAGGAGACAGGCCTTGATGGTACCGGTGCCCTCACAGCTTCATCAGACTTAGAAAGCATTTTTGGCCTCTGACCTTCTAGTTAAAACAAAATTAGTTACCTATAGACTTAGGCGAATGTGATATCACACATAGGCATATAACTCCAACCTATATAAGCACTAAGAAAATTGTAACAGTTTGAGTTGGTTTGGTGAAATCATCTCCTGCCTTCTCCCTCTATCCGGTTACAGCAATAAACTCCCTAGTTGGTCTGCTTCTTGTCATTGGGCCACAAGAAAACGCAGTCAGACCCGGCTCAGTTCCGGGAACAATGGTATGAAACTTGAAATCAATAACAGAAAAGATTTGGGAAAAGTTACAAATTCATAAAAATTAAACAACATGCTCCTGTAAAACCAATGGGTCAAACAAAAAATTGAAAAGGATATTTAAAATATCTTGAGAAAAAGGAAAAAGTAAAGACAACATACTAAAACTTAGGGAATGCAGAAAAGTAGTTCTAAGAGGGAAGTTTATACCAATAAATGCCTACATCAAAAAGTGAAGAAAGATATCAAATAAACAACCCAAAGTTACACCTCAAGGAACTGTAGAAAGAGAAACCAACTGAGCCTAAAGTTAGTAAATATAAGAAAATAAAGATCAGAGCAGAAATAAATGAAATAGGAACTAGAAAATCAATAGAAAAGATCAATGTAACTAAAAGTTGTTTGGTTTTTTGATAAGATAAAAAAATTAACAAACCTTTAGCTAGACTAAAAAGAGAGAAGACTCAAATAAATAAAATCAGAAGTGAAAGAGGAGACATTACAACTGATCAGCACCATAAGAGAGGTTAAAAAAAATTAAAAAAAGACCCTGATACAAAAATACAAAGGCTCATAAGAAACTACAATAAACAGTTATACACCAACATATTAGATAACCTAGAAGAAATGGATAGATTTCTAGACACATAGAATATCCTAAGACTAAATCATGAAGAAATACAAAATATAAACAGACTGATAATATGGAAGGAGACTGAATCAGTAATAAAAACTCTCCCATCAAAGAAAAGCCCAGCGTCTAATTGCTTTGCTGCTGAATTCCACAAAACATCTAAAGAGGAACCAATACCAATACTTCTCAAACCCTAAAAAATTAAAGAGGAAGGAATACTTCCAAACTTATTTTAAAAGGCCAACATTACCTTATACCAAAGCTAGACAGGGACACTACAAGAAAAGAAAATTATAGGCCAATATCCCTGATGAACATAAATGCAAAAATCCTCAGCAAACTCTTAGCACACTGAATCAATAGCACATTATAAGGGTCATTCACCATGATCAAATGGGATTTATCCCTGGGATGCAAGGACGTTTTAACATATGCAAATAAATATATGTGATATACCACATTAACAAAGTGAAGAACAAAATCATATGATCATCTCAACAGAGGCAGAAAAAGCATGTGACAAAATCCAACATCCTTTTATGATAAAAACTCAACAAATTAGGTACAGAAAAAAGTAGCTTGACACAATAAAGGCCTTTTATCACAAGCACACAGATATACTCCATAGTGAAAATTTGAAAGCTTTTTCTCTAAGATCAGGAACAAAATAAGGATGCCCATTGATATGGTTTGAATGTATGTGTTCCCCCTAAAACCCATATACTGAAACCTAATCCCCGAAGTGATGGTATTAGGAGGTGGGGCCTTTTGGAAGTGATTACGTCATAAGGGCTCCACCCTCATGAATAGGATTAGTGTCCTTATAAGATAGGCCCAGGGGAGCTTGTTCGCCCCTTTCACCAAGTGAGGATGTATAGAAGGTGCCATCTATGAGGAGTGGGACCCTCACCAGACATCAAATTTTCTAATGCCTTGGTCTTGGAGTTTCCAGCCTCCAGACATGTAAGCAATAAATTTCTATTATTTATAAATTAGCCAGTCTAAGTTATTTTGCCACAGCAGCCCAAATGGACTAAGACAGAAACTGGTACTAAGAAGTGGAGTGCTGCTGTAACAAATACGTAAAAATGTCAAAGCACCTTTGGATCTGAAGAATCAGTAGAGGCTAGAAAAATGTGGTGGTGCCTGCTAGAAAAAGCCTACATTGGCTTGGTGGCTTGTGTCTGTAATGCCAGCTACTCAGGAAGCTGAGGTAGGAGGATCACTGGAGCCTGGGAGTTCAAGGCTGCAGTGAGCTATGACTGTGGCACTGCACACCAGCCTGGGTGACAGAGCAAGATCCTATCTCAAAACAAAAAAAGGCTATATTACCATGAACTGAGCATTAAGAGTGGTTCTGACGAGGACTCAGTAGAAAAGGAGAGATATAGAAAAAGTCTCAATCTTACTAGAGATTACCTAAGAGGTTGTGAAGAGAATGTGGGTAGAAATAAGGATGGTGGGAGCCATACTGACAGGTCTCAGAAAGAAATAAGGAACACACTATTGGAAAAGGGAGGAAAAGCAATCCTTGTTATAAAGCAGAAAATATTTCGGCTAAATTGTGTTTGTGTCCTACTGTTTTGTGGAAGGAGAAACTTGTGAGCAATGAAATAGGGTATTTGTCAAAAGAAATATCTAAGCATAGTTTTGAAGGAGCAGCATGGCTTTTCTTGAAGGCTTATAGTAAAATATGAGAAAAGAAAAACCAGTTAAAGATGGAAGTTATAATAAAAAAAGGATGCATTACTCAATTATTTGGAAAATTCTCAGCATGGCCATATTTCAAAGAATAAAAAAGCATGTTCAGGAGAGAATACCAAGGGTGTGGCCAGGGCCACTTTTTTTTTTTTTTTATTATACTTTAAGTTTTAGGGTACATGTGCACATTGTGCAGGTTAGTTACCTATGTATACATGTGCCATGCTGGTGCGCTGCACCCACTAACTCGTCATCTAGCATTAGGTATATCTCCCAATGCTATCCCTCCCCCCTCCCCCCTCCCCACCACAGTCCCCAGAGTGTGATATTCCCCTTCCTGTGTCCATGTGATCTCATTGTTCAATTCCCACCTATGAGTGAGAATATGCAGTGTTTGGTTTTTGGTTCTTGCGATAGTTTACTGAGAATGATGATTTCCAATTTCATCCATGTCCCTACAAAGGACATGAACTCATCATTTTTTATGGCTGCATAATATTCCATGGTGTATATGTGCCACATTTTCTTAATCCAGTCTATCATTGTTGGACATTTGGGTTGGTTCCAAGTCTTTGCTATTGTGAATAATGCCACAATAAACATACGTGTGCATGTGTCTTTATAGCAGCATGATTTATAGTCATTTGGGTATATACCCAGTAATGGGATGGCTGGGTCAAATGGTATTTCTAGTTCTAGATCCCTGAGGAATCGCCACACTGACTTCCATAATGGTTGAACTAGTTTACAGTCCCACCAACAGTGTAAAAGTGTTCCTATTTCTCCACATCCTCTCCAGCACCTGTTGTTTCCTGACTTTTTAATGATTGCCATTCTAACTGGTGTGAGATGGTATCTCATAGTGGTTTTGATTTGCATTTCTCTGATGGCCAGTGATGATGAGCATTTTTTCATGTGTTTTTTGGCTGCATAAATGTCTTCTTTTGAGAAGTGTCTGTTCATGTCCTTCGCCCACTTTTTGATGGGGTTGTTTGTTTTTTTCTTGTGAATTTGTTTGAGTTCGTTGTAGATTCTGGATATTAGCCCTTTGTCAGATGAGTAGGTTGCGAAAATTTTCTCCCATTTTGTAGGTTGCCTGTTCACTCTGATGGTAGTTTCTTTTGCTGTGCAGAAGCTCTTTAGTTTAATTAGATCCCATTTGTCAATTTTGTCTTTTGTTGCCATTGCTTTTGGTGTTTTGGACATGAAGTCCTTGCCCATGCCTATGTCCTGAATGGTAATGCCTAGGTTTTCTTCTAGGGTTTTTATGGTTTTAGGTCTAACGTTTAAATCTTTAATCCATCTTGAATTGATTTTTGTATAAGGTGTAAGGAAGGGATCCAGTTTCAGCTTTCTACATATGGCTAGCCAGTTTTCCCAGCACCATTTATTAAATAGGGAATCCTTTCCCCATTGCTTGTTTTTCTCAGGTTTGTCAAAGATCAGATAGTTGTAGGTAGGCGGCGTTATTTCTGAGGGCTCTGTTCTGTTCCACTGATCTATATCTCTGTTTTGGTACCAGTACCATGCTGTTTTGGTTACTGTAGCCTTGTAGCATAGTTTGAAGTCAGGTAGTATGATGCCTCCAGCTTTGTTCTTTTGGCTTAGGATTGACTTGGCGATGCGGGCTCTTTTTTGGTTCCATATGAACTTTACTGTCAACATTAGACAGATCAACGAGACAGAAAGTCAACAAGGATACCCAGGAATTGAACTCAGCTCTGCACCAAGCAGACCTAATAGACATCTACAGAACTCTCCACCCCAAATCAACAGAATATACATTTTTTTCAGCACCAAACCACACCTATTCCAAAATTGACCACATACTGGGAAGTAAAGCTCTCCTCAGCAAATGTAAAAGAACAGAAATTATAACAAACTATCTCTCAGACCACAGTGCAATCAAACTAGAACTCAGGATTAAGAATCTCACTCAAAGCCACTCAACTACATGGAAACTGAACAACCTGCTCCTGAATGACTACTGGGTACATAACGAAATGAAGGCAGAAATAAAGATGTTCTTTGAAACCAACGAGAACAAAGACACAACATACCAGAATCTCTGGGACGCATTCAAAGCAGTGTGTAGAGGGAAATTTATAGCACTAAATGCCCACAAGAGAAAGCAGGAAAGATCCAAAATTGACACCCTAACATCACAATTAAAAGAACTAGAAAAGCAAGAGCAAACACATTCAAAAGCTAGCAGAAGGCAAGAAATAACTAAAATCAGAGCAGAACTGAAGGAAATAGAGACACAAAAAACCCTTCAAAAAATCAATGAATCCAGGAGCTGGTTTTTTGAAAGGATCAACAAAATTGATAGACCGCTAGCAAGACTAATAAAGAAAAAAAGAGAGAAGAATCAAATAGACACAATAAAAAATGATAAAGGGGATATCACCACCAATCCCACAGAAATACAAACTACCATCAGAGAATACTACAAACACCTCTACGCAAATAAACTAGAAAATCTAGAAGAAATGGATAAATTCCTCGACACATACACTCTCCCAAGACTAAACCAGGAAGAAGTTGAATCTCTGAATAGACCAATAACAGGAGCTGAAATTGTGGCAATAATCAATAGTTTACCAACCAAAAAGAGTCCAGGACCAGACGGATTCACAGCCGAATTCTATCAGAGGTACAAGGAGGAACTGGTACCATTCCTTCTGAAACTATTCCAATCAATAGAAAAAGAGGGAATCCTCCCTAACTCATTTTATGAGGCCAGCATCATTCTGATACCAAAGCCGGGCAGAGACACAACCAAAAAAGAGAATTTTAGACCAATATCCTTGATGAACATTGATGCAAAAATCCTCAATAAAATACTGGCAAACCGAATCCAGCAGCACATCAAAAAGCTTATCCACCATGATCAAGTGGGCTTCATCCCTGGGATGCAAGGCTGGTTCAATATACGCAAATCAATAAATGTAATCCAGCATATAAACAGAGCCAAAGACAAAAACCACATGATTATCTCAATAGATGCAGAAAAAGCCAAGGCCACTTTTTGATGAGATTATTATGTATCAGTGGAAGCCAGGTGTTTTTTATCAAGAAAATGGAAAAATGACCCTGAAGGCTTTTTGGAAATCATCAGGACCACCACTCCCATCATAGACCCAGAGCATTAAGGCTTGGGGTCAGAAGTATGTCAAAAGAGGGGCCTCAGGTACTGGTAGGACCTCCACACTCACTACCTAAAGTCTCTGTTCCCCACATTCTGGCACAATACTCCTCAGTCATCCCAGGTGTGATTCTAGAGATCCCAAGTGTGGTTAGGGCTCCAGTGGCCATCCCTCTGGAGAGCATACACAGTAAGTCTTGGTAGTGTTTGTGTGGTGCCATCTCCACTGGCTGGCAGAGTACATGAACTGTGGGGGCATGTCTGTCTCCACCTAGAATTCAAAGCGTGGAGGCCCCTGGTGCCTCAGGAACAGGACCCAGGCCGCGTGCCACCCCGAAGGCAAAGCTACCACAGAGAGCCTCCACTAGGGCAGTGACTAACGGAGCTGTGAGACTCTAACAGTCTTGGGGCTCAGGGGTGACCCTGTACCCACAGCTCTTCTGGGCATTGCCTTAATGGGAACTCTGCAGTGGCGCTGCCCCCCATGGCTTACTACCTGTGCCCTCATAAGTTCATTTATGTCTGTGCAATTAATTCTTGTTTCATTTGTGTCCACTGCATTTTGGATGAAAGTCTTCCTTCATGAAATACATCTATTTCTATACTATAAAGAGTCCTGGAAACACTCACTCCATTCAGTCTGAAACTTGTGTAAGCAATGTATTAGTCCATTCTCACATCACTATAAAAACTACCTAACATTGGGTAATTTACAAGAAAAGAAGTTTAATTGACTTATAGTTCCACAGGCTTTACAGGAAGCATGGCTGGACAGGCCTCAGGAAACTTACAATCATGGCAGAAGGTGAAGGGGAAGCAGGCACATCTTACACAGCTGGAGAAGGAGGAAGAGAGTGAAGAGGGAGGTGCTACACATTTTTAAACAACCGGATCTTGTGAGAACTCACTATCATGAGACCAGAAAGGGGGAAATCCGCCCCATGATCCAATCATCTCCCACCAGGCCACTCCTCCAACATGAGATTTGAGCAAGTGTGTATTCTTAAAGTATTAATAGTTCAGAGGGCCGCGCACAGTGGCTTATGCCTATAATCCCCCAGCACTTTGGGAAGCCGAGGCGGGCGGATCACCAGGTCAGGAGACCAAGACCATCCTGGCTAACACGGTGAAACCCCGTCTCTACTAAAAATACAAAAAATTAGCCGGACGTTGTGGTGGGCGCCTGTAGTCCCAGCTACTTGGGAGGCTGAGGCAGGAGAATCACTTGAACCCAGGAAGCGGAGGTTGCAGTGAGCCAAGATGGCGCCACTGCACTGCAGCCTGGGAGACAGAGCGAGACTCCAACTCAAAAAAAAAAAAATAATGTTCAGAGTACCTGATATAATCCTATCCACAAGCCTCTGGGATTGTACTTTTGTTGTAGACACAAATTCCAACCAAAACCTTACAGTAGAGACTTTACGCATGCATCAGGAATCAGAAATCTGTCTAATAATGGCTGAGAGGGTATTGTATGGTTAGTTTATTACAGTCACAAATATTAGATTGGCAGACAGTAAAATTCTCCATTGGCACACAGAACAGAACTATTTCATAAGGGTTTGATCAATGTTTTCCCCTGAGTTTAAAAACATACTTACCAGTGAGGACACTGACAAGTCTCCAGTGTTTTCTCATACAGTGCATAATTTCTGAAATATTTACATTAATACCATGTTATCTATTCAAATTTCACCTAGTATGGCTAACCATTTCTTCAGAATTGAGAATTTACAATAGTGTTGAGTTTATGCAATATGAAGACGGTATCCCCAAAATTGTATTTTAGTTTTTAAAAATTGGAATCCTTTCTGGGGAAGACAAAATCAAAACAACTGGCCAAAGTCGATTAAGATAGAATCATGAGTACCTTAAAAACAACAATTTGGTTATCTATTTAATAAAAATGACAATAAAATATTTTAAAATAATTATAGAGGAAGGTAACATGGTTATAAGAAAACTTAGTTCTTTCATCTATGTTCTTTGTTTCCATCTTTGGGTGTATATATACATATTATATATATAATATATATTTATATATATTTAAATCAAGGACACGATAGAGGCAAAACAATGCAGATTAAGTTATTCTTGTGATATATGAAATCTCTGCTATCAGGCATATTATACAGAAGGTAAATATATCCTCTTATTACCCCTTGAGGAGAGCTTGAAGATCAATTTCTCATTTAAAAACTTCTTTTGTTTTGAAATAATTGTAGATTCACAGAATCTACAAAGAAATGTGGAGAAATCTGCAAAGAAATGTAGAGAAAAGTTCTATGTACTCTTCCCCCAGCTTCCCCCAGTGTTAACAACTTATTCAACCATAGAACAATATCAAAACCAATAAATTGATATTGGTACAATTTATAGAGTTTATTCAGATTTCAAATGTTATACATGCATTTATGTGTGTGTGTGTGTGTATGTGTAGCTTTATGCAATTTTATCACATGTGTAGCCTTGTGTAACCACCACTGCAATCAGCATATTCAACTATACCATCACCACAATACTCCTTCAGGTTACTTTTTCTCCCTTCCACCCCTATTTCCTGGCAACCACAAATCTCTTCTCCATCTCTACAATTATGCTATTTAATGAGTATTACACAAATAAAATCATGTGGTATGTGAGGTTTTAAGATTGGCTTTCTTTTCATTCAGCATAATGCCCTTGAGATCCATCCAAATTGTTACATGTATCAATAATTCATTCTTTCTTTAATTGCTGAGTATTTTTTAACCATCCATCTATTGAAGAGCATTTGAATAGTCTCCAGTTTTTTACTATTATGAATAAAGCTGCTAGGAACATTCATGTACAAGTTCCTGCATGAAAATAACTTTTCAATTCTCTGGGATAAATGCCAAGAGTTCAATTGTTGGATCATATGGTATGTCCATTTTTAGATTTGAAAGAACTTGCCAATTTTTCAGAGTGGCTGTACCATTTTACATTCCCACTAGCAATGTATGAATAATCCAGTTTCTCCATATCCTTATCAGCATTTGGTGTTATCGCTATCTTTCATTCTGTTCATTAGCCATTCTGACAGGTATGTTGTGATATCTCATTGTACTTTTAAATTCCATTTATTTAATGGCTAATGATATTAAACATCTTTCCATATGCTTATTTGCCATCTGTATATCATCACTGATTAAATATCTATGCATATTGTTTGCCAATTTCTTAATTGAATTGCTTGTTTTGATGTTGAGTTTTGAGAGTCCTTTATAGATACAAAGCCTTTATTGGACATAGAACTTGTCTTTTCATTCTTCTAACAGAATCGTTTGTAGGCAAAATTTCAAAATTTTGTTGAGGTCCAATTTATCAATTTTTCATTCAATCAATCATGTTATTTTGTGTCAATTCTAAGAAATTTGCTTAGTCTTATCTAGGTCTCAAAGATTTTTTCCTATATATATTTTTAGAAGTTTTGTAGTTTTACATTTTACACTTATGTTCATTATACATTTTGAGTTAATTTTAATATAAAGTATGAAGTTTAGGTCAAGGTTCTTTTTTTTTTTTTTGCTAATGGATATCCAATTTGTTCAGCACCATTTATTGAATTGCTTTTGCTTCTTTGTCAGAAATTAATTGGACATATTTGTGGGGATAAATTAAATTGGTGCAAAAGTTATTGCAGTTTTTGCTATACTTTTAATGGCAAAAGCTACAATTATTTATGCACTAACCTAATATTCCTGGGTTTTATATTCTATTCCATTGATCTATTTATATGTCCCTTGGTAATTTATCATTTTAATATAGAGAGAGCCAATTCTAGTTTTGCAGTAATATTGGCAGTAAAATTTCACAAGCTTTGTTTTTGCTTATGAAGAAATCCTTTAAAATTGAGTCAAATTTTGGCCAATTTTTACACGTTATTGCTTCTTTTCAGAGTCAGTACTATAAACTATGGCAAACGAAAATGTTCTTTCTGAAAATCTATAACTTTCTGTAACTTAAAGCTTTGTGTTTTCCTATATTTTAAATTCTGGAACAATCAGATGCTTTAAAGAAAAAAAGCATTAACTTTTTATCTTGATAAACAAGCACATAACCTTATATACTCAGGTTTATTTCTCTGTTACTGTTTTTCCTAGAATAGTTTCAACCACTCATGCTAATAATAACTTTTAACCAGAGTAACTAACTTCCACTCACAGAAAAAACTGGGAGGTAAATAATTGAGAAATGCCACACACTAGAATTTAAGCCAACTAGCAAAGCTTGTTGTGAATGCACAACTTTTTACAGACTCAAATTTCTTTTTACATCTTAATGTGTCAAAAAAAGCAACATGTTTGTTAACATGACCAAAGACATAGTCACCCTATAGCATATAAAAAATACGAAGTAAATGTATGGCAGTTTGAAATTATGCTCAATAATCATTATTTTTAGTATTCTACTTCACCTAGAAATTATCTAGCAATCAAAAATTATTCATTAATTAGTTTAATTTGATTCAAATCTAAGTGTTTAATTTACCTAAGAATATTGAAAATCATGTTCAAGCTACAAAACATAATTATAGTAGGAGTAAAACATTTGACAGATGACTTTTAATAAAATACAAATCTACATTTTTCATAATCTTAAAGATTAAGTAGGAGTGTTAGCTTATTTGATTGGTAAACCAAAAGATGTTTAAGAAGTTCACATTAAATAGTCTCTTCATAAAAGAAAACAATCATAAAAATAAAATGTAAATTTTATTATACTTAATACACATTTGAGAAAAAGACCTAAAGATTTCCTCTTTCTTTCTTAAAACTATTTTTTTTCTTTTGTTTTTAGGACAGAGTCTTGCTCTGTAGCTCAGGCTGGAGTGCAGTGGTGCAATCTTGGCTCACTGCAACCTCTGCCTCCTGGGTTCAAGCGATTCTCCTGCCTCAGCCTCCCAAGTGGCTGGGATTACAGGCGCGCATCACCACACCCGGCTAATTTTTGTATTTTTAGCAGAGACGGGGTTTCACCATGTTGACCAGGCTGGTCTCGAACTCCTGGCGTCAAGTGATCCACCCACATTGTCCTCCCAAAGTGGTGGGATTACAGGCATGAGCCACTGTGCCCAACCTTAAATCTAAATTATCAAACCAATCTAAACTGTCCAAAGATTCATCTTAAGTAAACGTTAATTCTTAAAATGTTTCTGAGCTAGACATTTCTGTAAGAATTTTGTAAATATATAGCACATTTAAAGTGTTAGAAGTTCATTTAAAAATTTTCTGTTATTTATAGCACTATTAGATTCATATGTTATTATTTATCTATAAATTAATCACAACTGACCTCCTCAGAGATACATTATGATCAGATTTAGTATTACCCTTCATAAGTAGGAAATTATTTTATACTCTACATGAGAGAGAAAGAACTTTCAGGTTTACAGAAAAGCATAAGATATATGGAGAGCTTATAGCTTCAGTTCTACAGCTTCTGCCACAGGTCAAGTGTAAACATATAAATACAAAAACCTATAGGTCTAAATATGAAAGAATTGTTCTCCTTCACAACAGGCACAAAATTCTTAGTTGATTCGATTTTGCAAATAGACAAACAAAAAGCCTAAACAAACCGGTTTCTCTGCTTCTCACCCAACAGAGAACAGTACTTCACCATCCACCCAATAAAGATTGCCAAATGGCCAAACAATAAAAACAAATTCCCAATTGTTGCTGCCACCAAATGAAAATAACTTTTTGTCATGTGCAACACAAAAATCAACAGCAAGAAGAAAATTAAACCTACAGAAATAGAATTAGCAAAGTTAAAGTTCTCTTGCTGCCTGGGATTCTCTCTGGCAGCCAAGAAAAATATGCTTGGGCTTAAACAAACTTGAGGTGCATTTCTCCAGGAATGCAGCTTACTTGTCTCCATCAGATGAGTCAATTTGGACATCTCCACGCACCCTCCAAAACTGTCAATATATAATTTCAAACCAAGTAAAATCATAATACTCAGGCAAATATAAAGTGAAAAAGTATCAAAGATTTTATTTGACTTATTAATAAATGAGGGAACTTTTAAGATGTCATGACAGGGTCAAACACCATTTTAAAACATAGAATATTGATAGGATGATAAACTTCCTGGATTAGATACAAAGTGGGTAATGTCTCATGAAGCCATAAAACTTTGAGGTTATCTCTCTACTGGAGAGAAATTATTTGCATCTAGACCAGACAAAAATCTACATGTTAATATGCAACTTCACTAAATCTGGAACCTTAAACAAATAGTAACAGTGAGTTGAATGACTTACTAACCTGGGTCCCCTAGCCCAGGGGTCAGCAATTTATAGCCTATAGGCCAATCTGGCCATGCTTACTTGTTTGCATGTGGTGTGTGGGTGCTGTGCTTTCATGCTACAAGGGCAAAGTTGAGTACTTGTGAAAGAGACCATATGGCCCAGAAAGTCAAAAATATTTATTATCTTGACCATTACAGAAAAAGTTTTCTCACCATTGCCCTAGGCAATGCTTGAGTTGCCTACACCTTCTTATGAGATTGAAACTGTGTGATCCATAACTCTTTTTGCATTACTTTTCTGATAATTTTTCTAATATTGCTTTGATTCTGCCTTGGTAGAAATGCTCTCCCACTTTTGGGTTCATTCATTTATTTTTATCCCTCTTATAACATTATATTACGGTATTATGATCTTTACTAGATTTCAGCTCATTGAGAAGATTTCATTTATCTTTGTGTCTGCTATAGCACTAAGCACAGGGCCTTGAAAATAGTAAATATTCAACAAATCTTTGCTGAAATTAATGGAATCAAAACTAAAATGTGAATGTGAAGGCTCAGGGAAGCCTGGAGGTTAGGATTGTTTAGGGAGGATTGCAAAGATAGTTGGCTGGGGGAGTAAATGAAGTCCTATACAAAATTATAAAAATGTAAAAATATTACTAATTCTTCTACTGAATTTATTTATCTTCAAGGATCCAATCACTTACCTACAATGTGCCATAGTTCCTCCATCTTTGTGATGTGAATATAATTTGTCAGTTACCTGTTTGGAATATGTCATAGTTGGTTCGTGTTGCTATGAAGGAATACCGAAGACTGGGTAATTTATAAAGAAAAATGGTTTATTTGGCTCATAGTTCTGCAGATTGGACAAGGAGCATGGCACCAGAATCTGCCTTTGGTGAGGTCCTCAGGCTGCTTCCACTCATGGCAGAAGGTGAAGGGGCTTCAGCCTGTGCAGAGATCACATGGTGAGAGCAGAGGCAAGAGAGAAGAGGTAGATGCCAGACTCTGTTTAACAACCAACAACCAGCAATCATTGGAACTAATGGAGTAAAAACTCATTTATTACTGGGAAGACTGCAGTAAGCCATTCATGATCTGCCCCATGGCCCCCAAACCCCCCCCCTTAGGCCCCACCTCCAACACTGGGGATCAAATTTCAACATGAGGTTTGGAGGATCAACTACCCAAACTATAGCAGAATGTCACTAGACCCATGAAATATAATTTGTATTTTATTGTTCTTACTAGAAATTAACACATTTGTTCAATAAAAGTTTAGCCAGTATTGACAAGGCCAAAATGTTGAAAAGTATTTTTATGTAATAATATGTTTCAATTTAAAAAATGGAAACATGTTGTGACAAATAGTTTTTTGTTACTTTCATATGTAACATATAATTTAGAATATATACAGTTGACCCTTGAACAATGTGAAGGTTATGAACCCTGACTCCCCCACACACACAGTTTAAAATCTGCAAATAACTTATGACTTCTCCAAAATTTAACTGCTAATACCCTACTGTTGACAGGAAGCCTTACTGACAACAGTCGATTAACACAAATTTTGTAGGTTATATGTATTATATATGGTATTCTTACAATAAAGTAAGCTAGAGAAAATAATATTAATAAAATTATCAGACAGAGAAAATATATTTACTGTTCATTAAGTGGAAGTGGATCATCATAAAAGTCTTCATCTTTGCCATCTTCTTGTGAGTAGGCTGAAGAGGAAAAGGAAGAAGAGGGGTTGGTTTTGCTATCTCAGGGGTGGCAGAGTTGTAAGAAGTGGAGGTGGTGGAAGGGGAGGCAGGAGAGGCAGGAACACTCAGTGTAACTTTTATGGAAAAAAATCCACTTGTAAGTGAAACCGTGTAGTTCAAAATTATGTTGTTCAAGGATCAATTGGAGTTTGAATGATGAAATTTTGGGTTTTCCAGGATATTTGGGTGGTATATGAAGACAAGTAGGCTGAATGTTACCTTGACTGCCCTAAAGTTTCAAGTCATCACGCAAATTGTACTCAGTAAATATAATCTGAATTAATTTGAAATACAGTTTCCTCCTATCATGAAGGGTAAGGAAGTGGATAAACAGTAAATGCTTTCATTTTTAGCTTATAAATGCGTAGTTCAACCATAGTCTTATTGCCATTAGCAGGCTTTGACCCTGGCTCATCTGACATTGAATCAAATATATAAATGCTCAAAATATGAAATATGTTATTTCAGCTTGAGATATTTGTAAAATCTCTGGGTTTTCCTAAAATACAGTAATTTTAAGCATACTTAAAATATTTTACTGCCTTTCCAATTTTACCTGAGCCTATATTTTTGTGTAAAGGGTTTTAAAAATTTTTGGTATGAAGGATTATTCAGCTAATGGAAGATACTAACTATTGTTTTAAAAAGTAATTAAGTGGGCTAGTCATTTCAGATATTTAAGTGAGAATGCAATTTAGTTGATTTCACAGTTAACAATTTAACATCAATAAAAAGGAGCTCCTAGTTTTCTCCATGGGCTTGTCTGAAACAAATGAATACCAATTAAAGTATGATATTTCCACTAGGGCTTAGACCATCATTTTTCTAATTATTGTATAAATCTCTCAGTGGAAAATAATCTTCATCTATAAAGAAATAATTCCCAACAGAAATCTTATATCTTGTAGAACACCAATTATTATACATTTCTCAATACCTTTGCCAGAGGAAGTATGCATCAGTCAGTGAATTAAAATCATGGCAGTTAAGGGAAAGATAAACTATATTGGAAGCAAGTAAAAGCATTGAGTATATGGAATAGCTCATTCAACTTTATATCTTGATTTTGCTTCACTAAACTGGGAGTGTTTTTATATCTGTTTTCTGCTATTGGGTAAAATTAAATGAGCTTTATTTCATAAAGAATAATGCACTCTTATACTCTTATTCCCTCTCATTTAGTTTGCTAGCTGTATAAAATGGACTTACTGCTCATAACATAATTTGGGTGGTAATATAATCTATAGCTCTTAGACTATTGGCAAGGCTTACATGTTATGATTTAACTGGACATTAACAAGGCCATTTCTATATATTATATATATATATATCAAAAACAAACAAACAAAAACAAGGCCATTTAATTCATGCTGATGACAATAGCTTAATTATTTGTATGGTGGTTTGTAAAAATTAGTTGGCTGAAATGAACTGATCTTCATGCCATAATCCATTCATCTAATTCACTTGGACATGGAGTATGGGTTCTTCATTAAAATAAAAGGATATTACATTTTTTATGAAATCTACTTTAAAAAATTTATAAACATCAGAAATTTATTACTTAAAATTCTGGAAGCTGGGAAGTCCAAAATCAAGGCAACAGCAGATTGTCATTGTCTGGTGAGAGCCTGTGCTTCATAGATGGCTCCTTCTATGTGTCCCAGGAAAAGGGGATCCTGCAAGTCTCTTTTGTAAGGGCACTAATCCCATTCATGAGCCCTCATGATCTAATCGTCTCCCAAAGATCCCATCTCTTAATACTATCACAGTGACGATGAAGTTTCAACATACGAGTTTTGAGGAAACATCAACATTCAGACCACAGCAATTTGTCTGTGCTCTCTGGGCATTTATGTTTTAGCTGGAAAGGTTAGAATGGCACCAGGAAACAAGCCAGGAAGGGACTGTGGATCCAGAAGCAGGTAAGATCCTTAGGGAAGTGGGCAGGGAAAGCCCTGGGGAGGTAGTCTGTCTATACCTAGTGTTCAAGGCATGGCAGGATGTGAAGGTGCATGGGCAGGCAGGGAGTTGGCAGAACGCATCAGGAAAGGCATGGGTTGGGGAGAAGACAAGGTGTGGTAAGAGGCAGTGAATAAAGAGTCCCACTGGAGTGGATTCCTTGGAGAGGAGCCAGGAACCAAAGGGCTATTTCTGATACAGGAAACAGAGCATCCCACAAGTAAGTATCACTCTGGGTATGGGGAATCTATGGGCATTTAGTGGGTTTTTATCTTTTTTAAAAAACTCCTATTTTAGGTTTGGGGGTGCATGTGAAGGTTTGTTACATAGGTAAATTTGTGTCATGGGATTTTGTTGTACAGATTATTTCATCACCCAGTTATTAAGCCCAGTACCCAATAGTTATCTTTTCTGCTCCTTTCCCTCCTCTCACCCTCCGCCCTCAAGTAGACCCAGTGTCTGTTGTTTCCTTCCTTGTATTCATAAATTCTCATCATTTAGCTCCCACTTATAAGTGAGAACATGGGATATTTGGTTTTCTGTTCCTGTGTTAGTTTGCTAAGGGTAATAGCCTCCAGCTCCATCCATGTTCCCACAAAAGACATGATCTCATTCTTTTTCATGGCTGCCTAGTATTCCATGGTGTATATGCACCACATTTTCTTTATCCAGGTTGTCATTGATGGGAATTTAGGTTGATTACATGTCTTTGCTATTGTGAATAGTGCTGCAATGAACATTTGTGTGCATGTGTCTTTATGGTAGAACGAATGATTTATATTCCTCTGGGTATATACCCAGTAATGGGGTTGCTGGGTCAAATGGTAGTTCTGCTTTTAGCTCTTTGAGGCATCACCATACTGCTTGGAACTAATTTACACTCCCACCAACAGTGTAAGTTCCCTTTTCTTCCCAACCTCACCAGCATCTGTTATTTTTTGACATTGTAATAGTCATTCTGACTCGTGTGAGGTGGTATCTTATTTTGGTTTTGATTTGCATTTTTCTAATCATCAGTGATATTGAGCTTTTTTTCATATGCCTGTTGTCCACATATATGTCTTCTTTTGAAAAGTGTCTGATCATGTCCTTTGCCCAGTTTTTTATTATTATTATAATATATATTTTTTTGAGATTGAATCTCGCTCTGTTCCCCAGGCTGGAGTGCAGTGGCATGATTTCAGCTCACTGCAACCTCCGCCTCCAGGTTTCAAGTGATTCTCCTGCCCGAGCCTCCCGAGTAGCTGGGATTACAGGCGCCTGCCACCATGCCCAGCTAATTTTTGAATGTTTAGTAGAGACAGGGTTTTGCCATGTTAGCAAGGCTGGTCTTGAACTCCTGACCTCAGGTGATCTGCCTGCCTGGGCCTTCCAAAGTGCTGGGATTACAGGTGTGAGCCACCGCTCCCGTCCATTTGCCCACTTTTTAATGGGGTTGTTCGTTTTTCTCTTGTAAATTTGTTTAAGTTCCTTATAGATGCTGGAAATTAGACCTTTGTCAGATGCAGAGTTTGCAAATATTTTCTCCCATTCTGTAGGTTGTCTGTTTACTCTGTTGATAGTTTCTTTTGCTGTGCAGAAGCTTTTAAGTTTAATTAGATCCCGCTTGTCAATTTTTGTTTTTGTTGCAATTGCTTTTGGTGTCTTTGTTATGAAATCTTTGCCTTTCCATATGTCCAGAATGGTATTGCCTAGATTCTTTCAGGGTATTTAATGAAATCTACTTTGAATAAGTAGAAATACAAATTGTATTATAAATACAAATTTGCATTCTGACTATAATAAGTATAAATAAAATCTAATTGATTATTAGATAAACAATAATAAAAACTCCCAAATAATATCATATATCTCTGCATTAATCAGCTTTAAGTCAATGTTTGGCATATCACCATCACAGACAGTTATTAATTCCATTTATACATGTCACTGGGTATTATTCAAAGGAAGTAAGACAAAATGGTTCTTGCCTCTAGATGTTTATAAGCTATGAAAATCACCACTGACGCAGACCTGAATGCTTCTTTACATCAAATGTTTTCATAATGTCTTAGAATTCGAAGGGAAGTCATCTAGTCCAACTTCCCACTCACTGCAAAAATCTGACCTGTAGTTTGACTAATACACAGTGTCCCATAGAAAAAAATGGGCTTTGCAGTCAGACCTGAATTCAGAGTCCAGGCTTACAATTCATTAGCTGTGTTACTTAATGTTACTTAACATGACTCTTTATGTCCTAATCAGTAGAATAAAAATAATGATGATGTTTACCTAGGCTAATATTTATTGAAGCAGTCATTATGTGCTAGGCCTTGTTTTTTGTTTTTTTTTTTTTGTTAACATAGTAAGCACTTACATTTTAGCCACCCTTCCTTCTCTGTCATATTTAGGGTTTCCTAAGCAATATGTGTTAATTGTTTAGCATAACATAAAGTACCTTTCCCTTGCCAGGCACAGATCAATAGGCCAGTAGCTAAAAGATGTAAGAGCTGAAGTCTGTCTTTAGCATACTCAGCTTCCCCTTCTTGCAAACACCAAACAGATGAGAGAGGAAAAAAATAATTTTGGTCTAAAGCAGTGGTCTCTAGACTTTTAATTGCAGGCTCCTAAACTTGAGCAAACCCCCCAAATTTAGTTATAGGTAATATACATTAATTATTGTACTATTATGTTCATTGTAAAACATGTTAAACATTAGAAGTTGTAAAACAAGATGAAAAAAAATCTAAATACAAGGAACTGCTAGACGGAATATATAAAGAACTCTTAAATCTCAACAATAAAAAGACAAATACTCCAATCTAAAAATGGGCAAAGGAACTGATTTCTGACCAAGGTGCCAAGAACACATAATGGGAAAAGAATAGTCTTGCCAATAAATGGTGTTTGAAAACTGGATATCCACATGTATGAAAACAGACCCTAACTCACACATTATATAAAAACCAACTCAAATTGAAGACTTAATTGTAAGACCTCAAACTATCAAACTACTAGAAGAACACACAGCGGAAAAGCTCTATGACATTGGAGCAAGATTCATTGGTCTGGGCAATGAAATTTGGATATGAACCCAAAGCACAGGCAAAAAAAAAGCAAAAATAGACACATAGGATTACATCAAACTGAAAAACTTCTGCACAGTAAGGGAAACAATCAACAGAGTGAAGAGACAACCTACATAACGGGAGAAAATATTTGCAAAGTATATACCTGATAAGGAATTAACATCCAAAATATAAAGGGGCTAAAACAACTCAATAGCAGGAAAACAAATAATCTGACTTTAAAATGGGGAAAGCCCTTTTGCGGGTGGCGGCGAGCTTGGAGAGGACGCCCTGAAGGCATAGCGCACTTAAGAGAGTACAAGGTGGTGGGTCGCTACCAGCCCACCCCCAAATGCCACACACCGCCCCTCTATGGCATGTGAATGTTTGCGCCTAATCATGTCGTCGCCAAGTCCAGCTTCTGGTATTTCGTATCTCAGTTAAAGAAGATGAAGAAGTTTTCAGGGGAGATTGCCTACTCTGGGTGGGTGTTTGAGAAGTCCCCTCTGCGGGTGAAGAACTTCCGCATCTGGCTGCGCTGTGACTCCCTGAGCGGCACCCACAACCTGTATCGGGAATACCAGGACCTGACCACGGCGGGCGGTCACCCAGTGCTACCGAGTCATGGACTCTCGGCACTGCGCCCAGGCCCACTCCATCCAGATCATGAAGGTGGAGGAGATCGCAGCCGGCAAGTGCCGCCGGCCGTCCGTCAAGCAGTTCCACGACTCTAAGGTCAAGTTCCCGCTGCCCCACCAGGTCCTGCGCCGTCAGCACAAGCCACGCTTCACCACCAAGAGGCCCAACACCTTCTTCTAGATGCAGGGCCCTCGCCCAGGTGTGCCCCAAATAAAATCGGAAAGGCCAAAAAATAAAAATAAATAAATAAATAAAAATGGGGAAAGGACCTGAATATATATATATGTCAAGAGAACACAGGCAAATGGGTCAACAGGTATATGAAAAAATGTTCAACATCACTAATTATCAGGGATATGCAAATTGAAACCACAATGAGCTATCACCTAAGACTTGTTAGAATAGCTACTATCAGAAAGACAAAAGATAAATGTTGGTGACGATGTGGAAAAAAGAGAACCATTGCAAACTGTGGGTGGTAATGTAAATTTAGTACAGCCATGATAAAAAAAAAAACTGTATAGAGATTCCCTGAAAAATTAAAAATAGAGCTACAATATGATCTGCCAATTCCACTTCTGCATATATAGCCAAAGGAATCGGAAATAAGATCGTGAAGAGAGAATACTCACTTCAATGTTTATTGCAGGATTATTCACAATAGCCAAGATATGGAATCAACTTAATTGTCTCTCAACAGATGAATGGATATAAGGAATATATACATAATGGAATACTATTCAGCCATTAAAAAGAAGATAATCCTGTCATTTACAGTAACATGGATGAACTTGGAGTAAATTTTGTTAAGTGAAATAAACCAGACGCAGAAAGACAAATACCACATGATTGTACTCAAATGAAGTATCTAAAAAAGTTGATCTCATAGAAGTAGAAAGTACAATGGTTGTTACCAGAGTCAGGATGGTTGCCGGAGGGAGTTGGGATGATGTCGGTCAAAGAATACAAAATTGTTAGGAGAAATAAGTTCAAAAGATCTATTGTACAACATGGTGAAGATAGTTAACAGTAATATGTTGTATTCTTGAAAAATGCTAAGAGACTGAATGTTAAATGTTCTCACCACAAAAAGTATTACTATGTAAGGTAATGTATATGTTAATTAGCTAGATTTAGTCATTCCAGAGTGTATATAAACTTCAAAACATTATTTTGGGCTGGGCATGGTGGCTCATGCCTGTAATCCCAGCACTTTGGGAGGCCGAGGTGGGTGGATCACCTGAGGTCAGGAGTTCAAGACCAGCCTGGCCAACATGGTGAAACCCCGTCTCTACTAAAAATACAAAAATTAGCCGGGCATAGTGGCATGTGCCTTTAGTCCCAGCTATTCAGGAGGCTGAGGCAGGAGAATTGCTTGAACCCGGGAGGCGGAGGTTGCAGTGAGCTGAGATCGCACCACTGCACTCCAGCCTGGGTGACAGAGTGAGACTCCGTCTCAAAAAACAAAAACAAAAAGCATCATTTTATTCATAATAAATACATACAATTTTATATGCCAATTAAAAAATAAAATAGTAAAAATAATAATGAGGTATATCCTCTTTTTTTTTTTTTTTTTTGAAATGGAAGCTTGCTCTGTCACCCAGGCTGGAGTGCAATGGTGTGGTCTTGGCTCACTGCAACCTCTGCCTCCTGGGTTCAAGAGATTCTCCTGCCTCAGCCTCCACAGTAGCTGGGATTACAGGCGCCCACTACCATGCCCGGCTAATTTGTATTTTTAGTAGAGACGGGGTTTCACCTTGTTGGCCAGGCTGGTCTTGAACTCCTGACCTTAGGTGATCCGCCCACCTCGACCTCCCAAAGTGCTGGTATTACAGGCTTCAGCCACCGAGCCTGGCCGAAGTATACACTTCTTAATGTACAAAGAATTTAGATAGATATTTCTTCAAATAAGACATATAAATGGCTAATAAACACATGAAAAAGTTCTCAACATCTTTAGTCATCAGGGGAATATCAATCAAACTCACAGTATGATACCACTGTGCACGCATTAGGTGGCTATAATCAAATAAATGGAAAATAACAAGTGTTGGTGAGAATGTGAAGAGATGTGAACCCTCATACATTCTTGGTAGAAATGTAAAGTGGTGCAGTTGTTATGGAAAATAGTCTGGTAGTTCCTCAAATGGTTAAACACAGAGTTACCCTGTGGTCCGGAAATTTTACTCCTAAGGTGTACAGTTGACCCTTGAACAACATCGGTTTGAACTGCACAAGTCCACTTATATGCAGACATTTTTTTCAATAAAAGTTTTAGTGAATGTGCTTGCTCCTCCTGCCTCCTCTTCACCTCTTCCAACTCTGCCACTCCAAGACAGTAAGACCAACTCCTCTTCTTCTTTCTCCTCCTCCTCAGCTTACTCATGTGAAGATGATAAGGATGAAGACCTTTATGATAATCTACTTCCACTTAATGATAGCAAATGTATTTTTTCTCCCTTATAATTTTCTCAATAACATTCATTTCCCAGCTTACTTTATTGTAATAATGCAGTATAAAATAGATATCACATAGAAAGTTTGTGTTAATCAACTGTTACCAGCAAGGCTTCCTCAACAGTAAGCTATTAGTAGTCAAGTTTTCAGGGAGTTGAAAGTTATTTGTAGATTTTGGACTGTGCAAGGGGTCAGCACTCTTAAACCCCATGTTGTTCAAGGATGTATGCACAAGAGAACTGAAAACATTTGTACTATCAAAGACCTTTTGCTTCAATGGTCATAGCAGCATTAACCATACTACCCCAAAGTGGAAACAACCCAAGTTTTCATCAGCTGATAAATGGATAATCAAAATGTGGTATATCCATGCAATTAAATATTTTTGGCATTGAAAACAATGAAGTACCCTTTTTTGCGTTCTCTTTCCCTCTCCCAACATGGCGGCCTCAGCAAAAAAGAAGAATAAGAAGGGGAAGACTATCTCCCTAACAGACTTTCTGGCTGAGGATGGGGGTACTGGTGGAGGAAGCACCTATGTTTCCAAACCAGTCAGCTGGGCTGATGAAACGATGACCTGGAAGGAGATGTTTCGACAACTTGGCACAGTAACAATGACGATGTGTATAGGGTGCCTCCAATTGACCGTTCCATCCTTCCCACTGCTCCACGGGCTGCTCGGGAACCCAATATCGACCGGAGCCGTCTTCCCAAATCGCCACCCTACACTGCTTTTCTAGGAAACCTACCCTATGATGTTACAGAAGAGTCAATTAAGGAATTCTTTCGAGGATTAAATATCAGTGCAGTGCGTTTACCACGTGAACCCAGCAATCCAGAGAGGTTGAAAGGTTTTGGTTATGCTGAATTTGAGGACCTGGATTCCCTGCTCAGTGCCCTGAGTCTCAATGAAGAGTCTCTAGGTAACAGGAGAATTCGAGTGGATGTTGCTGATCAAGCACAGGATAAAGACAGGGATGATCGTTCTTTTGGCCGTGATAGAAATCGGGATTCTGACAAAACAGATACGGACTGGAGGGCTTGTCCTGCTACAGACAGCTTTGATGACTAGAAGAGGTGATGATAGCTTTGGAGACAAGTATCGGGATCGTTATGATTCAGACCGGTATCGGGATGGGTATCGGGATGGCCCACGCCGGGATATGGATGGATATGGTGGCCGGGATCGCTATGATGACCAAGGCAGCAGAGACTATGATAGAGGCTATGATTCCCGGATAGGCAGTGGCAGAAGAGCATTTGGCAGCGGGTATCGCAGGGATGATGACTACAGAGGAGGCGGGGACCGCTATGAAGACTGATATGACAGACGGGATGATCGGTCGTGGAGCTCCAGAGATGATTACTCTCGGGATGATTATAGGTGTGATGATAGACGTCCCCCCCAAAGACCCAAACTGAATCTAAAGCCTTGGAGTACTCTTAAGCAAGATGATTCCTCTGCTAGTACCTCCCAGTCCACTCGAGCTGCTTCTATCTTTGGAGGGGCAAAGCCTGTTGACACAGCTGCTAGAGAAAGAGAAGTAGAAGAACGGCTACAGAAGGAACAAGAGAAGTTGCAGCGTCAGCTGAGTGAGCCAAAACTAGAACGACGGCCTCGGGAGAGACACCCAAGCTGGCGAAGTGAAGAAACTCAGGAACGGGAACGGTCAAGGACAGGAAGTGAGTCATCGCAGACTGGGACCTCCACCACATCTGGCAGAAATGCACGAAGGAGAGAGAGTAAGAAGTCTCTAGAAAATGAAACACTCAATAAGGAGGAAGATTGCCACTCTCCAACTTCTAAACCTCCCAAACCTGATCAGCCCCTAAAGGTAATGCCAGCCCCTCCACCAAAGGAGAATGCTTGGGTGAAGCGAAGTTCTAACCCTCCTGCTCGATCTCAGAGCTCAGACGCAGAGCAGCAATCCCCTACAAGTGGTGGGGGAAAAGTAGCTCCAGCTCAACCATCTGAGGAAGGACCAGCAAGGCAAGATGAAAATAAAGTAGATGGGATGAATGTCCCAAAAGGCCAAACTGGGAACTCTAGCCGTGGTCCAGGAGACGGAGGGAACAAAGACCACTGGAAGGAGTCAGATAGGAAAGATGGCAAAAAGGATCAAGACTCCAGATCTGCACCTGAGCCAAAGAAACCTGAGGAAAATCCAGCTTCCAAGTTCAGTTCTGCAAGCAACTATGCTGCTCTCTCTTGATGGTGAAGATGAAAATGAGGGAGAAGATTATGCCGAATAGACCTCTACATCCTGTGCTTTTCTCCTAGTTTCTCTCCACCCTGGAACATTCGAGAGCAAATCAAAACCTCTATCCAGACAAGACAAAATAAAACTCACCATCTCCTGAAGATCTTTCTTACCTTTTTTTAAAAACAAAAAATGAAACTATTTTGCATGCTGCTGCAGCCTTTAAAGTATTGAAGTAACTGGAGAATCGCCAATATAGCCAGAGAGAAAGGGACTACAGCTTTTTAGAGGAAAAGTTGTGGTGCGTTATGTCACCACGCAGTTGCCAGTGTGATTAGCGCCTAAGGGTCTCCATTTAGCAGAAATGGTAATGAGAGTGATATAACCCCTGGAACCTGGTTGGGCAGTAGGGGAGGGAGGGAGAAGGAAAAGTGTGAGATTTCTACTTTTTAGTTTTTATCCTATTGTGGCATATATGAATTCTCAAACATTATCTGAATAAATTTTCCACTCTTGGAAAGGTAGATTTAGCCTCAAGTTGTTTTAGTCTCCAGGAGGCTGCCAGCCCCTCCTCTTATTTAATTCTGAGTTTTGGGGGCCACCCTAGAGGGAATTCCCTTTTTTTTTTTTTTTTACCCCCCAGGGGGGTAGTTGGGAGTGAGACTATAGGCCATAAAGAATGGGACTGCATTGGACCAAAATAAATGGGAAAATCGTGGTTTGAAAAGAAGCTTTTGGGAAGTGATGAGTCATTTTGCACCAGGTAATAGGGGAAAATTGCGTGACCTCCAGCAAACACATGAATGGTTATTTCCTGGAGCCGGAAGCACTTGGGGGTCGTGGTAATTCCCAATGTTTTCTGTGTCCTAGTTTTACCCTTTCTAAACACTGTCCTTTTTGAAAGTTTGAATATATCCACATTGTATTGAAACCTTGAAACTAAAAATTTAGACTCTTATCGTCATCTTAAGTTCTTCATGATACTCTTAACCTCCCAAAAAGCAGTATCTAAGTCACATACATGATGTCTTGGGCATTTTCTCTCTCAGCCATGGAGAGCTGTGAAAGGAAGAATCGCTGCTTTTCTCAAGCAAATCGGTTTCTTGATGTCTTTTGGTTCTCACTCCTTGCCTGTTCCTGATGCTTTGACCCCTTTTATAGATCAGAGTGCTCTAGAATAATGGATGGTCTTGGATGGTGGATAAATAGGGACAGGGACAGTTAAATTGGGAGCCTTTCTTACAACCTTGATAGGCTTTTTTCCCCCCAAGTTTCCTTCTCCACTGAAATGCCACACTAATGCTTGTTGGATTCATGAGGTGGCCAGACCAACGTGTTTTTTTTGTTTTTTTGTTTTTTTGTTTTTTTTGTTTTTTTGTTTTTTTAGCTTCCCTTGAGAGAATAAACGGTAATGGAGAGAACTATTTAACAAGGTCCTGGTTTCTCTTGCAACACAGTAGCTAAACTTGCCTGCTTTTATATGCATTTCTTTGTAGGGATCAGCTTGATAGACAGTATTAGCAGAGAAACGACACCTTGATCTTGGTTTGCAAGCCCTTCCCCCATCAGTCCTAGATTAGGCCCTGCTCAGCCATGCAGGGGTGTTGGTTTATGCGTGCTGCAGCAGTGGGCATAATGAATATAATTTACCCAGTGGACAAAGGTGTGTACCAAGTGAATTTAAATAATTGGTGTGGATTGGCCAGTAGCTAAGAAGTGGGCTTTTAAAGAGTATTGAAGATTGAAAGGTTTTTTTTCTTTTTTTAAAAAGAAAAAAAAAACTATTGATTGTAGATAATGAAAAGCTAGGGTTTGCCCTCTTCATGTCTACTCTCCTTCCAAATAGTTATATCCAAAACTGTTTTTCCCTTTCCCCTACCTTGCCCCCCTATTAAAATAGAAACAGGGATTGATTAATGTCCCACTCCTGAATACACGTAAAATTTGTACAAAAATATCTTCCATGAAAATGATTTGTAACCTGTAGACTTATTACCTGGGAGATGTCTTGATGTAAAATCCCATCCTGTGGGTTGTGGGTTTTTTGTTTTCTCCAAATAAATATGATCTTTAAAAAAAAAAAAAAGAAAAAAAAGAAAACAATGAAGTACTGATACAACATGGATTAACCTTGAAAATGGTCTGCTAAGTGAAAGAGTCCATCATAAAAAACTAATTATATGATTCCACTTATATAAAATGTCCAGAATAGGAAAATCTATATATAAAGAGTAAATCAGTGGTTTCCTGGAGATCAGGTAAAGAAGGGATGGGGGTGACTGCTAATAGAAATGAGGTATCTGTGGAGTAATGAAAATGTTCTAAAACTAGATTATGATGATAGTTGGACAAATCTGAATATAGTAAAAACCACTGGCTTTCACACTTTAAACCAGTGAATGTTATGGTACATAAATTGTAACTTGATAAAGTGATTTTAAGAAATAAACCCCTATGACACGTGTTTGCCTATATAACAAACTTGCACATGTACCCCTGAACCAAAAATAAAAGTTAAAAAATAAAATGAATTTAAAAAAATAAAAACAAAAGAAATAAAAAATATAAATAACAGTTTTTCTGTTTTCCTTCTCATGCTTCATGGTCTTGTTCATGCCCTGGGATGTACATGTCTAATTTGGAAACCTCTGGTCTCAAGGTCCTTCTCAGTGGTCCTGAAAATAACCTTATATTGGTTGCCAAAATTTCAGATAGGTAAGATGTAACCCCTCCCATTAATGATTGACAGCTCAGTAGTAGATTGTTGGAGGAGTAAAAATAGCAGCTTAACAATACTGAATTGGACCTCAGTTGACCTTCATTTCATTTCCCTGTTGGGCCTATTTTCCCAAATGGGGATTTCCTTAACCAAGAAATCATGTTAACCAATTTTATTCTGATCAAGGATATTGACTGTGACCTAAGGGATAGTAAACACATGAATAAACTATTGCTTATCATTTTTCTGGTGATTACTACAAATATTCAGAGATTTTTAAATGACTGTGACTCTTATACCAAACTCACTCATATCATTTTTAGTAATTGTCATCAAAATTAAATTGGGATAGCTCAGTGTTAACATAGTATGGTATCATTCTTCTCAAGGCATCTATCTCTGTTACTAATGTTTCTTTGGCTCTATTCTAGCTACAATGTTTTTACACTGAACTTTTCTCACTGCCACAAATTGTGCATTGCAAATTCATGTAACATTGTTGAAACCCTGTAGAAGATACATTTTATAAACATTGACAACGTTTTTATAAATCCTAGTAAAATGCAAAACTACTTGACTATACGAAGTAGTGCATTGTTTCAGGAACAATGTAATTTTATTTCTGGAAAATATTATGAAGGTCGGGCACGGTGGCTCACGCCTATAATCCCGGCACTTTGGGAGGCAGAGGCTGGCGGATCACTTGAGGTTAGGAGCTTGAGACCAGCCTGGCCAACATGGCGAAAACCCGGCTCTACTAAAAATACAAAAATTAGCCGGGCACAGGCCGGGCGCGGTGGCTCACGCCTGTAATCCCAGCACTTTGAGAGGCCAAGGCGGGCGGATCACGAGGTCAGGAGATCGAGACCATCCTGGCTAACACGGTGAAACCCCGTCTCTACTAAAAATACAAAAAATTAGCCGGGCCTGGTGGTGGGACTATAGCTGGGACTATAGGCGCACACCACCACGCCCGGCTAATTTTTTTTATTTTTAGTAGAGATGGGGTTTCACCATGTTGACCAGGCTGGCCTCGAACTCTTGACCTCAAGTGATCTGCCCGCTCGGCCTCCCAAAGTGCTGGGATTACAGGCATGAGCCACCACACCCGGCCCTAAAATTAAAAAAAAAAAAAAATTAAAAAAGAAAATATTGTGAAATTAATGAATTGCTTTGAATAGAGGACTTTGCCAATTTCACTTATGCAGAAAAATAATCTGTTAAGTATATACATGTCAGACACCACACTTTTTAAAACCAGGTAATGTATTTTTATTTATATTATATGTATAAATAATCTGAATTCAGCATTTTGTTATAGATTTGGACAGGTTTTTGTGAAAGTTCAATTTGAAGAACAGGAATGGAGAAAAGTGTCTCTCTCATAATTTCACATTTGTATACACTTTACAAAGCTGTGCAAAATATCTAAGTCCTGAATCCTTATTTAATCTGGTTGCAAACTTTATTTTGCTGTTGTTGTTTTCTAGATGGGGGTTCTCACTCTGTCACCCAGGCTGGAGTACAGTGCCGCGATTGTAGATCACTGCTGCCTCAAATTCCTGAGCTCAAGGGATCCTCCCACCGCAGCTGCTGACTAGCTAGGACTACAGGCACGCATCAACACGCCTGGCTAAATTAAAAAAAAATTTTTTTCCTGACTTTTTAACGATCGCCATTCTAACTGGTGTGAGATGGTATCTCATTGTGCTTTTGACTTGTATTTCTCTGATGGCCAGTGATGATGAGCATTTTTTCATGTGTCTGTTGGCTGCATAAATGTCTTGTTTTGAGAAGTGTCTGTTCATATCCTTCGCCCACTTGTTGATGGGGTTGTTTGTTTTTTTCTTGTGAATTTGAGCTCTTTGTAGATTCTGGATATTAGCCCTTTGTCAGATGAGTAGATTGCAAAAATTTTTTCCCATTCTATAGGTTGCCTGTTCACTTTGATGGTAGTTTCTTTTGCTGTGCAGAAGCTCTAAAAAGTCAGGAAACAACAGGCGCTGGAGAGGATGTGGAGAAATAGGAACACTTTTACACTGTTGGTGGGACTGGAAACTAGTTCAACCATTGTGGAAGTCAGTGTGGCAATTCCTCAGGGATCTAGAACTAGAAATACCATTTGACCCAGCCATCCCATTACTGGGTATATACCCAAAGGATTATAAATCATGCTGCTATAAAGACACATGCACACGTATGTTTATTGCAGCACTATTCACAATAGCAAAGACTTGGAACCAACCCAAATGTCCAACAATGATAGACTGGATTAAGAAAATGTGGCACATATACACCATGGAATACTATGCAGCCATAAAAAATGATGAGTTCATGTCATTTGTAGGGACATGGATGAAGCTGGAAACCATCATTCTCAGCAAACTATCGCAAGGACAAAAAAACAAACACCGCCTGTTCTCACTCATAGGTGGGAATTGAACAATGAGACCACATGGACACAGGAAGGGGAACATCACACACTGGGGCCTGTCATGGGGTGGGGGGAGGGGGGAGGGATAGCATTAGGAGATATACCTAATGTTAAATGACGAGTTAATGGGTGCAGCACACCAACATGGCACATGTATACATATGTAACAAACCTGCATGTTGTGCACATGTACCCTAGAACTTAAAGTATAATAGAAATATATATATATATAAAAAAATTTTTTTTGTAGAGACGAGGTCTCGCCATCTTGCCTGAGCTGGTCGTGAACTCCTGGGCTCAAGCGATTCTCCTGCCCAGGCCCCCCAAAGTAATGGGATTACAGGTGTGAGCCACCCACCCCGTCTGGTAACAAATTCTAAGTGGTACAAAGAAATAAAGAATACAATGAAATACTATTTGTATTGGGCTTTGCTAAGGAGACCTCAGAAACATTAGCATGTTCTTATGAAATTAATGTTCCCAGCACTAGCTATAGAGATGTCCATGGTGCTTTTTAATACTTTGCAGAAAATAAAATGCAAGTAGGGAGCTGACATATTCTTTCACAAAGCCTTTTTGGAGCAACAACCTGGTCTATGTAAAATCCTAGAAATTAAAGCACATAGTTCAGTAGAAGGACATTAGATTTTTAACCATAAGGAAAACAACTACTATTCAGAAGAATTGAACATGGCCATCTGTATCCTGACAAGAGTGTAGATATTTGGCCTTTTATTAGCTTCTTTCTTTTTAGTTTGTGAGTCTTCCTGCAGTTATTAGACTCAGTCTTATCTTGTTGACCCACCAGGTCATACCACAACTTCAATTTGGGTAGATAAACTGAGATACTGCTATACTATATATACACCACTGCCATTTTGACCCTGAACAAGTTCCTTAGAGTTGTTTAGATGCATGTAATCAATTTTTATTTATTAATATTATTTACATTTTCCACCAAAGTTCTAACTATAAATGCAAATAAACAATCTTTCCAGAAGGTAGAAAATTGATGTTGCTAGAGTGAAGAAAAGCTAACTGATTAAAATATATCTTTAATCCTTAAATTTTCTCCCTCTCAGAAAGATCCATTATTTAGCCCCTGCCTTTGTAAGTTGCTAATATTTCCCACTCAAACTTTTAAAAAATGGGGACAAAGTAACATCAAAATTTACTAATTACTAGGCATTCTCACATATTGTATTTAATGTTAGCAAAAGTGTGAGGAAGACTCTGTTATCACTATTATATAAACAAAGAAAATAGTCCAAAGATGTTAAATTTATTATGTAAGGCAACATAGAAAAAAAAATATGGACATAAACATAGTTCTTCTGAATTCAAATCTAGTTGTCTTTCTTTTTTTGTATACCAGGGAGTGAGATCAAATGGCTGCCCAATAGATAACTTCATCTGTTCAATAAGGGGTGGTGAGGAAAGGGGGTGAAATGAAAAGGAATGTTCCCACCTTGAGACAGAAAATAATCAACTAGCTAACTAACTGAGCATGAGCTATGGAGATAGGGCTATTGAACAGGAGAGCAAGAAACTAGAAGTAGTAAGACAGGGATTTCTCATTGATAACTAAATTGGATGAAAGTGACAGTAGTGTTTGTGTTAGAGCAATGATTCAAAATCAAGCCAATCCTCTTTACTTTTAGGCTTATACATTCTTTTGTTCATTTTTTTTATTTCTGGAATATTATTTCCTCCAACTTTTCATGCACAATTTTTGAAAGTCTATCAAGAGCCAGCTTTAGTGCAACCCCTCAGTGAAGCATTGTGTGATCCACTTCTTGCCAGCAGAAGGAATCTTTATTTTAGCTATGGGATGTGATATAGAAAAGAATCAGTACTGGGGAACAGAGAATGTTGGGGCACTGTAATGGGATTGAGGTTGCCTTTGGACATCTCCTTTGGCCAGCTATCTTGATCAGCTTTTCTGAGATGCCAGCGTCATGGTCCAGAATCCTTGCATGGACCCCAGTCTCATCTGGCAGGACTGTGTCAGGATGGGGCAAAGGTTATCTGTGCAGTCAACCTTCAGGGACTGGTGCAATGGTTTCTCATCTCCTACTATGCCTTTTACTGAATGGAGATGTTTCTCTACCTAAGAGAGAGACAAATAATTAAAGGTTTTGTTGATCTGCATAGTTCAGCCATGTGCTTGGATGTTGTGTTAATGTCTGTGTTCAAACACACTTGTAAAAAAGACTTATCTAAAATAAGTAATGAGAAAGTGAGCAAAAGAAGTTTGTCAAATACTCAACCAAATGCTCCTTTATGACTCCTACATGAAAGGGCTAGCACAACAGTGTTCACTATGATAGCTACCAGATAAATGTGGGTATTGAGTACATGAAATGTGGCTGGTATGAACTGAGATGTGCTGAAAGTGTAAAATTACTGGATTTCAAAGACTTGGTATGAAAAAATAATGTTCAAACTGATTCAAAGGAGAATCCAAAGAGCATACATTTATTAATATATAAGTAATCAAATGAATTTCCTGATAGAAACAAAACTGATCAATACCCACAGGGAAACAAAGTATGTTTGGAGGCCGGGCGTGGTGGCTTATGCCTGTAATCCCAACACTTTGGGAGGCCAAGGCAGGCAAATCAAGAGGTCAAGAGATCGAGACCATCCTGGCCAACATGGTGAAACCGTGTCTCTATTAAAAATGCAAAAATTAGCTGGGCATGGTGGTGCTTGCCTGTACTCCCAGCTACTCGGGAGGCTGAGGCAGGGGAATCGCTTGAACCCCAGAGGCAGAGGTTGCAGTGAGTTGAGATCGTGCCATTGCACTCCAGCCTGGGCAACAGAGCGAGACACACACACACACACACACACACACTCTCTCTCTCTCTCCATATATATATATTTGGAATCATCTCTTCAATCACTTGTATCCTCAACCAGAAAAATTCATTTGCATCTTGCTAAACAGTGGGTACATGTGGATATAAAGATGGAAATAATAGACATGGGGGACTCAAAAAGGGAAGAGTGAGGGGGGTAAGGGTTAAAAAATTACCTATTGGATACAATGCTCAATATTTGGGTGAAGGATACACTAGAAGCACAATTCCTACCATTATGCAATATATCCATGTAACAAACATGCATGTGTATTCCCTGAATCTAAAACAAAAATAAAAAAGAAAATCATTTTACAAAATATAATGATTTGCATTGTTGTCGGTTTTTATAATATACAGAATTATAAAATAGCTCAAAGAGAGTAAAAAACATATACTTTAATAGAGGCAGATAATCCCTAAAGGTCCCCTACACAATATCTAGCATTGCTTTCAAAGGACGTCTAGCAATCTTTTGCTTATTTTTCAATATTTCACAATTTTGACAGATACCAGAAAAACTTATTGGCCAAGTAATGCTAAGTTTATTAGACTTACTCTGGTAGGAGAGAACACTACCTTGATAGTCTCAGCATTATCTCAAAATGGATAAATTAGAAACGGGGTTTTATAGGGTGTTTGGGGGTTTTAGAGCCTGGAATGGGTGATTTCTTGGTGACGTAAAGGCAGGGACCTGATACATATTGGATAGAGTTTACGATATAATAGCCTGGGATTGTTGAGCACAGCAATAATGAGTATCTTGAAGTGAATCTTGATGATCATACTATTTTATCTTCCAAAAGCAAGTATTCCTGAGGTGAGTAGCTAAATTTCAATGCCTGGTCTCAGTTTAAGGATAGGAAAGTGTGCCTGATATCACTATTATTGAACAGAGGGACAATAAAAAAATGTTGCCTTCAGTTTTCATGAGTATCTGATACACAACGTGCTTTGCCCAATTATTTGTATACATTCTTGCTCTATTTGCCTAACTCCTTTAGAGTGAAAATACCTTCTATGGCATTTCCCCACAGCTTTATTGAGGTATAATTGGTAGTGCTCTGACTTTTAATGCCTGAACACACTCCATTCCAAAATGGCTTTCACTGAGAACCCCAGAGTTGTTATAAAGGTTATTTTATGCTGAAGATACTTGAGATTCAATAGATACAGAAACAAGCCTTCTTAGAGCTTTTCTTCTATGATGAAGAAATTTCTGAGAAATGAAAACTGCCATAAATTCCCTCCTTGGGGTGGTTTCCGTTACCAGGAGAAAAACTAAGACTAAACCTACCATAAATCCTCTCTCTTGGGGAGTTTCATGGATATGAAGGAGATAGAAAGACCATTTGTACCTGCATAGATAAACATTATCACAAACTTTCTTATCTCCTATTTTTTCTCTGGAAGCCTATTTATCTTTCCTAAAGAAATCTATTTGTTCTTCCCATAGAAGCCCTTTCACCTCTCCCTTTCCCCTACTAAGTGAGATATGTAAGCCACAGACTCTAAGCTTCCCTTTCAGGTACTCATAACTGAGCACTCCCACATGTATATGAGTTGTGCATGAAAACAAACTATTTTTAATTTGGCTAATTTGAACATGATTTGATATCAATACACATAAGCATCTCTATCCACAGGACAGCAAAGCAGCTTTGTAAATATTATCCAAAATTTCATCAGGCACTTTCCCTTAACAACTATAAATGAAAGGTTCAAGCATCCTAATAATTTCTGTGGATAAGTGTTTTCAAAACACTACTAGACTTCTTTGAAAATTAATAGTCTAAGATGTAATTAAGTTCCCAGGTCCAAGTTGTAAGTTACTAATGAAGAAAGAAAACAATAGAAAAGCCCTGTGTAACGACTGCCTAAATTAAAGGGATGATTGGTTGAACCTTTTGTTTTCTTGGTCCTAATAAGTTGGTGTTCAAAAATATGGCATTCCTGTCAGCTTAAATTTTATCAAGGCTGCTTTGTCTGATTCTGCTGGCTAATGGTAATGTTCATAAATCCGCTAATGTTCATAAATCAGCTAATGTTATTGTTGCTAGGGAACATTCTGGTTACCTTCTACTACCCCAATCAATTTTGAAAAAATAATCCAATATTACATTTCATTTCTGAGTATGTGTTCTGCACATTTCAAGCCGAAAAAAAATCATAATAAATACTACCTAAAACGTTATGATTGTGACTAGTATATGTCAAGAATATGTGTCTGTATTACTCAGATGCCACTACAATTTACTGCCATGAGAGGGTCAGCCAGGAAATGGTCCATGGCCTTTTAAAAACCCAGGTGCTCAGCCAATTCCATTAGTTCCAAGTGCTATGCTCTTTTCCTCTGTGAGAATACATCAGCTTAGCATAATAGGTTCAATTTTCAAAAGGCTGTATTTGATTTATTTCTTTTGGCAATACAGCTTTTAGCCTGCAAAAATAAATAAATAAATGAACGAATACCCTGCTTGTATTGAAACAGCTAGGTTCCCCACACCAAACTGGGAGGTGGAATTATGGAATAAAAAAAGACATCTCCTAGAGGTTCATTACTGAAGCACATTTTAAATAGTGAACTGTGAAGAAGAATTAACATTTTCCAGTTTATTCAGTTAGGAAAGAAGAGCGCAGAATCTTAGGGGATCAAATACTCTCCCCTTGATTATGGGTGGGGCTTGGGGATATGATGGCAAAAGAGATTTTGCAGATGCCATTAAGGTTCCTGATCAGTTGCTTTGGGTCAAACAAAAGGGAGTTTACCCTGGGTGAGTCTGACCTAATCAGGTTAGCCCTTAAAGGAGACAAACAGAAGCTGCAGACATGCTTTCTCTTGGCCTTGAAGGCAGTCACCATGAGTTCAACAGTTGCAAAAAAACAAACGCTATCTATATAACCACATGATCTTGGAAGAGAGCACAAAGCTTTAGAAGAGACCGCAGCCCTGGCCAACACCTTGCTTTCAGCCTAGTGAGATGATGATCAGAGAACCCAACTAGTCCATGCCCAAACTCCTGACCCATAGAAATAAATGTTATTTTTGTTAAGTTGCTAAAGTTGTGGTATTTTGCTGTACAGCAATAGAAAACTAATATACCCCCCTTTCCTCTAAGAATTGCTCCCCATAAATAAATATGATTACAAAAGCAACATATATTCATTGTAAAAATAGAAATGCAGATTGATAAGCATATTGATTAACATTTAAAAAACAATCCCATCACTGTATTAACCATATTGGCATGGAAACTTTCAGATATTTTACAATGCATACATGCACCTATTTTTTTAATGGGATCATATGGTCAATATTGTTTTGTAAACAGTCTTCTTTTACTTAACAATGCATCAGAAAAATATTCACATGCCAAGCATTTATATAAAATATTAAGTGTTATATAATATTTTACTGTCTTAATATTTTATAATTTATTTATTAAATTTTCTTTTGTTAGATCTTGATCCAATAAGGGCCACCCTCGTGGAACCAAATTTTTACATATGTCTTAATTATTTTCCTAGGATAAATTTCTAGAAGTGAAATGGCTGGACCAAATGTTTTTCACATTTGTAGGACATTTTTTCTATGATGCTTTCAAAGAGGATTTTCTTTCTCCCCCATCTTCCTCCGTTCTCTCTCCTCATCTTTTTATCCTCTAGATTTTTTTGTTTCCATTTTTCTTTTTCCATCCTATGTCTTTTTGTCTCCAACTTTTTGTTTAATCATAAAAATTAGTGATTTCCAGTCATCAGATAATTAGATTTAGCAGCATATTTTCTGATTTCTTTTATCTTTCATCTCAACTTTCTTTCATTTCATGTTTCTTCTTCCACCTTATCTCCTAATTCTGGGTTTATTTTTCTTCTTGCTGAAGTACCTGTTTTAATTATTTTTAAAGCACGTATTTGTGTGCAAATCTGTTCTTTTATATTTGTATGTATGAAAAAAATTTAATCAATCATCAATTTTGAATGATAGTTTAAATGAAGATACATTTTATGTTGGAAGTCCTTTTCCTTCACAATTTTATTTCATTGTTTCCTGACATATAGTATAGCTGATGAAAATTTGCTGTCAGTATAATCATTTATCTATAGATAGTCTAGTCTGTCTGGTAGCTTTTAAGATCAAACTCTTAAATGTCCCTCATTTTCACTGTGATGTGTGTACATGTAGAATCATTTTTATTTATCCTTTTTGCCTGTTGGTGTGTACTTTCTATGTGAAAATTCTTGTATTTCTTCAATTCTGAAAAAATAGTCAGTATTTTAAAAATATTGCCACTCTGCTATTCCTTTTAGTCTCCCCTTATAGTGGGTTGAATGGTGGCCTCCAAGGAGATATATCCATGTGCTCATCCCCAGAATCTGTGAATGACTTTATTTGAAAAAAAAAAAAAAAGGTATCTTTAAAGATCATCTTGGATTATCTGGGTGGGCCCTAAATCCAATAACAAGTATCCTTATAAGAGACACACAGAGGACAAACATAGGAAGAAAAGGAAAAGAACATGTGAAGATGGAGGCAGATATTAGAGTTATGTGGTCATAGATCAAAGACACTAGAAGCCACCAGACACTAGAAGAGGCAAGGCAAGATTCTCTCCTAGAGCCTTTGAGGGGGTACGGCATTATCAATACCTTGATTTTTGACTTCTGGGCTCCAGAACTATGAGAAAATAATTTTTTTTTGTTTTAAGCCTCGAAGTTTGTGGTAAATTCTTACAGTAGCCAGAGAAAATTAATCCATCATTTAGGTAGGTTAGAGCTAAGGTTAGACTTAGGTTAGCACTCCATTATCTATTTTTGGTATGTGTAGCTCCTATGCTGCATTGGTAAGTTTCTCATGTCTATCTTCCTTTTTACCCATTTTCATCCACTTTATTCAATTTATAGTTGATCTCATCTTTATTTATATTCTTGATTCATTTCTGACAAATTTTATTTCAAAGCATGCTGCTTTTTTATATGTTATTCCAATCTGTATCTCTTTAAAGATCTTCAAAATCTCTCCAGAGTACTCTCTTACTTCCATTTATTTGGAAGTTGAATTCTCCCACTTGTTGAGTTTATTAGCTATCTTTCATGCCATGAATTTCTTTCTTTTTTTTTTTTTTTTCTCTGAGACGGTGTTTTCATGCTTGTTGCCCAGGCTGCAGTGCAATGGCACGATCTCAGCTCACTGCAACCTCTGCCTCCCGGGTTCAAGTGATTCTCCTGCCTCAGCTTCCTGAGTAGCTGGGATTACAAGTGCCCGCCACCATGCCTGACTAATTTTGTATTTTTAGTAGAGACGAGGTTTCACCATGTTGGCCAGGCTGGTCTCGAACTCCTGACCTCAGGTTATCCACCTGCCTCGGCCTCCCAAAGTGCTGGGATTACAGGCATAAATTTCTTTTACATACTTGACATTACACTTCGTAAGTTTCCTTGAGTGGGGGTATCTTTTTTCTATCTTTCATGCTTTCCACTCCACATTTACAGTTTTGAGGTTGCTGCCATCAGGCCCCCAGGGTCCCCAGTTTAGACCCAACTCATCTATAGCAGCCCACTGCTCTTTTTCTATATCAATTCCACTTCAGTGCATAGCTTGACTGTATTCCCTGCTGCAGAGTTGTCATTACTCTTTCTTGCCACCCCAAGCAGGCAGCTGGTTATTGCTTATATCCCTGGGCAGTGGTGGATTTATCAGAGAAGAGAAGAATGCCCAACTCATTACTCCCACTCCCACCCCTCATTTCACCTAGTGAACTAGGTTTCAACACCTCTTATAAGTAGATGCTCAAAAACTCTGTTTGTCCCACTTGAGTTCACTTTCTAACACCATATCATGTTTTTGGTCCCAAAGCCCAAAAAGCCTGTGGCTTCAGCCTCTTGCTCATTGCTGTATGTTTCCATTCCCTCTTTGGTGAACAGGTTTGTATCTGTTATATCTTTTTTTATGAAAAACAACTTTAAGGATATATAATTCATATAACTCATAGTTGAAGTTACAATTTAATGGCCTCTAGTATATTCACAGAGTTGTGCAATTGTCACTGTAATCTGTGTTATGGTTTTTAGCTTAAAAATTAGATTTTATTCATCATTATTAATGTAATTAGGTTCCTAGTATCCTTAAGAGCCCACCATCTTAACTGAAAATGGCAGATTCTTTGACTGAAAAATTTAGATTTTCCTACAGCATAAGTATATCTAATATAAGTTGGAAGTATTTTTCTTAAAATGTATGTGGTCCTTACAAAGGAATATTATTAGGCAATAAAAAGGAATGGAGTACTAATATAAGCTACAGCATGGATGAGCTTTGAAAACATTATGCTAAGTGAAAGATGCCAGTCACAAAGGACTACATATATTATTCCATTTATATGAAATATCCAGAACAGGCAAATCCATAGAGACAGAAAGTAGATTAGTGGTTGCCAGGAACTGGAGAGGGGTTAATGGGAGTGACTGTTAATAGGTACAGTTTCTTCTGGAGTTGATGAAAATATTCTAAAATTAGATTGATTATGGTTATTATTGTTCAACTCTGGATATACTACAAAACACTGAAATGTATATCTTAAATGGATAAATGTTATGCTATATATACTTTATGTCAATGCATCTATTAAAAATACATATGGATAAGGAGAAATTTCTTTCAGCCAAATTAAACACAGCAAAAATTAGTGATCCCAAAGGACAGATTTTAGAAAAGTTATAGCTGTATTTAAACATCTATTAAATCACTAAAATTCTTTAATTTGTTTCTTATACTTGTTCATTTTTAGTTTTTATATTAAAACGTGATTAATGGTGATTTCTGCCAAACATTTAGGGAAAAATAATTTTACAAAAACTCTTCCAGAAATTAGAAGATGAGAGACCTGTTCTCAACTCATTCTATGAAGCCAGTATCGCTTTGATACCAAAACCTTACAAAAACATCAGAAAAAAAGAAAACTACTGTTTGATATCTCTCATGAATCTAGAGGCAAGAATTTTAAAACTTCAGAATATTGAATCCAACAATATATATAAAGGGTAGTACATCACAACAAAGTTTGGCTTATCTCAGTAATGGAGAGCTAATTTAACACTAAAAAGCATCATACTAACAAATTAGTACACACACACACACACACACACACACACGATTTTAATAGATGCAGAAAATCATTTGACAATTTCCAAAATCCATTTCTCATAAAAATCTAAACAAAATAGGATTAAATGAAATTTTATCTGTTAGATAAAGAGCAACTATGAAAAATACATAGGTAGCATCATATTTAATGGTGAAAGACAGAATGTTTTTATCCTGCTATGGTTTGAAGGTGCCCTTACCCCACAAAAATATATGTTAAAAACTTAATCCCCAGTGCAATGGTGTTGAGAGGTAAGGCCTAATGGGAGGTGTTTAGGTCATGAGGGCTCCACCCTCATGAATGGATTAATGCCAATTATGAAAGGGCTTGAGACTGCAAGTTTGATCTCTTGCTCTTTCCTGCCTCTCTTTGCCCTTCTGCCATGGAATGACTTACCAAACAGGTCCTTATGAGATACTGGCCCCTCAATCTTGGACCTTCCAGCTTGTAAAACTGTGAGTGAATAAATTTCTGTTTATTACAAATTACCCAGCCGGTGGTATTCTGTTATAGTAGCACAAAACGTATTAAGACATTCCTTAAGATCTGCAATAAGACAAGAGTGTCCACTCTTACCACTTCTGTTCAACATTCTATTAGAGGTTCTGTCCAGTGTAATCAGGCAAGAAAAAGAAATAAAAGGCATCTATATCCTAAAGGAAAAATTAAAACTATATTTATTCTTAGACAACATGAATGCCTATGTAGAAAATCTGATGGAATCCACTAAGAAGCTACTAGAACTAATGCATGAGTTCATCAAGATTGTGGGTTATGAGATCAATATACAAAAAATCAATTATATTTTTCTGTATTAGTAATGAATAATTAAAAATTAAAATTTCAAAAGCAATACCATTTATAATAGTACTTAGGAATCGAAAACACCTAGGAATACTTAGAGATAAATACTTAGGAATAAAGCTTACAAAAGATGTGTAAGACCTGTACACTGAAAGTTATTGCTGAGATAACTGAAAGAAGAAAGAAGACCTAAATAAATGGAACAGCATACTTTGGTCATGTGTTGGAAGACTCAGTATTATTAAGAGCTTAATTCTCCCAAAATAGTTCTATAGAGTCAATGCAATCTCAATTAAGATCCCAGTTTGTTATTTTTTAAAAATTGGCAAGTTAATCCTAAAATGCAGATGGAAATGCAAAAAACCTAGAATAGGCAAAACTAGGCTGAAAAAGAAGGTCAAATTTGGGGGCACAACAATGATTTCAAGTCTGTTATAATGGTACAGTAATCAAAACAATGTGTACTGCCATCACAATAGACAAATAGGTCAGTGGAACAGAACACAGTCCAAAATAGACTTACATATGTGGACATCTGATTTTTGACAAATATTCAAAGGCAATTCAATGAAGAAAGCATTGTCTTTTTAACAAATGCTGCTGAAATAAGTGGCTATCCATATGCAAAAAAAAAAAAACCCATAAAACTTCACAACATACATACACAAAAATTAACTCAAAGTGTATCATAGACCTAAATGTAAAGCTAATACTATAAAGATTTTCAAAGAAAAAACAGGAGAAGACCTTTGTGACCTTTGATTAGGGAACATTCACTTAGATACAACACAATAAGCACAGCCAATGAAAGAAAAAATATAAAAGACTTTGTGAGAAATGAAAACGTTTGCTCTTCAAAAGACATGGTTAAGAGGCTGAAAAGTCAAGCTATGGATTGGGAGAAAATATTTGCAAAGCATACATATCATAAAAGACTTGTGTGCGGGGTATATAAAGAACACTCAAAACCTAATAAGAAACAAACAACTCAATAAAAAAGTGGGCAAAAGGCTTAAATAGACACTTTACCAAGGAAGATACATGGATTGCAACAAAAACAAAAAACAACAAAAATCACATGTGAAAAGATGCTCAACATCATTAGTCACTAAGGGTATTGCAAATTAAAATGACAATGAAATGTCACTACACATCTATTAAAATGACACATATTGATAATGATGTGAAGAAACTGGAATTCTCTCTTTTTTTTTTTTTTTTTTTTGAGATGGAGTCTCGCTCTGTCACCCAAGCTGGAGTGCAGTGGCATGATCTCGGCTCATTGCAACCTCTGCCTCCCAGGTTCAAGTGATTCTCCTGCCTCAGCCTCCCGAGTAGCTGGGACTACAGGTGCAAGCCACCACCCCCAGATAATTTTTTGTATTTTTAGTAAAGATGGGTTTTCACCATGTTAGCCAGGATGGTCTTGATCTCCTGACCTTGTGATCTGTCTACCTCAGCCTCCCAAAGTGCTGGGATTACAGGTGTGAGCCACCATACCCAGCCAAACTGGAATTCTTATATCCTGCTGGTAGGAATATAAAATGACACAACTACTTCGGAAATTTCTTTAAAAATTGAACATATAGCTAACGTATTATTCAGCCATTCCATTTCTAGGTATTTACCCAAGAAAAAAGAAAGCATATATCCATAAAAAACATGTATGTGAATGTTTATAGCAACTTTGTCTGTAGTAACCAAAAAGTCAAAACTACCCAGATGTCCATCAACAGGTGAATGGGTGAACAAATTGTGGTATGTTCATAGCATGTATTACTACTCAACAATAAAAAGGAATGAACTGTTGATACACACAACAACATGGATGAATCTTAAAATAATTTTACTGAGTGAAAGAAGCCAGCCAAAAAACACTGCATACCATATAGTTCTATTTACACAAAACTTAAGAAAATACAAATTAATGTATTGACAGAAAGTGAACCAGGGGTTGCTTGGGGAAGGGGAGAGGGAGGAGGCATGGAAGGAAAGCATTGCCAATGGGCAAGAGGAGATTTTGGGGGTGATGGTGTGGTCACCATTCTGATTGTGGAGATGGTTTCACATGTGTATATATATTTCAAAACTTAACAAATTGTGTACTTCAAAGATGTGCAGTTTATTTTATGCTATTTTTTTCAATAAAGCTATTTTTTAAAACTTCATGTAGCAAAAAGGAAAAAGTAATTATTTTCATCATTCTTATTGGCACCTGCAATAATAAAAATCTTACTTTATACTGAACAAAAGCCAAAGTGATTTCCCACCCCACCCCCCACAGGCCCCCGCTTCCTTGGAGTAGCTGAACATGGAGAAGAATCAGTAAATTAGGGAACTTTAAACATAGAACCACAGGCCTTAAAGAATTTTAAGCTGGGATATTCCATGTGTCACAAGGTGGTATTGATGCAGTTAAATTGAACAAAACGTTTCTAATCCTGAAAGCTTTACAGTAGGGTTCTCATCAGAATACATATACACAATATTAATGTAAATGTCTTCCCTATTTATGAAGTCATTTTGACATGTACCAATCTATTTTCCCATTCAGTCATATTGAGTAAGCCCTCCTGGTATGCTTCTAGGAGAACTAAAACTTCTTACTCTAAGATACAAGAAAGCTCTTCCATGGCTAGGTTTCCTACTAATAAAGAATTGTGACAGCAAATAGATAATTCAAGAAAGTAAGTTTTACTTAATAAGTGAATATCAGTTTAGTAGGGCTTAATGTGGATGCTCATCTTTGATTTTTTTTCTTTCTGATTCAAATAATGTCAGTGTAAAGTTTGACATTTTAGCCATGATTCTACTTCAGGCTAATTATCTAGGTTAGGGAATTCATGATTGATCAATTATTGTACTGTGCTAGTAGTGATTATATTGCAGAAGCAGATGATCGCATAGACCTTGCAGTATTCAGTAGGTTACAAACAGGGGCTTTCTAATTTTTTAGGCAGGAAATAGATATAAAGTTTTGTCTCTGGGAGCCCTATATTAAAGAAAAAAATGATTCAATGACACTTGTTAAAACAGAGTAGAGGAGACTTCATTTGTGACTGTTGCAATAGATAGGGAACCACTGAAATGGGATTTTGCAGGGGGAGAGAGAGACTGGGCTCAACTCCAAATATAGTATTAAAAAGTGGGAATTTATAGCCAAGAAGCAGGATGGTTTAAGTGAATGGAAAATTACTGACAGGAAATAACAGAGGAAGGAGAAATTCTGGCTAAACTGACCTAACAGGATTCTTGCTGAAGACAGGCCAGGGTGATAAGACATCACCTGGGGAATAGTGGATAATGAGTAGCCATATCAGATATTGAGAGTGATCAGATGTCAAGGATAGGGGGGTTTTGCTAAACTGACCTAGAAGGGTTCTTTGCTAAAACTGGATTTTACAAGAAAGTACACATATGGGCCAAGGAGAAGATTCAGGAGCCTGACTATAGATTGGTCAAGGAAACAATCTTTGTCACGTGAAATATGCTAGTTTGGAAGAGTGGGAATAAGTGGTCTAGAATTTAAAGTTGTTTTCCTGTATATTTCAGTGTTATATAAATAAATTACCCTTGTTTAAAGGTCAGAAAATATGAGGTTAGAAGATACTTGATAAGACCACATGCTTACAAATTTATCAGTATGCTTTAATCTGTCATGTAATTTGTGTACCCAAATATGTTCACTAAAAACTTTGTTTTTAAAGAACATGGGCCAAAGCAGAAAAAAATGATTCCTTGTATATTGCTCCAATTATGCTTTGTAAACTTTAAGCTTAAAATTTATGAGGGACCTTACTTTGTTCTTAGGTAAATATAAACATCAAGTCTATGCTATTAACACAGTGTTGGTGAATTCCCCCCCCCCTTTTTTTTGTTTTTTGTTTTTTTTTTTTTTTTTTTTTTTTTGAGATGGAGTCTTGCTCTGTTGCCCAGGCTAGAGTGCAGTGACGCAATCTCGGCTCACTGCAACATCCGCCTCCTGGGTTCAAGCAATTCTCCTGCCTCAGCCTCCTGAGTAGCTGGGAATACAGGCACCCACCACCGTGGCTGGCTAATTTTTGTATTTTTGATAGAGACGGAGTTTCACCATCTTGGCCAGGCTGGTCTCGAATTCCTGACCTCGTGATCCACCCGCGTCGGCCTCCAAAAGTGTTGGGATTACAGGCATGAGCCACCGCGCCCGGCCTAAATTCCTATTTTTGTTCTGCATTTAGACTAAGGCAAAATAAAAGCTTTTTATTCATTCAAATTTTCAAGAAAATTTTGACTACACAGGTCTGTCTAAATTGCTGTGGGCTGAATAGTTAATACAGATTATCCTTTCTATAAATTTGATGTTGAGGAAATGAAAAAGAAAGAGAATGCAAGAACCTTGATAGGAAGGTGTAGGTGGGGAAAGATTTTGGATTGAGGGAAAACACACAGTGAAGGAGAGATTGAAAATAGATTCAGCAACAGTTGGTGGATTCAGGTCCTGAAAGTTCAAGAAGATGTGGCATTAAAAGGGATAGAAACATTTCTTCCTCTTAGATAGAACAGAAGGAAAAGACTAGGTATGGCAGATACTGTAGATTGGCTCATTCAACACCTACCCCAATATACTTCCTGCTAAAATCTTTATTTCTCATCCTTAGAGCTAATAATCTGCAGGTGTGAGACCTGCAAGGAAATTGTGAGCAACGTGTGGTAGTAGCCACATGTAAGAAGATGGTATCTACTTGAAAATAACAAAGGCATTTCATTCTTCTAGGATCAGCCATGGAGGCAGCTGTCTTGGAATTATAGCAGAAACAGCATAGTTCTTGGGCCTGTCTCAATAACAGCTTCCTTAATAAGCCAGTTATACAGTTAGGTTTAGGGTGTTCTTCCTAGAAATTTAGTCTACAGTGTGTTCCTTCAGGTCTCCCAGTGATTCTGAGAATTATCTAATAGCCCTTATTAAACTAAGCTAAGTATAATTTTTAAACTAAGTAGAATGGGTTTTTTTGGTCTATGTCTAAGAATCCTTATATAGACAGCAATTGGTATCCGAAGAATGGTGCTGCAAGTAACAGAATCTAAAATGTAGTATTGGCTGAATTGAACAGATGGGGAAATTAATTTTAAAGACGCAAGCATTTCAGTCTGGAAAGCTTGTGACCATGGTCAAGCTCTTGCCTGCTATTCCTTAGACCGTAAACCAAGTGTCAACCAAGGCTATAGCATTAAGAAAAATGGTAGGAAATTTCAGAAGTTGGCATATTCTGGCTCCTTTTTATGGCTTTTAGAAAAGTTTTATAAGAAAGTGATGAAGTCAGACAGCAAAAATGGAAGAAAATATAAATGTACTAAGATGCTTTCAGCCTTTGGCCTGAAATTTAAGTTTACTGATATTCTTGTAATTTGTAGCCTTTAGGGGTTGAAAAAGCTAAAGGCTTTGTACTCCAATGGGAAGCCATAAGATTGATGCTCTGCTGGACAAATTCTCTGATCGAATTAATAGTGCTTTGTTCTCAACAGAGCTTATTGTGTCAAATGTCCTGAAGGTGGTAACCATCAAGCTAAAGGAGAAGAGGAGAATGGCTGGAGTGCAAAGATAAGCAGCTAAAAGCCCCAAATTCTCAGGCTTAGAAAGTTTATCTAGACCAGTGATACTTAAAGTGTCGTTCACTGACTGGCTGTAAGTTCATGAATTTTTGGTACTGATCAGTGAGGAAATAAAGAGCTTGAACCAGAATGTAAATCAACTATGACACTATGCATACCATTTAGTTTAGCTGACTTTTTGTATTGTATATATTTAAGGTGTACAATATAATGTTTTGATAAACTTATACATAGTGAAATGGTTACTATAGTCAAGCAAATTAACGTATCCATTATCTCACATAGTTACCCTTTTGTTTGTGGGAAATGCACCTAAAGTCCACTCTGTTAGCAGATTTCCAGTGTACAATAAAATAACTATAGCCCTTATGTTGTACGTTAGATCTCTAGACTTATTCATCCTACATATCTGCAACTTTGCACCCTTTGACCTACATCTTGCCATTTCCTACCCTCATCTCCCTCCTTTCCTCCCTAGTAACCACCATTTTATTGTTTCTATGGATGTGACTTTTTAAAGATTCTAGATATAAGTAATATTATCCAGTATTTTTCTTTCTCTTCTTGTCTTATTTCGCTTAGCATAATGTCCTCCATATTTTATGGCAAATGGCAGAATTTTAGTTTTAAGGCTGAATGATATTTCACTTTGTACATATACCACAATGTCTTTATCCCTTCATTCACTAGTGGAAATTTAAGTTGTTTCCATATCTTGACTATTGTGAATAATGCTGCAATGAATATGAGAGTACAGATATCTCTTCAAGATCCTGATTTCAATTAGTTTGGATATATACCCAGACGTGGGATTGTTGGACCTTATGGTAGTTTTATTTTTAATTTTTTTGAGGAAGCTCCATACTGTTTTCCATAGTGGCTGTATCAATTTACATCCTCACCAACAAGGTTTCCCTTTCTCCACACCCTCACCAACATTTGTTTTTTCTTGTCTTTTTGATAATAGTCATCCTAACTGGTGTGAGGTGGTATCTCATTGTGGTTTTAATTTGCATTTCCCTTATGATTGGTGACGTCAAATGATTTTTTAAATCAAGATTTTCTCAGTGACGGGAGCAGTGTGTTGATTTACATTCTGGTCTAAGCACCTAATCTTATCATAATTTGTAACTTTGAGTAGCGCTAGTCTAGAAAAGATCTTTGGCTATAATGACCTGCACATGAATTAACTAGAAATAAATATGCTGGAAATCTACTAAGTTTTAAGGGAATACATTCCTAAGAAAGTCCCAAGCTTTCCTGTAACAGTCTGTGACTGTTAAACTCCGTAGCAATCTCCAGGGTCTTGAACCTGCACCAAAAGGAAGCAAGCTGCCCAAAGTTGTGTGGCTTCCAGAAAGGACATCATTCCCAAAGCTTAGCTTAGATGTATCCAGAAGGATAATGTATGAGGAATAACTATGCAAAAGCAGAACCAAGGAAAACAGAAGACAGTGGACAAGGGAAATCCTCCCAGAAAATTCTGAATATTTCAAGGACTGCCAGATGGGTTAACCAAGGAAATTACTGCCAATGAAAGCAAATTTCACTGTTCTAGTTCAGAATGACTTGATGATTGTTAGGGCTCAGGCTTTTGCATCCCCCTATTTCTGAACAGGAGTTTTATTGTGATATTCTCTGTCACATCCAAACCTGATGAAGAAATACTGATTTTTTTTCTTTTTACTGGATACAGTAATTAGATGAAATTATTACCTCTGTTGGGAGGAGGGCAAGTGCGGTGGAGGGCAAGTGTGGTGGTCAATACATGGGAAGAAAGATGTGCATAAATATTTTCATAGTCAGAAGGATAGACTAGAGCAGAGAATAGAAGTTGCCTACCCAGGTCAGGCATGGTGGTTCCGGACTGTAATCCCAGCACTTTGCGAGGCCGATGCAGGCAGATCACTTGAGGTCAGGCATTTCAGACCAGGCTGGCGAGCATGGTAAAGCCCCGTCTCTACTAAAAACACAAAAATTAGCCGGGCGTGGTGGCATATGCCTGTAATCCCAGCTACGTGGGAAGCTGAGGCATGAGAATCGCTTGAACCTGGGAGGCGGAGGTTGCAGTGAGCCGAGAACGTGCCACTGCACTCCAGTTTGGGTGACAGGGTGAGACTCCATTTCAAAAAAAAAAAAAAAAGTTGCCTACCCAATATCCATATTTCCTTTCCTCCTTTCCATATTTCCTTTCTTCCTTTCTTTTTTTTTTTTCTAACAGGTGTCTCAATGTTTTGGAAACATTTCCCAGCACCCCCAGCAGATTAGCTTGGCTATATTTTATACTTCTTGTCAAAGATATGAAGGAGAAGTTATTGGTTAGAACTTTTGATGAAACTCCTTAAAAGGGAGTAGGAAGACCCAGCTGACATATTAGCTGGTATTTCCACAGCCTTCTTGAGAACTGACAACAAAGCCACACCCTAAGGATGGTGGTGTTGCCATACCAGTCCTGCAGTACTCACCTCTGGAATTCTACATGAGAAAAAAACAAACCCCCAATTTGTTGGAGCCACTTTTTTTCCCAGTTTCTACCACTACCAGTCAAATGTAGATGCATAATTGATACACTAGATAAAATATAAGTAATTTTGGAGGTGTTAGGAAAAGAAAATGAGACAATTCATATATGTGTTTTCCACTTATTAGTGAAGTGAAACTCCAGGCCTATCTGTTTGAAAATCTGAATCAATTCCATGGTGTATATGTGCCACATTTTCTTAATCTAGTCTATCACTGTTGGACATTTGGGTTGGTTCCAAGTCATTGCTATTGCGAATAGTGCCACAATAAACATACATGTGCATGTGTCTTTAAAGCAGCATGATTTATAATCCTTTGGGTATATACCCAGTAATGGGATGGCTGGGTCAAATGGGATTTCTAGTTCTAGATCCCTGAGGAATCGCCACACTGACTTCCACAATGGTTGAACTAGTTTCCAGTCCCACCAACAGTGTAAAAGTGTTCCTATTTCTCCACATCCTCTCCAGCACCTGTTGTTTCCTGACTTTTTAATGATCGCCATTCTAACTGGTGTGAGATGGTATCTCATTGTGGTTTTGATTTGCATTTCTCTGATGGCCAGTGATGATGAGCATTTTTTGAGTTCATGTCCTTTGCAGGGACATGGATGAAGCTGGAAACCATCATTCTCAGCAAACTATCGCAAGGACAAAAAACCAAACACCGCATGTTCTCACTCATAGGTGGGAATTGAACAATGAGAACACATGGACACAGGAAGGGGAACATCACACACTGGGGTCTGTTGTGGGGTGGGGGCAAGGGGGAGGGATAGCATTAGGTGATATACCTAATGTTAAATGACGAGTCAATGGGTGAAGCACACCAACATGGTACATGTATACATATGTAGCAAACCTGCACGTTGTGCACATGTACCCTAAAACTTAAAGTATAATAAAAAAAAAGAAAAAAGAAAATCTGGAGGGGGAGGAGACAAGATGGCCGAATAGGAACAGCTCCGGTCTACAGCTCCCAGCGTGAGCGAGGCAGAAGACGCGTGATTTCTGCATTTCCATCTGAGGTACCAGGTTCATCTCACTAGGGAGTGCCAGACAGTGGGCGCAGGCCAGTGGGTGCGCGCACCGTGCGTGAGCCGAAGCAGGACGAGGCATTGCCTCACCTGGGAAGCGCAAGGGGTCAGGGAGTTCCCATTCTGAGTCAAAGAAAGGGGTGACGGACGCACCTGGAAAATCGGGTCACTCCCACCCGAATATTGCGCTTTTCAGACCGGCTTAAAAAACGGCGTACCACAAGACTATATCCCACACCTGGCTCGGAGGGTCCTACGCCCACGGAATCTCGCTGATTGCTAGCACAGCAGTCTGAGATCAAACTGCAAGGCGGCAGCGAGGCTGGGGGAGGGGCGCCCGCCATTGCCCAGCCTTGCTTAGGTAAACAAAGCAGCCCGGAAGCTCAAACTGGGTGGAGCCCACCACAGCTCAAGGAGGCCTGCCTGCCTCTGTAGGCTCCACCTCTGGGGGCAGGGCACAGACAAACAAAAAGACAGCAGTAACCTCTGCAGACTTAAATGTCCCTGTCTGACAGCTTTGAAGAGAGCAGTGGTTCTCCCAGCACGCAGCTGGAGATCTGAGAACGGGCAGACTGCCTCCTCAAGTGGGTTCCTGACCCCTGACCCCCGAGCAGCCTAACTGGGAGGCACCCCCCAGCAGGGGCACACTGACACCTCACACTGCAGGGTATTCCAACAGACCTGCAGCTGAGGGTCCTGTCTGTTAGAAGGAAAACTAACAAACAGAAAGGACATCCACACCAAAAACCCATCTGTACATCACCATCATTAAAGACCAAAAGTAGATAAAACCACAAAGATGGGGAAAAAACAGAACAGAAAAACTGGAAACTCTAAAACGCAGAGCGCCTCTCCTCCTCCAAAGGACCGCAGTTCCTCACCTGCAACGGAAGAAAGCTGGATGGAGAATGATTTTGACGAGCTGAGAGAGGAAGGCTTCAGACGATCAAATTACTCTGAGCTACGGGAGGACATTCAAACCAAAGGCAAAGAAGTTGAAAACTTTGAAAAAAATTTAGAAGAATGTATAACTAGAATAACCAATACAGAGAAGTGCTTAAAGGAGCTGATGGAGCTGAAAACCAAGGCTCGAGAACTACGTGAAGAATGCAGAAGCCTCAGGAGCCGATGTGATCAACTGGAAGAAAGGGTATCAGCAATGGAAGATGAAATGAATGAAATGAGGCGAGAAGGGAAGTTTAGAGACAAAAGAATAAAAAGAAATGAGCAAAGCCTCCAAGAAATACGGGACTATGTGAAAAGACCAAATCTACGTCTGATTGGTGTACCTGAAAGTGATGGGGAGAATGGAACCAAGTTGGAAAACACTCTGCAGGATATTATCCAGGAGAACTTCCCCAATCTAGCAAGGCAGGCCAACGTGCAGATTCAGGAAATACAGAGAACGCCACAAAGATACTCCTCGAGAAGAGCAACTCCAAGACACACAATTGTCAGATTCACCAAAGTTGAAATGAAGGAACAAATGTTAAGGGCAGCCAGAGAGAAAGGTCGGGTTACCCTCAAAGGGAAGCCCATCAGACTAACAGCGGATCTCTCAGCAGAAACCCTACAAGCCAGAAGAGAGTGGGGGCCAATATTCAACATTCTTAAAGAAAAGAATTTTCAACCCAGAATTTCATATCCAGCCAAACTAAGCTTCATAAGTGAAGGAGAAATAAAATACTTTACAGACAAGCAAATGCTGAGAGATTTTGTCACCACCAGGCCTGCCCTAAAAGAGCTCCTGAAGGAAGCGCTAAACATGGAAAGGAACAACCGGTACCAGCCGCTGCAAAATCATGCCAAAATGTAAAGACCATCGAGACTAGGAAGAAACTGCATCAACTAATGAGCAAAATCACCAGCTAACATCATAATGACAGGATCAAATTCACACATAACAATATTAACTTTAAATGTAAATGGACTAAATTCTCCAATTAAAAGACACAGACTGGCAAGTTGGATAAAGAGTCAAGACCCATCAGTGTGCTGTATTCAGGAAACCCATCTCACGTGCAGAGACACACATAGGCTCAAAATAAAAGGATGGAGGAAGATCTACCAAGCAAATGGAAAACAAAAAAAGGCAGGGGTTGCAATCCTAGTCTCTGATAAAACAGACTTTAAACCAACAAAGATCAAAAGAGACAAAGAAGGCCATTACATAATGGTAAAGGGATCAATTCAACAAGAGGAGCTAACTATCCTAAATATATATGCACCCAATACAGGAGCACCCAGATTCATAAAGCAAGTCCTGAGTGACCTACAAAGAGACTTAGACTCCCACACATTAATAATGGGAGACTTTAACACCCCACTGTCAACATTAGACAGATCAACGAGACAGAAAGTCAACAAGGATACCCAGGAATTGAACTCAGCTCTGCACCAAGCAGACCTAATAGACATCTACAGAACTCTCCACCCCAAATCAACAGAATATACATTTTTTTCAGCATCAAACCACACCTATTCCAAAATTGACCACATACTTGGAAGTAAAGCTCTCCTCAGCAAATGTAAAAGAACAGAAATTATAACAAACTATCTCTCAGACCACAGTGCAATCAAACTAGAACTCAGGATTAAGAATCTCACTCAAAGCCACTCAACTACATGGAAACTGAACAACCTGCTCCTGAATGACTACTGGGTACATAACGAAATGAAGGCAGAAATAAAGATGTTCTTTGAAACCAACGAGAACAAAGACACAACATACCAGAATCTCTGGGACGCATTCAAAGCAGTGTGTAGAGGGAAATTTATAGCACTAAATGCCCACAAGAGAAAGCAGGAAAGATCCAAAATTGACACCCTAACATCACAATTAAAAGAACTAGAAAAGCAAGAGCAAACACATTCAAAAGCTAGCAGAAGGCAAGAAATAACTAAAATCAGAGTAGAACTGAAGGAAATAGAGACACAAAAATCCCTTCAAAAAATCAATGAATCCAGGAGCTGGTTTTTTGAAAGGATCAACAAAATTGATAGACTGCTAGCAAGACTAATAAAGAAAAAAAGAGAGAAGAATCAAATAGACACAATAAAAAATGATAAAGGGGATATCACCACCAATCCCACAGAAATACAAACTACCATCAGAGAATACTACAAACACCTCTATGCAAATAAACTAGAAAATCTAGAAGAAATGGATACATTCCTCGACACATACACTCTCCCAAGACTAAACCAGGAAGAAGTTGAATCTCTGAATAGACCAATAACAGGAGCTGAAATTGTGGCAATAATCAATAGTTTACCAACCAAAAAGAGTCCAGGACCAGATGGATTCACAGCCGAATTCTACCAGAGGTACAAGGAGGAACTGGTACCATTCCTTCTGAAACTATTCCATTCAATAGAAAAAGAGGGAATCCTCCCTAACTCATTTTATGAGGCCAGCATCATCCTGATACCAAAGCCGGGCAGAGACACAACCAAAAAAGAGAATTTTAGACCAATATCCTTGATGAACATTGATGCAAAAATCCTCAATAAAATACTGGCAAACCGAATCCAGCAGCACATCAAAAAGCTTATCCACCATGATCAAGTGGGCTTCATCCCTGGGATGCAAGGCTGGTTCAATATACGCAAATCAATAAATGTAATCCAGCATATAAACAGAGCCAAAGACAAAAACCACATGATTATCTCAATAGATGCAGAAAAGGCCTTTGACAAAATTCAACAACCCTTCATGCTAAAAACTCTCAAGAAATTAGGTATTGATGGGACGTATTTCAAAATAATAAGAGCTATCTATGACAAACCCACAGCCAATATCATACTGAATGGGCAAAAACTGGAAACATTCCCTTTGAAAACTGGCACAAGACAGGGATGCCCTCTCTCACCACTCCTATTCAACATAGTGTTAGAAGTTCTGGCCAGGGTAATCAGGCAGGAGAAGGAAATAAAGGGTATTCAATTAGGAAAAGAGGAAGTCAAATTGTCCCTGTTTGCAGACGACATGATTGTTTATCTAGAAAACCCCATCGTCTCAGCCCAAAATCTCCTTAAGCTGATAAGCAACTTCAGCAAAGTCTCAGGATACAAAATCAATGTACAAAAATCACAAGCATTCCTATACACCAACAACAGACAAACAGAAAGCCAAATCATGAGTGAACTCCCATTCACAATTGCTTCAAAGAGAATAAAATACCTAGGAATCCAACTTACAAGGGATGTGAAGGACCTCTTCAAGGAGAACTACAAACCACTGCTCAAGGAAATAAAAGAGGATACAAACAAATGGAAGAACATTCCATGCTCATGGGTAGGAAGAATCAATATCGTGAAAATGGCCATACTGCCCAAGGTAATTTACAGATTCAATGCCATCCCCATCAAGCTACCAATGACTTTCTTCACAGAATTGGAAAAAACTACTTTAAAGCTCATATGGAACCAAAAAAGAGCCCGCATCGCCAAGTCAATCCTAAGCCAAAAGAACAAAGCTGGAGGCATCACACTACCTGACTTCAAACTATACTACAAGGCTACAGTAACCAAAACAGCATGGTACTGGTACCAAAACAGAGATATAGATCAATGGAACAGAACAGAGCACTCAGAAATAACACCACATACCTACAACTATCTGATCTTTGACAAACCTGAGAAAAACAAGCAATGGGGAAAGGATTCCCTATTTAATAAATGGTGCTGGGAAAACTGGCTAGCCATATGTAGAAAGCTGAAACTGGATCCCTTCCTTACACCTTATACAAAAATCAATTCAAGATGGATTAAAGATTTAAACGTTAGACCTAAAACCATAAAAACCCTAGAAGAAAACCTAGGCATTACCATTCAGGACACAGGCGTGGGCAAGGACTTCATGTCCAAAACACCAAAAGCAATGGCAACAAGAGCCAAAATTGACAAATGGGATCTAATTAAACTAGAGCTTCTGCACAGCAAAAGAAACTACCATCAGAGTGAACAGGCAACCTACAACATGGGAGAAAATTTTCGCAACCTACTCATCTGACAAAGGGCTAATATCCAGAATCTACAATGAACTCAAACAAATTTACAAGAAAAAAACAAACAACCCCATCAAAAAGTGGGCGAGGGACATGAACAGACACTTCTCAAAAGAAGACATTTATGTAGCCAAAAAACACATGAAAAAATGCTCATCATCACTGGCCGTCAGAGAAATGCAAATCAAAACCACTATGAGATACCATCTCACACCAGTTAGAATGGCAATCATTAAAAAGTCAGGAAACAACAGGTGCTGGAGAGGATGTGGAGAAATAGGAACACTTTTACACTGTTGGTGGGACTGTAAACTAGTTCAACCATTGTGGAAGTCAGTGTGGCGATTCCTCAGGGATCTACAACTAGAAATACCATTTGACCCAGCCATCCCATTACTGGGTATATACCCAAATGACTATAAATCATGCTGCTATAAAGACACATGCACACGTATGTTTATTGTGGCATTATTCACAATAGCAAAGACTTGGAACCAACCCAAATGTCCAACAATGATAGACTGGATTAAGAAAATGTGGCACATATACACCATGGAATATTATGCAGCCATAAAAAATGATGAGTTCATGTCCTTTGTAGGGACATAGATGAAGCTGGAAATCATCATTCTCAGTAAACTATCGCAAGAACAAAAAACCAAACACCGCATATTCTCACTCATAGGTGGGAACTGAACAATGAGATCACATGGACACAGGAAGGGGAATATCACACTCTGGGGACTGTGGTGGGGAGGGGGGAGGGGGGAGGGATAGCATTGGGAGATATACCTAATGCTAGATGATGAGTTAGTGGGTGCAGCGCACCAGCATGGCACATGTATACATATGTAACTAACCTGCACAATGTGCACATGTACCCTAAAACTTAAAGTATAATTAAAAATAATAATAATAATAATAATAGTAGTAACAAAAAAAAAAAAGAAAATCTGAATCAATTCAATAAGAGTTTTATGGAATGCCCATTGCCTACGTGGCAGTAATATTCATTGGGAGTAATCTTTACTGATTATACCACAACGTTTATGTTATATTTCCTCTTTTCAGGACAATTTTGAAGGTCTACACTTGAATTCATCTCTTTTCCTATTCTGCCCACTGGGATAAAACTTGGAAGAAATTTTATAGCTGCAGATTGAAAACTTACCAGTTTGACAACTTGTATCCTGCATTTGTATGTCTCATAATTGAGCACTGTACACTCCCAAGACAGCACATTATATTTAACTCGCATCATTTATAGTCATATACTCACATGAAAATATAGTCATGCATCACTTAGCAACAGTAATAATTTCTGAGAAAGATGATGTTAGGTGATTTTGTCGTTCTGTGAACATCATACTGTGTACTTACACAAACCTGAATAGTATAGCCTACCACACACCTAGGCTATGTGATACATCCTATTGCTTTACATTATAAACCTATACATCACATTACTATACTGAATACTATAGGCAACTATAACATAATGGTAAAAATCTAAACATACCTAAACATAGAAAAGGCAATGCATTGTGTTATGACATTATCATAGCTACATCATCACCAGGCAATAGGAATTTTTCAGCTCCATTATAATTGTATAGGCAAACTGTCATATATGCAGTCTGTAGTTGACCAAAATGTCATTATGTCGCACATGACTATATATTCGTTTTCTATTATGAATGAGATTTGTTTCATAAGTCGTCCATATTCACTCACTGCCATGGACATTAATTGGTTGCTTACACAACATTCATTTCCACCTTCTTTCTATGAGTGCCCATATTACTGACTAGGTAGCTTCCCCTCTTCCATGCAGCTGATATATACTTACACTAATTCACACATATTGCACACATTTAAGCTTTCCATCATACATAAGCTTATGGCTGCAGAATGATTTTTCTCTTTATACAACTAGCAGACATTCATAGACAGTAAATAAAGAAACTACATATGGGAGAGAGGGGGTTTGTGTGAAAAATAGATGAATAACAGAGTGGTAAGAAACAGTGCTGATGGGTGATGGTATACTTTGCACCTGTCTTAGTCCATTTTTCATTGCTAAAAAGGAATACCAGAGACTGGGTAATTTATAAACAACAGAAGTTTACTGTATTTGGCTCATGGTTCAGGAGGCTGAAATATCCAAGAGCATATTGCAGGCATTTGATGAGGGTCATCTCATGGCGGAAGGTGAAAGGTGGAAGTAAGACAGAGAGAGGCAAATGGGGGTTGAATTTATCCTTGTATCAGGAGCCCAAGTCTGCAATAACTAACCCAGTCCTAAGATATTGGTGTTAATCCACTCTTAAGGGCAGAGCCCTCAGGACCTAACCACCTCTTAAAGACTCCACTTCTTAATACTGTTACAATGGCAATTAAATTTATACATGAGTTTTGGCAGGAACATTTAAACCATAGCACTGCTATATAAGTTATCTGTTGTTGAATCCTCTGAGACCAGAGACTTGAAAAAGGGCAGGTCTCAAGAGTGCCTGGCTCAATGTACCATAACAAACTGTGGCAGGCAGTTAATGAGAGAGGATCCTGAAGCCTAGCCAGCAAGGTCAGATCCTGGGTAATCATTCTGAGCAACCTGAAGGAGAGAAGAGGCGAGCAGAGGTCCAGGAGTCAATGTGGAACAGCTGCTAAAGAAGCAGAACGTGATAGTATCAAAGAAACTGTAGGAGTTAGAGTTAGTAGGAGGCTTCAAAGATCAATGTGAGCATCATACAACAGACTAGCAGGGATGAAGCTTGGTTTATGTGTAGGATAGCATATTTCAGGAACAAATCCTGCAGAAGTAGGAATGTAAGTTTCAGGCCCCTTTTCTGAATGTTTTAGTTGCTCCTAATAAGGGTGAGTCTTAAAGGAACTTACTGTAGCTAAATAGTATTTAAATGAAAATGGGCAGGGCATGGCAGCTCACGCCTGTAATCCCAGCACTTTGGAAGGCCGAGGCAGGCAGATCACCTGAGGTCAGGAGTTCAAGACCAGCCCGACCAACATGGAGAAACCCCGTCTTTACTAAAAATACAAAAAATTAGCCAGGCGTGGTGGTGCATGCCTGTAATCCCAGCCACTTGAGAGGCTGAGGCAAGAGAATCACTTGAACCCGGGAGGCAGAGGTTGCGGTGAGCTGAGATAGCGCCATTGCACTCCAGCCTGGGCAACAAGAGCGAAACTCTGTCTAAAAAAAAAAAAAAAAAAAGAAAGAAAATGAATATCATGGCACATTGAATTACCTACACTTTTTTAAAAAATCAATGACCTTATCATACAGGAATAAGTTAACTTCTGTCATTATTAAGCAATACCATTTGTCTTAGCCTGTTTGGGCTGCCATAAAAAATGCCATAAACCAAGTAGCTTGTAAACAACAGAAATTTGTCTCTCACAGTTCTGGAGGCTAAGAGGTCTATGACCAAGGTGCTGGCAGATTTCCTGTCGGGTCAGGGCACATTTACTCGTTCATAGAGGATGCCTTCTCACTGTGTCCTCACATGGTGGAAGGAACAAGGGTCTCCATGGAGCCTCTTTTATAAGGGCATAAAGACTCATCCATAAAGGCCCTACTCCCATGACCTAACTATCTGTCAAAGGCTTCACCTTCTAATAATATCACGCTGGGGGGTTAGGATTTCAATATATGAATTTTTGGGAAACGCAAACATTTAGACCATAGCACCATATGCCAGGCACTCCAAAAATAACTTAACATGCATTATCCAATTTGATTTTTATAACAGTCTGTGTTGGTCCCTTTTGTGTTGCTGTAAATGAATACCTGATGCTGTATAATTTATTTAAAAGAAGTTTATTTGGCTCACAATTCTGCAGACTATACAAGAAGCATGAGCATGGCACCAGCATCTGCTCTTGGTGAGGGCCATAGACTGCTTCTATTCATGGCAGAAGGTGAATGGGAGCTGATACGTGCAGAAGTGGCAAGAAAGGAAGCAAGGGGTGGGGGAGGTGCCTGGCTCTTTTTAACAACAGGCTTTTGCAGGAACTAATAGAGCAAGAACTCACACACCCCTATGGAAGGGCATTAATCTATTCATGAGGGATTTGCCCTCATGACCCAGACGACTCCCAGTAGGCCCCACCTCCAACATTGGGATCAAATTTCAACATGAGGGGCAGACATCCAGACCATAGCACAGTCCTATGAGTAGGTACTATAATTATCACATTTTGCAAATGAGAAAGCTAAGGTTCAGAGATAATAGGTAATTTGCCTAGATTATCCAGCTAACAAATGGCAAAGCTTGACTTCAAAACCAAATATATCAGATTCCAGAGAGAATGTGCTCATAAATGCATGTTGTGCTGCCTCCCTGATATTCCCTAGGCTGTCTTCAGAGACACAGGCTATAAGTTCTTGTTCATTAATAGTTTACATAGCATGTAAGTGAAGGTGTCATTTCTCTCTCTCTCTCTCTCTTTTTGTTTTTGAGGCAGAGTTTTGCTCTTGTTGCCCAGGCTGGAATGCAATGGCATGATCTCAGCTCACCGCAAACTCTGCCTCCCAGGTTCAAGCGATTCTCCTCCCTCAGCCTCCCAAGTAGCTGGGATTACAGGCATGTGCCTCTGTGCCCGGCTGATTTTGTATTTTTAGTAGAGATGGGGTTTCTCCATGTTGGTCAGGCTGGTCTCCAACTCCTGACCTCAGGTGATCCAGCCTCCCAAAGTGCTGGGATTACAGGCATGAGCCACCGTGCCGGGCAAATGAAGGTGTCATTTCATCCACTGAGCAGTGAAAGATAAATGCATTGCGAATACAGAATAAAAAAGACTTTTTTCAAGAAAGCAGGAAGTAGCTGAGCTGAGGGAAGGGCAGAAGAGCCCTCTATTCCACAGATTCATCTGGAAATTCTGATCAAATAGCAACTGCAACGAATTGCTTGCCAACAAGAAGGTATGTTATAGTATACCAAAGGTAATTATTTTCTTGAATAATTGTATTCTTGTTGATGTAGTTTGTTGAAATGTCTGACATTTTCAAGAGTATCCTAGGAATATGGTAGATGAACACTTGAATTTCTCTGTATGACTCATAATCTAATACAGGATATGCTAGGCAAATGCTAAAGAATCTTTAAATTACCTCTTAGAAATATCAAGTGGCTTTCCTTTCTATGTTTGTGTTAGCATCTCAAGATTTTAAAAAGCAAAAATTGTTTATTGCAATACCAATCAATGGAGATTATTCCATAGACAACGCCATTTCAGGTGCTTTATAGGTTAAGTCTTTCAAAAGGAGGAGTAATGTTTATACTTCACTTGCAATTTAAAGTAGTTTAATGAGAACTCAGAAATGTATACTTGTGCAACTGGGAACAAAGGGGGTGCAATTGGGAACAAAAGGGAAAATAAAATGGAATTAGAAAAAGACTTCTATCATTCCCTCTCCTGGATATCTATAAAGTTACTACCTGTCAATCTCTAAATACACATTTTTTTTTACCCAAATACTTTTGTATTTCTCTTAATAAATAAGCGATTAGGGTTAATAATAATACTTGAAATAATAGCAGTGAATACTTTTATAACAAATATCAATTTACTTAATTCTCACAACTATTAATATCACTTCACTGATGAAGAAACTGAGTAACAGAGAGGTTAAGACTCTTACCCAGAATCATATGGCTAAATGAGATTATGAATTCAGTCAGTCTGGTTCTAGCATACATACTCTTAACAAAACTTCTAAGATAACTATTTGGTCAGAAGAAATCCATGAGGAAGAAAAGCAAGAAGAACCTTTGATAAAGTAAAGGTCTAAGTTCCGGAAAAGATTCAGACTGTGACAAAATGTAATTCAGATATTGCTTAGCCCAGTGAGAATGAGCAAGATTATAGAATCCTTGGGGGAGAAAAACAAACCCTAGACAAAGAGTAGACTAGAATCAGGGAAGTACTGGAGGAAATCTGTATGTATTGTCTCTAAAACTGATCAGGACTGAACTTGCATCTATTCTATCGGTCTGTAATTGCCTAAATGTTCTACAGCTATAGTTTATTTATTGAAACTGCCTATAGAATTATACAATTTTACCTTTAATAGCTAGTATCTTTTTGGTAATGTAAGAAATACTTTTAAATAAAAGGGATGCCTTATAGACCCATAGCCATTTCATCTATTATTTGAATATTAATAGACTAGTTTATATGATACCACCATCTACCTGCATCTCATTGGGAAATTATTAAACCCCTCCACGACTTAATTTATTTCTTTGTAAAATGAGAAATCATAAAATATTAATTTTTATACACCTTTCAGCTTAAAAGCCCTTCCTGTTTATTCATCTGCTAAGTATATAATAGCAAGTAAATCAGTACACATATTGAAAAAATACTATGATGTAATGTAGAGAAAAATATAAATGCAGATGACAAAAAAACAAAAAAATGGAAGGGCACACACTTGTCTATACTGTTCATTTGGCAATTAATTGTTCACTACTTTGTGACATCACTCCTACTATTATTTAAATCATGTGTCAAATTGTTTTATTATATTTATTTAATTAATTTGACAAATAGATACTGAGCACCTACTAGTGCCAAGGACTGTTCTAGACACTGAGCATACAGTGGTTAATCATCAAGGCCATTTAATTTACAAAAGAGATTAAAATTAGGAGAATAGAGACAGTCTTAGGCATTTTATAATTGCATTCAGTGATGCTTAACACATGATAGCTCCTCAATTATTTTGACTCAGTTTTAGCTTTCTGCATACACAAAACCTAGTCTTTGTACTGGGGATCTTTTTTCTCTAAAAATAAGCAGATCAATATTATTTTTAATCAAAAACATTGCAACACCTGTGATGAAATTTCAGAAACACTCTACATTGGCACCCTGCTGTTGTTGATCACAATAAGATTGAATTCCAATCATCAAAATTTCTAGATGACCAAATATGTACAAGTGATGTGGGGACTATAAAGACAAATTAAATATCTATATTATTGATGCACTTAACATCAAATGAAACGGGAATTACAAATCTAATTAAAAGGGGGGAGGGGTGAGGGATAGCATTAGGAGATATACCTAATGTAAATGACGTGTTAACGGGTGCAGCACACCAACATGGCACATGTATACATATGTGACAAACCTGCGCTTTGTGCACATGTACCCTAGAATTTAAAGTATATAAAAAAAAAAAGAAATGAAAAAAAAGTGGCTAAACAACAAGGAAACAAATTTCTTTCTTCTTACGTAACAGGAAATCTGGAGTGCAGGGCAGTTTCAGGAGTGGTTGCTGGAGAGATTTAACAATGTCATTAATACCCAGATCCATTGTGATTTTCCAATCTGCTACCTTTAGTAAACTGGTTACTTACCACATAGTCATAATGTGGGTGCAGCACTTCAGATATCGTCTACTCACCAAAAGAACCTAAAGCCTGGATGAGAACAAAAGAATGCTTCGGTTCCTTATGTCCTTTTTAAACTATAAAAATAAAATTAAAATAGATAACTTCTTCAGTTAACAGACTCTTTTCATGTCTCATTGTATAGAATTTCATCACCTACCCATTCATAAACCAAATTTTGGCAAGAGAAATGACATTACTATGAGTAACTTATAATACAACCCTCAGTAAGAAAACGCTTTACACATTATTACCCAACACATGCACACACACACACAGAGGAACATACATATGTGCACACACATGTGCATACATCTATGTTTATAAAACTAAAACAAAAGCCTCATAAAATTATTTTTACCCTTAATGCATGTAATGCACTTTAATATTATTTATAATATTCTATTTCTTTAATTTAAATATGTGGATAACTCTTTCAAAAGATTGAAGAGAAGGGAATCCTTTCAAACCCATTTTATGAGGCCAACATTACCTTAATGGCAAAAATACTACAAGACAAGTATTGATAAATATTGATACAAAAATCCTCAATAAAATACTAGCACATATAATTTAATAGCACATTAAAAAGATTATACATCATGAACAAATGGGATTTATCCCTAGGATGCAGGGATAGTTCACATAAAAAATCAACCAATGCAATATGCCATATCAACAGAGCAAAGGACAAAAATCCCATGATCATCTCAACTGATGCAGTAAAAGAATTTGACAAAATTCTTCCTTTCAATTTCCAACACTCAACAAAACAAGAATAGAAGAAAATTACTTCAACATAATCAAGGTCATCAACGCCAACCCCACCACTAACATCATACTTAGCGGTGAGAAGCTGAAAGCTTTTTCTCTTAGATGAGGAACAAGACAAGAATGCTGCTGTGGTTTAGATGTGGTTTGCCCCTGCTAAAACTCATGTTGAACTTTGATTCCCAATATGGCAGTATTAGGAGGTAGGACATATTTGGAGGTTTTTGGATCAAGGGAGAGCTGCCCTTATGAATAGATCAATGCTGTCTGTCTCTTAGGAGTGAGTGGATTCTCACTCTCACCAGAATGGATTATTCCCTGAGAAAGCAGGTTGTCATAAGCAAGACCAGCCTCTCCTGCATGCCTCTTTGCACATTCCCAATTACCTTTCTGCTTTTCCACTATGTCTTGACACAGCACATGGCCCTCACTAGAAGCCAAGCAGATGCCAGTGCCATGCTCTTGGACTTTTCAGCCACTGGAATTGTAAGATAAATAAACCTCTTTTCTTTGTGAGTTACCCCACCTCAAGTATTCTGTTAAAGCAACACAAAATGGGCTAAGAGAGATGCCAACTCTCACCACTTGTATTCAACACAGGACTGGAAGTCCTGGCCAGAACAATTAGGCAAGAAAAAGAAATAAAGGCAGCCACATTGGAAAGAAAAAAGTGAAATTCTGTTCACAGAATGACATGCTTGTTATGTAGAAAACCCTAGAGACTCCACAAAACAATTTAGAACTAGTAAATGAATTCAATAGTTGCAGGATACAAAAATCAACATGCAAAAATCAACATAAAAAAATCAGGTGCACTTCTCTATATTAATAATGAACAATCTGAAAAGCAAATTAGGAAAATAATCCCATTAACAATAGCACCAAAAAGAATAAAATACTTAGGAATAAACTAAGGAAAAAGGACTTGTACACTAAAAACTGTAAAACATTAATAAAATAAATTAAAGAAGACACAAATAAATGGAAATAAATCCTGTTTCCATGGATTAGAAAACATAATGTTATTAAAATGTCCAGATTACCTGAAGTAATCTACAGATTCAACGCAATCCCTAGCAATCCCAATTACATTTTTTTTGCAGAAATTAAAACAAAAATCTAAAATTTGCATGGATTCTCAAAAGATTCTGCTAAGCCAAAACAATATTGAGAAAGAACAAAGTTAGAGGCCTCATACTACCTGACTTCAAAACATATTACAAAGCTACAGTAATAAAAAACAGACATTCAGACCAGTGAATCAGAATAGAGAGCCCAGAACGGGCTCTCAAATGATCTTTGAGAAGAGCGCCAAGACTATGCAATGGGAAAAGGATAGTCTCTACAACAAATCATGTTAGGAAAACTGTATATCCACATGGAAATGGAAATTACATCATATACAAAAATTAACTCAAAATGGATTGAAGACCTAAATGTAAGGCCTTACATTCACTTTGATTCCCAATATGGCAGTATTAGGAGGTAGGACCTATTTGGAGGTCCTAGAGAAACTTCAGAGCTCCTAGAGAAAACATAGGGAGATATCCCATGACATTGTATTTGGCAATGATTTCTTGAATATGACACCAAAAGCACAAGCTGCAAAAGCAAAAATGGACAAATAGGACTGCATCAAACTTAAAAACTTCTGTGCAAAAAAGAAGCAATCAAATGGGTAAAAAGGCAACCTATGGATGGGAGAAATATTTTCAAATCATATATCTGATAAGAGATGCTGTGGTCTGAGTGTGTTCCCCATACTCTTCTTCTGGAAAATAGAGATAATAATCTCCATCTTTCAGGGTTGTTGGGAGAATAGGATGCTGTATATTAAGGCCAAATGAAGTACATAAAACATAGATGTTCAGCAAGTGGTAGTTTTTAAAAAAAAATCAGGCGAAATTCATGTAACATAAATTAACCACTTAAAAAAGTGCAATTCAGTGAAATTTACTGCGTCACAATGTTGTGCAACCATTACCTCTATCTAGTTTGAAAACACTTTCATCAACCACAAAGAAGATCTAGAGTGGCAACTCTTCTATAGACAAAAATCCTTTGAATCACATGGGTGGTAAAGCAAAAGGCATCACAATGAGAACATTGAGATCATATTGTAAGGCTGATTAAACACTCCATTTGTTGTTCTGTGATTTCTGATGTGATGTTATCTGTGAAAGCGCAGCAAAATGGTGGCATAATTTTTAGCCTACTTGTTTTACAGGTTATTTTAGGATTTTCCATTTCATAGTATACAGATTTTTTTAAAGCTCAGTTACCATTTTCACTCACAATAATACCATGAAGTTTCACTTAGGCACATTATTCAGCCAGGTTCAATGCCAATTTCTTATACCACAATTTATCAATGACTGAGTCTAGGCGTTTGCTAATTTACTCAGAATTAATTGTGCACTTTAATCATTTTCATTGAATCTGCTCCCATGTCCTTAGCTTTTATAACCATAAGTACGACCTGTATACTGATTAAAAATTTCCATCAGTTATATATGAGGTATGACTATAAATTTTCTTTTTAACTTTTTTTGTGTGACTCATAAACTGGCTTAGAAATCAGTTGCAAAATAGGCAAAAGTTTTCCCAAGTGATAGTGGCATCCATGGAATAGTAATTATTTTTTACTTGAGACTATTCTGATGTACATGAAGGTGGAGGGTCCCAGGGAAAGCTTTCCATTTGCCCTCTGAAAGTTTGCTGAAAAATCAACTCACAAAAGGAGAATCACAGGAGAAATGGAATATAAATTTATTAATGTGCATAAGGAGGAGAACCAGAGTGATTAATTCAATGCTCCAATGGGATGCAGAAACTTATATACCATTCTGAGGTTACAGAAAGGACTGGGGGCTTCGAACATGACCAAAACTAGGTGTTGTGATAAATCAGAGTATAGAGGTGAGACCGGTTATGGGAGCAAGAGAAGAGGAAGCCTAGCTAGTAAAGGTGGTCTTGCTATGTAAATGGAACCTCACAGGTAGGAGCCCTCAAAGAGAATAAATGGTAAATGTTTCTTTCAGACCCTGAAAGGTGTCAGACTCTCAGTTAATATTTCCTAGGTCCAGACAAGAGAAGGCCTAGCAAGCATCAATGAAGAGGCTGTATAGATGAAAATCTCTCCCATAAAGGACAGCTTTGCAGGGATACTTCTGCTTTCTGGCTCTCTGAACAGCCATCTCAAAATATGTCAAATAAATATATTTTGTGGTAAAATATTTTGATTTCCCTCAGTCCCCACTTGGAAACTATAAAATGTTTCACATAAAAGCCATGTTTATAGTTTTGGAGTGATTTGGGTTAGAGATTGTTAGATAAAAGATAGACAAAGGAGAGGGAAAGACAAATAGGGATAAAAAGAAAAGATTACATTTAAATATATCATCTCATATCTCCATTAATTAGTCTCTTAGTCCTAAGAATAGAACAGCTCGGTTAAACAGTTGTGTCCTGTTCCATGAGATGGCATTGCAGGTGAGCTAGATCCCTATATATGATGCAGACAAACAGATCTTTAATAAGAGGCACCTCTATGAAAACAGAAGAAAAACAAAGGTTAATGCCCCAAGTAGTCTATAAACTAGTTTTTCTAGAGTCTTTGAAGCATCTTCAGATTGCTGTAGCAATCTGACAGATTTTTCTGGATTGTAGCTTGAATCAGTTGTTCAACTGAACTTTCTGACCAGCCCATTTTGTAGTAGGCACAAAGGCTGTTTAAATATAAACTACTGTGGTGATTTTTCCTGAAATTTATATGAAGTTGTTTAGCTTCAGTTTGCAGGGCTTCAAGAAAAACACAGTTTTAATTTCTGGTGATTTCACGCCAGAAAACTCTAAGAAAAATTTAGAAACATTAGTTTGGGGACTTGTATCCAGGAAAGAATTCAGGATTCAGTCCAAACCATAGGCAATTTTATTGTTAAAGACTCAAAAACCATGGGCAAGGCTAGAATCTAATAACAGGTCTACTATAGTTTTTTTTGTAAAACATATTTTTTTCTTTCTAGGTTTTTTTTTTTTTTTTTGTTTGTTTTTTTTTTTTTTTTTTTTTTGAGATGGAGTCTCGCTCTGTTGCCCAGGCTGGAGTGCAGGGGTGTGATATCAGCTCACTGCAACCTCCACCTCCTGGGTTCAAGCCATTCTCCTGCCTCAGCCTCCTGAGTAGCTGGGATTACAGGCATGTGCCACCATGCCTGGATAATTTTTGTATTTGTCATAGAGACAGGGTTACATCATGTTGGCCAGGCTGGTCTTGAACTCCTGAATTCCTGACCTCAAGTGATCCATCTGCCTTGGCCTCCCAAAGTGCTGGGATTACAGGCATAAGCCATGGCGCCCCGCCTGGTTTTAAATTTTTATCAGGGGTTATTTGCATAAGTTGCAGCAAGAATAATGATTGGCCATAAAGACCTCCCTTAAAGCTGACTTTCTGGAACCCCCCCTTTTTTTTTTTTTTTTTTTTGAGATGGAGTCTCACTCTGTTGCTCATGCTGGAGTGCAGTGGGGCGATCTCTGCTCACTACAACCTCTGCCCCTGAGGTTTAAGCAATTCTTTTGCCTCAGTCTCCCTCGTAGCTGGGATTACAGGCATGTGCTACCACAGCCAGCTAATTTTTGTATTTTTAGTAGAGACGGGGTTTCACCATGTTGGTCAGGCTGGTCTTGAACTCCTGACCTCAAGTGATCCACCCACCTTGGCCTCCTGAAGTGCTGGGATTACAGGCGTGAGCCACTGCACACAACCTGCTGGAACCTTTTTAAAAGGAATCTCAGATTAGACTTTTAAAAGGCTTCAGACTAGGAATCCAAGCTAAGGATTCACCATCAGACTTTGTAATACCTGTATGAATCCAGCAAATTACTCCCTTTTGGAGGTCCTATAATATCCTGAGGTTCCCGGGTCTGCCAGAAAGTGACAATTTTTACTTACTGCAAGGTCAGAAACCTAGTAAAGAACTGTGTTGATAAAGTAGCAGGTCAGTATTTTCAAGAGGCTTTTTCGGCTCTATAAAGTCAACTTCAATTCCTCAAAGCAGTTTGGTCATAACTGAAAATATATCATTCCAGTCAAAGCCCTGGCAAAATAACCAGTGTATCCAATTGTGTCATGTCTCAAAAGAAAACAAATTCTTATTGAACATATGCAAATAACTATATTGCCATAAATTAAGAATACTAAAGAATAGCTTCCAAATTCTGGATAAATTAGGTAAAGAGATAGGTAAATGTTTCAGTTTTGCTCTCTTGACTCTGGAAAACAAAACATAAAAAGAATCAGCAATGTATCAAACAAAAAGTTACTCAGAAAAGCATTTTGGTCTTCTATCAGTTTAGTTTCATGTAATTAACTCTTGTTTTCCATGACGTTGAGTTATCAATCTTGATGAACACACCAGCTTTTTAACTAGTACTGGCAGTTTTTATCTAGTCCAATGGCATGAACTTTAAAGTTATCAGAAACCTGTATTCAAGAGTACTTGTCAGGGTCTTTTCCACAAATTTTCTTGAAGAAGTAAATGTTGGACTGTGGCTATTTCTAAACAGGTTTTTCAGAAGACCCAAAGTAAAACAATAATTGTCTCTGGATGAAAAAAGACTTGGAATAGCCATAACTAAAGAAGCAATGAGTAATTGTGATGTTAGGGTGTCAATTTTGGATCTTTCCTGCTTTTTCTTGTGGGCATTTAGTGCTATAAATTTCCCTCTACACACTGCTTTGAATGTGTCCCAGAGATTCTGGTATGTTGTGTCTTTGTTCTAACATCACAATTAAAAGAACTAGAAAAGCAAGAGCAAACACATTCAAAAGCTAGCAGAAGGCAAGAAATAACTAAAATCAGAGCAGAACTGAAGGAAATAGAGACACAAAAAACCCTTCAAAAAATTAATGAATCCAGGAGCTGGTTTTTTGAAAGGATCAACAAAATTGATAGACCGCTAGCAAGACTAATAAAGAAAAAAAGAGAGAAGAATCAAATAGACGCAATAAAAAATGATAAAGGGGATATCACCACCGATCCCACAGAAATACAAACTACCATCAGAGAATACTACAAACATCTCTATGCAAACAAACTAGAAAATCTAGAAGAAATGGATAAATTCCTCGACACATACACTCTCCCAAGACTAAACCAGGAAGAAGTTGAATCTCTGAATAGACCAATATAAGGAGCTGAAATTGTGGCAATAATCAATAGCTTACCAACCAAAAAGAGTCCAGGACCAGACGGATTCACAGCCGAATTCTATCAGAGGTACAAGAAGGAACTGGTACCATTCCTTCTGAAACTATTCCAATCAACAGAAAAAGAGGGAATCCTCCCTAACTGATTTTATGAGGCCAGCATCATCCTGATACCAAAGCCGGGCAGAGACACAACCAAAAAAGAGAATTTTAGACCAATATCCTTGATGAACATTGATGCAAAAATCCTCAATAAAATACTGGCAAACCGAATCCAGCAGCACATCAAAAAGCTTATCCACCATGATCAAGCGGGCTTCATCCCTGGGATGCAAGGCTGGTTCAATATACGCAAATCAATAAACGTAATCCAGCATATAAACAGAACCAAAGACAAAAACCACATGATTATCTCAATAGATGCAGAAAAGGCCTTTGACAAAATTCAACAACCCTTCATGCTAAAAACTCTCAAGAAATTAGGTATTGATGGGATGTATCGCAAAATAATAAGAGCTATCTATGACACACCCACAGCCAATATCATACTGAATGGGCAGAAACTGAAGCATTCCCTTTGAAAACTGGCACGAGACAGGGATGCCCTCTCTCACCACTCCTATTCAACATAGTGTTAGAAGTTCTGGCCAGGGCAATTAGGCAGGAGAAGGAAATAAAGGGTATTCAATTAGGAAAAGAGGAAGTCAAATTGTCCCTGTTTGCAGATGACATGATTGTATATCTAGAAAACCCCATTGTCTCAGCCCAAAATCTCCTTAAGCTGATAAGCAACTTCAGCAAAGTCTCAGGATACAAAATCAATGTACAAAAATCACAAGCATTCTTATACACCAATAACAGACAGAGAGCCAAATCATGAGTGAACTCCCATTCACAATTGCTTCAAAGAGAATAAAATACCTAGGAATCCAACTTACAAGGGACGTGAAGGACCTCTTCAAGGAGAACTACAAACCACTGCTCAAGGAAATAAAAGAGGACACAAACAAATGGAAGAACATTCCATGCTCATGGGTAGGAAGAATCAATATCGTGAAAATGGCCATACTGCCCAAGGTAATTTATAGATTCAATGCCATCCCCATCAAGCTACTAATGACTTTCTTCGCAGAATTGGAAAAAACTACCTTAAAGTTCATATGGAACCAAATAAGAGCCCGCATCGCCAAGTCAATCCTAAGCCAAAAGAACAAAGCTGGAGGCATCACACTACCTGACTTCAAACTATACTACAAGGCTACAGTAACCAAAACAGCATGGTACTGGTACCAAAACAGAGATATAGATCAATGGAACAGAACAGAACACTCAGAAATAACGCTGCACATCTACAACTATCTGATCTTTGACAAACCCGACAAAAACAAGCAATGGGGAAAGGATTCCCTATTTAATAAATGGTGCTGGGAAAACTGGCTAGCCATATGTAGAAAGCTGAAACTGGATCCCTTCCTTACACCTTATACAAAAATCAATTCAAGATGGATTAAAGACTTAAACGTTAGACCTAAAACCATAAAAACCCTAGAAGAAAACCTAGGCATTACCATTCAGGACATAGGCATGGGCAAGGACTTAATGTCTAAAACACCAAAAGCAATGGCAACAAGAGCCAAAATTGACAAATGGGATCTAATTAAACTAAAGAGCTTCTGCACAGCAAAAGAAACTACCATCAGAGCGAACAGGCAACCCAGAAAATGGGAGAAAATTTTCACAACCTACTCATCTGCCAAAGGACTAATATCCAGAATCTACAATGAACTCAAACAAATTTACAAGAAAAAAACAAACAACCCCATCAAAAAGTGGGCAAAGGACATGAACAGACACTTCTCAAAAGAAGACATTTATGCAGCCAAAAAACGCATGAAAAAATGCTCACCATCACTGGCCATCAGAGAAATGCAAATCAAAACCACAATGAGATACCATCTCACACCAGTTAGAATGGCGATCATTAAAAAGTCAGGAAACAACAGGTGCTGGAGAGGATGTGGAGAAATAGGAACACTTTTACACTGTTGGTGGGACTGTAAACTAGTTCAACCATTGTGGAAGACAGTATGGCGATTCCTCAGGGACCTAGAACTAGAAATACCATTAGACCCAGCCATCCCATTACTGGGTATATACCCAAAGGACTATAAATCATGCTGCTATAAAGACAGATGCACACATATGTTTATTGCAGCACTATTCACAATAGCAAAGACTTGGAACCAACCCAAACGTCCAACAACGATAGACTGGATTAAGAAAATGTGGCACATGTACACTGTGGAATACTATGCAGCCATAAAAAATGATGAGTTCATGTCCTTTGTAGGGACATGGATGAAATTGGAAATCATCATTCTCAGTAAACTATCGCAAGAACGAAAAACCAAACACCGCATATTCTCACTCATAGGTGGGAATTGAACAATGAGAACACATGGACACAGGAAGGGGAACATCACACTCTGGGGACTGTTGTGGGGTGGGGGGAGGGGTGAGGGATAGCATTGGGAGCTATACCTAATGCTAGATGAGGAGTTAGTGGGTGCAGCGCACCAGCATGTCACATGTATACATATGTAACTAACCTGCACATTGTGCACATGTACCCTAAAACTTAAAGTATAATAATAAAAAAAAAAAGCAATTAGTAAAAAAAAACCTGGTCATTTCTGTGACATACCACAATTTAACATGATAATTATAATTATTACTGATCATATATACCAAGACATATCAGAATTTTTAGGAATCTCATACAATTTTTTGACACATATTAATAATACTTTTATAGAAATATAACTCAAAGAAAGTTAAACATGATTTCTTAATAGACAATGTTTCCTGTATGGTTTTAACATATTAAATAAGCCCAATATGTCTTTCTTGTACTTCCAGCTGCCTTAATATCCAACAAATTAGTTTGAGGTCCAAAAAGACTGAATTTAAAATATGAAAATAAAATATGAAAGTGTCAAATATCAAAGTTTTAAAACACTTGATCAAAGTAGTATCACAGGCCAGGCATGGTGGCTCATGCCTGTAATCACAGCACTTTGGGAGGCTGAGGCCAACAGATCACATGAGGTCAGGAGTTCAAGACCACTTGCTCAACATAGCAAAACCCCATCTATACTAAAAATATAAAAGTTACTCAGGTGTGGTGGTGTGTGCCTGTAGTTCCAGCTATTTTGGAGGCTGAGGCATGAGAGTCACTTGAACCTGGGAGGCGGAGATTGCAGTGAGCCAAGGTTGTGCCACTGCACTCCAGCCTAGGCAACAGCATGAAACCCTGTCTCAAAAAATTATATATATATATGATCACAGGTCACTGTAAAGTAATAATTACTTATTTAGCCAAAGTAATAATTCACAAGGTTTCAAAAAGCAAAATTTTACTCTTCGATAGAGCAGACTCCATTTCCCAAACAATCACAATACCTAATAAAGATAGCATGAGGCAAACTGCATGTCTTTTCCTCTCCCCCTTCTTTTTTTTGAAGTTTACTCAGAAGGTTACCAAAAATCTTTTGCTCTTTTTTTTTGAGACGGAGTCTTGCTCTGTAGAGACATGGTTTCACCATGTTGGTCAGGCTAGTCTTGAACTCCTGACCTCGTGATCCGCCCATCTCGGCCTCCCAAAGTGCTGGGATTACAAGCATGAGCCACCTTGCCAGGCCTTTTGCTCTTATTAATACTACATGAAAGTCTTGTTCCAAAGGCAATGCTAAATTTTATCTTTGCTTCAGTATATTATTAATACTAAATCTAATCTTAGTGACATCTTGTAAAAGATTTATCCAATATCATTCAGTTTTGACCACAAAAAATAAAACTTCCATAAACCTTTTATAACTTATTACAATTTTTCCATTCTGTTTTTCTCCAACTTTCCATATTCACTCAATTTTATCTATCATTCCTTTTTATTCCTTCAACTTAGAACATTTAAAAATACCTACTCCAGACCAAGTTACTTTTCTTTTAAAATGAACCAGATTCTTATCACTTCTTATAACCTTCCCTCCAAAAAAAAATCCTATTTTCTTCATACACTTTGTATATATAACTGTTTCTCTTATCTATAGTAGTTTTAATTGTATATATTAATTACAATGTTAACTCTTAGTAATCCTTGTTTTTACTGAAAAACCTAAGTAGACAATTTTAATTATTTACTAGATGCAGATCGTAGGACAAAAGATGGAGCTGTGAAGACAATGCCTGGAGAATCCAACTTCTCCTGGTATGTCCAGGAGGCACAGCTGGGTCAGGGAGGATCGGCTCCAGTACCTCTCCAGTCCTCGCCAGGGCCACTTAGCTAGACCTTAGAATCTAAATGCTCAAATCCAAAGATATAAACTTACAGACAAATTAAGCAAGTCTCAAATATATCATAGAATCAAAACATAGATGTTTTATGACCTTAAAACATCTATCATAGATAGCATAAACCTGCCTTCCAATAGACACAGGCAAAAATGTCTAAATTAAATTTTGAAAATGTTTTTATTTTACCAACAATTTAAAAACTTTATTTACTAAAGATTACTAAAATAACATGAACTTAAAAGCATTTGGACTAACTTATGAGTGCTCAGTTATTTATAAGTCCATAGAGACAGTTCACAAACAGATACACACATATGCACACGTAAAGATACAAACAGATAACAAAGACTCTATAGCCCCAATTTCAAAACTATAGCTATGAGACTGGCAAAACTCACCAGTCCAAAATGATAGCTGGATTCAAATTGTGCCCCTGCAAACAAAAAGAAGTCAATGTACACTTGTCCCACATGGTCTAAGTCCTCACCAAGTCTCAGAAAAAAACAGGATAGTAATCCACATTTCAAAGCACACACACACACACACACACACACACACACACACACAGAGAGAGAGAGAAAGAGAGAATCTAAGTCCCTCCAAGAAGGAGTGTGGGTGTGCTAGCAGAAGACCAAAAATGGATGCCAAGACAACAAAAATTCACAGGAATTCACCATAGGATTACATAAGGAGACCAAGTTCATATGGATAGGTAGCTTTTTAATTTAGTCTGTTTCTTCAAGTGGATCACTGATTTCAGGGCAGAGCCTATCAAGGAACAGGGCCAAGAAAGTCCTTGTGGCTTTTAGGGCTCAATAATTTAAATATGTGAAAAGAAAATACAGTTGAAAGGCAGAGAACATCCAGACCTTTAAAATCAAGGACTTCTACACTGAATCTCAGGTCCCCCCAAAAAGAGAAATGCCATGGGACCGGGCTGCATAATGTCTTCACAGCACACCCTACTATAAAGATATCTTTCAAAGCGTTCAGACCATGCCCTTCCTATACAGACATGCAAAGAAACAAGCAGCCACCCGCAGAGACAACTATAAACCATAAACAACTGTTGTCAACTACCTCCAAAACTGCATGGTCTCATAGGTGACAGCAACCTCCAGCTCTCCCATAGCACCAGCCCTGAGTACAAGAAATGTCCCCGAAATTTCCTGGTAGCAGCCCCACAGCCACTCCGAAGGTCTAGGTAGATAAGCCTTGCCAGGTTTCAACTGCAGCCATCATTAATATTCATGGCAGCCCTTCTCAATATACTCAGGGTGCTACACAAAAGAAGCAGATATGCTAGTCTCCTGGGACAAAGAACCGGTTGGCATCCAAGGTGTCTGAAGATCCACGTGAAGCTGCCACAATTGTAGCAACACCAGATGGGAAGCACCTCTCTCCCGAACTCTTCCTCTCTATGATTTCTGCCTGGTGGCCAGCCAAATTAGCAATCTGACAAGGGATTCCTGTGGCCCAGCTGGGGCCATACTGCCCAACCAGGACACCAGTAGCTCCATGTAATCCTGAATGATAGAGGTCTGGGCATGCAGGCTGGTAGGTAGTAATTAGCATATTAAATTGGCTAGCAAAGTCTAAAGAGTTTAATCGGGGATTGGGAAAGTTCTTTGTAAGCATCAGAAGCTCAGATTTTCTCCAGGGAACAAACCCTGACCTGTTAGCATTACTATCACCTCCCATAATCCTGAGGGAGTTTGGGAGGACACACCTGCTGAGTAAGAGGAATAAAGGGGTAGCTGAGAGGGGTCTGGGTATATGACAGAATGGGTATATGGGAGGAGAAGGGAGAAAGGCCTCAGGGGCCATAGGAGGGGGAGGAGCTGAGGTGAGAGGAGGAGTTAGAGAGGGAGAATGGGGAGGAGAGGTAGGAACAGAAAAAGGAAGAGGAGTTGACTCAGTAAATTTTTTGCATGTGTGATTTTCTTTAGGTTTTTCTAGTTCATGGAGTCTTTTGTTTAATTTCAAATTATTCTTTCTTTTAGAAGTCTCGAAATACTAATTATAGAATAATCCTCATTGTTTTTGGGAGGTGTAATATCCTCTTTCTTCCAATTGAGCATGCAGATAAACTAATCTAGAAATCTCCTAAGACCCCCATTGTGGTCAACAAAGCTTTAAATCATCCCAGGTTAGTTTTATCTAGGATCCCAAATATTCACAAGAATTCATAGTTCTTAACATGTAAGCAACCGGAGTTCCTGATGGCGGTTGGCCAGGGAATGTCCCCTTAGAACCTACATTCCCGAAAACAGCACTTACTTACTGAAGGCATCCCTTCAAGTGCCACTAGAGGGAGAGCATCCTGGCCAATACTGATGGACCAGCTGAATCCAGCTGAAAAGGCCACTCTCTTAGAAACCCAGGGCCAACCTAGAAGTCTCCTCCAGGATCCAGATGGAGGAGATCAGAAGAAAGAAAGAAAATCTCTCGGACCTCAGCCTAAAAGCAGGAAATCTTAGATCCAGGGAGAGCTTACCAGGGTCACTATCAATGTGAATCGGGAGACAACTGAGCTGTCAATGGGCTTTTGCAGGCACTGGTGCATTGACTCCAATCACACTGCAGGGAACCCAGGGAATCTCTGCGGATGTCGTCCTCATCACCAATTATGTCAACTTAAAATCATGAGATCTATAAATTTGGAAATGAGAACTTTATTTCTGAGAAGGGTTGCAACCTGCAGGCTGGGAAGCAGAGCCTCCGGTTGAGATTGAAAGCAAGTACTTGGAGGGAGGAAGGGTGGGACAGGAGTTTTATGCTAAACAGGTTGGCTAAACATACATATTTAACAGGTTATAGGAGGAGCTATGAATATTCATGAAAAGGTGTCACACACATGCATGATAAGTGATCATACATGTCACATACATCCCATGTTCACTTTGGAGTGGAGACAACATTAAAATGAAATAAAATTAAGCTCTATACATCAAAAAGGTGAAACTTAGGGCACAAAAGTGCTTTGTGCTCAGCCTTCATAAATTGACTAGAACCAGTCCATGGCTGATGGTCATTTATCAAGAAGGAATGCTTTGTAAGCTGATCAGCTGTCACGTCAAAACCGTGAAAAGGGAGGGGAGTCTGGCTGCAGCATCAGGCCGTTAGTCAGGTGACAGTCTTCTGTTCTTTGCTTTCTAGGGCTGGTTTCTGCTTAACCCTTATGAAAAAAAGTCTAGTGATGGTTATTGAGGAAGTGGATATGCTGAGATTAACCTCCCATCTCGTCATGGCCAGGAAACTAAATTTTAGAAGTTTTTCTGTGGTTTTCTTGGCCAAGAGGGGTCCATTCAGTTGGTTGGGGGGCTTAGAATTTTACTTTTATTTCATATATCCATTGTGTTCTTTATTTTGGTTATTCTTCATTTATGTAGTTTCCAGGACCTATTATTGGTTCTGTTTCACATCAGCATTTTCCTTGCTCATGGGTGTGATCACTTCTCTTATCCTTCTGAGAGCATTACTTATACTTAAGTCTTTTTTCATTTGCTATATTTACTATGTTTCTTCAGAAGTTAGTTTTTGCGTCTATAGATTGTGGTAGGTTTCTTACATGCTGTCTGTTGTTCAAATATTAATTGGTGTTTCTTGTTTGTGTGTTTATCTTTGTTTTCAAGACTCTTTATTAGACTGTCTATAGATGTTGGCTTGTAAAGTAAACCTGCCTTTGATAATTATGGGGAAGAAACAGTATATGGCTAGAAGGGGTGTGCCGATAATGTATATAGGTGTGGTTGCTAACTATTTCTACTTATTCTGAGCAAAAGGCAGCAGCAAAATTTTATAAGAACTGCCCCCCAGAGGCATAGTTATCTAAGATGCTCTGAATACAGCTCTCCATTATTTATGCTGAAATTCCCAAAGGCTCCTTCCTGCTCTTTGTATCATTGACTCTGAGCTTGCAAATCTCTAAACCACTTCTGCTTTCACAGTGTTCTTCATGTATACGTTGGACTACTGTTGTTTATTCTAGTTTTGTTTTTTTAACTATAGCGGATATGATTCTCAGTCTACAAACTCACGTGTGCCAGAACTATCACATACTTTATTTCCTATATATCAACTACCTAATTATTCAAACCCAGAACTTTTCCTTGGTAATTGCAGTGTGTGTGTGTGTGTGTGTGTGTGTGTGTGTGTGTGTGTGTGAATTATAATTCCAAGTCCCAGCTCTGGTCACAATACCTCATTAGTACCAACACAGAAGGGCTGCTTACAACCCAGCAAGTGTCACTATATATAATCAGGATCAATATTAGGGTTGCCTAACTTACCTATTTGCAAAAGCTATACCCAGGTGGGGATAGCATAGCCAGAAGGGCACTTATCACATTTAGCATCAATCTAACGGTATGCCTAATTTGCATAAATGTGAAACCTATACCAGAAGGATGGGAATAACAGAGCTAGTTGTGCACTCAATTAGTATACCACACACAAATATATTAAGGTTTTCTAAGTCTAGGAACTCTCAGGATGCATAGCTTGATGGCACTTGTTTCCACTGCAAGGCTTTATGCAGGTCCTCCACTCTTCTAAGGCTGGAATGTTGTGCCTCTAGCTGGAGACTCTTGAGCTTGCTTTGAAAAGAGCCTTTGTACCAGAGCTCATCCACAATGATGGCCTAAGTAACCACAGGAGGAAAGCACATCCATACCTAAAAAGCAACCAGTGGGCCATTTCAGGCACCAATCTAAATGTTAAACATAAGATAAAGGTTAATGTACCTTTTACCCTTGCCCCAAAGAAATATGCCTGACTGTGGTGTGTATTAATAGGAATATTTACTTAGATTAGAATTTATATTAGATAATCTTTTGTTATGCTCAGTAATTCCATAATAAATGTAAGTAATTTGAAAAAGCTACCTCCTTGTTATGTCAGTTTGCCTTTGTTATGTCAAAGCCAGTGGGAAAAATGGGACAGGGTTCCCTGTAGGTCTTAGACATGCTAACCTCCAGCTTTGACTGCTATGCTTTGTGAACTTGTTATGATTTAACTAATTAGCAGTTTTGTGAAATTATTAAGAGCATGGCTTCTGGAGCCAAGTAACTTGAGTTCTAATCCTAGCTCTGCCATTTAGTAACTGTGTATCACGGGCAAATTATTTAACCTCTCTGTTTTTCAGTTTCTTCACTTGTAAAGTGGAGGTGGTAGTAGTACCTAGCTCATAGGGTTATCATGAGGTCTGAAAAAGTTGTTACATGTACAGTACTTAGAACATAACTTAGCATATGACCTCTCAGTAAGCATAACTTAACATATGACCTCTCAGTAACTGTTATCTAATATTGTTATTATTTGATCTTTTGCTTTATGTCAGCCTTCCCTTTAAAGCTTTGATGTCCAACACAGTAGTCACTAACCGCATGTGGCTATTTGAATTTAAATTGATTAATATTAAATAAAATTTAAAATCCAGTTCCTCAGTCACAGTGGTCAATTTTCACTCAGTAACCATATGTGACTAGTGGCTAGCATTTTGGACAATTTACACAGTCATCTCTTGGTATCTGTGAGAGGATTAGTTCCAGCATCCCTGCAGATATCAAAATTTCTTGAGTAATACCCCACAAGCCCAGGCAACCAAAGCAAATATGGACAAATGGAATCACATCAAGTTAAAGAGCTTCTGCACAGCAAAGGAAACAATCAAAAAAGTGAGAAGACAACCCAAAGAATGGGAGAAAATATTTGCAAACTATCCATCTGCCAAGGGATTAATAACCAGAATATATAAGGAGCTCAAACAAATCTATAGGAAAATAATTGAATAATCTGATTTAAAAATCGGCCAAAGATTTGAATAGACATTCTTCAAAAGACATGCAAATGGCAAACAGACATATGAAAAGGTTCTCAACATCACTGATCATCAGATAAATGAAAGTCAAAATTATAAAGAGATATCATCTCATCCCAGTTAAAATGGCTTTTATCCAAAAGAAAGGCAACAACAAATGCTGGAGAAAATGTGGAGAAAAGGAAACTCTCATGCACCATTGGTGGGAATGTAAATTAGTACAACCACTATGGAATACAGTTTGGAGGTTTCTCAAAAAACTAAAAGTAGAGTTAACATATGATCCAGCTATCCCACTGCTGGGTATATACCCCAAAGAAAGGGATTCAGTATATCAAAGAGATATCTGTATTCCCGTATTTGTTGCAACACTGTTCACAATAGCCAAGATTTGGAAGCAACTTAAGTGTCCATCAGCATATGAATGGATAAAGAAAATGTGGCAATTATACACAATGGAGTACTATTCAGCCATTAAAAAAGAATGAGATTCTGTTATTTGCTACAACATGGATGTAATCGGAGGTTATTATGTTAAGTGAAATCAGCCAGGCACAGAAAGACAAACATTGCATATTCTCACTTATCTGTGGCATGGAAAAATCAAAACAATTGAACACATGGAGAAAGAGTAGAAGGATGGTTACTAGAGGCTGGGAAGGGTAGTGAAGTGTGCAGCAGGGGAGCTGGTGGTGGTTAATTACTACCAAAAAAAATGTGAAGTAGTGAATAATACCTAGTACATGATAGTACAACAGGGTGACTATAATCAAAACAATTAAATTGTACATGTTAAAGTATAATAACTATAAGCCTATAATTGCATATAAAAGCCTCTTAAATATCTGGAAGTAAAAATTCCCCTTGTTCTTCCTTTTTCAAAATACACACCACATCTAGTACAGAGTGCTAAGCTGTTAAATTTACTGAATTAATAATTTGGAAGCTGAGAGAATGAGATCTTAACAAATGTATGATAAGAAATATTGCATCTCACTGGGATTCTAATTTTAACATATGGCGATTTACTTTGGACTAGACTGTCTGGTTCTTTTTAATTGATCAGAGACATACATGGTTCATGCTTGTATTAGTCAGCTCAAGCTGCCATAACAAAATATCATGGGCTGAATGGTTTAAACAACTTAAACAACTCAATTAATTTCTTACACTTTTGAAAGCTGGAAGGCTAAGAGCAAGGTGCTGGCCAATTTGGTTCCCTAGTGAACAATTTCTTCCTGGCTTGCAGACAACTGCCTTCTTGCTGTATTCTTACATGGTGGGATGGGGGCACAGGTGGGAGAGAGAAAGCTATCTGGTTTCTTCTTTTTTTGTGAGACAGATCTAACTCTGTCATCTAGGCTGGAGTGTGCAGTGCAGTGGTGCAATCATGGCTTGCTGCAGCCTCGACCTCCTGGACTAAAGCAATCCTCCCACCTCTGCCTCCCGAGTAGATGGGACTACAATTGTGCACCACCATGATTTCTGTTTATGAGGGCACCAATCTCAACATGAAGATTTTACTCTCATGAGTAAACGTAATTACCTTCCAAACATTTAAACGTAATTACCTTCCAAAGGCCCCATCTCCAAATACCATCACATTGGAGGTTAAGGCTCTGATGTAGGAATTTGGAAGGGACACAATTCACTTCATTGCAATGTCATAAATGGGTTTACAATCTAATAAATTGAGGAGAATTCATTAATTGAATTAGTCAATGAAGCATTTATCAAGCACTCACTATGCGCTAGGCTGTGTTTTAGGTCCTGGGGGTACAGCAGTGAAGAGAAACAACCAAAAAAACTCTCCCTTCACAGAACTTTTATACCTGACTGCATCTGATGGTTTGCCTCCCTACCTAATCCCTATTTCTCAAATTTATTTCTATGTCTCTAGCCAGATTGCCTTTAGATAGGGCCCTGACTATTAATCCCAGAGATAAAGAACTTGTAATATTCCATAAGAATAGATAATTATGCTTTTGAGACCCTTTTTTTCCTCGATGGTATGAACATATAATGGAATACATTGTCAAGTAAATCCTAAGTAAAATGTACTTTTTTGAGGAATGTTTTCTTTTCATTGTCTCTTCCCTGATAAGAAATATGGACCATCTATCATCCATACAGGTGGTGAACTCTGCCATTGCTCTGATTTGATGGACTGATAACTGAAACTCTGGAATCATTTTTATAAAGGTTGATGACATGGAGATTCCAGCACACTCTCTTCTGATTGGTCTTGTGTATGCTCTCCTATATACCCATGCGAGTGAGTGTAAATTACAATGATGAAGGAATACCATCTCCACTATCCTTTCCAGTCCAACATGCCAAATTGTATAAAGTGTTGGAATGAGTGGAAAATGTAGTACAGGTACCGCAAGTTGGTTAGCATGTCAGTTAAAACACACACATGTACACATATATACCACTATCTTTTATGGTCAAAGTGGAAATATGCTACTGTTTTTATGAGTTATACAGAACTGAGGATTTTTCATATTTTCAAGTTTGTTAAGATAATGTTCAGACATACAGAAAAGGTGAAAGAATTTTACAGTGAACATCCATATTCTCACCACCTGTATTATATAATTTACATTTTACTTTACTGGCTTTATAATGCGCTCTTCCATCTATCCACATCCTTATCCATCTATCCATCTAGAACTGAAGATTTAACATCCTTTCCATAGGCTTACTCAAAATACTGGTGCACAAATAGACCTCTTGGTTGCTATACCCTTGCCTTATGCTCTTCTTTGAATTTAATCTCTTTTATTTGTCGAACTGAATTTAGCTTTCAAATACTGATGGCTCTGTAAAGATGAATTTTTCTATTAAGCTCTTGTCCAATTGAAGGGAATTAAGCTGATTGAAAGGCTTCTGGTGATTTATTTGTTTAAACATTTTTGCAGTTGCTCAGTATGTGTCCAGAAGTTCAGATAAAATGTGAACTTCTTTCATCTTAATAATAAGATATGCTTATAATAATAATTCTGTTAAATGTCACTTCTTATCCCTGGGCTCTCTTGATTTAATCCAGGACAGATGTATTGCTGCCAGCATCTTTTCGTAGACTGTACATGTTAAATTAATTATACTATTTAAAATATGATTATCTATATTCATATTCAACTTGATCTTTGTCCTTTTCACCCTTTCAATTTGTTTTTGTACACTCAGTTGTTATTCACCTCAGTGATAATATTGAGTGCAAAAGGCATTAGAGAAAGGATTAAACATGGAAAGCCAAGATTATAATATCAACTCCACATCCTAAAATATACTTATGATTTTTAACACAGTGAACTTATGTGTTAAAACATTATCCTACGATAAAACGTATGTGTGAAAGTGTGGCAGGCCAGGTCTCATTAACAACTATTTCAGTACTGACTGAGTGGTTAAGTTCAATATTAAAAGCCAGTGCCCTTATACAAAGGCTAGGATGTAACAAAAGCCTACCAAGAGTTTTGCCTCAGCCTTTCCTGGGCCTCAAAGCATGACAAAATAATGAAGGAATTCTTAACAGGACCCATTTAGGATTAAACAAGTTTATTGGGGGTCTGAAGGAACTCCTCAAACCTCCGTGATGTAGCAGGTAAGGGTAATCATCCCAGCACCTGGACCCATTTAGATTAAGTAAATTTACTGAGGCTCCAGAGGAATGTCTTCAGGACTCCAGACCTTAGTTATAGATTAAAAGAAGTTAATCACTTATGCCTTTAGATGAATGCACACTTACACGTAGACGTATAGCCTAGAAGGTATATAAGCTCTGGAAAACTTTGTAATTTTGAGTTGGTCTGGCGACAATTTCCAGGCCTTCTCCCTATAACTGGTTACATAAATAAAAACTCTCTTCCTCCCCAGTTCATCTCCATCTCGTTATTGGGCCATGAGAAATAGCAACTCAACCCTCAGTTTGGTCCGGGAACAAATTTGGTGAGCCAGCCAGTAGATAAGGACAGTGCTGCATTCAGCAGCTGGCAGCTTGTGATGAGACAGGCTTCAGGAGGATCCAGCAGCTACCAGGTGAGGTTTCCCCTGGGGACCCTCTGGAGGGCTGTTCCATGTGCAAATCTGCATGTCCTTTTCTGTACTGGGGAAGAACAATGATGAGGAGTGGACATGCTCAAAGGGTGAGTTAACTGGATCGTATGCCAGGAGCCTATTTTTTTCCTATCTGGGCTTGTTAAGCCATTTGTCCAGTACCACCAAGGGAAGTGATAGGGCTTGCTCATACCCCTGCCTTGCATTTTGGTTGAGATCAGGTTTTGAGTTGGTTTTGAGTCTGTTTTGCCTGAATGCACTCCCTTTTGTCTTGTCCAAAATTTGTCTCCACTTGTTTGTGTATCTGCTTATTTTTTTTGATACCATGTAAATTGAAAATGGGAGATATTGGGTCCATTCCTGCTGAGAGGCCTCTGGGAAGGAAAAAAATTTTTTTAGGAGTTCAATGTTTAAAAGTCAGCCTAATTAAAGCTAACATCCAGGATGTGTATATGTATGTTTGCATGTTTGTATTTAAAAGACCTTCATGTTTTTGTTTTTGTTTATTTCTCTCCTAGGAGGACCTTGTCTTTTTGAGCAAAAGTTTTTTCTTCTTAGTTGACTGAATCCTGTTTTCTTCATTAATAGCTATTACAACAGAAGCTACTCTGGGGTTTTTGAGAAAAATTTATAATTTAGACATTTAGAAATATCTTTGGGAAAAAATTTTTTTAAGTGTACTGTAAAAGCATCACGTGGTCTAGCCTCACAATAATTTTCCCTTTTGAAAAACCCAGGATTCAGTGTGGGCTCTGCCCAGAGCTCAAAGATCTAGTTAAAAGATAAGAAAAAGGAGGTCTCCTGAATCTATAAAATGTACTTCTGTTGGCATGTCTAGTACGTCTATGTATTTATGTCTTGTGTACATCATGTTTCACTACTGAAAATATATAAAAGAGTTCTAATTAATTGGCTCAAAGAAAAATAAAAGCACTTGAATACTTTAACAGCAAAGACTAGTCAAATGCTTTTTCAAGTTTATGTGACTTAAAATCTTTAATAAATAAGCTAGCTTTAAAAAGTATTGGCAAAGGCCGGGCGCGGTGGCTCACGCCTGTAATCCTAGCACTTTGGGAGGCTGAGGCGGGTGGATCACAAGTTCAGGAGTTCAAGACTAGCCTGGCCAAAATGGTGAAACCCTGTCTCTACTAAATATACAAAAATTAGCCATGCGTGGTGGTGGGTGCCTGTAATCCCAGTTACTCGCGAGGCTGAGGCAGGAGAATCGCTTGAACCCGGGAGGCGGAGGTTGCAGTGAGCCACTATCGTGCCACTGCACTCCAGCCTGGGTGACAGAGTGAGACTCTGTCTCAAAAAAAAAAAAAAATTATTGGTAAAGTAATATTAGAAATGCCTTAAGAGTTACCAGCATACATTTTTGTTTGCATTTATTGATTTAGCAATATCATACTTATCTCTGCCAAATACTATAAGGTGTCAAAATTTGGCATAGAGGCTACAAAACCATAACTCAGCCCAAATAGAATGATCTTTGCTTGGGTAATTTTTTAATAAATGAAACATTAATATTGGTTTAAGGAAGTTAGCTATATCTTGAATTATTTAGTTAAATACCCTAACTTCTAATCTTGTGGCCTTAGGCAGGCTAGTCCACAGACATGAAGGAAGTTTGTTCTGGGAAAGGACTGTTATCACCTTTGTTTCAAAGCTAAACTCTAAACTAAGTTAATGAACAAGAATAGCTTCTAGGTTAGAAGCAAGATGGAGTCAGTTCAGATCATTTTCACTGTCTTAGTTATAATTTTGCAATGGTGGTTTTATAATTTTAAATTATGACTACACAGTTTTCATAAATAATCCAGGTAAATGATTAAAATAAATAATTAGATAAATACAATGGGATAAATACTCATAAACAAACTTCTCATAATTTAGAATCTGAAGTTATATCAAATTAAACAACAGATATCTCATTATTTGGGTATTTTCCAATAAAAATATATTGTAGGAAAACATTCTTTCTAAAAATGCTTTCCTTTTTAAGGGATAACTAGTTTTTGTCTAATTCAAAGCTTATTTAAAGATTATATATAAAACAAGGTAAACAAAACTAGGAAATAAGAGAAATACAAAGAAAGTTATAAAAATAAAGAGAATTTTAAAGATTATTGGTAAAATAAAAGTATCTTCAAAAATGTAAACATTTGATCTAAATTTTGCAGGTCAAATATTAGGTTTGCTAAATGCTTTAGGTCATAAACTGCTTCTTTGACTTAAAAATTGTTCAATTTATTTTGGAGTGTTAAATTCTAGATAAAGCCTGGGACACGTGGAGTCAGACGCTGAAATAAGTCAGACCTTATCTGCACTTCTGTCTAGGTCCTAGGCTCCACACCTGGTACATAATTAAAATCCCAAACTTACCAAGGTTTTCACCAAAAGTAAAGGTTGCTCAGAGTTAACAGTGTAACATGCATTTAAGACTATTGAAGAAAAAGTTTACATGCAAGGTGTGTAAGGAAAGTAAAATATACTTTTGGTAAAAAGATTATAAGGAGGCATGAGAATGTAGATTCTTGCCTAGATTAAAAGGTTAAAGGATTATTTTAAGTTGGATAAAATAAAGATGAAGGTTTAAGCAAGCTGTGGAAGGTTGATTGTAAAGGAAATTCTGTGTGTAAACATATTGGCTAAAGTTAAAGGGCAATCATCCAGTTTTTCTGTAAATTGAGCATTAAAATAAAAGCACAATGGGTTTCCCTTAGAGCACTACCTGCTCTTTTTTTTTTTTTTTTTGAGATGGAGTCTCACTCTGTCACCCAGGCTGGAGTACAGTGGTGCAATCTTGGCTCACTGCAACCTCCAACTCCTGGGTTCAAGCGATTCTCCTGCCTCAGCCTCCTGAGTAGCTGGGACTAGAGGCACATGCTACGACGTCTGGCTAGTTTTTGTATTTTTAGTAGAGACAGGGTTTCACCACGTTGGCCAGGATGGTCTTGATCTCCTGACCTTGTGATCCACCCTCCTCGGCCTCCCAAAGTGCTGGGATTACAGGCATGAGCCACCACGTCCTGCCACTAACCTGCTCTTTAACAAAATTTGTAAACGGTTATAAAAGGTCTGTAAAAATCTTATGGTCAAACATTAAAATTGGGTAAATATGTCTATAAGATTTTATTAAGAATTGGGTTTAACATTAATAGTATGCTAATGTAAAGGTGAAAGTTTGGCTTATTTGGCATAAAAATTATACAGAAATAATTTTCAAATATGAAACGGTATTTAGTTTTCTTTGGGTATATTTGTATAAATATGTTATTGGTATGTGTTCCAAAATTATGGGAGACTCCTGTAATTCTGATATATTCTAGTGTACATTATCAGTAATAATCATAATTGTTGTGTTAAATTATTGTGTGCCACAGAGGTAACAGATATCCTAGTCAATTGTGTCTTTAACTATGGCTACCCTAAAACCTTTTGTCATCCATAAACAATTATTGTCTTGTTTTGCTCCTCTTTAGAAGGTGGTTTTATAATCAGCTATAAAGCTCTATCTGGTGCTCTTAAATGCAGGTTTCTGATAACTTTGGAGATTGTGATATCAGAATAGAGGAACAACGTTCAGGACTCTTGAAGAGCTAAAATGTTCATTAATATCAAGCAGGACAGGAATTAACTGCATGAACTGAACTAATAGGAAACTGAAGTGATCTTTTTGGCTTTTTGCTTAAAATTTTGCTAATCCTTTGTTTTGCTTTTCAGAGTCAAGGAAACTTTTGATCTATTAACAGCTTTTAAAAATTAAGTAAATTATACTCTTATGAAAAAAATTTGGAGCACATTTGTTTCTACCTGATTCTCCAGAATTTGGAAACTATATGTGAGTATTCTTAACTTATGGCAATACAGTTATTTGCATAAGTGCAATAAGAATCTGTTTTCTTTTGTAACAGGACACAATTGGAAAAACTGGTTATTTTACCAAGGGTTTGGCTGGAATGGTTTGCTCTCCTTTAAAGAATCAAACTTGACTTATGGAGCCAATAAAGCCCTTGGAAAACTGGTCAAATACTTTGTGTACAAAGTCCCTGTACAGGGTTTCTGATCTGTGGGAAGTAAAGAATGTCACTTTCTGACAGGCCAGGAACCCCAAGTTATCATGGAACCTCAAGAGGAAAGGAATTCACCCAACTTATAGGTATTTGGTGGTACAAATCCATGGCTGGGCTCGGCTTTAAAAGGCCTTATCTTAGATTCCTTTTATGGAATAAAGTTCCATCAAAGCCAATATAAAAGGCCTATGTGAAAAATAATTATTCTTGCTGCACTGTATACAAATAATCAGGCCAAGTATAATGAAGCAAACCAATCCCACCATGATTTGTCTCTTAATAAAAATGGGAAACTAGAGACAGAAAAATTATGCTTCAAAAACTATAGTATACCTGTTGTTAAATTCTAGTCTTGCCTGACGTTTTTCAATTTTTATTATTTTCTGCAGTTTGGATTAAATTCCAAAATAATGTTTTCAATTTTTTCCTTTCTCTTTTCCTTTTCCCTCATTTTTTTCCTAATTGGAAGTCACTAAAACCGAAGCTGTGCTTTCTTAAAGCCCTGTGAACTGAAGACTAAATGTTTCAGCAGGCGCTGCCTCTAAGCCCCCGAAACATAGAGTGCTACCAGGAACAAATCAACCTCTTTTACTCCAGTGCTGTGTTTGGTACCCCATAATGACAACCCTCTCTCAGCAGGAAGTAGCCAGAAATATTACGACGCCCCATCTCCCGACATGCAAGCATGGTAGAAATCATGTGCAAATTGACATTGGGGAGTGTAGCAGGCCAGGTCTCACTATCGCAGGCCTCCATAACAACTGTTTCAGTACTGATTGAGTGGTTAAGTATTAAAAGCTAAGAAAAAGCCAGTGCCCTTATACAAAGGCTGGAATGTAACAAAAGCCCACCAAGAGTTTTGCCTAGGCCTTTCCTGGGCCTTAAAGCATGACAAAATAACAAAGGAATTCTTAACAGGACCCATTTAGGATTAAACACATTTTATTGTGAGTCTCAAGAAACTCCTCAGGCATTTTTCTGGAAGTTTCATTACATAGGCATGATTGATTAAATATTGGTCATTGGTGATCAATTCAAACTTCAGCCCCTCTCCGTTCCTTTAAGTGAGAAGTGGGGCTGAAAGTTCCAGCCCTTTAATCACATAGTTGGTTCCCCTGGCAACTAGTCCCCATCCTGAGGGTATCGAGGAGCCCCAGCCATCAGTCATCTCATTAACATGCAAAAAGACACATTACTTTGGAGATTCCAAGGGTTTTGGGAGCTGAGTGCCAGAAAACTCAGCTTCCAAAGACTAAATGTATGCATCTTATTATAAATCCCAATATCCCTTGCATACATTGCCATGGGAATGTAAAATGGCACAGCTGCTCTGGAGAAGAGTTTGGCAGTTTCTTACAAAACTAAACATGCAACTTACAGCCCAGCAATTATACTCTTAGGCATTCATCCCAGAGAAATGAAAACCTATGTTCATACAAAACCCTTTACATGAATGTCCATAACAGGTTTATTTATAATAGCTACAAACTAAAAACAACCCACATATCCTTCAAATGGTGAATGCTTAAACAATTGGTGGTACATACCTACTATGAAACACTACTCAGTCATAAAAATGAACTATTGATTCACACAGAAATTGGATGAACCTCAAGGAAATTAGGCTGCATTAAAAAAATTCAGTATTAAAAGGATAGTCCATGGTTCCATTTATGTAACATTCATTAAATAGCATAATTATAGAAATAGAGAACTGATCAGTGGTTGCCAGGGGTTAGGGATGGAGAGAAAGAAAACACTTGAACACATGTGTCTACAAAGGGATAACATAAGAGAATCTTGTGGCAATGGTACAGTTGAATCTCTTGATTGCGGTGGTGGTTATGCAAGGCTACATATGTGATAATATTGCACAGTGCCACATGCTGTTGAATTTGAATAAGCTCTATAGACTGTACCAATATAAATTTCTTGGTATTGGTGACGTATTATTGTGGTTTAAGAAGTTAACATTGGAAGAGGCAAAGGAATGGGTACATGGGACTTTCCTGTACATTTCTTTTGCAACCTCTTGTGAATCTCTAATTGTTTCAAAATCAAAAGCATATATAGATATACAAAATAAAAAGCATCTATATACTATACACACACAGAGAGAGAGAGAGAGAGAGAGGGAGAGGGAGAGAGAGAGAAGTGAATGAATGTTATCTTCAATTTAAATTTTGTTTATTGAGTGCGTTCTATGGCCAAGACTCTGGTTAATGCAAACTTGAATAAATACATTTTCATTGATCATCCATTTCATTAAAGAGAGTCTTCTTGAGACATTCCAATCAATATACCATTAATCTCTCAAAGTGAAACTTGCCAGTCAGTAACATAAAGTAATTGAAATGTATCAGCTTCCTCAAAATAGATATGAGGATTACATCATTTATTCTTCCCTCCACCATGCCACTAAACTGTTTTTGCTAAATCCACCAAAGATGTCCAAATTTGCCAAATGCAAGTCTAGTTGATCTTTCTGCAACATTTGTCCTTGTTAACCACTTTCTCCTTTTTTTAATAGCTTCTGACTTCTTATTTGGCATTATTTTTCTTTTCAGCAATTTATTCTTTTTTTTTTTTTTAGTTTTCTTTATTATTATTATTATACTTTAAGTTCTGGAATTCATGTGCAGAACGTGCAGGTTTGTTACATAGGTGTACATGTGCCATGATGGTTTCCTGCACTCATCAACCTGTCATCTACATTAGGTATTTCTCCTAATGCTATCCCTCCCCTAGCCCCCCAGCCCCTGACAGGCCCCAGTGTGTGATGTTCCCCTCCCTGTGTCCATGTGTTCTCATTGTTCAACTCCCACTTGTGAGTGAGAACATGTGGTGTTTGGTTTTCTGTTCCTGTGTTAGTTTGCTGAGAGTGATGGTTTCCAGCTTCATCCATGTCCCTGCAAAGGACATGAACTCATTCTTTTTATGGCTGCATAGTATTCCATGGTGTATATGTACCACATTTTCTTTATCCAGTCTATCATTGATGGGCATTTGGGTTGGTTCCAAGTCCTTGCTATTGTGAATAGTGCTGCAATAAACATATGTGTGCATGTGTCTTTATAGTAGAATGATTTATAATCCTTTGGATATATACCCAGTAATGGGATTGCTGGGTCAAATGGTACTTCTGGTTCTAGATCCTTGAGGAATCACCACACTGTCTTCCACAATGGTTGAACTAATTTACACTCCCACCAGCAGTGTGAAAGCGCTCCTATTTCTCCACATCCTCTCCAGCATCTATTGTTTTCTGACTTTTTAATGATCGCCATTTATAATGGTGAAGTTAGGATGTTTATAAGATTGTAAAGTCTGGTCTTTTAATCATAACCAAGGGGCTTAGTTATGATTGGGTGAGGATCATGATATAATAGTTTAGTCATGGGCCAAGCAGTCCACCAATGGTCTTTCAAGACTATCCTGATGGTTCTTCCAGGAAGTTCCTGGAATGAAAAAATAGTTTATTTGCAACTTTTATCTTTCTGAGAAAGAGTTTCCTGGAATGGTAAAATTACACCGATGAAGGCAGTGAAAGAATAACGTCATGTTAATGTAGATGGTAAGCTGTGTGGGTGTATATGGTCTCAGTTTTCATTATCAAGCAGACAAGAAAGAAAGAATAAGAAAAAGAATAAAAATATATTTACATATTAAATTAGTAAAAATGGATACTGAACAAGTAATTTCCATTTATTATCATATTTTTGTTGTAACCTGACTTAAGCCAATTTGTCCTCCACAAGGGTTAAGTTTGAATATCTAGAAGCTGAGGACTATAGGGCTTCACATTGCACAATCTTGCTACTACATGGTATGTTACAATGAATGGACATTGTAGACTGAGTTATCCCGCACATGTAAACATTTATTAGCAAGCAGGCACAAGAAAGTCTTACAACTTGTTACAATAAGCTCAGAAAAGTCCTGCTCCATCTTTTTGAGCACTTTTACAAGCATCCTGCATAAAAGTTTCACCCTAAAGCAAATGTTCTGACAGTAAACTTCTGTAAACTATTTGGGTCATGGAACAAAATCCTTTCTTTTAATGGGAGTTGGGGGCGTTACAGGAAAGGAAAGAATTCTAGGTGTGAAAGACAAAATACACTGGATAATTAAAGAGATAATCTCATTGAAGCTACTATAATAGGGAGAACATTCATTAATGGGGAACATCTCCGTGAAAAGGAAGGGGGCATGGAGTTTTACAGAGGCAGGTAAACAAGGGAGTCATCCACAAGGCTTATGGGAGCCCTGAGAAGGATGAAAATGGATCTTATATGAGAATATATGAGAGTAGAGTAGTACTTTGAGGTTAGCCAGAATATAAAAGGGTGGGGAAAATTCTTAACTGTTGCTGCCTTCCAGGAGCACAGGGATCAGATAAAGTTTGGCATTGTCATCAGTACTCCTTAGAAGATATTGGGCTCTTGGCTCACCAGGTTCTTATACCCTTTTTGTGCAAGGGCAGAGCTGCCTATAGAATATTTCCAGCCAACATATATTTTTTGAACATCACTGATTAGAACCAATTATTTTGAGAAGAGTATTTTAGATAGGATGGCCACGGGAGGCCTCTCTGAGGAGGTCATTTTGGAATAGACACCTGAACTCATTAAGCGAGCAAGTCATGCAAGGGGAAGTGTATTCCAAACAGAGTAACAGAAAGAGTGAAGACCACTAGGCACAATGATCATCTGGAAATAAATTAGGCTACACAAATGGGAACAAGCACAGGCTATTTATTCAGAACTTGTTATAGCTTGGGAGTCAGCAGCCACCATTACTTGCATTTGGCAGAGACTCAATAGTAGGTAGAAGAGTAGGAAATCTTTGTCATGGGAAAAAGGGATTGCTTCAGGCATGCTCTGATTGGAGGCTGTTGGCATGGTGAAGCTATAGGCAGGCTAACTAGAAACAGGGCATCCTATGTGATCGGCTAGTGATGCATATTTGGCTTTCTCTGGTTGGTCCTAAGTTGGAAGTGGGGGCAAAAAATAGGAAAGCTGTCAGGTACTAATCAGTCCTGGCTATTATGAGCTGATTGTTACAGAGACTATTGTTTGGCTTGCTGGATTGGCTATTAGAGACAGTAGTCTGGCTTCCTACAAATCTGATTTCTGGTTAGTTAATTGACTTCCTGAACTGGTTCCTGCAGTTTATGGGTCAGAGTTCTATTTTTTTTTTTTTAATATGGTTTGGCCATTGTCTGTATATTCGGTCTCTTAAGCATGATGTGTTGGAAGAACAGCAGGAAGGCTAGTGTGATTAGCGTAGAGGGAAGGAGAAATTGTTAGGAGATGATGTTAGAGAGATCGGTAGAGAGTAGATCTGGTAGGGTCTTGAAATCCATGGTAATGAGTTTGGTTTTATTCCATATTCCCTTTGGAATATTCTCAGTGGGGAAGTGACATGAGTTGATTTAGTTTTAAAAGGTTACTTTTGCTATTATATGGGTAAAAAAGACTACAGAGAGATAAGAGTAGAAGCAGAGAGGCCACTAAGGAGATTATTGCCATAGTTTAGGTGAGAGAAGATAGTGGCCTGAACCAAAATGGTAGCTATGGAGGTAATAAGAAGCAGTGAGTTATTTGGACATGTTTGGAAGGTAGAGCCAACATGATTTGTTGATGGGTTGGATGTATGTGAGATAGAGCAGTAAAGAATATCTCCAATGGGTTTGTCCTGAGCAAATGCTACCATTACAGAGATGAAGCAAACCTTTGTGAATGTTTTTATGCTCCTTCATTAAATCATGTCTTCTTATCCAGCACACATATGCTACTTGAGGGTAGTGATGGAGCCTACTCAAGTTTTCTTTCCATTGTGCTTATTAGAGGATTATATAGCATACAGACTTAAGTGACTATTGCTGACTGACACTGCTAAATAAATTGAACAAAAAATTTTAAAGTTTTGATTCTAGGCCACCAGGTGACATTTCTAATTGGGATGCCTCTATTCTCTTTCTTTCATCATTCTTTTGATAAGTAAAAGAAATGCAGAATATTTAGCAAATCTTTAAGGGGTAAATTTACCTGCTTATTATTATTACAGTTATTCTAGGCAAAGTGGCCAGATGTTATAACTTGATATAGAAGAATACAAATATTTACATTCATTTGAATCCAGAGTTTAGAAAAAAAAACTATTTGCACATTGTACTCCTGGAGAAAAGGAAACATCAATATCAATGAGAAAATTATTGCTGAATTGTAGATTATATATAAATCTGTTAGCTGCATTCTCATTCTAAACTATTTGTTAAGTGCCTGGGTATGGAAGATTTTCTTCTGCTATGATATAAATCTGGATTTTTTGCTTCTTGTAAATCTGTAAATGCAACATAAGGACTATTTTTCTCCATTATTCTATCATGATACTCCTATTAATCATAGTGTTATGTAGAAATATTAGGGAACAGTAATGCTTGGTTAGTAATGGAATTTACATATGAAAAGCAAGTGATGCATATTCAATTGCCTCTCTTTCAGAGTCTCATCATTATCACATGAGTCATTACTGTGTAACTACCTTGTTTTGATTGATTATATATATGAATCCAATATAAATGAGCATAGCTGTTAGGAAAGCTTCCTCCCATTACATTCTCATGAAATAGCCATCAGTATATTTAAATTCTGCTTTTATAAATTTTTATATGGTACTCCCTAATTATCATATGTATCTGAATGTAAGCAAGAGTTTTTCTTTATTATCTACATTTTCATCTTTTCTACTTTCAAAATTGTGCTACAATATTAAGTTTATGACATCACCACTATTTACTTTGATAGAACAACTTACCTTGATAGTAATAGTACATATAAGGTTAAATAAAGGATCGAGCAAAGTGAATATACAGTCTAATAAACGATCAAGCAAAATGATTAACTTTGACTAAAAGTAAATGGAGTCATTTGAACCCAAATATCTACCAGCAAATGAAAAAGATTATAAAATGATTGTTGAAAAACAACCTGTTGCATAGCAAGAGTAAGGCAGTCTTGAAGCAAAACTGCTGTAGTGATTGATGTTTGACTCCTGTAGACCAAGGCATTTTGCAGTGAAGTCAAGAAGCAATGCTTGTAGCATAGATAACCACTCAAGACAAAAACAATGCCCATAGATAAGCCTCCTCCATAAAGATGCCTATCTAACTTTCCCAGTGATCAAAAGTTTTATAAAAGGGCCTGAGACATGACCAGTTGCATATGTTTTCATGCACGTCTGTGTGAAGAGACCACCAAACAGGCTTTGTGTGAGCAACATGGCTGTTTATTTCACCTGGGTGCAGGCGGGCTGAGTCCGAAAAGAGAGTCAGGGAAGGGAGATGAGGGTGTGGCCGTTTTATAGGATTTGGGAAGGTAATGGAAAATTACAGTCAAAGGGGGTTTTTTCTCTGGCGGGCAGGAGTGGGGGTCACAAGGTGCTCAGTGGGGGTGCTTTTTTGAGCCAGAATGAGCCAGGAAAAGGACTTTCACAAGGTAATGTCATCAATTAAGGCAAGGACCGGCCATTTACACTTCTTTTGTGGTGGAATGTCATCAGTTAAGGTGGGGCAGGGCATATTCACTTCTTTTGTGAATCTTCAGTTACTTCAGGCCATCTGGGCATATACGTGCAAGTCACAGGGGATGAGATGGCTTGGCTTGGGCTCAGAGGCCTGACATTCCTGCCTTCTTATATTAATAAGAAAAATAAAACAAAATAATGTTGAAGTGTTGGGGCGGTGACAATTTTTGGGGGGTGGTATGGAGAGAGAATGGGCAATGTTTCTCAGGGCTGCTTCAGGCAGGATTAGGGGCGGCGTGGGAACCTAGAGTGGGAGAGATTAAGCTGAAGGGAGGTCTTGTGGTAAGGGGTGATATTGTGGGGATGTTAGAAGAAACATTTGTCGTATAGAATGATTGATGATGGCCTGGATATGGTTTTGTATGAATTGAAAAACTAAATGGAATAACAGAAGGAGAAAAACAGGTATAAAAGGTCTAAGAATTGGGACGACTCAGGATATCTGATTAGAGAGTGCTTAAGGAGATTTGGCATAGTCCTGCCAGCAAAGATTATTTATTTACTTCAAGAGTTAAGAGTGGCAGTTTGGGGATAGCACCAGGAGATATCAGCTGTGATGGCTTGGAAAAACAGTGTAAACCGGCAGTGTAAACAAGAGCAGGGCGTGTATGAGTAGTCGAGAACGGTGAATAGGAGTATGACTAGACAGAAGATAGTAGGGATGACAAGTTTTTTGGGGCACAGTCTAAGTTGGTCTGGTGTCCGGAATGAGACTGGGGCCTAATAAAAAGGAGCGTCTATACAGGAGCTTAAATAGGCTGTACCCTGTAGCATTCCAAGGACAGGCCTGAATTCTGAGACGGGAAAGTAGTAAAAGTATTGTCCAGTCCTTTTTAAGTTGGTGGCTAAGCTTGGTGAGATGTGTTTTTAAAAGACCTTTAGTCAATTCTACTTTTCTTGAAGACGGAGGACCATAAGGGATATAAAGGTTTCACTGAATACTAAGAGCCTGAAAAACTGCTTGGCTGATTTGACTAATAAAGGCTCATCTGTTATCAGACTGTATTGAGGTGGGAAGGCTAAACTGAGGAATTATGTCTGACAGAAGGGAAGAAATGACTGTGGTGGCCTTCTCAGACCCTGTGGGAAAGGCCTTTACTTATTCAGTGAAAGTGTTTATTTAGACTAAGAGGTATTTTAGTTTCCTGACTAGGGCATGTTGAGTAAAGCTAATTTGCCAGTCCTGGGTGGGGGCAAATCCTCGAGCTTGATGTGTAGGGAAGGGAGGGGGCCTGAATAATCCCTGAGGAGTAGTAGAATAGCAGATGGAACACTGAGAAGTTATTTCCTTGAGGATAGATTTCCACGATGGAAAGGAAATGAGAGGTTCTAAGAGGCGGGCTAGTGGCTTGTACTATAGCATAACCTGCCTTTGCTGGTGTGTGGCGATTAGGCCTGGTGGAACCGCCATCAATAAATCAAGCGTGATCAGGGTGAGGAACAGGAAAGAAGGAAATTTGGGGAAATGGGGTGAATGTCAGGTGGATCAGAGAGATACAGTCATGGGGGTCAGGTGCGGTATCAGGAATAATGTGGGAGGCCGGATTGAAGTCCAGGCCAGGAACAATGGTAATTGTGGGAGACTCAACAAAGAGTGAGTATAGCTGAAGGAGCCAGAAAGCAGAAAGTATATGCGTCAGGTATGAGGAAGAAAATAGATTTTGGAAGTTATGAGAACTGTAGAGAGTGAGTTGAGCATAGTTTGTGATTTTGAGGGCCTCTAAAAGTATTAAAGCAGCGGCAGCTGCTGCACACAGGCATGAGGGCTAGGCTAAAACAGTAAGGTCAAGTTGTTTGGACAGAAAGGCTACAGGGTGTGGTCCTGGCTCTTGTGTAAGAATTCTGACCGCGCTAACCATGCCTAGGAAGGAAAGGAGTTGTTGTTTTGTAGAAGGTGCTGGGGTTTGAGAGATCATTCGGACACGATTGGCAGGGAGAGCACGTGTGTTTTTATGAGAATTATGCCGAGATAGGTAACAGATGAGGAAGAAATTTGGGCTTGATTGAAGTAATGGGGGCTGTCTGTGAAGCTTTGTGGCAGTACAGCCTAGGTAATTTGCTGAGCTTGATGGGTGTCAGGGTCAGTCCAAGTGAAAGTGAAGAGAGGCTGGAATTAAGGGTGCAAAGGAATAGTAAAGAAAGCATGTTTGAGATCCAGAACAGAATAATGGGTTGTAGAGGCAGGTATTGAGGATAGGAGAGTATATGGATTTGGCACCACGGGGTGGATAGGCAAAACAATTTGGTTGATAAGGTGCAGATCCTGAACTAACTTGTAAGGCTTGTCTGGTTTTAGGACAGGTAAAATGGGGAAATTGTAAGGAGAGTTTATAGGCTTTAAACGGCCATGCTGTAGCAGGCGAGTGATAACAGGCTTTAATCTTTTTAAGGCGTGCTGCGGGATGGGATATTGGCGTTGAGTGGGGTAAGGGTGATTAGGTTTTAATGAGATGGTAAGGGGCGCATGATCGGTCACCAAGGAGGGAGTAGAGGTATCTTATACTTGTGGGTTAAGGTGGGGGAATACAGGAGGAGGACGCAAAGGAGGCTTTGGATTGGGAAGAAGGGAGGCAATGAGATTTAGCTGTAGTCCAGGAATAGTCAGGGAAGCAGATAATTTAGTTAAAGTGTCTCAGCCTAATAAGGGAACTGGGCAGGTGGGGATAACTAAAAAGGAATGTTTAAAAGAGTATTGTCTAAGTTGGCACCAGAGTTGGGGAGTTTTAAGAGGTTTAGAAGCCTGGCCGTCAATACCCACAACAGTTATGGAGGCAAGGGAAACAGGCCCTTGAAAAGAAGGTAATGTGGAGTGGGTAGCCTCCGTATTGATTAAGAAGGGGACGGGCTTACCTTCCACTGTGAGAGTTACCCGAAGCTCGGCGTCTGTGATGGTCTAGGGGGGCTTCCGAGGCAATCGGGCAGTGTCAGTCTTCAGCCGCTAAGCCGAGAAGATCTGGGAAGGAGTCAGTCAGAGAGCCTTGGGCCAGAGTTCCAGGGGCTCTGGGAATGGCTGCCAGGTGAGTTGAACAGTCCGATTTTCAGTGGGGTCCCACATAGATGGGACGCGGCTTAGGAGGAATCCGGCGCTGCGGGCATTCCTTGGCCCAGTGGCCAGATTTCTGGCACATGTAGCAAGCTCCTGTGGGAGGAGGTTCTGGAGGAATGCTTGGCCGCTGCGGTTCAGGCGTTTGGAAGTTCTTGTGTGCTGGAGATGTGGCTGGAGTTTGTCTCAGAGTGGAGGCAAGGAATTGCAACTTTTTTCTATTATTGTACACCTTGAAGGCGAGGTTAATTAAATCCTGTTGTGGGGTTTGAGGGCCGGAATTTAATTTTTGGAGTTTTATTTAATGTCGGGAGCAGATTGGGTAATAAAATGTACTTTGAGAATAAGATGGCCTTTTGACCTTTTAGGGTCTAGGGCTGTAAAGTGTCTCAGGGTTGCTGCCAAAGAAGTCATGAACTGGGCTGGATTTTTATATTTGATGAAAAAGAGCCTAAACGCTATCTGATTTGGGATAAAGAAAAAGGAGTATTAACCTTGACTATGCCTTTAGCTCCAGCCACCTTTTTAAGAGTAAATTGCTGGGCAGGAGGGGGAGGGCTAGTCATGGTACGAAACTGTAAGCCGGACCAGATGTGAAGAGGGGAGGTGATAAAAAGATTATAGGGTGGAGGAGCGGAGGCTGAGGAAGAATTGGGACCTAGCTCGGCCTGGCGAGGAGCAGCCTGGGGAGGAAGGGAGAGGTCAGATGGGTCTGTAGAAAAGGAAGATTAGAAAGACTCAGCAACGCTTGGGGTTGGTACAGAGGGGACAGGCGGGAGGGAAAGAAGGAAGATTTCGGATGAGTTGCACTGGGCACAGAGACTAGGAAGGGACTGATGTGTAAAAGAATGCCTGGACGTCAGGCACCTCAGACCATTTGCCTATTTTATGACAAGAATTATTTAGATTTTGCAGGATGGAAAAATTCAAAGTGCCATTTTCTGGCTATTTGGAACTACTGTCGAGTTGGTATTGGGGTGAAGCGGCATTGCAGAAGAAAATAAGGCATTTAGGTTTTAGGTCAGGTATGAGTTGAAGAGGTTTTAAGTTTTTGAGAACACAGGCCAAGGGAGTAGAAGGAGGAATGGAGGGTGGAAGGTTGCCTATAGTGAAGGAAGCAAGCCTAGAGAAAAGAGAGAGTAGGGAAAGGAGGGAAGGGGTTCGGGGGTTCTTACCTTCCAGAAAAGTGGGAAAAGGGGTTGGGGCGCAGAGATAAGAGGTCGGGGCACAGAAATAAGGGATGGGGCACAGAGATAAGGGGTTGGGGCATGGAAATAAGGGGTAGGTGCATGGAAATAAGGGGTCAGGGCACAGAAATAAGGGCTCGGGGCATGGAAATAAGGGATTGGGGTGCAGAGATATAAGAGGTTGGGGCACGGAAATAAGGGATTGGGGCACAGAGATACGAGGTTGGGGTACTTGCCCCTCCTCTAGAAAAGCAGGACTTGCTGCTCAGAGTGAAGGAGAAGGGGTTGAGGGGTACTTGCCCCTCCCCCAGAAAAGCAGAGAAGGGGTAGAGACAAGGAGAGAAGGGGTTGGGGTACTTGCCCCTTTCCCAGAAAAGTGGGACTTGCCGCTAAGGGTGAAGGACCAAGGCAGGCGTCCCTGCGTGGTCTGACACCTTTGAATCGTGGGTGAATAATCAGAGAAGTGTCCCTGTAATGATTAAACACCAAGGGAAGTCTGCCTTCCCAGTCCGTGACTGGCACCGGAGTTTTGGGTCCACGGATAAAACGTGTCTCCTTTGTCTCTCCCAGAAAATGAAAGGAATTGAAATTAAGAGAAGGGAGAGATTGAAGAGTGGAAAGGAGAAAGTGGTTGAGGGACAGTGAGAGAGGTTGGAGAAGAGAGTAAGAAGAGGCCGCTTACCTGATTTAAAATTGGTGAGATGTTCCTTGGGCTGGTTGGTCTTAGGACCTGAGGTCATAGGTGGATCTTTCTCATGGAGCAAAGAACAGGAGGACAGGGGATTGATCTCCCAAGGGAGGTCCCCCGATCTGAGTCACGGCACCAAATTTCATGCGCGTCCATGTGAAGAGACCACCAAACAGGCTTTGTGTGAGCAACATGGCTGTTTATTTCACCTGGGTGCAGGTGGGCTGAGTCCGAAAAGAGAGTCAGGGAAGGGAGATAAGGGTGGGGCCTTTTTATAGGATTTGGGTAGGTAAAGGAAAATTACAGTCAAAGGGGGTTTGTTCTCTGGCGGGCAGGAGTGGGGGTCGCAAGGTGCTCAGTGGGGGTGCTTTTTTGTGCCAGGATGAGCTAGGGAAAGGACTTTCACAAGGTAATGTCATCAGTTAAGGCAAGGACCGGCCATTTACACTTCTTTTGTGGTGGAATGTCATCAGTTAAGGTGGGGCAGGGCATATTCACTTCTTTTGTGAATCTTCAGTTACTTCAGGCCATCTGGGCGTATACGTGCAAGTCACAGGGGATGAGATGGCTTGGCTTGGGCTCAGAGGCCTGACATATGTTTCACTGTTTTACTGGAAAAAAAAAAAAAAAAAAGCTTGCCATATAAAGAATACTTTCTGGAGGGCAGGTGTGGGAATCTATAGTCTCTCTGCTGCTGGAGACATCTCTTCTGTTTGTAAGCTCCTATTAGATGTTTCTTTCAAGAAACTGGATTTATCATCCTCTTTCTTCAACTCTCAGCTTCCTCGGCCTTTGGGGAGTAGGTATGCATATACTGTTCACTGCAAAACAGTGGTACTAGGAGCCTATGCTACAAAGAACCATTTGTTTTCTTCCAAATTTATTATGATGTAAATCAAAAATAAAATTCTAAGGCCCCCCAACTGAGGCAGGAGAATAAGGCCTGGAGGCAGGGAACCTAAGGACTTCCTAGAACTAAATCAAATGGAAACATTTCAGCAATGACAGGAATGTGAATGGCTTTGTAACTTGACTTCATCCTCTTCATTTACATATGGCATATACCAAGTAACCAATGGGAAACTTCTATAGGGTATTTAAACCTCAGAAAACTCTGTAACGGGGCCCTTGAACCCCTTGCTCAGCCCGCTCCCACCCTGTGAAGTGTGCTTTCATTTTCAATAAATCTCTGCTTTTGTTTCTTCATTCTTTCTTTGCTTTATTTGTGCGTTTTGTCCAGTTCTTTGTTCAAAACACCAAGAACCTGGACACCCTCAACAGGTAACCCAGCCATCTGAATGGAATTCCTCCTGAGCCAGAGCTCTTGAAATTTAACCTGAGAGACTGTTTCAGGCCATGATGGGAAGTGGGGGTTGAACGGGTCTCAGTATACCTTTCCAGCATTAACATCAACACAGACTTTAAGTGTGATAAGAAATATTTTACAACCTATTCTCTCTGAAGCCTGCTAGGTAAAAGTCTCATCTGTATAGTTAAAACTTTGCTTTCCACAATCTCTTATCTTAGACAGATCCCACCTCTTTAGACAAACTCAACCATTTGTCAACAAGAAAATGTTTAAATTTACCTATGGCCTGGAAGCTCCCACCCCCCACCCCTTTCTGGACCAAACCAATGTATTTCTTAAATGTGTTTGATTGATGTCTCACGCTTCCCTAAAATGTATAAAAGCAAGGTGCACCCCAACCACCTTGGACACATGTTCTCAGGACCTCCTGATGGCTGTGTCACAGGCCATGGTCACTCATATGTGGCTCAGAATAAATCACTTCAAATATTTTACAGTTTGGCTCTTTTCATTGACAATGATTATCCTTTTCCATATGTAAAATAAAAGCTCACTGATTTAGGCTGTACTAAATCACAATGTTCAGAATTCAACATTTGAAGAACACGGAAATGATTTGGTGAGTAAATATGTAAAGAACACTGTTAGTATCATATTTAGGTCATACATGTGAACAACCTGTTTACTAAAAGTAAATTCCCAGTAATAACGACTAAAATGTTCACAGTATATGTCAGTCTTTCATATATTTTAAGTCCCAGCAGGGCCCAATCAAGATGAACTGCATCTAGTTGAAAGAGAGAGTGGTAGGCCAGGTTATGGACTTAGACCTTCCACTGAGCAGATCTAGCTATAAGCGTCAGAGACAGTGCAGTATGAGAGTCAGAGTATGACATTTAGCCATGCAGTCACTCATCCAGTATTACTGAATGGTCAACTATGTGCCAGGGTTTGTGCTGGTCACTGAGGATGTAGAGATGAATGTCATCCCTCCAGGAGCTCATGTATATGCAAAAGAATGTATTGCAATGCAGGGATTTAATGCAAGAGTATAAGGAATTATAACCACCAAAGTCATGCAAAGGAAATAGTTATTAACTGTATTCTAGGGAGAGATTAAGGAAAATGATAGACTTGAATAATAGGGATGGGCCAAGTTGTTTTAAAGGGCAAATAGCAGTATGCCGAGGATGCAGAGGTGAAGGGAACTTTCCAGGATGCAGGAACAGAATGTGACCTAGCTAGAGTGTATTGCAGAAGAGAAAGGAGTGGGGTCTGAGGATTAAACAGAGCAAGTAAGGTGATGCAAAGTTTTTTACTCATGCTAAGGATTTTGAACTGATGTCTGATCATCATACAGTGACGCTTGTGAGTAAACTTAGCTTTTTAGTGTCTCATTCTTAAGTATGAATATCCAGTCAAGGATCACCAGACATGAGGAAATCTTTCAACGTCAGAGCTGCACATAGTTAAAGGTGCATAATTGGAATATATATACATATATATTTATATAAACTTGTGTAAATATGTACATATAAGTATTTCATAAAACCATCCTCACAATCAAGATAGTAAACTTATCTACCACCCAAAAAGTTTTGTTAGGCCACCAGAAGTGGTTAGTCTTTTTTATTCTAGACATTTTAATAACTGTGCAATGGTATCTCATTGTGGTTTTAACTTACATTTTCCTAATGATGATAAACAACTTTTTATGTGCTTATTTTTCACTCATACATCTTCAAAGAAATGTCTATTCAAATATTTTTCCAGTTTTTCAAATTGGGTAAGTTATTATCTTTTTCTTCAGTTTTGAGAGTTCTTTATGAATACTGGATTTGTCAGTTACATGCTTTGCAAAGATTTTCTCACAGTCTGTGGCTTGTTTTTCATTCTCTTATCAGTTTCTTTTGAAGATCCAAAGTTTTTAATTTAGACGAAATCCAATTTATCATTTTTTTTCTCTTATGGATTGTGCTTTTGTTTTCAAGTTCAGTAAATCTTTTCTTATCCCAAGGTCACAAAGATTTTATTCTGTTTTGTTCTAGAAGTTTTAGGTTTTACATTTAGATGTAAGATCCATTTTGAGTTAATTCTTGTATATCATGCAAAATATGGACATCCGATTGTTTCAGCAGCATTTGTTAAAAAGGCTTTTCTCTCGCCACTCCTTTGATTTTGCATATTTGTCAAAAATCTGCTGTCCATAACCACAATCTGTTGTCCATATAGAGGTGGGTTTATGTATGGACTCTGTTATGTTTCATTAACCTATTTGTCTACTTTTATGCCAATAACACACTGTCTTTATTCTGTAGCTTTTAAAAAATAGATTTTATTTTAATTGACAAATAGTGCTGCAAAATCAGATGTTACCCCCAATTTTATTTTCAGAATTCTTTTGGCTATTCTAGGTCTTCTGCATTTCCTTATGATGTTTAAAACCTGCTCATCAATTCCTAAGAAAAAAAAAAGTCTGCTGGGATTTTGATTGGGATTGTGTTGAATTTATAGATCAGTTTTGTAAAGAGTTGACACCTTAACAATATTGAGTTGTCCAATCCATGAACAAGGACTACCTATTTATTTATGTTTTCTACAATTTCTTTCAAGCAATGTTTAGCAGTTATCAGTGTACAGGTCTTTCACATCATTTATTAGACAGTCCTAAAGATTTCATATTTTTGATGCTATTGAAAATGTTATTGTTTTTTAAATTTCAATTTCCAATAGTTTGTTGTTATTGTATACAATATAATTGATCTATATTCATCTTGTGTTCTGCAACCTTGCTAAATTCATTTATTAGCCTTAGTAGATGCTTTTGGTAGATTCTATCAGATATTTTGCATAGGCAATCATGTCATCAGAAAATATAGTTTTACTTCTTCCTTTCCAATCTGGATGTCTTTGTGTATTTATTTTTTCTTGCTTGATTACATTGACTAGAATGTTGCATAAAAATGGAAAAGCAGACATTTGCCTGTCTTATTCCTGATCTTAGGGGTAAAGCACTTCATCTTTTACCACTAAATAGGATGTTACCATTGATTTTTTGGAAGGAGAACTGTATCAGGTTGAGGAAGTTCCCTTCTCTTCCCAGTTTGTTGAGTGCTTTTATCATGACCTGCTATTAGGTTTTGTAAAATGCTTCTTCTGTGTCTATTGAAATAATCATATATTTTTTCCTTTTTAGTTTTTTAAATATTGTTGATTATGTTGATTTTTAAAAAACTGTTCATCCAAACTTGCATTTCTGGGATAAAACCCATTTGGTCATGATGTATTCTATTTTTCACATATTGCTGAACTCAATTTGCTAAATTTTTGTTATGAATTTCTTCATAATGTGAAACGGGAAAGGTTCCCTTGTCCCCCTCGCAGGGCATGTGATGGGGTTGTGGCTCGCTTCTAAAGTGCCCCACTGCTCAAACCTCCAGGGAAGCATACAGACGGCCAGGCTGTGGGGCTCCGACCCCACGGCAGTGTCTAGGGGTGAATGTTTACAACTGGAGCCCCAGTGGGCGTGCGTTACAGGGTGCTCTTTTAGGTTGCTGTCTATAGGCAGCTTGTGTTAGTCAGCTCAATTAGACCCTCTACCTTGTCTCAAGGACAGAGGGCTTTCTGTATCCTGGGGTTTCTTGCCTTGGTGTACTGGAAGAATCAGATCACACGTGGGCTTGGAGAATGAATGAGTGCAAGGTTTTATTGAGTAGAAGCAGCTCTCACCAGATGGGGGAACCAGAAGGGAGATGGTTTTCCTCTGTAGTTGGGCTGGTTGCCTGGCTCTTCTCTGACTGTTCTGGCCAAACTTGACATTGTGCCATTGGTTGATGGCCTGCCGGTCCCCGTCAGCGTGCTCTTCGGCTGGTGGGCTCTCCATGACCAGCTGCTTGTGTCTTCTTCCACCAGTGTGTTCCTCACGATGTCCAGCCACTTCTGTGTCTGCCCACTAGGTTCTCCGGTTTTTATGGGCCCAGGATAGGGGTGTGACAGGCCAGGGTGGTCTTGGGAAATGCAACATTTGGGCAGGAAATTCCTGTCGTCACCTAGGTCTGTGGGGGTGAAGCCCTAGCTAGGGACCAGCCTTTCTCTACCCAGCATTTTCCTGTAATGTCTTTGTGTGGTTTCAGTATCAAGGTAATGATGGCGTCATAGCATGAGTTGGGAAGTGTTTTCTTCCTTTCACTTTTTTGGAAGAGTTTGTGTAGAATTGGTATTATTTATTTATTTATTTTTATTGTTTCTGAAATGAGGCCTTACTCTGTTGCCCAGGCTGGAATGCAATGGTGCAAACACAGTTCACTGCAGTCTCAACATCCTGGGCTCAAGCAACCCTCTCATTTTAGCCTTGTGCCACCACGCCTGGCTAAATTTTTTACTTTTTTTGTAGAGTCGAGGTCTTGCCATGTTGCCCAGGTGGGTATTACTTACTTTTTAAAGGTATAGAAGAATTTACCAGTGAAGCCATATAGACCTGGAGATTTTTTGTGAGAAGGCTTTAAACTATAATTTTAACTTCTCTCTCTCACACACACACACAGACACACACACATGTGCACACACACACCATAACATGTATACAGGTTGCTATTTCAGGTTATCTATTTCTTCTTCAGTAAGCTTTGATAATTTGCATCTTTTAAAGAATTTTCCCATTTCACCTAATTCATTAAATTTATGGGAATAGAGTTGTTTAAGGTGTTCCCTTATCTTTTTAATATCTATAGATCCTGTCATTATGACACTTCTCTCATTCTAGATATTTGTAATTTTTGTCTTCTCTCTTTTTTCCTGAGAAAAATCTGGCTAGCAGTTTATCAATTTTATTGATCTCAAAGAATTTACCTTTGGTTTTATTGACTTTTTCAGCTGCTTTTCTGTTTTTTATTTCACAGTTTTCTGCTTTGATCTTCATTATTTCCTTTCTTCTATTTCCTTTAGGTTTCATTTGTTCTTCTTTTTCTAGTTTTCAAGATAGAAAATGATATTATAATTTGAAGCTGTTCTTCTTTCCTAATATAGGCATTTTTTATAAGCACAGCTTTGGTAGCATTCTGTAATTTTTGATATGTTGTCTTTTCGTTTTTATTCAGTTAAAATCACTTTCCAATTTTCTTTTTGGTTCCTTCTTTGATCCATGTATTATTTAGAAGTGTGTTATTTCATTTGCAAATATTATGGGAATCCTCAAAGATCATTTTGTTATTAATTTCTGATTTAATTCCATTATGGTCAGAGGACATACTATGCAAGAGTTGGATACTTTTTAATTTATGGAGGCCTGTTTTATAGTTCTGAATATGGTCTATCTTAGTAAATATGTCCTGGGTTCTTGAGAATAAAGTGCATTCTAATGTTGTTGGGTGGAGTGTTCTATAAAAGTCAATCAGGTCAAGTTAGTTGATAGTTTTGTTCAAATCTACTATATACATTTGCTGATTTTTCTACCCACTTGTTTTGTCAGTTATTGAGAGAGAGGTATATAGATTCTTAGATTATCATCATGGGTTTGTTTGTTTTTCCTTGTGGTTCTATTAGTTTTTGTTTCATATGTTTTGAAGTTCTGTTATTCAGTGTATAAACATTTAGGATTGTTACATCTTCTTGATAAATTCACACCATTATCATTATAAAATGACTTACTTTATACCTGGCAGTATTATCTGTTCTGAAACCTACTTTGTCAGATAATACAACCACACCAGCTTTCTTGTGAATAGTGTTAGCATGCTATATCTTTTTCTATCCTTTTATGTTTAGCATATTTGTGTCTTTATATTTAAAGTACATTTTCTGCAGGCAGAATATAGTTGTGTCTTAATATTGTATCTAATATGACAATCTCTGCCTTTTAATTTGGGTGTTTGGACCATTTAAATTTATATGACTATCAATATGGTAAGGATTAAGCCTATAATCTGATTGTTTGTTTATATTTGTCCCATCTATTTTTTCCCTCTTTTTCCTTTATTTCCACCTTCTTTTGGATTAATCAAATTTTCTTTGTGATCCTATTTTATTTTCCTTGTTGGCTTAGTAGCTATAACATTTTGTTTTGTTATTTTAGTGGTTGCTTTAAGGTTTATAATGTATACATTTAATTTGCTACAGTATATCTTCAAGTGCTATTATACCATTTCACATATAGTATAAAAACCTTACAATTATATTTTTTATTTCTTTCTCCCAGCCTTTATGCTATTGTTGTCATGTTTTACTTTTATATATGTTCCAAATCCCACAATGCATTGTTATTATTTTTGTTTAAACAGTCTTTTAAAGAGGTTGAAATAAGAAAAAAGTCTTATATACTTACCCATATAGTTACCAATTCCTGTTCTCTTCTGTTTGCTCTTTGTCTAAATCAATATTTTCATCTGTTTTGTTGTCCTTCTGCCTGATGGATGTCCTTTAATATTTCTTGCAATGGACATCTGCTGGTGATGATTTCTTTCAGGTTATGTATGCCTAAAAATGACTTTATTTTGTATTTGAAAAATATATTGCCAGGTATAGAATTCCAGGCTGACAGATTTTAAAAAATACTTTAAAGATGTCCACTATCTTTTCCATAGCATTTTTCTCTGACAAGAAATCTGATATCATTGTTATCTGTTCCCCTTAACAGACAGGTTTGCCTGCTTTTAAGATTTTCTTTTTGTCACTTATTTTGAACAATATGATTATGATGAATCTTAGTGTAGTTTTCTTCGTACTTATTGTGCTTTGGGCTCCTTCAGTTTTTTGTATTTGCGAGTTTATATTTTTTATTAATGTTGGAAATTTTCAGCCATTATTTCTTCATATGTTTTTTTCCCCTTCACACCCTCAGAGATTCCCACTGTGCATATATGAGGTCATTTACTGTTGTCCCATAGTTCACTAATGCACTTTTCTTTTATCAATATTATTTTTTTCTATGTGTCTTTTGTGTAATTTCTATTGCTATACATTCAAATGCACTTATCTTTTCTTCTGTAGTGGCTAGTCTTCCATGAATCCCATCCTGTGATTTTTTTTTCCTTCTCAGACATTATCGTTTTTATCTCTGGAAGTTCAATTTCGGTCATCTTTTTATATATTTTGTATATCTATTTAACTTGTTAAACATATTAAGTAACATTATAATAACCATTTTAATGTCCTTGTCTAATTTTAATATCTCTGTCTGTTATGGGTCAATTTTGATTGACCTTTCTTCACTTCATTATGGGTCATATGTCTCTTTTTCTTTGAATACCTAGTAATCTTTGATTCAGTGTTAGACATTGTGAATTTTAACTTTTTGGGTGCTAGATATATGTGTGTCCCTATAAATCTTTATGAGTTTTGTTCTTGGATGCAGTTAAGTTGCTTAGAAACAATTAGATTCATTTAGGTCTTATTTTTATGGTGTATTAAGTGAGTCCAAAGCAGAGCTCAGACTAGGGCTATTTTTTCACTACTGAGGCAAGCCCTTCCTGGTACCCTACCCAATGCTCTGTAAGTTATTAGTTATTCTAATCTCACTGGTGGGAATAGGCACTATTTCTGGCCCTCTGTGGGTGTATGGCACTGTACCCTGTAATATAATTCTTTCACATTGTTCTTTCCTTGGCCTTAGGTAGATTTTTCTCATACATGCACTGATAAGTATTCTGTTGAATACCTGAGGGGAGCTCTCTGCATGTATCTGGGGTTCTGTCTCTGTTCTCTTAGCTCTAGCTCTATTAGTCTCCCTGCACTCTCAGCTCCATATCCTCAACAAGAGTCCAGTATCCTTCACCTTAATACATCCTTCCTGTGCCATGGCCTGGAAAATATCTTAAGGGAGTAAGCTAGGGCAATCATAGAGATTACCTAATTTGTTTCTCATAGCTCCAGACTAATGTTCTTCATTTTCTGACGTCTAGTGCCTTGAAAAGCATTATTTCATATATTTTATCTGTTTTTATTTTATTTTTTGCTCGTTGCAGCCAGGAGAGTAAATCTGATTCCTGTTACTCCATTATCTGGAAGCAGAAATCCTGTTTAATTTTTAAAATTATCTACATTTATTATTTGATTTATCATTTAATAATGAACATTTCCAAACATATCGAAAAATTTAAAGCATTATACAATACACATCTGTATGCCCACACTCTAGATTCTACAATTAGCAATTTGCTATATTTGCTTTATTATATAACTGTTTCTTCATCCATTCACCAAAACATCTTGTTTGTTGATGCACTTCAAATTGAAAATATCAATACAATTCACCTTAAGCCTTGAGCATGCACATCATTCATTACAGTCTAATATTTGTTTTTGGCTCTTTGTCAAGGAAAAAGATACATATATTCAAATGCACAAATCTTAAGTGTACCAATTAACAAGTTTTGACAAATTAAAAACCTATGTAATACTATCTTCCATCAAGCCACAAAACATACTTATCACCCCAGAAATTTTCTTCCTGACGTTACCAGTCAATTCCCCCACCTTCCCAAAAGAAACCACTCTTTAGATATTTTCACAATAAAAAGTTTAACGTTTTTAGGAATAGCACTGTTATATAGAAATATAATGTTAGCAAAAAACAGGGCCACATGCGTAATTTTACATTTTCTACTAGCCACAATTCTAAAGGTGAAAAGAAACAGGTGATATTAATTTAAATATTGCATGTTGGATTTTGATTCCAAAATGGCAGGATAGAAACAAGTTGGCTTTACTCCCCAATAAAAAAAAACCCAAGAACCAATATACAGTACCAAGTTTCTCAGCAGCACTATCCCAGAGCTCAAATATGAGGATGAGACAGTTCCCATGGCCATACAGAAGTGAAAAAACTCTGAGCAGATGGTAAGAGAATAGGATTTCGATATTCACAATGCCCTTCCACTCAATCTGCCCTGCACCACAGGCATGGAAAAGTTTGCCCTGATTCATGGTTTCTGCACTGGAAAAAGTGAGATAGAGGTAGACAATCAGCTTCCCCAGCATCTTGGGTTCCTTGGCAGGAGACCTGTCCCTGCTTCATCCCATTGAAAGCATCAGGAATGCCTAAAGAAATAAATATCCCTGAGGACAAATGGAAACCAAAAAAAGAACAGGAGTAGCTTTGCTTATATCAGATAAAAATAGACTACAAATTAAAGACTGTAAAAAGAGACAAAGAAGGTCACTATATAATGATAAAGGGGTCAATTTAGCAAGAAGATATGACAATTATAAATATTTATGCACCCAACACCAGAGCTTCCAAGTATACAAAGCAAACATGCATAGATTTAGAGGGAAAGATAGAATACAATACAATAATAGAAGGAGGCTTTAACACCCTCCTTTCAGTAGTGGACAGATCATCCAGGGAGGAAATAAACAAAGAAACATTTGAATTGAAGTACACACTAGACCAGCTAGGCCTAACTGACGTTTACAGAACATTTCAAACAACTGCTGTAGAATGCACATTCTTTTCATCAGCACATGGAACATTCTCCAGAATAGATCATATCTTAGGTCACATAATAATTCTCAACAAAATTTAAAAGATAGAAATCATATCAATTATCTTTTCTGACCACAATGGAACAAAAGTTGCAATCAATTACAAGAGGAACCTTAGAAACTTCATGAACATGTAGAGATTAAACAACATTCTCTTGAACAACCACTGTATTAATTAAGAAATTAATAAGGAAATTAAAAAATTTCTTTAAACAAATGAAAATGGAAATACAATATACCAAAATATATGGGATATAGCAAAAGCAGCACTAAGAGGGATCTTAATAGCAATAAATGCCTACATCAAATAAATAGAAAGACTTCAAAAACCTATCAATGCACCTCAAAGAACTAGAAAATAAAAAAAATCTAACCCAAAATTAGTAGAAGGAAAGAAATAATAAACATCAGAGAAAAACTAAAATTTAGATTAAAAAACAATACAAAAGCTCAATTAAACCACAAGTTGTTTTTTTAAAAAAGATAAATAAAATCAGCAAACCTTTAGGTAGACTAAGGAAAAGGAGATACTATATAAATCAATAAAATCATAAATGAAAACTGAGACAACAGAAATACAAAGAACAATTAGAGACTATTAGGCACAACTATATGCCAACAAACTGGAAAACCTAGAAAACATGGGTAAATTCCTGCACACATATAACCTACCAAAATTGAACCATGAAGAAAAGGATGTGGGGGAAATGGACTCCCCCCAACACACACTATTGATAGGAATCTAAATTGGAAGTAAACAGCTATTAGGAAGTAAACGGCTATTACGGGAAACTATAGAGAGGTTCCTCAAAAATCTAAAAACAGAATTACTGTATGATTCAGAAATTCCACTACTGTGCATATATTCAAAAGAAAGAAAATCAATATATTGAAGAGATATCTGCACTCCCATGTTTATTGCAGCACTATTCACAATAGCCAAAATATGGGTTTAACCTAAGGGCCCATCAATGATTGGAATGGATAAAGAAAATGTGATATATATACACAATGGAATATTATTCAGGCATAAAAAGAATGAAAGCATGTCATTTGCAGAAACTTGGATGGAGCTGGAGGTCATTATGTTAAGTGAAATAAGCCAAGCACAGAAAGACAAATATTGCATGTTCTCACTCATAGGTAGGAGCTAAAAAAGTGCATCTCATGAAGATAGAGAGTAGATTGGTGGTTATCAAAGGCCAAGAGTATGGGAGAAAGAGGGAATAAAGAGAGGTTGATTAATGGGTACAGCCATACAATCTGATGGAAGAAATAGGCCTAGTGTTTGATAAATCACTAGGGTGACTATAATTTACAAGAATCTATTGTATATTTCAAAATCGCTAGAAGAGAATAATTGGAATGTTTCTAGCATTAAGATATTTGAAAGATATTTAAGGTGATGGATAACATTTATACTGATTTGATCTTTACAAATTATATGAATATATTAAATTATCAGGTGTACCTCAAAATATGTACATCCATTATGTATCAATAAAAAATAAAAATATTGTATTTTATATAATCTAATGTATCCCCAAAGGTTATCATTTTCAACATACAATCAGTGCAAAAATTTTGAATGATATATTTTACATTTTTTAATATTATGTCTTTGAAATCCAAAGTGCAATTTATACTTATAGTGCATCTTAATTTGGACTAGTCATATATCAAGTGCTCAATAGCCACATGTACCTACTAAATACCATATTGGACAGTAGAGTTCTAGAACTTTATATAAATGTGAGTATAAAATGTGTACTCTTTGTCCAAGACTTATTTACTTAGCGTGATGTTTTTGAGATTCATTGATTTATTTTTTTAATCAAAATAAAAATTAAAACAAAGTAGAAATAAATGTTCAAGAGTAATATAGAAGATGAAAGGAAAGAAATTGGACTCAAAAAATTCTACTGTGTAATCCTATGTTACAAAACAGCAGATTAGACATACTGATGAACTTTATCCTTTACAATAAGTATGATAAAATATGTTAATATTTTAGTCTGGTCACTAAAATAATAAAAATAGAATATTTAATTCCAAAATCAGTAGAGGAAATAAAAGGAAATTAAAAACTCAAGCAACTGAATGAAATGTGGGGAAAAAAAAGCAAAGAAAAAAATAACAAAGTGATAGTAAGAAATCTAAATAAATTGGTAATCCCAATAAATATAAATGGGCTTAATGCACCAATTAAAAGAGACATTTTTAAATAAAATAAGAATATTAAACCCAACGGATATTCTAATTGTAAGATATACACCTAAATATAACAACACACATAGGTAGGGTGCTGTAGCTCATGTCTGTAATTCTAGCACTTTGGGAGGCCAAGTGGGAGGATCGATTGAGGCCAGGAGTTGAAGACCAGCCTGGGTAACATAATGAGACTTCATCTATATTAAAAATAAAAACAAATTAGTTGGGAGTAGTGGTGTGTGCTTGTAGTCGTACTTATTTGAGAGGCTGAGTGGGAGGATCACTTGAGCCCAGGAGGTCGAGGCTGCAGAGGGCTATGATTGCATCACTGCACTCCAGCCTGGGTGACAAAGTGAGACCCTGTATCAAAACACACACAAGCACACACACACTTTAAGTAAAAGAATGGAAAATGTGTGTCTGGCAGATACCAAAAGAAAGCTGATATATCTCTATTAATATCAGGCAAAATATTCATGAGGAAAATGGATCAAACATGCTTATGCAATGTAATACAATAGTGAAAATTAATGACACCTTAAGATACGTACATATGTAGTGAAACAAATTAAATCATATATTATAATGATAAAACAAATTCTAAATAGTAGTGTTGAATGCTGGTTCTCTCAGTATTATCAACATAACCTGTTGAGTTTGTTTGCTTACCATGGTAAGAGATAACACCAACTTCCCAAAACTTTGGTAGTATCTCAGAGGAGAAAAGACAAGGTCAGAATTTATTCAGAATTGAAAGTTTGTTTAAAAGTGGCTCTTTCAATATTGGGACTTCGTTAGGACTGGGTAAGTATCATAATACAACAGTCTTGGATTAGTGGAAACAGAGGAGGATTTTAAGGAGAGGTATTCGAAGAGTGCAAGGCACAAATTGTCTTCTGACACTTTATTGACACTGATGATTCTCTTGGGAAGTTCCTATAATGAACGGCCAAACCACCTTCCTGCACAAGAGACTCCTGGAAGACTCATTTTAATGTAGACAGTTAGGTATATTGGGGGTAGAAGTGTACATAAATTTAGTCCCCAGTGTTCAAGCTGGGAGTAGGGGTAGATCATTTTAGCTCTAAGTATTTAACTCTAGGGAAGAGGAATAGGATCATAGAGATGTACACAGGGACACAGGGGCTTCAACTCTGCCTATAATGTTTTATATCTCTTAAAAGATCTGAAGCTAATATGGTAAAATGTTAAGAATTGTCAAAAGTGGTTCACAGGTAAAATGGTTTTTCTTTCCTAATATTTTTTGCATTTTTCTATAGGCTTAAAATAGTCCATAATTTAAAAAATAGTGCTTTTGCTTCATAAACAAAGACCAATTATTTGTCTCCTTTTTTTTAATGAAGATGTTGTATAGATTTCCCTTTTTCTGATTCAGCATCATAGACAGTCTACCTACAGTACAGTTGAGATAGTTGACGTTTCTTCACATCTCAGTCATAGCTTCCAGGCTATCTAGCTCTACCTAGGTCAACTTCATAGGACTTGGTGGTCACTTTCCATGTCTTGTTAACCAAAATTTTACAAATCACTTCTCAGTTTGTATTGATTTTAAATTGCGCTGAATTTTGCTATTGAGAGGGCCATCTTTTTCTCACCTTTTCCTTGGATTAAGGAGTTTCTATCTCTAGTGTTTTATGTATGGAGATATAGACATATATATGTGTATGTATGTACTATTTATGGAGCTATATAAATATGTGTTTCTTTCATGTATGGAGATATAGACATATACACACATACATTTTTTGTGTGTAAATATGTCTGTTTATGTGTGTATATGCATATTATATTATAAACAGACATATTTACACACACAAACAGAATCTCAGAATTAGGGCTGGGCGCAGTGGCTCATGCCTGTAATCCCAGCACTTTGGGAGGCCGAGGTGGGCGGATCACAAGGTCAGGAGATAGAGACCATCCTGGCTAACACGGTGAAACCCAGTCTCTACCAAAAATACAAAAAATTAGCCGGGCGTGGTGGCGGATACCTGTAGTCCCAGCTACTCGGGAGGCTGAGGCAGGAGAATGGCGTGAACCCGGGAGGCAGAGCTCTCAGTGAGCCGAGATCGAGCCACTGCACTCCAGCCTGGGTGACAGAGCAAGACTCCGTGTCAAAAAAAAAAAAAAAAAAAAAAAAGACCCCCAGCTCATCTGATCTAACTTCTTAGCAAATATAAAAATCACTTCTATAGAATTTGGTAGGCAGTATAGCATAATGGTAGTATATGGGTTCTGGAGTCAGTTGGCTATGGGTGAGAATCTCAGTTATGTGTCATTTGTCAGCTGTGTGACCTGGGGCAACTTATTTAATCTTTTTAAACCTCAATGTCTCATAGATAAAATGGGAATAATAATACTTATTTTGCAGGCTTTTGTTAAGTTTAAATAAGAATGCATGTAGAATATTAAGCATAGAGCTTGACATATAATAAATCTTCAAAATATATCAATTATTGTTAGTATAATTATCTTTTATAGGTATGTCCATTAACCTTTACTTTAACTGTTTCAATAATATTCTACTTTGCAAGAAAGTCTGCCCTATTTTGGGGAATCTGTCACTAGAAATACAATGCATCAAAATTCTTTTCCTATAAACTCTACTCCCCTTAAATTCTACTTGTTGGTCCTAGTTCTGTCCTTTGAAACTACATGGGTTAGGTCTCTACTGCATCATTGTAGAAATTCTTCAAAGGTTGGAAGGAAATATCTTATTCTGCAGGGCATTCTCTACTTATGAGTCTAAACTCTAGAGTATAAATAATGTTAGAATTAGCTAACAGATTTCAGCATCACCTACAAATATATTAAATTGGTGAACAAATATTGGATATTCTGGTAGTTTGAAATGTTAAATGTTGAAGAGATTGTTTTAGACATTTAATTAGCCTGTCTCCAGGCATCTAATGAGTTTTAGAATCTAAGGTTCAGGTAAAGTCTTGTATTTCTTTCACTTATCTCTGGGTTGAAATTCCTACTTTTAGTAAATTTACCATTTTTGTTCTATGTTTTGTCTTCTCTCTGTGTGTGGTCTCTTTTATCCACCATGTTACCACTCAAGACATCATAATAATCCCTTCACTCAACCAAAGTACTGCTATCTCTAGGCTATGTGAGTTTCAGACTTTAGTGAAGGTTCAGTTATGGTGGAGGGTTATACTTTAGGGCATCACAGCAAAAGACTTAGAATTGAGCATTCACCATTGCTATTCTTCTGAGGAAAGAACCTTCACTGGTTACTCTTCTGCTTGGTCTCCAGCCTCTCGCCATGTTGATAGACCTCTTTCTACTTTGTATTCTTTACACTTAATCTCTGGTTCATGCTCAAAAATTCTTCAAATAACTGTTCATTTCTATTTCTTTTTCCGATTTTTTAACATTTTTAATTTTTGTGAGTACATAGTAGGTGTATGTACATATGGGGTAAATGAGAAATTTTGATACAGGGATGTAATATGTAATAACAAAATTATGAAAAATGGAGTATTCATCCCCTGAAGCATTCATCCTTTGTGTTACAAACAATCCAATTATACTTTTTTAGTTATTTTAAAATGTACAATTAAGTTTTTATTGATATAGTCACCTTGTTGTGCTATCAAATACTAGGTCTTGTGATATCAAATACTAGGTCTCGTTCATTCTTTCTATTTTTCTTCAACCCATTAACCATCTCCACCTCCCCCTCATCCCCCAACTACTATTTCCAGCCTCTGGTAACCATTCTTCTACTCTCTATGTCGATGAATTCAATCGTTTTGGTTTGAAGATACCACAAATAAGTGAAAACATGTGGTGTCTGTCTTTCTGTACGTGGCTTATTTCACTTAACGTAACGACATCCAGTTCCATCCATGTTGTTGCAAATGACAGGATCTCATTCTTTTTATGGCTGAATAGTACTCCATTGCGTATAAGCACCACATTTTCTTCATCCATTCATCTGATGATGAACACTTAGGTCACTTCCAAATCTTGGCTATTGTGAACAGTGCTGCAACAAACATGTGAGTGCAGATATCTCTTCGACATACCGATTTCCCTTCTTTTGAGTATATACCCAGCAGTGGGATTGCTGGATGATATGGCAGGTCAGTTTTTCATTTTTTTGAGGAACCTCCAAACTGTTTTCCATAGTGGTTGTACTAATTTACATTCCCACTAACAGTGTAAAAATGTTCCCTTTTCTCCACATCCTCACCAGCATTTGTTATTGCTGGTCTTTTGGATGAAAGCCATTTTAACTGGGATGAAATGATATCTCATTGTACTTTTGATATGCGTTTCTCTGATTATCAATGATGTTGAGCACCTTTTCATATGCTTATTTGTCATTTGTGTGTTTTCTTTTGAGAACTGTGTATTTAAATCTTTGGCCCATTTTTAAATTGGATTATTAGGCTTTTCCCTATAGAGTTGCTGGAGCTTCTTATATATTCTGGTTATTAATCCCTCATCAGATGGGTAGTTTGCAAATATTTTCTGTCACTCTTCGCTTTGTTGATCATTTCCTTTGCTGTGCAGAAGTTTCAGCTTGATGTGACTCGTTTCCTCCACTTTTGCTTTGTTGCCTCTACTTGTGGGGTATTACTCAGGAAATCTTTGCCCAGGCAGATGTCCTGGAGAGTTTCCCCAATGTTTTCCTGTAGCATTTTTATAATTCAAGGTCTTAGATTTAATTCTTTAATTCATTTTTATTTTATTTTTGTATATGGCAAGATATGGGATCTAGTTTCATTCTTCTGCATATGGATATCCAGTTTTCCCAGCACCACTATTGAAGAGACTGTTCTTTCTCTAACACATGTTCTTGACACCTCTGTTAAAAATGAGTTCACTGTAGGTGTGTGGATATGTTTCTGGGTTCTCTATTCTGTTCCATTGGTCTATGTGTCTGTTTTTATGCCAGTACCATGCTGTCTTAGTTACTCTAGCTCTATAGTATAATTTGATGTTAGGTAATGTGATTCCTCCAGTTTTGTTCTTTTTGCTCAGGATAGCTTTAGCTACTCTGGGTCTTTTGTGGTTCCATATAAAATTTAGGATTTTTTTTCCTATTTTTGTGAAGCATGTCATTGGTATTTTGATAGGGATTGTATTGAATCTATAGATTGCTGAGGTTAGTATGGACATTTTAACAGTATTGATTGTTCCAATCCATGAACATGGAATATCTTTCCATTTTTTTGTGTGTCCTCTTCAATTGCTTTCATCAGTGTTTTGTAATTTTCATTGCAGAAGATCTTTCACTTCTTTAGTTAATTCTTAGGTGATTAATTTTATTTGTAGCTATTGTAAGTGAGATTACTTTCTTGATTTCTTTTTCAGATTGTTCACTGTTAGCATGTAAAAATGCTACTGATATTTGCATGTTGATTTTGTATCCTGCAACTTTACTGAATTTGTTTAAAAATCCTAATAGATTTTGGTGGTCTCTTTAGGTTTTTCCAAATAGAAGATCATATCGTCTGCAAACAGATATAATTCGACTTCCTTCTTTCCATTTTGGATGCCCTTTATTTCTTTCTCTTGTCTGATTGCTCTAGCTAGGACTTTCAGTACTATGTTCAGTAACAGTGGTGCAAGTGGGCATTTTTGTCGTGTTCCAAAGCTTAGAAGAAAGGCTTTCAGTTTTTCCCCATTCAATATAATACTAGCTGTGGGTCTGTCATATATGGCTTTTTTCATGTTGAGGTATGTTCCTTCTATAGCCAGTTTTTGAGGGTTTCATCATGAAGGGATGTTGAATTTTATAAAATGCTTTTTAAGCATCAATTCAAATGATTATATGGTTTTGGCTTTCATTCTATTATTATGATGTATCACATTCATTGGTTTGTGTATATTGAACCATCCGTGCATCCCTGGAATAAATCTCACTTGGTCGTGATGAGTGATCTTTTTAATGTATTGTTGAAATTAGTTCGCTAGTATTTTGTTGAGGACTTTTGCATCAATATTCATCGTCACCCTTATTCACTGCAACCTCTCAGGGCTGTCTTCTGACGTGTACCTACACTGCTCCATTGGTTTCTGACTTCTAATTATTGGCTTTATTTACCTCTTATTTATGGTCTTGCTCTTAATCTTTGTACTTAATGTTTATATTTGGTCTCCCCAGCTTGGAGTCTTACCTCTCTCCCAAGGACTTTGACTCTGACACACTCTTTTACTTCTCCTGCTTGCAAGTTTCTCTGGGCAATGTACCTTAGTTTGAGAACCCTTAAACCTAATCTTCTTTTCAATCTGCTTGAAAAGTGGCCTACGCTCCAAAAATGGGGAGGAGCATGTTTGGGTATATTTTACATACATTATTGTCATTTCCTCAGTTTTATTTATAACCCCTCCCCTGGGTAATCTCATCCTTTATCAGCTCCTAAATTTATGACTCCAGCCCAAACCTCTCTTCAGAGGTCCAGATCCATATTTTCAACTGCCTACTTAACATCTACACTTGGATGTCTCAGAGGCACTTCAAACTAAAATGTCCTAAATTGAATACATCTCTTTATCTGATTTTCCTCCATTGTTCTATATCTCAGTGAATAGAGTCACCAGATCCTTGTTCAAACCAGAAATCTGTAAATCATTCTAGACTTTTTCTTCTTAATTACCCCACTTAGCCAATTCATGGTCAAGTAATGCTGATTTTATCTCCTAAATCTATCGCAAAGATATCCATTTCTTCTTTCGCCTGAATCACTGCCATAGCGTTTCTTCTGGCCTCCCTGCAACCTCCTTTGCCTTTTTTCAATCCATCCTCTATATTGCTGCCAGTGTTCTCTTCTCTACACTTATAATAAAGTAAAAAGTCTATAGCACTGCCCACGAAGGCCTGCATGTTCTGGTTCCTGTAAACCTTTCCAGGCTTCTGAAGACTTCTCTCCCTCACTCACTGTGCTTCTTCAAGTGTGTCAAGTGTATTTGATCTCAGAATCTTTACTCCTGTCATTCTCTCTATGGCATGTTTGCCTTACTCTCTCCTTTTACTCATTCACTAAACTTTAGCATATATATATATATATATATATATATATATATATATATATACACACACACACACACACACACATATACACATATATACACACACACACACATATATATATACACACACACACACACATATATATATAGTAACGTCTTCTCTGCCACTCTAAGCCAGGTTAGGAAGCATCCCTTCCACTTTATAAGTGCCCAAGCACCTTATACTTCTTTATAACACAGTATTCTTGCAATTATGTGGTTGGTGTTATCCATCCTAGTAGGCTATAACCTTCACCAGGACACAGACTATGTGCTAAATAAATGTTTACTGAATGAATGAATGGATGGATGGATGAATTTCTGTTTGTCATTTTTGCCAGATTGCAAACTTTTTGATTGCAAACTTTAGATTCCTGCAGAGCCTAGCCCAGTACGTTGTGTAATCTGTCTCTTTTATTCTCCTCCACATATATGTTTGATTTAATCAATAGACACTTGAATGAATTGGAATACCGGGAATTGCTCAAGTTATTCTTCAAAATCTCCTCACTTATATTTATTATGTGTATTTTCTTTTTCTACTTCACATATGTTCCATATTTTGTCTCCTTCAACAATTCATTCTTTGTGGCTACAGGAAGCTTTTTTTTTTAGTTGGTAATTCTTTCCTTTTTTAATGTCATAGCATTTATTCTAGAGGGCAAATGGAATTGCTGTGTATACTCAAGGCATCATATAATTTTAAAGAACAACATTATCTTTACCTAAGATGAGGTGTTTTCATTTCTGGGAGGTGTTCTCATTTCTGGGAGGCAAGGGGAGAGATAGCAATCATACATATGAAGAACTTGCATTGACTGTGAACATTAAATCCAATGATCAGATGATTGGGATTTGCATTGTGGGTAATAATTCATCCATATTACTGTCTATTCTCTTCATTTATGTAAATCAAAGCTGCAGGGGTTGCCTTTGTGCAAACTTTCCCTCAGTCTGGGAATGTGTCTTGCCACACTACACAACGATTTGAAGAGATGGCAGAATTGTATTAATTTGTTTTGAATTATTGGAATCAAGGAGTTAATCACCCACAGAGCTCAATTGTTGTTTGCAGAACTTGGAGTGTTATAGAATGAATAGCTCTGAAATATCTCTTCAGTGCTCAGAAAGAAAAGCATGGTGGAATGAGTATTAAAACAGGAGTCCAAAGCCTTACAGTGTAATCTTGACTCTGCCTCTGTGTAACCACGAATGCCTCACAAATCTCTCTGTACCTGTTTTTTCTTTTGTCAAGCAGACTTCATATTATCTCCACTCACTACTCACAGGGTTACTGTGAGGATCAAATGAAGAAAGTACAAAATGGAAGCTACATTAAAAAAAAAATCTGGCCAGGCTTGGTGGCTCACACCTGTAATCCCAGCACTTTGGGAAGTCGAGGCAGGTGGATCACTTGAGCCCAGGAGTTGGAGACCACCCTAGCCAACATGGCAAAACCTCATTTCTACTAAAAATACCAAAAAAAGAAAAAAAAAAATTAGCATGCGCCTGTAGTCCCAGCTACTTGGGAGGCCAAGGTGAGAGGATCGCCTGATCCTGGGAAGATGAGGCTGCAGTGATCCATGATCGGGCCATTGTACTGCAGCCTGGGTGATTGGAGTGAGACCCTGTCTCAAAAAAAAAAAAAAAAAAAAAAAAAAAATCCTATCAGCAGAGGAATGTGGAAGGCTATTGGCACTTTAGACACCTTATCTCAATCTTCCCTCAGGTCACTCTTATTGACAGCTGGAAGTCATTCTTTTTTTTTGACAATTTACTACTAAACAAACAAATGCACCAATCACTTGACAAGTGGAGAGAGAATCAGAGAATAAGAAAAAATGAGACCTCAAAATTATAAAAGTCCCACAAATGTGCAGTCGTTACAATTTATACCGGGATGAAGAGACTAATGTCATTCTCTTTACATTCTTCAGACAATAGATACGTGTTATCATCAAACCAGTCATTATTTATTGTCCAGGGATCAAAAATGACATGCTAAATATTAATGCAAATATATTTCCATTTTTATACAATATGAATCTATTTCAAACATTAATAATTTCAAACAAAAGAAACTCAATTTTTTATTCCACACAATTCTTCATTTTGTTAAAAAAAAGTTCTTTTGTACAAATGCAAGTGAATAAAATGTATTACTAAATATAACCATTGAAATGTATTAAAATGGATCCCTTATACCTACTTAGTAAGTATGGTGGGATCTGCAGCAGTCAAACTCAGTTATGAGTCCAAAGCTTCAGATTTGGCATGGATGGAAAGGTTAGGCTGGATGAATTCATCTTTACTTGATTAACCTTAATATTTCCTACTTAATACATAATACATAATACATAAGCCTTTTACAATATACTTCATTTTGTACAACCCATGATTCTGAAATATATGCAAAATATATTTTAAAAAATTGGATTCTTTTTAAACATATTAGGAGAATTTACTATTTACAGAATTAATGTGGTGAGTCTTTGTATTAGGTTGAATTTTATGAAGTTGGTGATATTTGAGCATTTTTTGGCCTATCAAATGGCAATTTCATATGGTTCAGCTAATAAAAAGTGAAGAATTGTTCTTTTCATCTTAAAACAGAGTACACATATATATAAATAACCTACCTGTTTATATACTGGCTAATGTGCAATTTTGGAGGGAGTGGGGGTGGGGGAAGGCAATCCAAGTCAGCATTTCGAATAGAAGGATAAATTCAAATTGTGCCGTCTGGTTACTCTGGCTGCCTTTTTGAGCAGTAATATATGTTAATACATTGGGGAATAAATATAATGTAAAAATTCTTTTCTTTACAGTAAGTTTGCTACAATAAAAACATTCAGTTTATTTTCCTAAAGATTAAATACCATGTGAGTCATTATAATGACACATCTGCTTAAAAGCATTTCCATTTATATTGTCACTGGAAATTGGGTGGGGGGTGTTATGCTGCTATTTTGGTGTAATCTGTGCTGTGTGCTTTGGTTAATGCTCAGTGACGAGCTGGATCCCCATGGGGTAGTTGTGATGAAAGAGGTTGATAGTTTTCCATGTGAGTAACCTAATCATAAATTAGAAATCTTCATCCAAGTCAGTGCTTAAAAAGCAGTTTTATTCTCCTGAAATTTGGGTTGGGAAGGTCAGATGGGCAGAGAATAGATTTTCAGTCTGTATCTCTATTAGATTCAGCAACAAGGTATTTTGTATCTTGCTATTCACTGCTGTTGAAAGTATAATCAGTTCCTTCATTTAGCCAGCCACTGACTTCTCAAATGTAAAGTGCATTCAAATACTGTGGGCACAAAAGTGAGAGCCTGGAATGAGGGAAGATGTGTGTTCTTAAGAAGTTCTGGAGGGGGGGTGTTGCCAGTCTTGAGGAAGTCCATGTTTGGCTGCCAAAGCTCAAATTTTAAAGGGTCCACTGAATCTGGGTGTTGAATAAACACACAACTTAGACCATCAAGGTGTAATAATGTGAGTCACTTTGAGTTTTGAAAAATATATGCCCTATCCAAGTCTTAGCCTATCTGCTAATTTGTTTTGAATGATGCAGAGTGCAGCTCCCATCTCTGACAGTGCACAGTTGTAACAGGTGTGGCAGAGTCAGTCTTACTGCTAAGTTTAGCTCTGCATGTAGGGATTTCACACTTGCAGCCCCTTGGAGAGAGGAGCATTGACAAATGACTGTGTATAAAAGTGGAAAGCACTTGGGAATTTCACTACCAATCTAGATTTAGATCAGAGAAAAAGGGCCAATCTAAATTGGTTACAGACTACAAAGAGCTACATTTCTGGTGGAGGTGGCATTAATCTAACATCTATTTGATTTCTCTCTTACCATCATTACAGTTCCTGAGAGAGTACTCTGTGAAATTTGATGACCCCCCTTTAGGTACAAAAGATAACTTATTTTTTGTTTTAGCAAGTAAAATTTAACACAGGTGTACTCGTCCTTTGGTGGCAAGAATATGACCAGTTTTTTAAATTCTGATTTGTAAATGGTACTCATCTCCTTTGGTTTCCCTTTGAAAAGTTAGTTTTAAAAATTAAATTCTCTCCACACTACTGGCATACTAGGGCTACTTATGAGAATGGAATTTTTCAAAATATAATTCTCTTATAGGTAATAAGTGAAACACTTCATCTTTTGGCAGGGATCAGGAAGGGAGGAACATTTTCTGGGAAATACAAATGTGACATTTGAGGACATTGATCTCAATAAGGATTTGTTGGAGGATGTTGTTTAGTCCTTTCCTCCTTTGTCTCTCTCTCTTTTTTTTATGCTCAGATCTAAAGAGTATAGTGATGACTAAATAGCTCTCTAATCATTTTTCAGCACAAAAACCCTGGGACTCAGAAGGCTTGAATGTTTTGTCCAAAGCCATATTCAACAACAGAATACCAACATCATTTTATTTCTGCTCTAAAGTACAGTTGAGTCTTGTTTGCAAAGGCACCTTTTAAACAAAGCTCATATTTGTGTGCAACTCTATCCTAGAGTGTGAGAGGGAGAGAGAAAAAGACAAAGAAGCTGCATGAATAGAATTAATATGGATATAATATGCACATTTTTCTCTCTCTAGATGAGTTTGTTTACTAGAAACTTCTTTCTGAAAACTTGCTCTCTAAACTGAAACAGTTTCTTTAAATCTCTTCTTTCATTTGAAACAAACCGGATTGCCTAAGATGATCAAATCACTGCTGTTTAGGGAAAGGGCTTCTCTTCCATTAACTTCTGACATAATTTAACTTTGTATAGAGGTGATTCTCTAGGATCAAAACACTAAATTAGAACTTGTCCTTTTCTTGGGATATCCTCTTTGAAGGATCAGCCCTTTCAAAAGCAAATCTTCTTTGTTTGTTTTTGGAGCTTCCAGGGACCCTGTGCTTCTTACAACCACTGCGCATGAATTTCTGTGGTCTGAGGTTTGTGCAAGGCCCAGGCACTGTTTGGTTACTATGGAAACCAGCCCTCCCAACCAGCTGTCTTTTCCTATATTCCTTTCAGAGTGAGTCTTAAACGTTTTAGATAGCCCACAAGCAGAGTAAAGATGAAGAATAACACAAAGAAAACATGAACAGCTTGCTGTTAAATGAACAACTTGTGGATTCCCTACATGGGAAGCTTCATGCAAGAAAGCAAGCTCTCCTGGACATCCATATATAAGGGTTTACCCAGATCCACTAAAGCTCACCTTCATCCTGGCTTTAGGGAGTGGGGATTCGACTCTGCATCTCTACATCTGTGAACTGAGGAACACTTTCTGTGCTGTCAGAGTTGATGGGCGAGATGACATGTTTGAGCCGAAGGAGCATTGTGAAGAGCAGGATGAGGAGAATGGCCAGGAGGCTCAGGAATAAGCCCACATACATGTACAGGTTGGAATACTTGTCTGAAGAGGTATCAACCTCTGTTGCCAGAGTGGGAAAATGGGCACGCCCAGTGAGATTTCCATGGTATTTAAAATGCGCCTCCATCATCACTCAAGACTTGAGTTAGTATGTGTTTCTATTTGATTTCTACTGCCCTTGAGGCATTTCACAGTCACTTAGACTGTCTCTAAATCTATTGGACGTGTTCTAACAATCTGGTAAAAACCAATCACTCTCAGAGCTAAGGCAATAGCACACAAGCAGAAAATGGTGATGCTATTTGACAATTGCAACACCCTCTCTATCCTTCAGCACAGCAATCGCCCCTCCAATAGGTTTTATCAGAGCTTCTTAATCAATTTTTAAAAATACAAGTAATGTTTTATTTTCCACACTCCTACTTTTATACTGATTAAAATAAATATGGGTGAAACTGCTTTATAATACTGTTATTAGAACAAGAATCTTTTAGAGTATTATATCAGTGTTTTGCTCTGTTTTCGTAGATGGAGAAAAGGCTCGTTTTGCCTATACCTAATCTAGATGTGTGGACTAATTATGTGGACTTAATTGGGCTCTTCTGCGAGGAGACTATCTGAAGGCTTTTGTATATATCAGGCTCAGCTTATCTGAGTTTTCACCCCGTTTATCTGTATTTCTGAACCTTCCCTAAGGATGGAGATTGTAAGGTTCCTGCCCAGCTGCACAGCTTGTAAGTCTACAGAATGTGAGTTTTCTGTAGCTTTGTTGACATCCCTCACTGTAGGCTGGAGGGAAAGTGTTGTCAGACCTGGTAATTCTCAGGTGAGAGAGGTCTCAGAGATGCTGACAGCAGTAGGCCTAGGCTCAGGAGATTTGGCTCTTCAGATTCTCCAACAGATATTGATTTTCCTGAAAATCAAAAACAAAAATAAAAGATTCAGTTATCTCTAAGAAAAACAAATGGCAATGTATTTTGAAATAAAAATAAATTGATAAATTGCAAAATGGTTTGCTATATGCAAACTAATTTTAGAATGCTTTTTCTTCTCTGTAGAAAATAGCTTTTAAAAGGTTAAAGAAAAAAATCACATCAGTAAACAGCAGCTAATGACTAACCTATATTAGAACAACGTTTTCTAAACCAACTGATCATAAGATTTACTTGGGGGTACTTATTAATATACAGATCCTGGGCCCAAACCTAGACTTCCTGAATCATAATCTCCACAGTAGGGGCCTGGGCACCACTCTAGAGATTCAGACTTTATTGGTCTGGGATGGGACCCAAGCACTGCTATTAAAAAAAAAAATAGCCACCCATATTCAAAGTTCATGTTTAGAATGCCAAGTTAAATCATTTTGGAAGACTTCAGCAGTAAATAGTTGACCCTATTTACATGGTGGAATGCTTTTGCCCACAAAAAGAAGGTTCTATCTATACCAATGATGAAGGATGCATTTATTTGCTCAGAATAGGCACACCCTCTCAATTCCTTCTGGTCTAAAAACACTGGGGAAAAATGTCTATTTTTACCCCACATATCTAAATAAGAGAGATAGAAGAAAAGCAATAAAGTCTTTTCCAAGTAACTTCAAAGCGCAGCCAGGACTAAGAACCACTGATCTAGTTGAACCAGAAAGCCTAGCACTGAAACAAAGGAATCCTAAGTTTAAGGAATTGTTTTTCAATCTCCAGATCCCAGTGACAATTGTTACTTTAATGAATCAGGGGAACATTCAGGAATGCAGGCTTCCTCCAATTTTCTTTTTTTGTTCTATCTCTCTCATTTAGATCTGTAGAGTGGAAATAGACATTTCCCCCCAATAGTTATAGACCAGAAGGAATTGAGAGGGTATGCCTATTCTGAGCAAATAAATGCACTGCATGCTTTATCGTTGGTAAAGCTAGAACCTTCTTTTTATTGGCAAAAACATTCCACTGTGTAAATAGGGTCAACTATTCACTGCTGAAGTCTTCCAAAATGATTTAACTTGCCATTCTAAACATGAATTTTGAATATGGGTGGCTAAAATAAACAATATAAACAACCATCACCTGTCACACTTCTATGTGCAATAGTAGATTGCTAACAATGTAGCCTAGTTCTGTCTGTTGTTAACATACCCAAGGAGAGTTCATAGAAATAGCTCCAACGGTCACATTATTTTTCCTATCATATTGAATTTTGCCCCCAGCTTGGGAACACTTCAGCTTAAAGTTTGTATTCCCTAGCCCACGTTACTATACTTTCCATAATCCATATTTTTCTTAGTCTACCTGCTTACTGTTCCTATTGCCCATACAGAATAACTTGGTTCATAAGAAACAAGAGCAGAGAGAGAGAGAGAGATATATAATATCTTTCCACTATATTTGGAGCAATGGTCTAGGAAACATTTTTCTATCCTTACAAGTGCAGCTATTTTGATATTTGATTAGCTGGGATCAAGGCCCAGGAATACGCATACTAAACACAAGCCTTTCAAGTATTTCTTTGTATACTGAGCTTTGAGAGTTAATTATTGTTTTTTCTCTCTAGATAGCCCAGCTAAAGAATACAGCTAATCTATCTTATTGGTTGTTTGGAGGCTGTACTTTTAAAAGCATTTAAAACAGTGTTATGGGTGAATAGTGTCACCCCCCAAAAATGGTGAAGTCCTAAACTCCAGTAACTGTGAATGTAACCTTATTTGGAAATAAGACCTTGTAGATGGAATCAAGTCAATATATTAGGTTGGCCCTAATATAATGACTGGTGTTCTCACAAGAAGAGGAGAAGACAGAGGCATACAAGCAGAAGACAGAGGCAGAGATTAGAGTGGTGCATCTACCAGCCAAGGAATGCTGAGGATTGCCAGCAAATACCAGAGGCTCGAAGTGGCAAGGAAGGAGTCTACCCTACAGATTTCAGAGAGTGCACGGCCCTACTGATGCCATGATTCCAGACTTCTATACTCCAGGCCTGAAAGAATAAATTTCTGTTGTTTTAAGTCACCTAGCTTATACAATTTTTTATGGCAGTTTTAGGAAGCAAATATATGGACTAATCACCCTGAAACCCTAGTGTTTTGGAACCTTTGGGGCAGTGTTTCTCAGAGTGGTCAAGGGAAGTGCCTTCATCAGAATCACCTACAGGGTGTTTATTATGAATAAAAACACGGACCCTTTCCCAGACCCTTTCCCTTTTTTCTTAGATTAGAATCTCTGGGGACAGTATCCTGGAATCAATGTTTGAAACAAGTTACCCACTTGTTTCTAAGCACACTCTTCAGGGAATGTTTTTCAGTCCTTGCTCTACTTTAATATTACTTAGTATGTTTTTGAAAATATATATAACTGGGTCTTTTCTTCAGGGTTTCTGATTCAGTAGCTCTGTATGGGGCATGAACATCTGTATTGCTTAAAAGCTCCACAGGTGATTTTGATATGCAGCCAGGGCTGAGAAACACCAGTCTACAAATAGAACAGAGCACTTCAAATCAGGACTCTAACAGTCCCAGACAGCCCACACAGCTCAATTGCTTCACTATGTATTCAGAGTGCTTCATATATAGGTTGTCAGTCTCACTGGCCTTCCTCCTCACCACTTCTCCCAGCAGCTCCTTTCCTTAAGAATGGTAGTAACCTAGAGATAAGAGCTTAATGGATTTTTCACCCATGTATCTCCTAAGTTACTTTTTCACCTGCCTTCCAGAAAAGAAGGGTAAGGAAAAATAAACACTCACTGCTAGTGCAAGTCAAGTGGGAGAAACCTCTACACTATTCTAGTATCTTTATACTCCCTTTTGGACCCCAAGTATACAGAATCAGGTAAGTCATACTCCTTGGTTTATGGCACATTGTCATCACTGGTAAATTTGAGCTCTTTTTATTCACTTATTTAATAATATATTGAACACCCATGGACAAACATCTGTGGGCAAACATCTACCAACTTTAAGATTGAGAATAACTAATAATTTACACGACATCTACCTATGCTCCTCCCATCTCATCCTCTTACCTATCCTTCTCCAGAAATAACCAATAACCAATATTCTGAATTTTGTGACTCATTACCTTCCTTTTATTTACACACACACACACACACACACCCCTATGCCTAAACGATGTTAGTATTATTTGTTTTGAACTTTATAAAAAATATACCAAACTGTGTAATCTTCAACTTGCTATTTTATTCTATATTTTATTACTATACAATTTATTTATAACTAGTCTAGTGGAATGAAAAAGGAAAAAGAAATAAAATGTTGGAAGTCTACATGTTGCCTTTGGATTTTACTCCATTCTCCTTAGCTTGACATTTAAGGCTGTCAATGCCTTGGCCCTGGCTTACCTTAATTCCTTCCATTACCCTCTTTCCAATAAAACTGTAATGCTCACTCTTACCTACTTCCCTGCTTCCACATTTTTGTTTGACCAGTTCCTTCTATCTTCACACATCTCTGGGTGAGGAAATACTACAATTCTTCAAGATTTAGTTCATGAAGCTGATCTTGACTTTCCACCCTAACCCTAATTTCCACAATGCTTTGTATTTCTCTTAGAGGAATTAAATTTGACAAATATTGCAGGTATCTAGTTGATATGTTTTCTTCTAAATTGTAACTTACAAAATTCTTGAGGATCATTTTCAGCAGTCTATCCCTGATACAGCTTTGCTTGCAGTAGCTGCTCAAGAATTATTGAATAAATGCATGGGTATGATGAAGAAATGTACCTAACATTTACAGTTCAAAGAGAGGCACAGTCTTATCTCTGATCCGATTGCTAATATAGCTTGGAGAAGAATATAACTTTCTCTTTTCTTTTTATTCCCTTCCCCCACTGTTCAATTTCTTATTGGAGACTAAATTCCAGATTATAATCTAGAATTAAGAAATTATCACCTTGTTAGAAACTCTCTTCATGAAGTGCTATTTCAGTTACAAGATTTTAAAGGAAAACTACATGGGATTGGTTAGATTTTAAATTAAATTTTAGAAAGTTCACTTGTGTCTGCAGATAATTTTCAATAACAATTGATACTACATTTTCTGCCTCCTACACAATTGACTCTGAATCTTCCTTAGGTCTGAATACTTATTCAATATTTATTAGAATTCTATGAAGCTTGGAGAAGCTTAGAGAACAATGATCTCAGCTAACCTTGTCAATTTCTTTAAACATTTCCTTTGAAAGTTTGGAAAACTAGCTAATCACATATTTCTTAAAGCCTCTACAGTCTTCGGGAGACCAAACAGTCTGGTCAATTTAGGGAGGTTTATCAATTTAATTCCTTAAATCCATTAAGGACTTTGAAATGAATAAATGCAACGTTAGATATTAGGAAATCCTCTTTTTTGTTACTCTGGTCCTATATCTGTGACTACTTCTCATAAAAGCTTTTCAAACAGGATTGTCATGGCTCTCTTTGCTAACTAATTAATGAGTTGCACAGATAATATGATTGCTCTGTTAAAAGCTCTGCACCATTTGGAAAGAAAAACAACCATGCAATTTCAAAAGGAATTCAAATTCTATTAATTCTGAAGGATATGATTTTTTGTGGAAAGAATTATTTTAGTATCCTGCAGTTCTTTCTGGAAAGCTCATGCAATAAAAATCAGTTTCTAGTCTTTGTAAAAGTGATTGAAAGCTGTTGAGGGAAAAGGAGGAGAGTGAGGAATGGAAAAGGGGGTAAGGAATTAGGGAAAGAAAGAAAGGAAGATAGAGGAAGAGGGAAGGGAGAGAGGAGGAAAAGAAAGAAATGTGAGAAATGAGTAAAGACTATGAGGGATGTGGGATGGAGATAAGATGGGGCAGGAAATGAGTGATTATGAGGGGGAGAAGGAAGGGAAGGAGGTAATATTGAGAAAGAATGGAGCAAAAAAAGAGGAAGAGAAGTTTGGGGGAAAGGGAAAAGAGAAAGTGTTTAATAACTGGTCAATGTCCAATATTAACTTGTACATCTGGTTTACTTCACTTCTAATGTAAACCAAAATACTCACAAGTGACATGAATATGCACCTTTGGTTTTCTAATTGCATATTTTGTCATTAATTTGGTAAATAAAATCTTAGTAACAAAAAGTCTTGTGTTTTTAGTATAAACATTGAAATGTCAAGTTCTCACTAATTTTTGACATCAGCATAGTGTATATAACCTCATAGGAGCAAAATAACATACACTCCTAGATCATGAATTTTGCTCCCCAGAATGATAAGGGAATAACTTTCTGCATCAATCAAGCCCGAGAGGGATTCTTTGAGTGAAACTTATTTGTAGCAAGAGCAACCAAGTTCTCCACAGGCCTCCAAAATCAGATTAACATTTCTTTGGCAAACATTTATTGAGTGCCAATCAAGTTCCAGACACTTTTTTAGGTGCTGGAGATATAAAATAAGTGTACCCTGATCTCTGTTTGGTTCTCAGGGTGCTCCTAGTAGTTACTTTTATTTTCTTTAACATGATAAGGTTCTGGGAACAACCCACTGGTAATTTTACATTTTTCTGCATGACACCTGCCTATATAATTCCAGAGCTGAAATCTCATCAAGTAGTTAAGGAAAACCTTCAGTGGAACAATTCAGAAAAGAAATTCAAAACTATCAACTGATATCAGCTTTTAAGAGTTAATACATTCTATTTATATTTATCTTCCTAGCTGAGGAGAAAAAACTGAGAGAGAGAAGTGTGTCTAGTTCCACATCACCCTGTGAAAAAACGATTCCAGCAGCAAATGCTTCTTCAGTGGCTGGAGCCATTAAGTAATAAGCTCGCTCAAGTAGGAGTTGCTGTATCTTCTGCAGCAGATGGTGCCTATTTGTCACACCTGCCGATAAATAAAATAATGCCTCTCACTTCACCGGGATTAACATCGTAATATTTCCAAATATTTCTTACCTCTCCTGGCCCACAGTATGAATAGGATTGGTCACTTAAGTATCCCTTTTGAAGCTTTCACCAACAGGTAACTTGTTCAGGAACATCTCTGGAATAGCTGGAACATAGAATGAAAGCCTTGTTTTGCCAAAGAAGCAGGACTATGTTCATGCAAAGTATGGTTTCTCTTTCATCTTCCTAAAGAGTAATCCCTTTGCAGAAAAACAGAAAAACACCTTCTATTACTTAAAATGTTACTTAAAATGTCAGTTACCACTTACAGCTTCAGAGTGCAGCTTCAGATGCCTGCTCCTTATAAGCTCTGAAAAGCAAAGAGAAGTCTGTTTGGATGTGTGTGTGCCCTCTGGAACATTTGAATGAAAGCAGCCTGAATTAGTCTAAGTCCCCAGTTCCTCTTTCGCAGGCAACAGTTTAGAGTATGCGGGAAAGGTAGTGATTCAGCTCTGCTCTGTCTCAGCGGTGTGGAGAGGGAGGAGATAAGAGAGGCTGAGAAGCAAAGTTTGTATAAGCTTTCTACTTTAACCCCTTAGAGGCTTCCTCATGAATCTGTAAGACTAGCTGAGGCTCCCTATCTTTATAAAAGCTGCTTCATATGTCATTTAAGAGGATCAAATCTCTAGCTAAATTCAAGAGGTTTTTCATCCTGGGTCTTACAGTAATATATGCTTAGAATTGAAACCAAACATTCCAGGATGTGATAGTGCTTAAATAATTCCATCTTTACAAACAGAATGTTTGCATGTGTATATTTCTAGGTTTGAAAAAGATTTTTTAGGCACCAACTTAATACATTTGATTTAAATATTTTGTGGAAATGTAACATCAGCCTGAGTTTCTGGTTGGGGTTCTAAGATTAAAGTAGAACATTTTCTAAGTAGTCATATCTAGCCAGGGTATATATTCCACTATAAGTTATTCATCCATTTGTAGTCAAAGGCCCTTATCATCTTTTACATATTGTGGCAGGAGGAAGGAGATTAACGTTTCTTGAGTGCCTACTCTATATCAAACATTTAACATAAAGAACTTAATTTAATCCTCACAACAGCCCTGTGATTTGGGTATTATGATCCTCATTTTACAAATGGGGAACCTGAGACTTAGAGAGAAAGTATATCATGTAGTTTAGTAAGCCTAGAGCCAGCACTGGAGAACAAGGCCATGTGATCCCAAAATCTCTGCTGTTTTCTCTGTAGCAGTGTTTCTTAATCTTTGTGGATCTTGGATTCCTTTGAGAGTCTAAGGAAAGCTACAGACCTTCCCCTTCCTCAGAAATAGGGATAAAATTTCTGTGCTCCATGGCCTCCAGGTTAAGAACAGCTGAATGTCCCAATGTTACTTCTCCAATATTATACCATCATTAGTGCATTGCTCATCCAACAACACATGATCATAAACAATTTTTATTATGGTATCAATAATCACAATAGTATTAATTATAGTGTCATGCCAATCTTTAAGAAATTACTGCAGTGATTTTCACTTTATTCCCAAATTCTCCTTAACAATTCTTGCATACTATGTCTTTCCATTTCCCTCATTCCAGTGGTTAAAATCAATTGAGGCTGTCCTTGAAATCCTTGCCTTACCAGCATATTCTAGTACCTTCTTTCTCAAACTGTGGAATATGCTGGTGTTTCTCAAACTACAGTAGTATGCTCAAGAAAGTACAGGATAAACATAGTGTATTTTCCTAGATGATTGAATTTACTTGAATATTTGGACAAGGAGAACGTAGATAGTTTAAGTGATAATTTTAAACATAGTTTATATGATAATAAACACACAGAATAGAATGCAAATTTATGCATTTTTATGATCAAGCATGAGATTTTAGAGAAATTTTACACTTGTGGTAGGGCCTCTTTGGGCCACCCATACTTCCCCAGGGATACGTGTTCACTCTTCTCTGCCATTCGGGATTTTTGGATGAAAAAGTTCAAAGATCATGGTATAGCAGAAAGATCAGGGTCTTTGAAATCATATTGACCTGGGTTTTCACCTTAGCTTTGATCTATATTTTCTGGATTACCTTAAGAAGGTCAATTAATTTCTCTGAGACTCAGTTTTCACCTATAAAAGAGGGAAAATTATAAAAGGGGGGTTAGATGAGAAAATATCTCTAAAGCATACGCTACAGATGCTCAACAAATCTTAATGCTGTTGCTTCAAATTGGTAGATATCAATAGACAATGAGGCTACGTGAATCTAACCAGAGGTTTCACCATGGATAATTGACCTTTTCTTACATAATTAGAAAAAATAAGCCTTATTTAACACAATATTAAATTCGAGTTTCCAGGAAGACATAATTAATGACCCACAATAGTTGGGAATTCCAAAGCCAGGTCATCATATACAAAATTTACAATGGAAATACTCCAGAAGAGGCTCCAAGAAATAAAAGGGAGTCAGATTGTGAAAGGGAGTGGGAAGGGAAATTTGTGAAAATGTTTCTTTGCCCAGAGCTGTTGCCAGGCCAAGACTCCACTCCACCTTCCACAGGAGTAGAAGCCTAGTGGGTACTTCACTGGATCACTCATAGAACTTGACATTTATTCCCTGCAGTAGAAGGGGAGCGATTTGGAACTGTACTCCATTCTGAGAAAGCTAATGTGGCCCTTGGCAGGAGAACAGGATTGACTGTGTTGGGATTGGCCTTCATTCCCAGAGTTTGTTAGGGCAGGGGATGTTTGATTTTTTCCTAGAAACCAAATGGGGATCATGCAAGAAAGAGAGCCAGGGTAAGGTCATCCTGAACCCTGTTCAATGCGGCCATCTGGAGGGGAGAAAGGACCCCATCAACAGGAAGCTGAAGATAACTGCTGGATTCCCAAAGGCTGAGGAAGGAGCTGTTAAGTACCAACCTAAATAAAAATGCATCAACCCAGGTCTCCCAAGTTACAGTAGAGGGGTCTTCAGTGACAGAGGCCTTTGAAGAACCCACAGAAGAGCCAAAGACCCAGAGAGTGGGAAGCCATTCCACCAAGGAAGAAATGACCAATCCCTTACCTCTCTTCCCTACTCCTATTTCCACCCTGGTGAGGATCCAAATAGGAACTGGCAAGTGGAGAGAGAAAGAAGAAAACCTATCACTCCTCCTTTTCCAAAGGCATTTAGCCACCACTACAGGCCTTAGCATGGGCTTAGTGGGAAACAAAGCCTCACCATTAAGTGAAGATGGAGAAAGTTGAGTAATATCTTGGACTGAATACATTCTAATTACTAAATCAAGGTTGTGTTTTGTGACTTAGAGTGACCTAAGGACTGTTTATTTTTGAAGAAGTGAGCAGAAAATCATGTGCTCTATCCAAACTTCCATCTATGGTCAGGAAAAGGTTACCTCAATGGGGTACATTTTATTGGAACATGGGGAGACAAAATAAAGTTGTGTTTTGATTCTACAATAAATAATACTGTAGAAAATACTGGTTGTACTGACTAATTCATCCCTTCAACAAGCATGTGATTCCTTTCATGCGTCAGACATTGTGCTAGGAATAGGACATACAGTGAAATAAAACATAGTTCTTGCCCTCAAATTACTTATGATATATGGCAGGGGTCAGCAAATTCTTCTCTAAAGAGCCAGATAATAAATATTTTAGGCTTTAAGGGACACGTACAATCTCAATTGCATATTCTACTTCTTTTGGTAACTAACCTTTTAAAAATGCAAAAACCATTCTTATTTTGAAGGCTGTACTAAAAGAGGCCATGGGTCAGATTTGGCCTGTGCACTCTAATTTTCTGGCTCCTAAATGATGGAAGTAACAAATTTTTATAAACCACCAATTACCATACATTTATTATGATTGAAGATATGTTTAGGGCACTTGGGGGAGGAGACACAGAAGAGCATTTGCTAATTCTGATGGGGAAATCAGGGTTTGCAGGAAGAGGCAGTGTTGATTTGTAACCTGAAGGATGAGTAAGAATTAATCAGAGTTAAAGGAGGTGAGTGGTAAGCTGCCTGTACAGAGGCACCAAAGCTTGAGAGAGCTTGGTTTACTTAAGAAACTACAAAAGGGGAAAACTGAACCTTAGAGAGGTTAAGTAGTTTTCTCAAGGTCACATAACTAGTAAGTGATGGAGCCTAACCTCTTAACCCAGGTATGTCTGACTCCAAACCTGTCCTGTTAGCCACTGTTATCATATTCCTGCCCTAGTATTGAAGCTATGTCTAAGGTCTACTTCTAGTACCTACAAATCAGCAGCTCTGCTTGGCTCACTTCTGATTTCCCTGGGGGTAAAAATGACAACGTTCTAAAAGGTCTTGCAGACCTTATTTTTAAATAAGACAGTGAATCAATAACGTTGGGTTGTCTAAATTAGAACTCTAATTTTCCTTTTTAAAAATAACCCCCTGCCCCAATAAAACCTAGCACACATTGTTCAAATTCAAGTAATTTTCTTGTTTCATCCTTGCAGAAGAGGTTTTTTTTTTTTTTTTTTTTTTTTTCCTGGTAGCTAAGCTCTGGCACTGCTATAATGTAATTTCTTACCTTCTCATTATAGATTTAGACATTTATAAGGAATGGCAATATCTGGCTTCGACTATATACTGTGACTGATCCAAATACTGTTCCCATCTTCATCATTCACATTGATGACCTTGGGACCTTGGGCAAGTGAGTTCACTCAGCACAGATGAACCTGTCAATTTTTTCTACGTTGCTTGGTGGATTTTTATTGAGGTAGTATGGTTTTAAAAGCTAGATTAGCCATGCAGCAACTACTCTGAACAATTCTTCCATTAAAGATTGCCATGTATTTTGGAGTCAGCAAGAATAGGGATTGAAATGAGGAGAAAGAGGGAATGAGAATAGCCCAACTCGCTGTTGCTGGACTTCCAGTGGTCAGTGGTTCTTAACCATAGTTGTGCTTTTCACTCAAGGGGCTCTTACAAAATACAGAGTATTGGCCCTATCCCAGACCTTCTGCAGAGCTGAGGCCTGAGAATATATATTTTTAACAAGCTCCCCAGCTTAAGAATCTCAAGAACCACTACCTTGAGGGAACAAATAGGTATCTAATGAACTGACTGTACTAAATAACATACCAGACATTCTTGGACTATGCACAGAAATTCTGCTTAAGAAATATATACAAGCCAGGCATGGTGGCTCATGCCTGTAATTCCAGCACTTTGGGAGGCTGAGGTGGGCGGAGCATCTGAGGTCAGGAGTTCAAGACCAGCCTGGTCAACACTGTGAAACCTTGCCTCTACTGAAAACACAAAAATTAGCTGGGTGTGCTGGTGCATGCCTGTAGTCCCAGCTACTGTAGGCTGAGGCAGAAGAATCACTTGAACCCAGGAGGTGGAGGTTGCAGTGAGCTGAGATTGTGCCACTGCACTTCAGACTGGGCGACAGAGTGAAACTCTTTAAAAAAAAAATAATAAATACAAGTTTATTGTTCTAATGTTTCAGTGTGTTACACTGTAAAATGGGTTTTTATTGCCAAATCAGTTTGATGCTATCACAGCAGTGAGTATGATGTTATTTAGTGCTCTACTCTCAGAAGAAATAGAAAAAATAGCAAAGTGGGAGCTTAAGCTGTAATTGAAATAAGTTTATGTATTTCAATGAGTTAATGATGGAATACAGATTATATGCATGTATTGCCTCTACATCCAAAGATAGCAAAGGAACACAAAAGATATAAACTCACAACAATGAAGAAAATGGGAAAGGGACCATTGATGGATGAAGGTTGGATGAAAGCTAAAAAGTAGATGAAGGAGTGGTAATTGATGAAGCAGAATAGGAGATGCCACAGTTTAGAATACTTTAAGTGGGTTGATACAATGAGAGAAAGTCAGCCTTCCCTGCATAAATGCTAGGGTTGACAAAGAAACCAGGTGAGATATAAGGCAGAAAGGGGAGGGTGAAGCCATTTTTACACAGCTAATCCTCCCATTGTCCTCCTCAATCTGGTGTACAGAATGCCCTGTATCCGGCTATATCCTCCATGAGCGCCAAAAAATTAGAGTGTTATTCTTGAAAGTAATTGAGAGATCCAAGAGAAAAATCATCTGTATTTCTGCATTTAGGCAACCTCTGAACAAAATGGCCAACTCCCTACTTATGTATATGAAGCTTCCAATCACTTTTTATTGCACCATTCTTCTATGTAAACAAAATATCAATGATTAGCAAATATTTGAGGAACACTTTCAACATGAAACAGAATGGTAAACAAACAGAAAAAAAAGAAAAGACAGATAAGAGAGAAAAAAAGAAAGAGAGAAAAAATTCTAGAATTAGTATACTTAGGTTCAATAAAACATTGCATTCATATAACATAAATAGGATATTTGAAAATAAATATTAAGATGACAAGAAGGACCTCTTGGAAATAAAAATATGATTGCAGAGATCAAATTCAAAGGAAGAGTTGGAAGACAGACTTGAGGAAATATCAAAAAAAAAAGTTAGAACAAAAAGACTAAGAGAGGAAGATAAGATAGAAGGTAATCCTGGAGATCTAACATTTGACTAATAGAAATTTAAGAGAGAGAGAGAACAAAGGAGAGGGAATTATCAAAGAAACAATACAAGATCATTTTCCAAAGTACATTCATGTGAAATTTCAGAATACAAAGTATAGAGATATCCTAAGGCTTCCAGAGAGAAAAGCAAGTAAACTACAAAGAGATGAAAATGATATTGACATCAGATTTCTCATCATCAGTCTCACAGGAGACAACATTGGAGCAATACCTTCACAGTTCTAAAGGAAAATGACTTTCTTCAGCACGACATTCTAAAATCAGTTAAACTATCAGTCAAGTATGAGAATAAAATCAAAGCATTTTCAGATATGAGATGACTCCCGAAATTACTCTGCAACAAATACTTTTAAAGGAAGTTGAGGATTTAGTCCAGTGAAAAAGAGGAAATAAACCAAGAAAGAGGAAGACATGAATTCTTGAAAAGAGCAGATCAAACCCCGGGAAGCAGTGACGTCCCAGGATGGTAGCTTTAGAGTAAGTCTAAAGAGCAACTGGCCTACAGTGGAGCCTGAGGTTGGAGGCCTTGGGGAGTGAATTTCCAGGAAAAAACGGGGCTTCACCTGTTATGACGAAGACTTTGAAAAGAAACCAACAAACTGAGGATATGACACAGGAAAATAGTGTATGGTGGGGGGAAAAGCTATTAGAAAGTCCAGGAAAAATTTAAAACCTGTACAAAGAAGAAAATATAATTTAATTATTGTCCCTGAAGTGAACACTATTGACATAGTCACAAAAATGTAAACACTGGTGACTAATTTTAACTTTTAAGCTAACTGTAGTTATAGAAATAATGCAATAGAAAAGTACAAATGAAGAAAGTTGGGAGGTAAAAGGAAGAGTAGAGAGCTGAAGGAACATGTAATAAACATTCTACATCCAAGAAATTAAAATTTAAAATAACGGATAGAGGAGTCAACATAACTATATAATTATATTAAATGAATGGAAGAAGGGAGAAGAAATGATTTCAGTAAGACCCAGTGGTCTAGGCATTTTATGCAGAGGCGGTAACTATAAGAAGAAACAGTTTTAAACAAGTTAAAAGTGTTGCCCCTGGAGAGCAAACATATGCGCTGTGGCATGATGGAGCAGAAGTGTTGCTTTCCATCATAAGTCCTCCTGTATTTTATTATGTTTTGATACTGTGTGTGTATTACTTCAATAAATAATTTGAAACTGTTTAAGAAATTGATCTATTTGGTTTTTTCAGGTTTTTGTCCAATGAAGATGGTTACCGTGGATAATGGAATTTAGATCAGAAGAAATCAAGGAATAAGCACTTGTTGAACACTTGTTATGTGCCAAGAACCCCGCCAGGTGCTAAAGGGAGCTCCAAGGCTGTTGAAGACACAGTCTCTGCCCACAAAATACTTTAAAAAAAAATCTAGTTTGGCAAAGCAAACTAATACAAGAAACAATTAGAGAATTAAAATACATGGTAAAAGGCTGAACTGTTAGAATGCTAAATTATGCCCAGTAGAAAATATGACAGCGAGAAAATGAAATTAGTTTGGATTGAAATTAGGGAAGGCTTCGGGTAGAGCTAGGGCTTGTTTTTGGCCTAAAATGATGGAAAAGATAGGAATAGGTCACTAGAGGAAGGAGCTTTAGAGGAAGGAAAGGCAACATGAGCAATGTTGGCCTGGAGAAGAATTTTTTCTACTTAGTTATGTATTATTAGGTAGAAACTTTTATCCTCTCTAATATCACAGAAAAGGTCTTTCTCTTTAAATCTTCCTAATATAACAACTTTCTCTGAGTGGATTATTTTTTTCTTGCTGACAGTGCAGTAAATTTTCTGTCGCTTTGCAGAATGGGAACTGCCATTTACTAAATGAGCTCTTCTCTTTTCTGTGCTCCCTTGGTGCCAAGTCTTAATAAAGACAGATGGGTTTCCCCCATCGTGCTACTGCTTCCCATCTCAGGCTGATGAATATGAGACTGAGAGCCTGACCCCTTCATTGTCAAGTAATGTAAAAGGCTTCATCCATATTTATTGCCATACTTTAATTACTAAGGGGAAGTATCAATTAAGGGACAAAGATTTTTAAAAATCATTTCAACAAAACCAAGATGTCTGAGCAAATTAAAATCTTTTTTCCTTTCTATTTTCTCTTCTTTAGTAGTGGGGGGAAAAAGGTGGTGGGATATTTGGTGTTGTTTAGGTTAAATTTAATTAATAGGAACTCAGAGTAGAATGTTCCATGGAAGAATGCACATGTCAAAAACCATGTCTTCATAGGAGGTTGTCAATTCAAATATTTGGGCTCAATTCAGTGAAAACTTTAGCCAAGTTATTAGACTTTACTGGTCATTAGAGAAACCTTTTATAGATACGAGGGAGTCCAAGCATCACTTTCGAGTGGTTTCCTGGTACTAAATCTGAAGATTTAGAAAGTCATTGACTCCATAAACCATTTGAGAGAAGGGGTTTGCTCCCCATATGTTGTAATGTAATGTGGAAACACCAAGAATACCCCTTGTCCCCAATCCACATTGAAATATTCCTGACTTGTTTCTAACTGCCTGAAATCTAAAATGTTATTCATTAATTAATTCATTCATTCATTGGTGGTAGGATTTTGCATCTCTATAGAGCCTCAGCTAAATTGTACCTGCTCCCAGGTCAGATTTTATAGCTCCAATCAGCTTCTAACATGTTAATATGAATCAGTCTGTCTGATTGTGTGTGTGTGTGTGTGTGTGTGTGTGTGTGTAATGATTGTTTTCAGGATAACATAAATGTTTTTCTTTTGTTTAAATTTTTAGTTATGAAATCTATAATGTAATTTTCATGTATGAAATCTATTGTATATATGAGAGCATACGCAACATAATGAATATTGTTTAAAGAATAATAATGAAATGAATACTCGTTTACCCAACTACCCAGCCTAAAAAAATAGAATTAACCCAAATCCTTGAAGCATCTGGGTGCCCCTTCCTCGTCTCCAGAAGTAACTACTACTCTAAATTTTATGTTTGTCATTCCCTTCCTCTTTTTCATATGTGTATCTCTAAACAATGTTGTTTAGGGTTTATGCATGTTTTGGATCTTTACATACATGGATCCACACTGCGTATATTTTTCTGAAACTCTTCTCAACATTATGTTTGTGGTTCATCCATGTTGACATGTAAGGCTATAATTCATCTGTTTTAATGCCTAACTATGCTATTGTACAGATATAGTACAATTTATCCATTCTGTCAGATGCTTACTTTGGGTGAAAAGGCTTTTTAACAAGATAATACACGCTTATGATTTTAAAAAAAACCCCGAAGCAACATGTAGATATATAAAGAGAACTGTCCACTCTTTCCCCTCACCTCTACAGAAGTAACCACTGTTAACAGTTTAGTCTCTAGATTTTTTCTATGAACATACAAGTGTATTTGTGTAGATATAAAAATAGGATTACACACACATTGTTCTACATTTTTTTCATTCAACCACATTATACGGACAGCTTTCTATGTCATAACATACATATTTATCTTGTTTTTAAAAATGTCTTCCATTCATTCCTTAGCAAGTATGTACCTTAATTTATTTAATAAATATCCTATTGATGAACACTAGGTTGCTCATCAATAGTAAAATAAAATGCTGTTATAATAAAGTTGCAATGTTTGTCCTGGTACATATAGATGTCTGCACAGAAAAGTAGAATTATTGGGTTGAAGATATTCAAGTTTAAAAATTTTACTGATACAACCAATTGCCTTCCAAAAAGGGGTCAGTAATTTACACTGTATTGGAACAATCCTTTTCCTCATGCTCCCTCCAGTGATGGATAGGAGCTGACTCAATGCTTTTTGTTTCTGATTAAAATGACGAGTTAATGGGTGCAGCACACCAACATGGCACATGTATACATATGTAACAAACCTGCACATTGTGCACATGTACCCTAAAACTTAAAGTATAATAATAATAAAAAAAGACAATATTTCATTTCTAGATAAATTTGGAAAAAACAAAAAAGATTACTAAGGAATAACCAAAATAGCTTGTATTCCCATTAATCAGCAAGAACTATCATTACTCTTTTGGTGTAATTTCTACCCTTTTTTCTTTTTGTATACTGACGATCTTTAACATTCAAGGGAGATATGTCCTGAGACATTGACAACTCCCCAAAGTCTTGAATATGTCTATGACATATTTCCTTCACAAAACAGTTTCTGCACAGACTGTATTCCCCTCACTGAAATTTTCTAATCACTTTTACTTATTTCCATATATAACATACAGTGAACTTGTTTATATCAAAGATCCACGCCATCATCAAATCCAAACAACTCTACGTTGTTATTTATTTAAAACTTCCGTCACTGGAAATTGTATTTGGCTTTTTTTTAGGCTACTTTACAAGAAATGGAAAATCATGCCTGTTTGTTTTCATTCTATTTTTTTCATTCGTCTTTGAATGCTCACATGTTTTCTGGTGAGATTATATGACACTATAATTCTTAGTTATTCCAGATTTCTCTATTCTTTCATGTATTTGGGATAAATTTTTCAAAATTCCTAGGCCTGAGGTAATAGAGCTATTAATTATTGCCCTAATGACCTCTCAGAATATATGAGTCATCCCTGTGTTAGCCACTACAAAAATGGATTTTTAAAATGCCAAGTTATTTTTTCATTTTTAGGATTGGGTCTACTGTGCAAAACTGATCATGTGGCCGGGCGCGGTGGCTCACGCCTGTAATCCCAGCACTTTGGGAGGCCGAGGCGGGCGGATCACGAGGTCAGGAGATCGAGACCATCCCGGCTAAAACGGTGAAACCCCGTCTCTACTAAAAATACAAAAAATTAGCTGGGCGTAGTGGCGGGCGCCTGTAGTCCCAGCTACTTGGGAGGCTGAGGCAGGAGAATGGCGTGAACCCGGGAGGCGGAGCTTGCAGTGAGCCGAGATCGCGCCACTGCACTCCAGCCTGGGCGACAGAGCGAGACTCCGTCTCAAAACAAACAAACAAACAAACAAACAAAAAACAAAAAACTGATCATGTTACTTTTCTAACTTAATTGTCTTTTTTAAATGTTTTCACCAAAATTGTATCATACTAGACATATTATTATATAATTGGCTTTTTCATTTGATAATTCCTGTAGTCATCTTTTCTATTCAATATATATTTACTTCATTTTTTAAGTAGTTGGATAGTATTCTATAAAATGATGTGTCATAATTTACTCAAGTATTACCCTATTGGTGAACATTTAGTTAGTTTGTTTGTTTTTTTCTGTTTTTTGCTTACTGTAAACAATACTCCTTGGGTTGCCAACTTGTTTCAGGTCATCTGAGACTTTACTGGTTTAAGCACTGAAAGTCCCATTCCGAGGAAACTCTTCAGTCTTGGGAAAACTGGGACAGCTGGTCACTCTACTCTTACATCTTCCTACATCTATTTTTACTGCCTGGTAATTTATATCTGTCACATCCATTCCCAGAAGTGGGATTGTCAGGTCACCTGATTGCTTTCCTACATGACACTTTTTGTAGGAAGTCCTATTGCAATGCAACTCAGGTAATTTCTAGAGTGGGAGATGTGGAGAGGAAGTCACAAAGTATAGATCTGGTCCATATTAGAAGCCATAAGTAAAGTATTTTAGCATTGCGCCATTTGAGCAGAGGGGGAGAAAATCACAGAAAGGGCATGAAGATTGCTGAATGGGTAAAGAAAAATGCAGAAGGGCCCAAAGACAAATTTCACCTTTGTATTTTTACCTAGAATCAGTCCTGCTATGTAGACCCTCTATGTAGTTTAAGGACACAGCAGTGAGTTGAAAATTTGGAAACCTGTCTTGTTTAATATGATTGTGCCTCAATTTTTAAAATTCAAATAGGAAGGACTAAAGATTTGCCCCTTTCTTATAACTTGGGTGTGTTAGAAGGCTAAGTTCCAGTGTTTATAAAAGTAACATGAACTACTTAAATTATAAGGGTTATACAAATAGGAAATACTTGTCCCAGTATCCACAGGTATCTTCTTGGCTTGTTCACAGAGGTTGGGTTATATTAGCATCACTTAATTAATATTGAACAAACAAGGTTTCAATAGGCCTATTTAATAGGTATACGTACAGCTTCTTCTGCCATCTGAGGTAGTGCATTTCAGAGATAAGATTCTCAATAGTGGCTGAGTGCCATGGCTCATGTTTGTAATCCCAAAACTTTGGGAGGTTGAGGCAGGAGAATGGCTTGAGGCCAGGAGTTTGAGACCAGCCTGGACAAAATAGCGAGACCCTATCTCTACAAAAATAAAATAAAGTAAGTTAGCTGGGCTTGGTGGCACATGTCTGTAGTTCCAGCTACATGGGGGCTGAGGTGGGAAGACCCGTTGAGTCTAGGAGTTCAAGGCTGCAGTGAGTCATGATCATGTCACTGCACTACAGCCTGGGAGACAGAGCAAGACCCCAACTCAAAAAAAAAAAAAAAAAAAGAAAAAGAAAGATTCTCAATATTGTTTGCTTTTAGTTAGGCAGCAATTAAGGAAGAAAGAACATGTGCTTTCCAGGACCTTGTACTCATCCGTCGCTTTTAAAATAGTTTCAAGGAGATTTGTTAGGTAATGCTGGCTGAATTACTGAGTTTCCTTTGATTATTGCCAATATATTTCCTGTAAGTCCTGAAGAGGGAGAGGGTAAGGGTTAGAGACAAACAGTCCAGGGCTATTTATTTCTTATAATCTTCTTAGATTAACTCTTTAGAAATTGTTAGCTTTGGAATACCAGAAAAGAACAGCAAATAATTCACCAAACTGTTGTGTAATAACCAAAGACTAAAAAAGTGCCTTTGAGTTACCTATTTGACAACGAGGCAGAACTACAAAAGGCCTTGAAAACTAAAGTCCCAAACCACAGGACAGTCTCTATGGTAAGGGGTCAGGTAGCCTAGTAAAAATAAAACTTTAGGGACTCTGAATTTAGGACCTATTTCTGCTGAGTGACTGTGGCACCTCAGCCACTGAACACCAGTTTCTCATCTGTTAGATGTGCTTAATACAGGTTGAGCATCCCTAATCTGAAAATCCAAAATCTGAAATGCTCCAGAATCCAAAACTTTTGGATTGCCAACATGATGCCACAAGTGGAAAATTCTACACGTGCATATTTAAAACTTTATTTCATGCACAAAATTATTTAAAATACTGCATAAAATTACCTATAGGTTATGTGCATAAGGTATATATGAAACCTAAATGAATTTCATGCTTATACTTGGTTCCCATCCTCAGGATATCTCATTATATATATGTGAATATTCCAAATACAATAAAATCCAAAATCAGATACATTTCTGCTCCCACCCATTTCAGATAAGTAATACTCAACCTGTATCATTGTGTCTGGAGATGCAGTATCAGATGGGAGTGCAGGCCACAGAACCAAAATGCACGGTTCTGAATCTTGGCTGTGTCACTGATTTGCTTGCTTTCTTTTTTCTTTCTTTCTTTCTCTCTTTCTTTCTTTTCTTTCTTTCTTTCTTTCTTTCTTTCTTTCTTTCTTTCTTTCTTTCTTTCTTTCTTTCCTTCTTTTCCTTCCTTCCTTCCTTCCTTCTTTCTTTCTTTTCTTTTCTTTTTTTTTTTTTTGACAAGGTCTCAATACATTGCCTAGGCTGGTCTTGAACTCCCGGGTTCAAGTGATCCTGCCTCCTCAGCTTCCCAAAACACTGTGATTACAGGCACGGGCCACCACATCCAGTTATTTCCCTCCCCCCCACCCTTGAGAATTAGTTTCTTCATCTGTCAAATAGAGTTAATAATGGTATTGGCTCCTAAGGATTGTTGAAGAATCATGAGATAATTAATGAGAAGTGCTTAGAACTATGTCTTGTACCTTTTTCCATCAACATAGGTGAAGCTTGAAATCACAGGATCAGGATTCAGCCAGCCTGTATCCAAATCCTGATTCTGCCAATAAATGACCTTGGAAAATTATTTTACCTCTCTGTGCCTCAGTATTTTCATTTACAAAACTGGAATAGTAATTATAATAACCTAAGAGGGTTATTTCATGAAAGAATCCATGTAAAGGCTTAGAACAGTGCAGGGCACATATTATTTAATAACAATAATTATTATTACCTAAGAGTCTTGATGTAGGCCAAGCTTATATTTAGGGCTTTTCTTTTTCTGACTTCACTCATCTCTACTCTTTGGTGTTAGCCTTTTTCTATGGCCCAATATCTTCATCATTGTTTATTTTCTCCTTTTGTTTATAACAAAACCTGTTTCCAGATTCTTCTTTAATGCTCCATAAAAGTTTAATTGTCACTGAGGCTTTCAATTTAGCTGATCTGTAAGCTGGAACTAAAGGGATTTCAGATTTCAGATTGAGGATGAATGAAGATTGTGAAGCTTTTAGAAGGAAATTACACCACTTGGAATTTAACCTCATAGGCACTGTTTAGTATTCCATAGTTGTTAGATAAAAACGTGAACTATTAGTTCATGCAAAAATCCAAAACTATCAAGTACATACCAAATACTCAAGGGACAAGACTCTTTGTTACCCACCAGCCTTTGCTGACAACTGATAATCATGGATTACAGATATTATTAAATGCATGCTTCCTGTGTGCTGAGCTCTTCATCATTTCAGTGTTGCATTACAATAATCCAATGTGGTAGACAACTCCATTTTACAGTTTAAGAAATAGATAAGTACTTCAAGAATCTTAAGTAATTTGTACCAACTTCACGTAGTGAGCTTCCATAAATGATAAGGCGAAGATTTAAGCTCAGATTTATCAAATTTCAAACACCCCAATCTTTTTACTTCACCATATTAAAAGAGTTGTTATTTTCAGAACACAGTGTCACTGAGTACAAATCACTTTGGGGATTCAGAGGCTTGTCTGGTAGCCTGGCTGAAGAAAAAGCAGAGATTGCTAGACATTTTTCTTATTATTGCATCTCCCCATACAATCTCTTCTGCTATTCAGCCAAAAGGACTGTAGTGGTGAATACCTTGATATTCATTTTAGAACTTTTGTTCCCAGAGTCCCAACTGGGCCCAGATATTAGACTAAACTGATTCAAAGTGCTTATTTTAGAAGTTCGTTGTTTGCAAGGATGTGTCTGAAATAATGAAAGAAGGAAATCCAGTTGATGACTGGGTAGGTTGCTCTTCCCTTGAGCCCTACCAGACTGAAATGAGAGCCAGATCAACATGGTGTTCCTCCCAACAACTGTGTGTTGGAAATATGTGGCTACTTATCTAACTTCACCTCTAGGTTAGAGCCCAGACATCAGTTGATTATGAAGCTGGCTGATAAGATGGGAAAAGCTGTGCTCCACACATTTTCTAAAATCCCTTCTTTTCCATGAAGATAGCAAGAACAGATTTTGAGGAATAGGTAATAGACATAAGCATAGATTTTAGTGGTGGTTGGCTAATGTTTTCTAAGGAGTACACTGGAGACTTTCCATAATACTCTTTTTAGGTTAGATTTTAGAGGTATATCTTAAGGAGGGCTTTCTGCGCTTGCAATACAAACATTCCATTGGATGAAGCAGATAGCCTTTTTTTTTTTTTTTTTTTTTTTTTTTGAAACAGGGTCTCGCTCTTTTACCCCAGGCTGTAGTGCAGTGGCATGATATTGGCTCACTGCAATCTCCGCCTCCAAGTTTCAAGTGATTCTCCTGCCTCAGCCTCCCGAGTAGCTGGGACTACAAGCATGCACCACCACTCCTGACTAATTTTTGTATTTGTAATAGAGACGGGATTTCGCCATGTTGGCCAGACTGGTCTCCAATTCCTGACCTCAAGTGATCCGCCCACCTCTGCCTCCCAAAGTTCTGGGATTACAGGCACGAACCACTGGGCCTGGCCTACTCTTTTGTTAAATATAATACTGGCTCATAGTGTATTAAGTCTTTGGAGGACTTTTTGACTCAATCAATGCATGTTTTATCTGTGGTGAATAAGAAAAAAGAATGACTGTTTACCTTTTCCCCAAATAATATAATGGGATGAGGACCACTTTGAACAAAGAGCCACAAGGGCTGGGAGATTCTATGTCTTGAACAAAGATGAACTAACATCTGCCCCCAGACCACAAATTGTTCACAATATAGTGGAAGAGACAATTATATAAACATTCTTCATACAAAACAGAATGAAATGCATGCTAGACAGAGTTATCAGTGCTAAGCAAAGTGGTGTGAAAATATAGAGGAAGATTAAGTTAGTTCTGCCTGAAGAAATTAGGGATGGCTTCACAGAAGAGGTTAGCTATTCATGTGGGCCTTGGAAAATGAGTCCAGTTTGGTAAAGAAGATGCAGGAAGAATATTCCAGGCTGAGGGAATCTCATAATCAAAGGTGCAAATATGTGGAAGCAAATGCCATTTTTTTCCCTTTGACAATAAGGAGATATAGCCATGCAGTTAGAGTATATAGTATGTGCAGCCACCTGTGCAAGCTGGTGAATCTGAGTGTGGAAGTAGGAGTTAAGTACTGAACTGCAGTGATGCTCACAACTCTATCCCTGGACTTTGCTTTGGAAGCTACTGGGTGAGAACATGCTGGAGTAGTTGGTGATCCTCCTGTTTCCAGAATTGGCTCTTACACTTGGAAAAGTTGGGAATTAGGGAGCCAGCAGTTATCTTATGGAGTATCTAGTTTTGCTATAGAATAAACTCTTGCTTATACAGGAAATCATTAGTAAGTTGAATATACAAATAGCTCTAAAATTAAGTTTTATCTCATTATTTCAATTTCTTTTCTTACCTGACTCTTTCTGTAACTGCTTAAATGATAAATGCATTCGTCTTTTATTTACAGTGCATCCCTCTACACATTTCAGGTGAAGGTAAAGGACCGAATGATGTCCCTGAGGGTAAATAAGGATTCTGGAAACCCACAAAATGAATATGATAGTTTACTAATGAATTAAAGGGCCTAGGTGGAGTATCCAACACACTTCTATGTCAGACAGACAAGAAGCACAGCTCAAATAATACCTCTGATCATCTTCCAAACAGTTTAGGAGATACGACAATTATCCCTGTACACGGATTATGTATAAGATCCTTTAAATATTTTTTCTTGGCATAAAACTTAATGTTAAGATTTGTTAATAAAGCTAAAGTGTTTCTTAGATTGGCTGAATTTATTAGTGCCAATAATTAGTACTTAAATATTTCAAAGTATGTTACTTGTGGAGTATTTAAATGAAGGGGCTACTTATTTATAGCAGTGTAGTAGTTTGGACTAAAATACATGTCAAATATATAGACAGATTTATTCACTGTTTTTCTAACATGCTAATATAATTGAACTGATTCTTTATAATCCAAAAAAGCAATGAATGAGAATTTAGGCAACTTTTCTTGTAAATAGTAAATAGTGGAGTCCTGTCTTACTTGGGGGTTGGGTTCTTAGTTCAGTTGATAAGGCAAAAATCACTGTGGCAGAGACTACTAATTGCCTACCCAATATTTACTTTTCTCTTCCTCATTAATGGCAGGACCGGACCCTGAGGTTTTTTTTTTTTTTCTGGATAGTAATGTGCTTATCAAAATCTATATTTCTGACCTAGAAAAGGTTAATGGAATCTAAGTGGACCTTATTAGGAGGGACTTGCAGGAAAGCTATTGAAAATTGAACAGAATGCTGGTGAATGCCCTTATCTCCCGCTACCCCTCATATTTCCTGCTTGAAATGCAAAATTCATGACTAGAGCTCTAGCAGCCATCATGGACCATAAAGTGACTTTGAGGATGGCAGTTAGCACTAAGAATGGTGAAGCAGAAAGATAGGAGCTTGAGTCTCTGATCAAACATTTGAAACCATTACATCATCCCTGTATTTCCTTCATATGAGGGAATAAGTTCTTATTTTTCAAATATTATGGTTGGGTCTCTGTTACTAATGATTGAATGCATCTCCTGATACAATTGTGTATAATCAAAATTACCTTCAAAAATAATTTAGGAAGGTGCCATGTTAGAGAGCAACATATCTCCCAATAAGTCAGTTTTCCCTTCAGCATTGGAACACCTTACTATTTCTATGTTTGAGCACTGGATTTACACATAACACTGTCACATGATACTGGAAAATACTTGAAAAAACAAGAGTCACATTTTTTCATACCTCCATTCACTCTGGGTGCAGGCACATTGAATGGGATAGGATAGGCTGCCAAATTTAGCAAACAAAATGAAACAGGAAGCCCAGTTAAACTTGAATATTGGATAAACAACTAATAATTTTTTAGTATTAAAATGTAATAATTATATTTTAAATTTTTATGATTTTTAAAATCTGAAAACCAACTTTGTGTCCTATATTTTATTTAACAACTCTGGATGGGGGAAAGAATCGCCAATGCTGTTTAAATGATCATTTTTCTCTCTTTCACTATTTTTGTTATTTCTTCCTTTCTTCTTCTTCTTTCTATTTTGTATCACATAGTTAAATTTGTGTAAGTTAAAAACGTATCTAAGGCTCAGCCAATTAAGTTCCAATGCAGATGAAGGGAGAAAATGCCAAAAAAACAAACATTATGATTCCTTTTTATGTAATTTTCAAAACAAGGCAAAATTATTCAATGCATCTTTTAGGAAATCACACATATGCAGCAAAAATTATAAACAAAAGCGAGGGAATAATTAGCATAATATACAGGGTTGTAGTTAGCCCTGGGAGTTTAGAGGTGCTATAGAGGGTACACACCAAGGGCCTCTAAGGTATTGATAATATACTATTTTTTAACCTGAGTGATAGATATAGAAACGGTTGCTTTATTTTTTACTATTAATCTTTAAACTACAGGCATGCTTAATCTTTCTTTGTAAATGACATATTTCACAGTAAAAAAAAAACAATGCTTTTATAACCACACTTTATCTTATGCTAATAGTTATTCCCTGTTTGTGGACTATCTGCCCAAATTCAGTCTTTGACTGAGACACATTTTTTTCTAACTAAATGAAAATGAAAGTTTTAAATTATCTTTATTGCTATTTAATGTTTAAATCAAACTTTTGTCTTCTTGTTCAGGTGTGTTTGCCAATTCATAGATGGGCCAGTTTTCATAAATAGATGTTCTCGTTTTACATAAAGTAGCAATATAAATCACCTAATATGCCTTATATTTAACACATAATAGCTGTGTGACAGGCACCAACTGGATAGATGCCATTTGTTAAGTGGCTGTGATGTATATCAATCTCTGCTGTTAAATCAGAGGTGGCTTATGCAAAATTGCATTTGCACCATTTAACCTTGAAATTGGCCATTAGGCACAGGAAGTAATATATCAAACTTCAGCGATTACATCACATTTAGGGGAAAACATAAACAGTATCCAACAGACAGACCTAGAGGATTAAGTCCTTGACTCGATCTTTTTGTGGGATCAGATAAAATGTACTTTACTTTAGGCTGAGGCCTCAGGAAGCACACTCTAGGAGCATAATAATGAGGCCTTCTACGTGAGCAGATCACTCAACTGCTCGAAACCCCAGTTTCCTCTTCTGTAAATATAAAGGACTAAATGAAGTGATATCTAAAGTCACTTTGATGCCAGCATGTTATGGTTCCATAACTGGAATAACACTTTCCATTTGTCAAAGTGTCTTGGCATATGTTATTTCACTTGACTTCCCACTAACTCTCTGAGGTAGTTAGGGCAAGATATTGTTATCCCCAGTTTAAGGATGAGAAAACCAAGGCTCACAGGGTGTGGTGACCCTAAGGCATACAATTTAATTGAATAAATTTACCAAGAGGAGAGAATACAGGTTCCAGAGACAGATTTTATATTGAAAGTATTGTATAGCACTTGATATATAACAGAAGTAATATTGCAAAACTGTAGGGCAAGCTTGGACTATTTAATAAACACTGCTGAAACAAATGATTATCCATACGGAAAAAGTGAAATTGGATCTCTACTTCACACTCTATACAGCGATCAATTCCAGATGGTTTAGGGGCTTAAGTGTAATAGACAAAACTTTTAGAATAAAGTATACGAGAATATTTTTGTAATCTTGCAGCAGGGAAAGATTTCTTCCACAAGGCAAAATATGTAAACTATAAAAAGGAAAATATTAAAAAAATAATAAAAACCAAGTGAATGGATTAAGAAATGAAGGCTTAAGTGTATTATTTGAAGTTTATACAACTAATATAAAAACTAAAAGCTATAATAGACATTTCAAGGGGAGAAAAAAGAGAGGTAGGATTAATGAGTTAGGGTCTTGGCTACATCATGAGAGAGGATGAGGGAGCTAAATGTATCATCTTTTTTTTTAGTGGGAAGTCTCAGTACAGATTAAAATTGATAAACCAAGAACTAGAGTCTCTAGTTAATCAAAAGTACAAAAAAACAGAAAATTCAAATGTCTAAAGGGATTTGTCTGGGAGCAAGCGGCAGGAAGAGAGCATTTTACTTGTCATTTTGTACCATTCTGTACTGCTTAAATTTTTATTTCCTGTGTATGTATTTTCCATATAATTTTTTTAAAATTTAATTAAATGAGCAGGAAGAACAAATATGACAAGGTTGGATGCTTTGACCTAATTTTCTAACCAGAACTTTCTATGTTACATGAGAGGATCAGGTTGGCAGGTCACATCTTAACCATTGCATCTGTTAAGTCTCTGGACAGTTGATTGCATTTTTGAAATAAGGCAGAACCAGGTTGGAAAGTGTTTAAATCTTTCTGTCAAGTCTTCTCTGTTTACATGATTCATAGGGAACAGATGGCCCAGCTGTCTGTATTTAAGAGAAGTGGGTGGTTCATGGTTTGCAATCAATGAAGCAATAATTACAATTTTGAGTAAACTAGTCCCCAGAAAATGTTGTTTTAATTTGTGAATGAGATTGAGGCACAAAGAGAAGGTAGGCTGATTGGAATGTAATTGCAACATATTTAGGAAAGGGTCTTTAAAATAGAAGCAGCTAAAAACCTCACTAAACCCTCTCACCAATATACTGGGAAAATGAACTTTTTCTTTGAGTACTCTCAGACCACAACCTAACCAAGGTAACAGTGTGGTTACTTTATTCAAAACTCACAGATTCCCTTCCCTCAAGGCCCAGGAAACATTACTGCTGCTTAGAGTGTACTGGAGTTGGCTGACCTTGAGATTTGGGGAGAAGACCTTTACTTCTACCACCCAATACCCCTAAGCATGTTGAAATCTTGTTTTTTGAATACTGCTAAACCACTCCCTCCTGAGAGTGCCTCTCAGAAATGAGAATGAGGATGTTTTGTGCCTCTCTTAAATGAGTGGTGGAAAAATGTAGAAAAGGCAGGAGTTGTAAGAATTAAAAGCACTGACGAAAATAAATCATTATCACTTTGAAAGCTTTGGAACATATAAATACATTCACACCATTCTTAAGGGTGTCTTTTATTTATTGTTTAAAATGTCTTATCAGCAGGTTAATAGCAGTTTTAAAGTGTAGGTTACCAGCTGCTAATGCATGCTTAATGACCCATTTTGTTCACTATAGAGCTGCATATTCCAGCTGTGTATTTACGATTGTAGCAAATTTGTTCACTTCAATTGGCCACAGCTTGGTAGGATGGTCAGCCTTCCACAGGATGGGAAATGGTGGGAGATGGAATTATGCAAGCCTCTATTTTCTGGGGGGCTCATCATCTTAGGCTGACACTTGGGATCTTGTGGAAAGGCCCTGTTTACAGGGAGGTAGCAGATTTTCTCAAGGGAAGAGATCTTAGTCCATGAACTGTACACTTGGAAGAGGACTAACTGCTGGATAGCATTGAAGCTCCTTAGCTAGGCACTGCCTGCCACTTCTTCCATATACCCTGTACTCAAGCCACATTGGATTATCAGTGGCTCTTAGTGAACCTTTACCACACTCCTGGGGGTGTTTAAAAGTGTACAGTGGTAGTTTTGGTTATCATAAAGTTTGGAGCTCCATTGAGACACACTGGTCCAGCTCTTAAGTATGTAGTGTTATTTTTATTTTTATTTTTTAAATTTTTAAAATTATTTTTGAGACAGAGTCTCGCCGTTGCACAGGCTGGAGTGCAGTGGTGTGATCTCGGCTCACTGCAACCTCCGCCTCCTGGGTTCAAGCAATTGTCCTACCTCAGCCTCCTGAGTAGATGAGATTACAGGTGCATGCGACCATGCCCGGCTAATTTTTGTATTTTTAGTAGAGATAGGGTTTCATCATGTTGGTCAGGCTGGTCTCCAACTCCTGACCTCTTGATCTGCCCGCCTTGGTCTCCCAAAGCGCTGGGATTACAGGCATAAGCCATTTATTTTTTTTAATTTTATTTACATGCAATTTACGTATTGTATAATTCAATGGTTTTTAGTAAAGGTCTTGCTTTTTCTACCTCCATATCTCTGCTCAACCTCTGCCTCTGATCTTTCCATCTATAGCCCTCTTTCCTCTCTTATACACCTGAAAAAGTGAGACTAAATCTAATATTTCCAATTCAGACATCACTGTTTTGATGCTTTCCTGGTTACCTCAAACACACTTAACTTCTATAAGGCAGGAGTCCACAAACTTTTTCTGTAAAGGGCCAGGGAATTACTATTTTTGGTTTTGCAAGCCATAGTCTCTCTTGCAACAGCTCTGCCATGTAGTGCAAAAGTGGCTACAGACAGCAAGTGAATGAATGGGTGTGGCTGTATTTCTTTATTCACCAAAACAGGTAGCCAGTAGTTTGCAAACCTCTGCACTAATCACTTTGTTCATACATTAATTACATCACTCAAAACATTATAATGCATTCAGTAATATAGGTACTTGCCTCTTTCATGAGATAGGAATATCTTTTTCATCAATGTAACCACAATGATTAATATAGTGCCTCAAACATAGTGGGTGATCAATCTACCCTGGTTGGCCGAATAAACACTGGTGCAGAGAGCACTGGAAGAAATACTTCTAGATTGCTATCAAGGTAATCAGACCTTCTGGCTATTTTACATATAACTGAGTTTGTATAAGAACTTATTCATTAGAACAAATCCTGAGTTTCAGCCTCAAATCTTAAGCCCCTTATTAGCTCATTGAAAGAAATCACAACCAGGATACTGCCTGCCACCTAGAAGGCATTCAATAAAAGTTTGTGGAATTGTATTTCAGTAACAGAAACTATCTTTGTTGGGATCTTTGCTACAGACAAATAAAATATATAACAAGCTAAGTTTAAGTGTCTTCCCATCTCCCACTTATCACCTCTGCAAAGAAAAAAAGGAAGGAAGGAAGAAAGGAAGGAAGGAAGGGAGAGGAGAAAGAGAAGAAGGAAAGAGAAAAGGAAAGAAGAAAGGAAGGAAAGAAAGAAAAGAAAGAGAAAAGAAGGAAAGAAGGATGGAAGAAGGAAGGAAGGAAGAAAGGAAGGAAGGCGAGAAGGAGGAAAAAAGAAAGGAAGGAGAAAAAAAGACAGACCTAGACTGGAAGATAGCAAATGTTTTCATAGCATACTAAAACAGGGGTACTAGTTGGTAAGAAATAGAGTCCTAGTTATGTTAAGAAAGAAAGTGCATTTCTCATAACCGGTGAAGGGTCTATTTAATTGCAGACATTTTAGAGGGTGAACAAGCCTACAGGCTTGAGTAGAAAATCATCAGTATGCCCTATCCCCTTTGTGACCAATGCTTATCCTTGAGAAAGTCTACCCAGGACACTGCAGACCAGCAGGAAAGAGAAAAAGAGAAAAAACATTGACATTAGTGGATTCTTTGAGACTGCAAAATTTATAGGCTCAAAGGGAGAGTTGATGGGTCTTGAGGTTTGATTATTTCTATTGGGATAAATAACTGAGAGGGGAAAGTAGCAGGTAGAGGAGACTGGGACAAAGAAGGGGGAAAGGATTGAGGACTGTGGGAAGGGAAGGGAAGGAGAGAAAATTGAGGAATGAGGGAGGTCCACATGAAAAACTCGCCAAAGTCCAAGAGAGCATCCAGTTGGGATCACCCTACCCTGCTTCTGAGGCCTAGAACATAAGTTTCATTCCTTGTGTGGTAGGAGACACTGAGGTAGCTAGTCCAATATCACAATGTCTAATTTCAGACCCTGGCAACCAAATTTAGGTGGCTTTGGACAAATAACTACTTAAACTTTCCTGGGATCCAGTTAATAGTTGCTCCAAGGAAAGGTATGGAAATCTCTCTTTTTCACAGCCAGATATGATAGTATACGAGCCTCCTCTTTGTAGACTATTAGATACAATATTGACTCGAACAACATCTCTACCTTGGAGGAGTTTATAGTATGATAAGGGAGATGGACCTGCACATAGGATGTTCGATTATAATGTGGTAGATATATATGATAAGACAGGTAGAGGTCGAACAAAGGGTGGTAGAGCAGATGACATTCAAGGCAGATCTTGAAAGATGGAGAATCAGCTCTCCAGGAAGAGAAGCAGAATGAGGGCATTCTAGACAGAAGGAAAAAACAAGGCACAAAAGTCATAAAATATAAAGGGCAATTTAGGCTTTTCCAATAGCATGGTGTGGCTGAAACTATAGAGTAGGAGGGAATGGGAAGAAAGAGAAGGAGGAGGAGAAGCAGGAGAGGAACCAGGAGATAAGACTGGAGTCAAGTGATAAAGAGCCTTGCTAAGTGGTTGGGCTGTTCTCTTTTAGATAAATAAGGCACAGAGAAAAGCAACCTGACTGTTTTTGTAGGTAAGCACAGTGTTTTGTTTTGTTTGTTTGTTTACACTTAAAAAATTCAAATTTGAATGCATTTAAGCAGGGTTTACTCTTCAATTGGCCACTGAACCCACCATTCAAAAATTGTCTTGCATCTCATAACTTCATCCATTTGCTTGACTTAACTTGCCTCTAGAGGCAGTTAAGTTTGTGATTTCCTGCTTAGAACAGGGAAACACTGAAGTAGTGATGGAAAATTGATACTTTTATAAAATATTTCTAATGACAGTGGGAAGAGCATAGGGAATTATGGAGGTAGAAACAACAGTCAGAATGCTATTGCAGTAGTTTAAACAAGAGATAATAAGGAGTCTGTCAATAGATGAATGGACAAACAAAATGTGGTCTATCAACACAATTGAATACTATTCAGTAACAGAAAGGAATGAAGTAATAATTCATGCTCCAACATGGATGAGCATTGAAAACATGCTAAGTGAAAAAAGCCAGCCACAAAAGACCACATATTGTATTATTCCATGTATATGAAGTATCTGGAAAGGCAAATTCGTAGACACAAAGTAGATTAGTGTTTACCAAGGCTTTGGAGAGGAAAGAATGGGGAGTGATTGCTAATGGGCATGGGGAAAATATTCTAAAATCAGACTGTGGGGATGGTTGCACAACTCTGTAAATATACTAGAAGCCATTGTATGTGCACTATTTAAAAGCATTAATTATATGATACGCAAATTATATTTTAATAAAGCTGTGATTTAAAGAAAAAGATAATGTGGACCTGAATTATGGCACCAGAAGTGGAGGTGAAGAGGCCAGGAGGCTGGATGTGTTCCAGAGACACTCAAAGATGTGTGAATGATGCAGATGCAGTACTTGAATTCAGGTGAAGGCAGTCTAAAACAGCCAGAGCACAGCCAGAAGTAAAGCAGTAAAACGAGCCTGGCATACAGTAATTGCTCAAGATATGTTAACTTAATATTATTATTCTCTCTTGTAACCAGAGTTTTCTCCAGAACTTTCTGGACATGGTGCTGCTTTCCTTCTTTATCATATTGAGTGTGTTAGAAAGAGCACTGGACTTCATAACCATATTGAGTGTGTTAGAAAGAGCACTGGACTTCATATGAGAAAACTTGAATTTTAGATCTTGATTTACTACATGCTGTATAACTTTGGGCAAGTCAATTTATTTCTCTGGACCTCAGTTTCTTCATCAGCAAATTGGGGGAGTTGATTAGAACTGTAGTTTTAAAATTGTGCTACCCACTTTTATCACTGTTATTCAGCATAGTACTGGAAGTCCTTGCTAGAGCAATCAGACAAGAGAAAGAAATGAAGGGTGTCCAAATTGAAAAGGAAGAAAAATTATCTTTGTTTGGAGATGATAGGATCTTGTACTTGGATAAACCTAAAGATTCCGCCAAAAAACTATTAGAACTGATACAACAAATTCAGTAAAGTTGCAGAATACTAAATCAACATAAAAAAACAGTAGCATTTCTATATGCCTATAGCAAACAATCTGAAAAAGAAATCAAAATAGTAATCCCATTTACAATAGCCACACATAAAATTAAAGATCTAGGAATTAACCAAAGAAGTGAAAGATCTTCTATAATGAAAACGATAAAACACTGACAAAGTAAATTGAAGAGGACAACCAAAAATGGAAAGATTTTCCATATTCGTGGATTGGAAGAATCAATATTGTTAAAATATTCATATTACTCAAAGCAATCTATAAAATGAATGCAAGCCCTATCAAAATACCAATGACATTCTTCACAGAAATAGAAAAACAATCCTAAAAGTTATATGGAACCACAAATGCCCCAGAAAAGCCAACGCTACCCTCAGCAAAAATAACAAAACTGGAGGAATCACATTACCTAATGTCAAATTATACGATAGAGCTATAGTAACCAGAACAGCATGGTACTTGCATAAAAACAGACACATAGACCAATGGAACACAAAAGAGAACCCACAAATAAATCCATACATCTAAAGTGAACTTATTTTCAACAAAGGTGTCAAGAACATATATTGGAGAAAAGACAGTCCCTTCAATAAATAGTACTAGGAAAACTGGACATCCATATGCAGAAAAATTAAATTGAATCCCTATCTCTCATCACAAACAAAAATCAATTCAAAATAGATTAAAGACTTAAATCTAAGACCTTAAAGTATGAATCTACTACAAGAAAACTTTGGGGAAGATCTCTAGGATGCTGGTTTGGGCAAAAATTTCTTGAGCAATATCCCACGAGCACAGGTAACCAAAGTAAAAATGGACAAATGGGATCATATCAGGTTAAAAAGCTTCTGCACAGCAAAGGAAAACAATAAAAAAAAATGAAGAGACAACCCACATAATGGAAAAATGTATTTGCAAACTATCCATTTGACAAGGGATTAATAACCAGAATATATAAGGAGCTCAAACAATTAAAGAGGAAAAAATCAATAATCCAATTTAAAAATGGGCAAAAGATGTGAATAGACATTTCTCAAAAGAAGACATACAAATGGCAGACAGGCAGATGAAAAGGAGAGTATATACCTGTGGATTAAGACTGATAATGTGATAGCGTAATGGTAGTACATATAGGGAGATTATGGAATTGCTCACTGCCTATGTTGCTTCCATCTTTTCTATCCAGGAAAATGATGGCTAGGTTGTAAAAAGTAGAAAAGCATTAGTATGATGGAACTAAAGACCAAGAGAGGGATGGAAATTATTAGAGCAAGACTCTTGGTTTGACAGAGGTCTATATCAGGGCACTGAGAAAAATTATGCATAGCTCATTGGTGTGATGAATAGAAATGGTATGTCCTTTGAAGTGACTGGTCTGCCTTTGAATCTTAGCTTAGCAAATTTCTAGCTGTGTGACATTTGGCCAATCATTGACATGCTATGAGCCTCAAGTTTCAAAATGGGAATAGTACATATCTCACAGAATTGTTGCAAAGATAAAATTCTTCTAGATGAGCCTAAGGCAGTGATGTTCAACCTTGGCTATGCCTCAAAAATCATAGGAGAAACTATTTTTTAATATGTGAATACACATACCCTGTTTCCAGGAACTGTTAGTAGATCTGGGATAGGACTTGCTTATCTAGATTTTTTTAAAATGTATTCCTTGGGTAATTCTGGTTTATAGACATTGTTGAGAACCAATTAGGTAGATATTCTGGACAGGTTAGACAGCAGGGTAGGGGTCAATGAAGAGACAAAAATAGCAATTATTAATGAACAGCATATAGCACTGTTAAAGATATTAAGCAGCTAGATCCATCAGAATTAAAGATCTTTTCAAAGTTTTCAGGCAGCCTGCTTCAGAAGTTTTGGAATCTTTCAGCTCATTAACTTTCTCTTTCTCTTGAGTCTTATTTGGCTGTTTTGTCATTCAGAGTGATGGTGATACCGAGCAGTAGGTATAACACCCCTGCAAACTGCATAGTGTCTTTGTGTGAGGGGAGGAGGGAAGAGCTGGTGATGAGGTGGAAACCCCAAGGGAAAAAGCTTAGAATAAAAAATGTGCTTCCAAAGCTCAAGCAGAGCCAAGTGTCTGTAAATCAGTCACTGCCCGGTCAGGTGGAACCTCACTGCAGGATCTGTTGCTTGTCATTTGCAATAAATTTGCTTGTGAAGCAATGCATGCCCTTCTCACAAGGGTGTGTCAGCCCAAGGCTGAATTTCACCAACTGTTAAATTAAGAGGGCAAAAAACCATACCATCTACCTGGTTGACTGAAGCTGATGGATATCAAGGGGTTCTCTCTCTTTCCCCATTAGTTTAGAGCATCCCAAATTTTAAACTCCATTTTAATGCTCATCTTCTCATTCACCTCTACCTACTACCTTCTCAGTAAGAAAACTCCAAGGCAGAAAGTATCATGGGCCTTTGTCAGACTGCCTTGTGGGTATAAAACAAAGAGAGAAATTCTCCTCCAGGGAGATGCAAACTAGGAATTTCCACAGAGACCCAATAAGCAACTTTCAAAGCTCTGATTCTCACTTTCATTTAAAACCTAATGCTTCAAGGCCTCATACATCCGAGTGTGTAGGCTTTTTGAAGTTGTGACCATACTTCCTGTCACAGGTGACTTTACAACTAGAATGCAGCCAAAACAGTGTGGGTAAAATAATATGTGATCTGAAGGACATCAGGAGACCGCTTCCCTCTCCCAAACCTTTCCTCCAAAAACATTCATCAAATGACTTAGTTTAAAATTTTCTCAAGATTAGAAATTAATTTGGAGGAAACTGATCTTCTTTTAAAATGCAGAGTCCCATGATTACTCAAGAATTTTCAATCATCCCTACCTTACCTTTGAATTAGTTCAATCAGATTGACTTCCTCCTCATATTTAGTTGAATCTGCAACTTAAAGAACATATATTTTATGATGAGCAGGAAGAATAGAAGGTGAACTTTTAAAAATGGGGGATGGAAAAGCGTTTTGGTGGAAAGAAATAAAACAAAGGCCAACTAGAGAGCAGAACTGAGGAGATGAGAACAAGAAGGTTGAGAGCACAATTCAAAATTTTAAAAGAAACTAATGCAATTCTTTTCAGGTTCACATCAAGCTTTGACCAATACCTATCATCCTTGGATTCATGAATTATTTTTAATTATTATAAGCAGCAAATTGAGGAAATCATTTCATTAGAGTGTCTCAAATATTCATAAGAGCATCAGAGCTTTCCTCTAAGGTTGAACTATAAGGCTGCTTTTAGCTTTCCTTGCCTTTGACTTACTCATTCTACCACTTCCACATGACTGTACCCACATCAAATACCCAGGTTGCTTTGCCAAGCAACACTTGGCTGGCACAAGGGATCTGTTGCTATTTGGCTTTCTCTCCCATGCCCTTTTGTTTCTGAGGTTTTCCATGCTTGGGAATGAGAGATTTATAGAGGGGAGATTTCCTATTTAGGGCTTTATCCCCCAAACTCCATTTAAATGCTCAAGTGTCCTAAAGCCCATTTCTCCTGATTTAGAAAATGGACTAAAGAAACAGCAGAGAATGTAGGGGTCGGTGCTACACATTAGTTTATCCTAAATGGTTTTGCTGTAGGGCTTCCTAGAGACTGAGGAATGAACTAGGATCCACATGGCCTGCCAAGAGCCCCTGCAATCCCCTTGATCCTCTGGTTCTATGAGAAATTGCTATGTGTCTTTTTCAGGCTGTTGTTATAGTGTTGAATGCTGTGATTCCCAATTTGCTCCTAACTGAAGTGGCTTCAGTGATGATTTCCCTAAGCTCAAGCTTTGAGAAGACTAGTAGTAGGCAGAGTGCTTTACCAGCCATCAACCCAACACAACTGCCCTAGAACCAGTTGCCGCCAGAGATCAGACTGCCTCTAAGGGGTCTGGAGACGGACACAGCAGGGATGTGCATATACAGTTATGACTCTCCCCTAGCTGTTTCTAATAAGTGAAACCTAAGAGCAGAATAGACACCAACAGAAAAAAATGATGCAATGTTGCTACACTCGTTTCTCACAAAACAGTTATCCCAAGCAACCTGCATGTTTTCTGTTTAAACACCTAAGAAGGACTTTACATTGCAAAATGTCAAACGTAATTTAAAAGCAATTTTATTTATTCATATATCCAATGAGGGAAATTGTAGTCCCCATTTTATTGTGTGAGAATTTCCATTTAAGTCTAGTTTCTTTAAAGAAGGTACTCTACCTTCAAACAAATGTCCGGCTGACTCGAATCATGCAAACCAAGAGGTTAGAGGCTATTTCATATGTATTTGATTATAAATACCACTGGATGTAGGGCCCTCACATATTTCTATATGGTGTTATAATGATGGTTGACACTTATTAAGTTCTGACAATGTGTTGGGCATATTTCTAAGTGCTTTATATGAATTAATTTATTCAGTTTTCACAAGAATCCTATGTAGTAGGTACTACAGTATTATGATCTTCATTTATCAAACAAGAAGACTGAGTGACAGAGATACAAGTAACTTGTCTAAGGTTAAATCTGGTGGTAGAACTGGGAACTGAAAGCAGGTAGTTTAGCTATAGAGCCAATACTCTTTATCTCTATGCCATGGAGCATACTGTGGCACCAACCACTCAGTAGGCACTTAAGAAATAAAAGTTGTGGTTTTAAATAAATGAAACTAATTTTGGAACAAACAAACATAAGCCAATATTTTTAATGTTCTATAGAGTTATGACATCAAGAGTCTATACTGATTCCCATAATGCTATCATAAATAATTCCTTATACTTGTGTTATATTCCCCACTTCAAGAGAGTTTTTTCATGCAATTTTCATGTAAAAAATTCATGTAAAAAATCCTGTAACATAGAATGACTATTATTATTCCCATTTGAGAAATAAAGCAGGTGAAACCAGGCAGGTTAAATGACTTGCCCTAGCATCCCATGTTCATGTATTAGAAGACTTAATATGGCTAAAATGGCAATATTCCTCAAAGCAACCTACAGATTTAAAACAATCTCTATCAAAATTGTAGCTGCTTTATTTTTGCAGAAGTTGAGAAGCTGATTATAAAATTCATATGGAAATGCAAGGAAATCAGAAGAGTCAAAATAGTCTTGAAAATGAAGAACAAAGTTTGAAGACTTATACCTCTTGACTTCAAAACTTACTACAAAGCAATAGTAATCAGGACAGTGAGTTCTGTCATTGGATATAGATATAGACACATATACAATCAATGGAACAGAATTGGGAACCCAGAAGTAAAAACTTACATTTTTGGTTAACTGATTTTTCTCAAGAGTGCCAAGACAATTCAATGGGGGAAAAAATCATCTTTTTAACTAATGGTACTGGGACAACTAGAATATCCACATGCAAATGATTAAAGTTGAACCCCAACCTGTCACTATACATAAAAATTAACTCAAAATGGATGACAGACCTAAATGTACAGGTTAAAACTATACAACTGTTAGAAGAAAGCATAGATGCACATCTTCTTGATCTTGGATTAGAAATTTCTTAGATATGACACCAAAAGCACAAGAAATCAAAGAAGAAATAAATAATGGGATGTTCTCAAAATTAGAAACATTCATGCTTCAAAGGAAACAATCAAGAAAATGAAAAGATAACTGACAGAATGATAGAAAATATTTGCAAATCACATATCTTATAAGGGATTTGTGGAATCTAAACAAAATAATGTCTCATAAAATAGATAGTAGAACAGTGGTTACCAGAGACTGGGGAGGGGATAAGGAAGGGGAAAATGGAGAAAGGTTAGCCAATGAGTACAAAATTACCATTAGACATGAGGAATATGTTCTGGTGTTCTGTTGCACAGTAGAGTAACTATGGTGAATAGTTATACACTTTATTGTATGCTACAAAATAGCTAGAAAATAGGTTTCTTAATGTTCTCACCACAAATAAATGATAAATAAATCATGTGATGAATATGCGATTTGATTTGATCATTTTACAACAGATATGTGTATTGAAACATCAAATTGTACCCCATAAATAAGTATGATTATAATGTATCCATTAGAACATTTAAAGAAATTGACCAACGTCACAGAGTTAATGCATAGCAGCGATGAGACTTTTATTCAGCACAGCTCTCTTCTAACCTGCATTTTGAATCTCTTTTAGTCATTCTAAAACTACAGCTTTCGTTGTGGCTTTCCTCTGATTAAAATCCTCTGGGGTATTTCTCATCAAATAGAAACTCCTCATGATGATATTCAGCCTTATTTTACCTTGCAATCTTAATTTCCACTAATAATTCATTTCTTAAACATTAACTGAACACCTCCCATGGACACCTCGACTTGCTAGGACTGAAGGTTAAAAGTGTGGTTACCTGTCCTTAACTTTAAACTACTACTTTAAAGTTAAAGTAGTAGTTGGGATAACCCCCAATCAAATAACTATAATACAAGCTAAAATTGATAAGTGTCACATGAACTACAGTAATATTAGTGGTGTGGTAATTTATAAACATGAGACAGCTTTTAGCTAGTGTTTGAGCATATTTGTAGGTGCACGGGGTTGGTAGAGGGAAGGCTTTGTGTGGAGGAAGTAGCATTTGAATTGAGCCTTGATAAAGAAAGGACTCACCATCTACAAAAAGGCTTAGACAAAGGCAGTAGAATATAGACATACATTGTTTTATTGAATTTCACTTTATTGCACTTTACAGATACTGCATTTTAAATAAATTGAAGGTTTGTGGCAACCCTGCATTGAGCAATGCAATCAGCGCCATTTTTCCAACAGCGTGTGTTCACTTTGTGTCTCTGTGGCACATTTTGGTAATTCTCACAATATTTCAAACTTTTTCATTACTGTTATATCTGTTATGGTGATCAGTGATCAGTGATCTTTGATGTTATGGATTGCAATTGTTTTGGGGCACCACAAGCCACACCCAGATAAGATGGTAAACTTAATAGATAAATGTATGCGTTCTGACTGCTTCACCATCCAGCCATTCCCCCATCTCTCTCCCTCTCTTCAGGCCTCCCTATTCCCTGAGAAACAGCAATACTGAAATTAGGCCAACTAATAACCCTATGATGGCCTCTACGCGTTCAAGTGAAAGGAAGTCCTACATCTCTCACTCGAAATCAAAAGCTAGAAATAACCTTAGTGAGAAAGGCATGATGAAAGGTGATATAGGCCAAAAGCTAGGCCTCTTGTGCCAAACAGTTAGCCGAGCTGTGAATGCAGTGGAAAAGTTCTCAGAGGAAATCAAAAGTGCCACTCCAGTAAACACATGAATGACAGGAAAGCTAAATATCCTTGATATGGTTTGGCTGTGTACCCACCCCAATCATATCTTGAATTTTAACTCCCATAATTCCCACGTGTCGTGGGAGGGACTCAATGGGAGGTAATTGAATCATGGGGGTGGGCCTTTTCCCATGCTGTTCTCGTGATAGTGAATAAGTCTCAAGAGATCTGATGGCTTTATAAAGGGGAGTTCCCTGCACATACTCTTTTTTTAAATTGTTCTTTCAAGGATTTTTTAAAACTGTTTTACTTTTTTAATTTTAATTTTATTTTTTTTTTCCTTTAACTTCTGGGATACATGTACAGAATGTGCAGGCTTGTTATATAGGCATACATGTGCCATGGTGGTTTGCTGCACCTATCAACCCATCATCTCGGTTTTAAGCCCCGCATGCATTAGGTATTTGTCCTAATGCTCTCCCTCCCCTAGCTCCCCACCTCTGACAGTCCCTGATGTGTGATGCTTCTCTCCCTGTGTCCATGTGTTCTCATTGTTCAACTCCCACTTATGAGTGAGAACATGCAGTGTTTGGTTTTCTGTTCCTGTGTTAGTCTGCTGAGAGTGATGGCTTCCAGCTTCATCCATGTCCCCGCAAAGGACATGAACTCATTTTTTTATGGCTGCATAGTATTCCATGGTGTATATGTGCCACATTTTCTTTCTCCAGTCTATCATTGATGGGCATTTGGGTTGGTTCCAAGTCTTTGCTATTGTAAATAGTGCTGCAATAAACATACATGCCCTGCACATGCTCTTTTTGCCTGCCACCATGTAAGACGTGACATTGCTCCTTCTTTGCCTTCTGCCATAATTGTGAGGCCTCCCCAGCCATGTGGAACTATGAGTCAATTAAGTCTCTTTCCTTTATAAATTACTTAGTTTCGGGTATGTCTTTATTAATAGCATGAGAACGGACTAACACAAGCCTCATTGCTGATATAGAGAAAATTTTAGTGGCTTTGATAGAAGGCCAAACAACCCACAACATTCCTTTAAGCCAAAGCCTAATACAGAGCAAGCCCCTAATTCTTCAAGGCTGAGACAGGAGGGAAAACTGCAGAAGAAAAGTTGGAAGCTAGCAGAGGTTGGTTCATGAAGTTCAAGGAAAGAAGCCATCTCCATAACAGAAAAGTGCAAGATGAAGCAGCAAGTGCTGATAGAGAAGCTGCAACATGTTACCCAGAAGATCTAGCTAAGATTATTGATGAAGGTGGCTAGATTAAACAACAGATTTTCAGTGGAGATAAAACAGCCTTCTAATGGAAGAACATGCCATCTAGGATTTTCATAGCTAGAGAGGAGAATCAAAGGACAGGCTAATTTTTGTTGGAGTCTAATGCAGGCAGTGAATTTAAGTTTAAAGTCAATGCTCATTTACCGTTCCAAAAATCCTATAAGAATTATGCTAAATCTATTCTGCCTGTGCTCTATGAATGAACCAACGAAGCCTGGGTAACAGCACATCTGTTTACAGCATGGCTTACTATTTTAAGCCCATTGTTGAGATCTACTGCTTAGAACATTCTTTCAAAATATTATCACTTGTTGACAATGCATCTAGTTACTCAAATGCTCTGATGGAGATGTACAAAAAGATTAATGTTCTTTTCATGCCTGCTAACACAGTATCCATTCTGCAGCACATGGATCGAGGAGTAATTTTGACTTTTAAGTCTTATTAAGAAATACATTTCATGAGGCCATAGCTGCCATATGCAGTGATTTCTCTGACGGATCTAGGCAAAGTAAATTGAAAGTCTTCTGGAAAAAATTCACCATTCTAGATATCATTAAGAATGTCTGTGGCTCATGGGAGGAGGTCAAAATATCAACATTAACAGGAGTTTGGAAGAAGTTAATTCCAACCCTCACGGATGACTTTGAAGGATTCAAGGCTTCAGGTGAGGAAGTAACTGCAGATGTGGAAATAGCAAGAGAACTAGAATTAGAATTTGAGTATGAAGATGTGACTGAATTTCTGCAATCTTATGATTAAACTTTAATAAATGAGGATTTGCTTCTCATGGATAAACAAAGTAGTTTCTTGAGATGGAATCTACTCCTGGTGTAGATTTACTGGAATGACCACAAAAAATTTAGAATATTTCATAAAGTTAGTTGGTAAAACAGTGGCAGGGTTTGAGAGAATTGACTCAAATTTTTTATCAATACATAATATTTTACACATTTATATGCGTATATGTGATATTTTGCTACATCCATAGGATATGTAATAATCAAATCAGGGCATTTGGAGTATCCGTCACCTTGAGTATTTATCATTTCTATGTATTGGGTACAGTTCAAGTCCTCTTCTGTAGTTACTTTGAAATATACAATAAATTGTTGTTAAGTATAGTCACACTACTCTGTCATCAGACGGTTGACTCTAATTTTGAAACAATTTCTACTGTGGATAAAATGTTGTCAAACAGCATTGCATGCTACAGAGAAATCCTTTGTAAAGGGAAGAGTCAATTGATACAGCAAACTTCACTCTTGCCTTATTTTAAGAAATTGCCACAGCCACTCCAACTTTCAGCAACCACCACACTGATGAGTCAGCAGCCATCAACATTGAGGCAAGACCTTCCATCAGCAAACGATTATGACTCTCTGAAGGCTTAGACTATTATTAGCAATAAAGTATTTTTTAAATTAAAGTATGTATATATTTTAGACATAATGCTATTGCACATAATAGACTACAGTATAATGTAAACATAATTTCTATATGCACTGGGAAACCAATATTGCATGATTTACTTTATTGCAATATTTGCTTTATTGTGGTGGTCCAGAACTAAATCTACAATGTCTGCAAGGTACACCTGTACAGGTTATGTTTCAGAAGTGGCAAGTTGTCTTCATAGGCAGGAGTAGAGTGGATAGAAGGAGGAGTGGTATGAGAGAGAATGGAAAAGTAATGGAGGTAGATTATGGAAGACTTTGATCACCAACAAAAGGTATTTGGACTATATTGTGATGTGGTATGAAGGAAAAAGACCATGGACTTTTGAAACAAATGTACCCGAGTTCAAATCCTGGCTGAGTCACTAAACAGGCCAGTGATTTCCAGTAAATTGTGTTCCTAATTTCCAAAATGGGAATAAGGATATTTATTGTATTTGGGTTGTTGTGAAAACTAGTTGTGATAACTAGCTATTAGGTGTTGGGAGAACCATTGCTAGATTTAGGGGAAGGATAGACGAGGTGATTAAAGTTATGTTTTAGAAAGGTTTCTTTATTAGCAAGGGGAATAAAGGAGGAGCTGGACAATGAAATAAGTCAGGGAGGCTGCTGCTATAGTTCAAATAAGAGATTATATATACTGATTCTCAAAATGTAGCTATAAAAGAATCGCTTACACTGATGAAAACCTAAACAAGGATGGTGATATACAAAGACCTTCCAGAAGATGAATCAACCAAGATGTTTGACTGATAAGCTGCATGAAGAAAGGGGAAAAAAGAGTTAAAGAGGACCTTGGGTTTTCTAACTTAAATGAAGAAGAATTTTATTTCTACTGACAGGGCTTGGAAAGTCAGAAAGCAGAACAGTCTTGGAATAAAGGTGAATGAGCTAGGTTTTGGACATCTGTGAGGAAATACAAACTTGATTGAGGGTGAGGGCGAGTAGGAGATTTGAAAGCCATGGGAGACTGGAGATGCTAAAGCACTTTAAGAAGCTGTCAAGCTCTGGGACTTAGGACAGCCTAAAAGGCCCAGAAAAGGTGCAGAAAGGGAAGTGGGTGTTTTTCAGAAACCATGTGGCATGTTTGAAAATTTGCCTCAAGCAGGCTGGAACTATTCCCAAGGGAAGAGCAGGCAATGTGGAATTCTCTTCCTCTTTCTTCTCCTTCTCCCCTTTCATTCTGTATTACATAGGCCCTATTAACCAGAAGTGAGAATTCCAACTAATACTATAGTATTACACCTCAGCTACACTGGAGGATTAATAGGCTTTTTAAATGGGCTGATTTGGAACCTGAGAAGTAATGTCTAGCATTAAATCTATGGGAAAATGTGTTTTGAGTTCCAAATCACTAAATCTTTGGAACACATCTCATTTGTAAGCTGAAGACTGCCTGTATTAAAATCATAGTTATATTTCCTCTTGTTCCACTGGATTCAGCCTTTTCAGAAAGCTAGATAGCATTTAAAGCACATAGGAAAACAATCTGTTTTGTGTGGATGATCCCATATCAGCTTAATCAGATGGTTGGCTGCTGGTCTATCTGCTTTAAGGGCCCTGGCCATCCACAGCTCTTGATGTTATGCCAATGAACTTCCTAACAGGTGTTAGCCTTTTCATTCATAGCCCCTTGGCTCCCATCTAGAAAGAAATTTTGGGTCACAAATTATCTCTGTTACTCTGAGCCTCTAGCTATTGCCTTCTTCTAGCAAAAGTCAGTTGGTAGAGGAATTCTTTGGTTTAGTTGCCCTTCTGAAAGCCTGGGAGCATGCTGGGCACAGGCATTCAGTGCCCTTTCAGAACCCTTCTGTACCCTGATATATGGAATGTCTTTTTAATGCCCTCTTACTGGCTGTTTTTAGTTTCCCACAGTCCTGCCTTGTCAATTAGCCAGCTGGCAAGTGTCTCTAATCTCTCCATGTCCTTTCTTCTGAACATTAGCTTTTTGTGCCACCTGAGAAGCTAATTGACAGTTAACTGGTGGTGGTGATTACAGTAATGTTCAAGGACGAAACAGCATTGGACTGATGTGACTGAACCAGGGCCTTTCCTCTTGGAGAGCAACCATTGTAATAGAAATACTTTTTATCTGGTTTCCCATTTTTTTCTCCTACTTCCATATTCTAAATACATTTCTTGGGGGGAGGGGCAAAATAATGCCAGATTTGCTTGACTGTAGGAATGAAAATTTCAAGGACAGCAGTAGAAATCACACTAAAGTTAAAATGATATTGTATCAAACAGCAACTGACCAAGGATTATTCAGACTCTGAGATCGCTATGCTTCCAAGGAAATAAACAAAAAACATAAGGACCAGACCACTGCCAAAGCTCCAAGCAGAACTGATTTCTCCTTTCTCCATCAACCCAAAGTAATTTGTAGCATTGAATTATAGTAATCCTGTAACTATATATCTAATAACCAATTTCCTCTACTAGATTATAGTCTTAATACTTCATTCAGTAACTCTTTCTATGAGAAAATTATCCAGAGATCTGATGTGAAAGCTTGAATCAATCACAGATTCACAGATTATGGAAATCGGAAAACTTTATATATCTATATAAAACTGCTTTCTGAAAAAAAAATCAGAAATGCGAACAAAGTTTTATGTACAAGAATAATATAGTATTATTTATTAATGGTAATAGGATTTGGATATTTGTCCCTCAAAATCTCATGTTGAAATGTAATCTCCAGTGTTGGAGGTAGGGCCTGGTGGGAGCTGTTTGGATCATGGGGGTGGATTCCTCATGAATGGCTTAGTGCCATCCCCTTGTTGATGAGTGATTTCTCACTCTGAGTTCACATAAGATCTGATTATTTAAAAGAGTCTGGGACCTCCCTGCTCTCTCTCACTCTCACTCTTGCCATATGAGGCAACCGTTTCCCCTTTGCCTTCTGCCATGATTGTTAGCTTCCTGAGGCCTCACCAGAAGCCAAGCAGATGCTGGCACCATGCTTCCTGTACAGCCTGTAGAACTGTGAGCCAATTAAACCTTTTTTATTTATAAATTACCCAGCCTCAGGTATTTCTTTATAGTGATGCAAGAATGGAATAATACAGAAAATTGGTACTGAGGAGTGGGGCATTGCTACAAAGATACCTAAATATGTGGAAGCAGCTTTGGAAATGGGTAATGGGCAGAGGTTGGCAGAGTATGGAGGGATCAAAAGAAGACAGGAAGATGAGGGAAAGTTTGGAACATCTTAGGGACTGATTAAATGGTTGTGACCAAATGCTGATAGAAATATAGACAGTGATGGTCAGACAGACAAGGTCTCATATGGAAATGAGGAAGTTATTGGGAACTAGGGTAAAGGTTACCCCTGTTATGCCCTAGCAAAGAGCTTTGGAACTGGGTAATGGGCAAAGGTTGGAAGAGGGCTGCATTGTGTTAATGTCATAGGAATCTATGGAAATTTGAACTTAAAAGTGATGACCTAGTTTATCTGGTGGAATAAATTTCTAAGTGTTCAAGAGATGGCCTAGTTGCTTCTTACAGCCTATGATCAGATACAGGAGCAAAGAAATGACTTAAAATTGGAACATATACTTAAAAAGGGAAGTAGAGCATAAAAGTTTGGAAAATTTGCCACCTGGCCCTGTGGTAGAGGAAGAATTCAAGCAGGCTGTGGAGCAACCACTTGCTAGAGAGATCAGTGTGACTAAAAGGGAGCCAAGTGCTAATATCCAAGACAGTGGGAAAAAGACTTTGAAATCATGTCAGAAATCTTGGCCTCAGTCCTTCCCATCACGGGCCCAGAAGCCTAGGAGGAAAGAATGGTTTCAGGGATAAGGTCTAGGGCCCTGATGACCTATGCAGCCCCAGGATGTTACTCCTCAAATCTCAGCTTTTCCAGCTCCAGACTCAGCTCAAAGGTGCCCAGGTATGGCTCAGGCCACTACTCCAGAAGATGCAAGCCAGAAGCCTTGGTGGCTTCTATGTAGTGTTAAGTCTGCAGGTATGTGGATTGCAAGAGTAAAGGAGGCTGGGCAGCTTCCCCTAGATTTCAGAGAATGTATAAGAAAGCCTGGGTGCCCATACAGAAGCCTGCTGCAGGGGTGGAATCCCCACAGAGAACCTCTACTAAGTCAGTACAGAAGGGAAATGTGGAGTTAGAGCACCCACACAACCTCACCAGTGGAGCACAGCCTAGTGAAGCTGTGGGAAAGGGGCTGCTGTCTTCCCAGACTCAAGCATGGTAGATTCACCAGCAGCTTGCATCCTGAGCCTGGAAAAGCCACAAGGACTCAACTTCAACCCGTAAGAGCAGCCATGGGGGTTAAGCCCCGCAAAGCCACAGGGGTGGAGCTGCCCAAGGTCTTGGGAGCCCACATCTTGCACAAGTGTGGCCTGGATGTGGGCCATGAAATCAAAGGGGATTACTTTGAAGCTTTAAGGTTTAGTGACCTTCCTGTTGGCTTTCAGACTTGCATGGGGCTTATATCCCCTTTCTTTTGGCTGATTTCTCCCTTTCAGAATGGTAATGTTTACCCAATACCTGTATCAACATGTATCTTGGGAATAAATAACTTGTTTTGATTTTATAGGCTCACAAATGGAAGGAGATGAGTCTCACATGAGAGGACTTTGGGCTTGATGTTGAAATGTTTTGGGGACTATTGGCAGGGTATGATTGTATTTTGCAATGTGAGAAGAACATATGATTTAGAGGGAAAATGATATGGTTTGGATGCTTGTATCATCCAAATTCAATGTTGAAATGTAATCCCCAGTGTTGGAAGTGGGGCCTAATGGGAGTTGATTTGATCATGGGGGCAGATCTCTCATGAATGACTTAGTACCATCCCCTTGATGATGAGTGAGTTCTTGCTCTTAGCTCATGTGAGATCTGGTTGTTTAAAAGAATCTGGGACCTTCCCCATATGCTCTATCTCATACCTGCTCTCTCGATGGGATGTGCCTGCTCCTCCTTTGCTTTCCATTATAATTGTAATCTTCCTGAGGCCTCACCAAGAGCAGATGCTGGCACCATACTTCCTGTACAGCCTGCAGAACCATAAGCCAATTAAACCTCTTTTCTTTATAAATTACCCAGCCTCAGATATTTCTTTATAGTGAGGCAAGAATGAACTAACACAAGTGGTGCTAAACTAGAAACCATTTAAATGCCCAGCGATGGGGGAATTATTAAATGAGCTAAGTTATAGCTACAAGGTGGAAAATTATACTGCCACTAAGAAACACTATTTTGAGAGTGGATAATGATATGGAAAATGTCAATGAACTACAAAGCAAGATATACAACTACAAATAGAGTATGATCCCTGTTTGAGGAAATACACACACACACACACACACACACACACACACACACACACACAGAGAGAAATTTCTAACCATTAGGGATAAGTGATCAGGTTCCTGAAGATTTATTTTCTTTCTTTATACTTTTTTATGTTTTTTAAGTTTTCTATTGTGGACATGGGTTACATACATTCTACAAAATGCACTAAATATCGTATGAAACATCAATGGTATATATAATAGAAATGGAAAAACTCCCTTTTTACTATTTTCCATTATGTTCTCATACTTTTGAATTTTCTTTTTTGTTGTTGGTCATTGTATTAGTCTGTTCTCATGCTGCTAATAAAGACATAACCAAGACTGGGTAATTTATAACGAAAAGGAGGTTTAATGGATTCACAGTTCCACTGGCTGGGGAGGCCTCACAATCATGGTGCAAAGTGAAGGAGGAACAAAGGCACATCTTACATGGTGGCAGGCAAGAGTGCATGTGCAGGGGATCTGCCCTTCATGAAACCATCAGATCTTGTGACTTATTCTCAAGACTTATTCACTATCAGGACAACAGCATGGGAAAAACCTGCCCCCATGATTCGATTATCTCCCATGGCATCCCTCCCATGACATGTGGGGATTATGGGAGCTACAATTCAATATGAGATTTGGGTGAGGACACTGTCAAACCACATCAGTCATATTTACTCAATCCATGAGCGACAAGGATGATTTGCCAAAGCTTTTATAAAATTAAGAGTCAATTAATGGGATAATACATAACGTTGGTGAGGGATGTTTAAAAGAATGAGATCTGTGGAGAAGATAACCCACAGGGATGGAATATGACCAGTTAGCAACTGGAAGATGTACAAGGGGAAGACTTGTTTCCCACTGAAGACTAAATAACAGAAGATTAAATTGCAGCTAGGAGAATTTAGAATAGAGATATTGCAAACATTATTGGTAGTAAAGATTGTTAAGTTTTCAAGTGGGTCACTAAGAAATGACTAGATAATCAACTGTGTGAAGTGATTTTAAGTCTAGATTTATTTACAGGTGGAGGATAGACAAAATGACTTCATGCAATATTTTTTTAGCCACAAAATACTATGATTTTATGCTTGATCAGGATATAGAAATGATGGTAACATCTGTTTTTTTCTTTTTCTTTTTTTTTTCTTTAGAGACACAGTGTTGCTCTGTCACCCAGTCTGAAGTGGCAAGATCATACCTCACCACAGCTTTGAACTCCTAGGTTCAAGGGATCTTCCCACCTCAGCCTCCCAAGTAGCTGGGACTACAGGTGCCTGGCATCATGCTTCTCTATTTATTTTTATTTGTGTAGAGACATGGTCTTGCTATGTTGCCCAGACTTGTCTCAAACTCCTGGCCTGAAGTGATCCTCCAGCCTTAGCCTCTCAAAGCACTGGGATTACAGGCAGGAGCCACCACTCCTAGCCTGGTAACATTTTAAAAGGGAGAATGAGCATTTAGAAGTGATTGGGAGCCTGTAATCCCAGCACTTTGGGAGGCCAAGGTGGGCAAATCACCGGAGGTTGGGAGTTCAAGACCAGCTTGGCCAAAATGGTGAAACCCTGTCTTTACTAAAAATACAAAAATTAGCCAGTCGTGGTGGCATGCACCTGTAATCCCAGCTACTCGGGAGGCTGAGGCAGGAGAATCATTTGAACCCGGGAGGCAGAGGTTGTGGTGAGCCAAGATCATGCCATTGCACTCCAGCCTCGGCAACAAAGTGAAACTCTGTCTCCAAAAAACAAAAAAGAAAGAAAAAAAGAAGTGATTGGGAGCTGGTAGTCATTTGTATTTTTATCTCTACCTTCTGGCATGTCAATTGGTAAGAGATTTGGATATAATCAGGGCACAATGAAGCATAATTTTTGACCACAATGCAATGAATAAATCTCAAAAATTTCAGATTAGGCTTTTACTAGCTCATAAAATATACCATCCCCAAGGAATTCTAAGTGCCAGCATTCTTCAAACAGTGTCTTGGAACTAGAGCTCTGGGAGGTTGGCTCAGGCCCAGGGACCCATTTAGCTGATGCTGTATTCTGAAATCACTCTACAGAGCTTCTAAGTGCCAGATCTCAGCCAACTCAACGAGATGACTCTGCAAAGCTAACAGGAACCCAGAAAGCCCATTGGCAGCACTGTAAGTTATTACTGTTGTTCAGCTAGGGAATTGTCACTGTTACAAATCTCTATGCTCCAGAAAAAAACAGGGAGCCCAAAGGGACTGCTTATCTTTAAGCAGAGAAACTCAAAATTATGAGGCTAAATAACCTCCTGAATGTAACGTCAGGAGCAATGTGAAAGTCCTCCTTACTTCTGAAGAAATTCTGGCTTAGATTAATGGATACCTGAAATATCTTTAGTAGAAAAACGCCATTTTTCTATAATCACAGATAAATACTGCTATGCAAACACTCTTGGGTGAGGAAATAAGTTAGTGGCATAACTCATTCATACTGAGGTGAATGTGCAGGCAGAAAGCTTTAATGGGAAGATATCTGAGGTAGTGGGTATACTCGCTCTTCAGGGAGGTGAGTTGAACACAGAAGAAGGGAGAGGCACTGGGATGGCATGGTGGAATTACCCCCTCTCCAACTTTGGCCCCAGGGCAGCATTATCAGAATCCAAGTGCATGTGTTGGTGTGTATGGGTACTCCTATGTGAGTGCACATGGGCACAGGCCTATTATATTTAAAGATTGTGAAGAAATACTAACACCTGCTGAGCACCCAAGAGTGCTAGACACTGTACACCTGTTATCTCACTCCATTCTTACAAAGTAGTTATTATTCCCATTGTCAGAAAACTAATGCACAGAGAGATTAAATTGCTTGCTCAAGATTTTAGAACATGATGAAATCTGGAAATAAAATCAGTTTGGGGATGCAGAGTGGCCTAGGCTTCTACCTAGATTAACAACATCTCTATATGAGATCACAGAAATAGTCAATGAGTTAATGTGTGTATTTGAACCGTTAATTTGTTAAATATAATCATTGTTGAATAGTTCATACTGTTTTTAACTTATTCTATCATTTCTATATTTTTTATTACGCCAAGAGCCTTCCCAAAATGGAACTGAACTGAGCTTTCCTGAGCTCTCAGAGGTTTTGTCTCTCTTGCTTCAGAGTAGCCACCACCTGGCCAATAAATGATGTCTCTATAACACACATCTGCTCTTGTCATTCACTTATTTAAACCTCTTCATCGGCTCTCGTTTTCATCTGTTTAAAGGACAAAGTCCTTAACATTTTCTTTACTAACCTGACTACCTAAACAGCCTGATCTCCTCTCCTGCCGTATTACTTCATATATCCTCTGAGAGCCTTGCTGAACTTCTGGTTGGCTATACCCTAAATGTGTTGTACTGACAATTTTGGTTCCTCTGCCTGGAATCTCTCTGTCTACTTTTCCACCTAGATAACTGCCACTCCTTCTCTAAAATCATTGTTTAAGGTGCCAGGATGAGGTAAGGATGGGGATGAGGGATGCAGGTTAGAGGCAGCAATATAATATTTAACTACATATAGTCATAACTACTCTGAAAAATGTATTAAATACCTCAAAGTACATGATACAACTTTGTACATAAATATGTAGGTAAAAATAGGTATCATTAAGCACTAGAATCGTATTCAGAGCAGTGCAGTGAGATGTTAAAACTGCAAAAGTAAGGAACTAAGATCCCATGGGAGAATCACAAATGCACTTCTGCTGTCTCATGTTCACATAATTCTGCACTCACTAACTCTTCTTGGTAGTCTGAATTATTAAAATTCTTCCTCTCTTTTTGTCTTTTCAATGTAGATGCATCCCTGTAATGTTACCTCGCTATAGCCAAAAACTCTGTGAAACTTTTTCTGACTCCCTGCGGCAGTATCAGCCTCATAGAATTCTATTCATATCTCTACTACAGCACCTATTTGGCCTTGCTATAATTATTTAAGTGACTGTTCTCTCAAATAGACTGTGAACTCCTCAACAGTGTGACCCATATTGCCTTTATTACTCTACTTATAGCACTGAGGACAGTTCTTAGTAAAGATAAGGCCAAAGCTTCTCTAAGCATATTCCATGGATCAATATTAGAATTACCTAGGAAACCTCTTAAGATGCAAATTCATTAAGAGAAATAACAATTTTTATTTAAGGTTCTGATTCAGCACTTCTTGGGTTAGCTCCAGGAATTCCTATTTTCAAAGCACCTCCCAGGCACATCCACATTTACATGTGGAAGCAAATGTAAATGTGGCCTCTTCTGATGCCTTCTCTACTGAGTGAGTAGATGTGGCCTTTCCTGTTGCAATAGGATGAGATCTGAAGAGGCATCAGAACTGAAATGCAGAGAAGTGTTGCAGGCACTCGAGTGAAACAGCTGTAAAGGAACTGGAAGGATAGCTTGAATTTTGCACAGAGGTTTTGTATCCTAGTCTGTGCACTTGAGTTGAGGTTGCTCCACAAATTGTAAATTGGAAGTAGTGGAGATTGTGGTTGACTCCCTAGGACTCACTTTCTTCCTCTCATATTGAATTGCAGCAATGCAAGTTGGAGAATTGATTTCAGCTCAAAGGGTGAGCCTGATTGGTCTGAGGATAAATTTATCTCATTTACCAGCTATGGTTCAGATACTCAACCTGCTTGAAATTCAAGGAAAGGTGTATTGGAAGTTTTGGGGGAACTGTCTTTGGTTTTAGGAGAAAGGCTCTTCCCTTGGCTGTAAGCAAGAAAACATACGGCTCTGCTTGTTGTTGATAGGTCTATCATGACCACGAGGAGATTCTAGCTTTAGAAAGCAGTGAATGCTCTAGATAACAGAGTATAGTGACAAAAAAAGAATCTGGACCAGGCACAGTGGCTCACGCCTGTAATCCTAACACTTTGGGAGGCTGAGGCAGAAGGATCACTTGACCCCAGAAGTTCGAGACCAGCCTGGGCAACATAGTGAGACTCTGTCTACAAAAAAATAAATTTTTTTATTTTTATTTATTTATTTATTATTTATTATACTTTAAGTTTTAGAGTACATGTGCACAACGTGCAGGTTTGTTACATATGTATACATGTGCCATGTTGGTGTGCTGCACCCATTAACTCGTCATTTAACATTAGGTATATCTCCTAATGCTATCCCTCCCCCCTCTCCCCACCCCATGACAGGCCCCAGTGTGTGATGTTCCCCTTCTTGTGTCCTTGTGTTCTCATTGTTCAATTCCTACCTATGAGTGAGAACATGCAGTGTTTGGTTTTTTGTCCTTGCGATAGTTTGCTGAGAATGATGGTTTCCAGCTTCATCCATGTCCCTACAAAGGACATGAACTCATAATTTTTTATGGCTGCATAGTATTCCATGGTGTATATGTGCCACATTTTCTTAATTCAATCTATCATTGTTGGACATTTGGGTTGCTTCCAAGTCTTCGCTATTGTGAATAGTGCTGCAATAAATATACGTGTGCATGTGTCTTTATAGCAGCATGATTTATAATCCTTTGGGTATATACCCAGTAATGGGATGCCTGGGTCAAATGGGATTTCTAGTTCTAGATCCCTGAGGAATCGCCACACTGACTTCCACAATGGTTAAACTAGTTTACAGTCCCACCAACAGTGTAAAAATGTTCCTGTTTCTCCACATCCTCTCCAGCACCTGTTGTTTCCTGACTTTTTAATGATTGCCATTCTAACTGGTGTGAGATGGTATCTCGTTGTGGTTTTGATTTGCATTTCTCTGATGGCCAGTGATGATGAGCATTTTTTTGAAGGATATGAACAGATACTTCTCAAAAGAAGACATTTATGCAGCCAAAAAAATAAATTAAAAAGGAAATTAACTGGGTGCTGTGGCCCATGCCTGTAGTTTCAGCTACTTGGGAGGCCGAGGTGGGAGGATTGTTTGAGCCCTGGAGATCTAGGCAAAAGTGGGCAATGATCACGCCACAGCACTCCAGACTGGGTGACAGAGTGAGACCCTGTCAAAAAAGAAAAAAAAAAAAAAGAATCTGTGTCCTTGATGGCTTTTTTTTAATTGGTAAAATACACAGAACATAAAATTTATCATCTTAACCATTTTTAAGTGTACAGTTTAGTGGTATTAAGTACATCCATATTGTTGTGCAACCATCACTACCATACATCTCCAGAACTTTATCTTCCTCAACTGAAATTCTGTCCTCATTAAATAATAACTGATATTTCTGACTCCCCTAGCCTCTGGCAACCACAATTTTGCTTTCTGTTTTTATGAATTTGACTACACTATGCACTTCTTATAAAAGAAATCGGGCTGGGCATGGTGGCTCATGCCTGTAATCCCAGAATTTGGGAGGCTGAGGCAGGTAGATCACCTGAGGTCAGGAGTTCAAGACCAGCCTGGCCAACATGGTGAAACCCCGGTCTCTACTAATAATACAAAAAAATTAGCTGAGCGTGGTGGCACACACCTGTAATCCCAGCTACTTGAAAGGCTGAGGCAGAAGAATTGCTTGAACCCAGGAGGCAGAGGTTGCAGTGAGCTGAGATCACACCATTGCACTCCAGCCTGGGCAACAAAAGTGAAACTCTGTCTCAAAAAAAAAAAAAAAGTTAAATCATACAATATTTGTCCTTTTGTTACTGGCTTATTTTATTTAGTACACTGTCTTCAAGGTTCATTCATGATGTAGTGTGTGTCAAAATGTCCTTCCTTTTTAAGGCTAAATAATATTCCATTTTATGAATATACAACATTTTATTTATCCCTTCATCTGTTGATGGACATTTGGGTTGCTTCCACCTTTTGGCTATTGTGAATAATGCTGCTATGAACATATATGTAAAAATATCTGTTCAAGTCCTTGTTTGTGATTCTTTTTTTTTTTTTTGAGACGGAGTCTTGCTGTGTTGCCCAGGCTGGAGTGCAGTGGCACCATCTTGGCTCACTGCAAGCTCTGCCTCCCAGGTTCACGCCATTCTCCTGCCTTGCCTCAGCGCCCAAGTAGCTGGGATTACAGGCGCCTGACACCACGCCTGGCTAATTTTTTGTATTTTTAGTAGAGACGGGGTTTCACCGTGTTAGCCAGGATGGTCTTGATCTCCTGACCTTGTGATCCGCCCACCTCGGCCTCCCAAAGTGCTGGGATTACAGGCATGAGCCATCGCTCCTGGCCACGATTCTTTAGAAGTATATACAAGGAAGTGGAGTTGCTGGGTAATATGATAATTCTATTTTTAATTTTTTAAAGGAATCATCATAGCATTTTCCACAGTGGCTGTACCATTTTATATGCCAGCCAAGAATGCACAAGGGTTCCAATTTGTCTGCATCCTTGCCAACACTTGTTATTTTCTGTTTTTTTTTTTTTTTTTTTCTATTTTTAATACTGGCCATCCTAATGGTTGTGAGGTGTTATCTCATTACAGCTTTGATGTGCATTTTCCTAATGACTAGTGATGTTGAGCATCTTATCATGTGTTTATTGGTTATTTGCATATTTTTTGAGAAATGTTTATTCAAGTTCTTTGATCATTTAGATACTCTTTCCTGTTCTTTAATGTTATGTTATGTTTTACGTTATTAGAGACAGGGTCTCACTCTGTCACCAGGCTGTAGTGCAATGTCACAATCATAGCTCACTGCATCCTGAGACTCCTTGGCTCAAGGGATCATCCTACCTCAGCCTCCTGAATAGCTAAGACTACAGGGACATGCCACCATGCCCAGCTAAATTTTGTCCATTTTTAAAATAAAGTTGTTTGGTGTTGAGTTGTCCTTGATGATAGTTTTAAATTCTTGAATCAACCAACTACAAAGTCTCCTCTAACTTTGGAACCCCAATATGTAATCCAGTAAACTACGTATGGTAGACAGAATAATGGCCCACCAAAGATGTTCATGTCCTAATCTTTGAAATCTATGAATATATTCTCTTATATGACAAAAGGGACTTTGAAGATATGATTAAGTTAAGGATCCTGCTATATTAAGATTATCCTGGAGGGCCCAATCAAATTACAAAAGTCTTCATAACAGGAAAGCAGTAGAGTCAAGAGTCACAGAGAGCTGTAACAATGAAAGCAGAGGTCAGAGTGATACATGTCCATGAGCCAAGGATTGTGGGAAGCCTCTAGAAGCTGAAAATGGAAGGGAGTGGAATTTTCCCTAAAGCTTCCTGAGGGAAGGCAGCTCTGCCAACACCTTGATTTTACTCCAGAAAGATTTATTTAAGATTTATGACCTCTGGAACCGTAAGATAACAAATTTGTGTTGTTTTAAGTCTTAAGGTTTGTGGTAATTTGTTACAGCAGCAATAGGAAACAAATGCGCTACCTTATTGTTTAAGCCAGTTTGAGTTGAGTTTTCCATTATTTACAGCGAAGAACATCTTAATTGATATAAAAAAACACACCAATAATATAAGGAAGCCAATCCCAGACTTTTAATGAATTCTAACTACATAGCAACCACGTTCAGGAAGGTTGATAATAGGCAGTCGTTGCATGACAGGAGACAGGCTGGGAAAAGAATTTCTGATGTACGTTATGGTCAAAGAACAACTAGAATAGCACTCAATAAATGTTTGTTTGATTAATGAATGACATTTTTGTTTAGTTTAAATATTAGTGTTTGTAATTTCCTCCCTGGTTTAATGATTCTGTGGTACTGACTGACAGGGCTGTGTATTTCTCATCAGGCTTCGCTTGGCATGTGTGTTGGAGGATGGATATACATAGGAGTTGATTGTTGCCCCAGAGGCTTGTCTTAGAAACTTAGGCTCTTTCACAGACTCCATCTTGCCTCCCTCAGGGACTTTTTTCTTCTCTGTTATTTTTGTTAAATAATTAGGCTGAGCTAAGCACCCAAACAACAGATCTTTCTCATTAGGACCCAGAGGAAAATGGTTTGGACTACTCACCTAGGACCCTTCTGTCCCTAGGCCCCAAATCACCAATGAAGCATAAGTTCCCTAGGCCAGGGTCTTGATTCCTTCCTGGATGAGCAGAAGCTCTTGCCTTAAAACAAAAAAAGCAAAATTAATAGGCTCGTTTTCCTTCCTCTCTTGATGTTTAGAGTTGGTGTTAAAACTAGGTTTCCTGTTGTTACTTTCAGATAAGAATGTGGGGAATTACAGAGCAGTGCTGAAAAGATCATTAAAGACCCTGAAGATTACTTTAAAGTGAAAATAACACTTTCTGGAAATCATATAAGCAAGTGCTGAGAATATAAGTAAAGCTGTTTCCTGGAATAAAATTTCCATTAATCAGATATCTCTTTCCCCAGGATGAGCTCCAAACAACTAGAGATACAATCATCTTTCTTTCTAGGCTAGCTGATGATCTAAGTTGTGGATTACTCAGAAACTTGGCATCTCTTCAACCTCTCCATGGGCTGCTGGATTTTTGGACTTTTCACAGCAGGTCAGTATCCACAATAAAGCTAAAATATCATCCTCAACAACTACCACCCAGATCTCAGAAATAATGAGAAATTGGATGTTTATGTGAAAACAGGTCTCCAATTGACTGCTTGACTCCAAGTTTCAGGGCTTGAAAGATGAATCAGCCTATGGAAGCAGGTCTGTCCCATCTCATGTCCTTCACAAATTAACTTCAGGCACAGAACTTAACTTTCAGCCTGTGCCTTAGAGGAAGACAGGCCTGGGTTCAAGTCTTGGCTCTCTCACAATACTAGCTAAAGGTAGTTTTGAGGTTGTTTAAACATTCCAAGCCTCAATTTCATCATCTGCAAGAGCGGGATTACAGGATCGTTCTGAGCATTAAATGAGATTATACGTGTATAAGTGCTCCGTAAATGTTAAAGGAATTGGAAAATGTTTGTATTGGCCACTTGGGGTCCAAGTTCTTGCCCTATGATACTCTAGACTTGGCTGATAAAATCATCATTTCTGGCTAGAACCTTGCAGTAAACTCTTGATAAACAACTCAAACTGCAGCTTAAATTCTACCATGAGAGAGTACACAGCTCTTGCTCTGTAGTATTGTGTCTGTTTGAGGCAAAATACCACAGAAATATTCATTGTCTGAAAAAATGAGTTTCATTCAGTTCTGCCATGTGTGACTTATGATAGATTATCTTAGGGAGCAGGCAGCTTCTCTGCAGCAAAGTAAGCATTAAGCCTAACAGGTATCAGGTAACTATTGAATGTACAGAATCACTAATGCTACTGCCCAATTTGAGCAAACAGACATTCCATTCCAATTGTTTTGTCTCTTACCCCAGGGCTAACTCAGCCAGTCAGGTGGAGTTAGCCCAGCTGGCTAAACAGGTGATCCCTTCCTCTCCCACTGCTCCATGTGTTGTGTCATATTAACTTCTTTTCTTGGGAATATTAAGGCTCAAGGGGAATATAAATCTATCCCTGCTTGAACTGTAAACTATGGAAAGTAAGGTCAAGGTCTATTTCATTCCATTTCCGGAGTGGTACATTAATATCAGTTTCCTAATCCAAAAGAGGCATTTGAGTTCATTTAAATGATTAATACAACCTCCAAGAGTACCTAATGTTCACTTGGAGAATGATATTAAGTTAAAAAGGAATTGGTCTCCTTACCATCATTCAATAGGAGGACACAATGGACCTTAAATTTCAGACCTCAGTAATTGTGCCTTTCTAGCATCGCTTGTCCTTAACTTGGTAATGAGAAAAAAATATTAATACATATACAGTTGACCCTTGAACAACACAAGGGTTAGGGGTGCCAACTCCCTGACAGCCAAAATCCATGTATAACTTTTGACTCCCCCAAAACCTAACTGTGAATAGCCTGCTCTTGACTGGAAGCCTTACTGATAACATAAACAGTCAACTAATGCATATATTTTATGTGTTATATACTGTATTCTTACAATAAAGTAAGCTACAGAAAAGAAAATGTTACTAAGAAAATCATAAGGAAGAGAAAGTATATTTACTATCCATTAAGTAGAAGTGGATCATCATAAAGGTCTTCATCCTCTTCGTCTTGTTATTGAATAGGCTGAGGAGAAGGAGAAAGAGGAGGGGTTGTTCTTGCTGTCTCAGGGATGGCAGAGACAGAAGAGGCGGACGAGGTGGAAAGGGAGGCAGGAGAGGCAGGAACACTCAGGATAACTTTTGTTGAAAAAATTCCACAGATAAATAGACCCGTGCAGTTCAACCTCATGTCAAGGGTCAACTGCACATATATGAGACTTAGGTGAGTCAAAAATCATAGCAAGAATATAAACCCATAAAACCCTCCTATATTTGGATATAATTTTGGCTGTTTGTAACAGAGACCTAAATTGACAATGGCTTAAACAGTAGAAGTTGATTTCTCTCTCGCATTACAGTCTGGAGGTAGGCAATCTAGGGCTGCATGGCTGCATGAGGCTGTCTAGGAATACAGATGTTTCATATCCTGTGGTTCAACCAATCTCAGGGTATTTCCTTTGTCCATGGGGATCAAAATGGTTCTCCACAATGTCTGAAAACCAAGCAGTGGGGTAAAGGAAGCAGGAGATATTCTCTTCCTTTAAGAGTGTGATCAGGGGGTGCTTCATATCACTTCCAGCTGCATCCCACTGGCAATAGCTTAATCATATGACCAGAACTAGCTGCAAGAAAGGCTGCAGAATGTGCTCTTTGCCTAGGTGGTCATGTGTCCAGCCAATAATTATTTTACTTTGGAAGAAGAGTAGAATGGATATAAGGTAACAATGAACACTTCTGAGCAAATGGCCACGTCATCACTAATGTCCTCATGATGTGTAAAAGGAAAAAAATAATAGGTTAAAAATGTTTTCATGTCTTTGAGTTTTCAGGAGAAAAGCATAAACCTGCTTGCCTTCTGACCACACACATTCCTAGGCAGTATATCTGATTATAAGCACCTCTAGACAGCATTTATAGCCACTAAGACAGTGCTGACATTCAGCTGCTGTGTCTCAGTAAGGCTGTTCCAGTTGTTCAATTCTTGAAATCCTTTTCGTACTGGTTGGTAAGTAGCTACTGCTCCAAAATCTCCACTTCAGCCCCTGGCTGGCCCATCCCCTCTGACCCTGCTCTATATTTTCCACGATCTAGCAACTAAAGAGTTAGGGCATGGCTCAGCAAGTGGCTTTGGAAACTCTGCTCCAGGACTAAGCCATTGCCCATTCTAATCAGTTAACGCAGGCCAGTACAGGTGTTAACCTATTTTGACTAACACTCTGCACTAAAGATGAAGGGATGCTCCAGCAGGAAGTTAACTCCGGATTTTTCAGTTGCTTGACCATGCACACCTGAGACCTAGCATTAGCAACTATCCCACAAACCTGGCCATGGCTGACGTTTCTTGATTTCTCTACCCCCAAAATGTGAGAGATTTCCTTTGTAATTATGTCAGGAAACTGGCAAGAAAAGGAAACAGTGACATCATTAACCAGATGTACCAGTAAGGAATTTCATCCTGACCTTAGTCAAAGGGAAATTTAAGAGAGACCATTTTGTAAAAGGAATCGAAGGAATCATTAAAACGAGGTTTGAAAATACAGAGTCTGGACTAGAGCTGGCAAAAAGAAGAGGTAGTTTTCTACAAGAAAATATCATGAAAATGAGAAAGCTATATGGAGTCTCTCAGCAGTAATACTGGCATCTTAAAAGACGAATTATAAATGACCACATTCTCCTCATTCAGAGAGAGGCTGATTGGCCTCTTCTCAGTTATTTCCTAAAGGAACACCAAACACAGAGTATGTGTGGAGATTCAAAATAATGTCATAAAGCTAATCACACCCCAATGTGCACTTTGCCCCATCAATAATCAGTCTGCCTTCACATTCTGAAGGAAGCACAACAAGAAAACCAGGCTCAGGCAAGTTTCTTAACCTCTCTGAACCTTAAAGATTTTCCTTTGTAAAACAAAGATAATTTTACCTGCCTATCATGGCGGTTGTGAGAAAATGCTCATATGTATCCTGTGGCCTTGGTACATGGATAGGTGCTCAGAAATTTTGAGTTCTCTCACCATCAGCTCCTGGATATTCCTAGGTCACATGTTATTAATAAAAATAAGAATTTAAGCTCAGCACAGACCTCCTACCTGAATTCTCATTCTCAGTTTTTCTAAAAGGCAGCATTAAAATTAGCAAAGCTTCTACTCTATGAAACCCAACCCCAGATAATTCCGCCTCACCTGCCATCTCTGGTCCTTCCACAGGACTGTAGAGCTCTGCTTGAGATAGCCACATCAGTATGCCCATTGATGCCATGTGATCTTCAAATTTAACTGACTCAACACAGAAACACCCTTTGATGTGTCCCACCTCCTCAGCAGTCTCTTTTATTCATCACTTTTTAACTTTTGTTAATCTCTGCCTCACTACCATCCTCTCTCTATCACAGACCATCTCTTATCCTAGTCACTAAGAAAATCGATACTGCCTACAAGTGTATCTGTATCTGTATTCCTCCGTTATCTCTTTGCATCCTAATTTGACAGGAGAGGAATCCTGACTCCTGCCCAGATTTAATCATCCCACCCCTACATGAATCCCATTCCTCTCATACACTGGGAACCATGTCCCATTGCTGATCTATTCTCTTTTTTTTTTTTTTTTTTTTTTTTTTGTAATTTCAGCCATTAATTTTCTACTAGATTCTTCTCATTGGCATTATAAACATGTTCAAATATCTACTATCTTTTCAAAAAACTTCACAATCGGCACTTTGTTCCACTCTAGCCCCTGCCTTTATTTTTCCTTTACAGACAACCTTCTGGAAAGAAGCTCCTATTCATCTTTCAGCCATTTTATCTTCTGCTCCCAACACTCACTTTCCAAAGTCACCAATGGATTCCTTGTGTTAGATCCAAAGGGCAATTTTACTTTGTAAAATTTATGTATTTTTTCTTTCCCTACCTTGTGATAAAGAAAAGGGATAGAAAAGTAGGTACTATTACTATCTTCATTTTATAGATGAGGAAGCTGAAGCTTAGCAAAGTTAAGAAATTTACCCAGGGTCTAGTAGGTATTCAAGGTAAAACAGCTAGCAAGTAGAGAGCCAGGACTTGAACTTAGGTCTACCTCCTGGTCTACACCTCATAGATTACTACTTCTCAGTCTCCTTTGCTGGTTCCTCTTCATCATTTGGCTGTTCTAGACCTCAATTCTCAGAAATTATGTTTCTCTATACTTACTCCCTTAGTAATCTCAGCCAATCTCGTGACTTTATTTATTTTTTTATTTTTAAAACTTTTATTTTAAGTTGAGGGGTACATGTGCTGGTTTGCTACATTGGTAAACTTGTGTCATGGGGGTTTGTTGTACAGATTATTTCATCACCCAGGTATTAAGCCTAGTACCCATTAGTTATTTTTCCTGATCCTCTCCCTCCTCCCACCCTCCTGCCTCTGATAGAACTCAGTGTGCGTGTTCTCCCCACTGTGTGTCTATGTGTTCTCATCATTTAGCTCCCACTTATAAGTGAGAAGATTTGGTTTTCTGTTCCTGCATTAGTTTGCTAAGGATAGTGGCCTCCAGCTCCATCCATGCCTCTGCAAAGGACATGATCTCATTCTTTCTTATGGCTGCATAGTATTCCATGATGTATATGTACCATGTTTTCTTTATTCAGTCTATCATTGATGGGCATTTAGGTTGATTCCATGTCTTTGCTATTGTGAATAGTGCTGCAATGAACATACGTGTGCATGTATCTTTATAATAGAACAATTTAAATTTGTTTGGGTATATACCCAATAATGGGATTTCTGGGTATCATGATTTAGGGTATCTGTATTTAGGTCTTTGAGGAATCACCACAGTGTCTTCCACAATGGTTAAACCAATTCACCTCCCACCAACAGTGTTTAAGCACTCTTTTTTTCTCCACAACCTCGCCAGCATCTGCTATTTTATGACTTTTTGATGGTAGTCATTCTGACTGGTATTAGATGGTATCTCATTGTGATTTTGATTTGCATTTCTCTAATAATCAGTGATAGTGAACTTTTTTCACATGCCTGTTGGTGCATATGTATCTTCTTTTGAAAAGTGTCTGTTTATGTCCTTGGCCCACTTTTTAATGAGGTTGTTTTTCTCTTGTAAATTTGCTTAAGTTCCTTATAGATGCTGGGTATTATACCTTTTTCAGATGCATAGTTTTCAAAAGTTTTCTCCCATTCTGTATGCTGTTTACTCTGTTGATAGTTTCTTTTGATGTTCAAAAGTGCTTAAATTTAATTAGATCCCATTTGTCAGTTTTTCCTTTTGTTGCAATTGCTTTTGGCCTCTTCATCATAAAATCTTTGCCTGTGCCTATGCCCTAAATTGTATTGCCTAGGTTGTCTTCACCATGTTTAGAGTTTTGGGTTTTACACTTAAGTTTTTAATCCATCTTGAGTTAATTTTTGTATGCGGTATAAGGAGGGGGGCCAGTTTTAATATTCTTCATATGGCTAGCCAGTCATCCCAGCACCATTTATTGAACAGGGAATCCTTTTCCCATTGCTTGTTTTTGCAATCTCATGACTTTAAATGTGATGCATCATCTACAAAGATGGCCACCAACAACTCCTCCCATTGTTGTATGTGCAGCTTGTTCCTCCTGACAGGTGGTGAATTCCATTTCTCCTCCTCCTTAAACCTGGGCTGGCCTTGTAACTTGCTTTGAGCCATAGAATATGCTAAAATGCAGTGAAATTAGAAGGTGCCAATTCTGAGACTAAGCATTAAGAGGCCTAGCAGCTTCTGCTTTTGCTTTCTTGGGAGCCAAGTCCCATGTATGAAGCTTGTGGTACATAAGTAAATGATAAGAGACCATATGGAGAGAAAGAGATGCCACATGAAGGAGAACTGGGGCACCCCAGATGACAGCCAGCACCAAGGCCCCAGACATGTGTGTACCAGCTGTAGCTGAGCTTCCAGATTATTGCAGCTACACAAGTTACAAGAAATGCACAAAATCATGAGAAATAATAATTTATTGTCACTTTAAGCTACTACGTCTTAGGGTATCTTTTAACAGAGCAGTAGATAACTAAAAACAAATGCTATCAATGTGCTGACGACTTCCAAGTTTATATCTCCAACTTCAACCTCTCCCTTGAACTTTAGACTTACATATTCAACTGCTCACTAAATGGCTAAGAAGCATCTAATAGGTCTAACAAATACTCATTTTTTGGCAATGGCTTTATTGAGATATAGGTCATACATATACCATACAATTCACCCATTTACAGTGTACAATTCAATAGTTTTTAGTATATTCATGGAGATGTAGTGCAGACCTTTGATTCCCACCTCACCACTCCCAAAAACCCTACCCCTATTCTTATTTGCTTTGCCAAGTGTTTTTAAGCCCCAAATCTAGGAATCACCATTGGTTTCTCTCTTTATGTCCTACTCCTCATCTGACCCATTAACAAGTTTTGACAGGCTTATCTTTCAAACATATCTCCTTCCACTTCCACCACTCTCACCTTAGTTATGCCAACATTTCTTCTTTCCAGGTTTACTGCAGTAGCCGCCTAATGAGTCTTCCTAACTCTTTTTCTAACTGATCATCCACTCATGTGACCCTCAGTCAAGTTTTCCACAAAACAGAGTGATGATTAAAATACATAGATCTTGTCACTCTTCTGCTCAAAACCCTTCATTGACTTCCCATCATGGAATAGAATCCAAACTGCTTACCAAAGCCCACTAGACTCACCCTTACTCATGCTGTTCCAGACATAATTGGTCTTCTTTTTTTTTTACCTTCAAGCCATCAAACTCATTCCCGCCTCAGAGCCTTTTCACTACTTCCTCTAACTGGAATGCTTTCCTCAAACTTTCACATGGCTTCTTTCCTTCCTTAATCAGGCCTCTGCACAAATGTCACTTTCCCAGAAAGGCTTTCAGTGACCATGTTATCTAAAATGAAAGTCCTCCCCTTTCCAAACACAAAGTCACTTTTTATGGCCTTACCCTGATTTATATTTTTTTCTAGCACTTGTCTCTCTCTGACATTATATCCTACATTCAGTTGTCTATGTGTTTGTCATTTGTTTCCCCCATAGTGGCAGCTATGGAAATGCTCTTCTCAGATCTTCTTCAAGTGAACACCTGGCAGGGAACATTGAAACCTCGCTAGCCTCTCAGAGCTTATTTCTTCATCCACAAAGTGAGATAATCTGGCTCCTGCCCAGATTACATAATTATGGTGAGGACAAGTCATATATTTTAAAACCTTTATGTAAATTTATTTTGTTAATTTTACAAAATTTTATACAAAGATAAGATTGTTTTTAAAGATCCATTACAGCCTGAGAATGCTGATCCATTCTTTGAACTGCTTTTTAAAATTCTGAGGCTACCTTTGATATGAGGATGCCCTCTGTTGTTCTCCTGTATACCTGATTCACAGTAAATATGAGACATGGTCTGTATCATCATTCTATACAAGACTATCAGAGTAGGAATGATACTCGGAGATCACCTAGTCTCATTTTAAAAATGAGAGAGCTAAGCACAGACATAATGATAAAGTGCCTAAAAGCAGTCAAACCAGGACCAGAAACCAGTATTCTTGATTCCAAGTTCAGTGTGCTTTAGTCAGAATGGCAATATACAAGTATGAAAATACTATTGAATTTGACTTAAATGTCCAAGTTGACTTCATTATCTTGCCTGAATACTTGTTATCCGTCCCAAATTAATTATTCACATTAAAAGAACTACTGATTATATCTACCCAGTCACCCAAGACAGAAACCCCAAAGTCAGTTTTAATTCTTTTCTCTCCTTTATGCACCACATTTTGTTATGTGGTCTCATTAATTCTACCTTCTAAATCTCTTTCACCCTCTTCTCCATGTGGGCTGCCCTCATCTAAGCCTTCATCCTTTTAAGTCTGTTTTATTTCAATAGTTTCCTAAGTGTTTTGGCATCTTCCAGGCCCACTCAACATTTTTTCATTCAATATCATTCTTGCTTAAAATTTTTATAATATTCCAGGGGTTAGGCTAGATATGGAGAATGAAAAGAGGAAGTGGACATAGTCTGTGCTCTAAAGGAACTAGAAATCTAATAGAGAGATATAAACATGTAAATAAATATTGATTTCTTATTACTCCAAAATATCACCAAAACAAACTGTTGATGAAACAAAGCTGAGTTTATTCTCTTTGCAGTAGGAGTAACACTACCTCAACAGACTTTACTAGTATCTACACATGGTGAGGGTGAATTTGGGATATTTATGAGTTTTGAAGTCTGATTTAAGGCAGGTCTTTCAATGGGAAGAGGGCATTGTTATAATTGATTAAGAATCATGACACAGTAGTTTAAGACTGGTAGATCCAGCACATAAGGATTTTGAGTAGTGGAGTTCAAAGAGTCCTTGCTTATAACTATTGCTTGATGTTCCTGATGAGTTGATCGTTTTTTCAGTAAGTCCCTGGAATGTACAATAAAGTTGATTTGCAACTTTCAATTTTCTAAGCAAAAGTTTCCTGGAATAGTAGAGTTATGTTGATAAAGACAGTAGAATAGTAAAATCATGTTGATTTAAGCATAAGACTGTGTGGTGGTAGATAGTTTCACTTCTTAAAAGTGCAGCAAAACATTATAGACACATGTGTGGAGTATTGTGGGAGCATGAAGGAGGGGGTGGTCAATGATTCCTAGAGTCAGAGTGAGGAAGAATTAGAAAATACTTTACAGACTTGAACTGTATCTTAAAAGGTAAATAATATTCCATTTATGGATATGTCACATTTTGTCTATCCATTCATCAATTAATAAACATTTGGGTTGTTTCCTCTTTGGGGCTACTACAAATAATGCTAATATGATCACTTATGTATAATTACACTTTTTTGGGAACATATGGTTTCATTTCTCTTGGGTATATAGCTAGGAGTAGAATTGCTGGGTCATTTGTAACTCTATGCATAACTTTTTGAGGAACTGCCAAACTATTTTCCAAAGAGGCTGAACCATTTTACATTTCTACCAACAATGTATAAGGTTTTAAATTTCTCCACATCCTTGTCAATGCTGGCTATTTTCTGTTTTGTTTGTTTGATTATAGCTATCCTAGTGGTGTGAAATTGTATCTTGTGGTTTTGACTTGCATTTCCCTAATGACTACTGATGTTGAACATCTTTTCATGCGCTTATTGGACATTTGCATATATTCTTTGAAGAACTGTCTTGTAAATACTTTGCCCATTTTTAATTGGGTTATTTGTTTTTTTATTGTTGAGCTATAAAATTTCATTACTTTGGATATAATTTCCTTATCAGATATATGATTTGCAAATATTTCTCCCACTCTGTGGCTTGTATTTTCACTGTCTTGATGGTATTCTTTGAAGCACAAAAGTTTTACCTTTTTTTATTGAGGTGAAAGTCACATAACATAAAATTAATCATTTTAAAGTGAACAATTCAGTGGCATTTAGTGCATTTAAAATGTTGGGTAACCACAACCTCTGGTAACAAAATATTTTTATCATCTCCAAAGGAAACACTGTACCCATTAAGCAGTTGTTCTCCACTCCTCCTTTCCTCTAGCCCCTGGCATCTACCATTCTTTATTCTGTCTTTATGGATTACCTATTCTTGACAATTCAGATAAATGGAATGATACAATATGTGACTTTTTATATCTGGTTTCTTTCACTTGCTGTAATATTTTTAAGGTTCTTTTACATTGTAGCATGTATCAGTATTTCATGTCTTTAGATGGCCCAATAAATAGGGAAGTGTGTATCCTCTACCTTTGTCCTACTTTTTCAAAATTGTTTTGGGTATTTGGGGCCCCTTGCAATTCCATACTAATTTTAAAATTTGCTTTTCCATTTCTATGAAAAGGCCATTGGAATTTTGATAGAGATTGCATTGAATCTGTAGATTCCTTTGGGTAGTATTGCTATCTTAACAATATTAAGTCTTCCAGTCCTTGAAAACAGGATGTGTTTCCGTTTTATTAGGTGTTTAATTTATTCTAGCAATGTTTTATAGTTTTCAGTGTACAAGTCTTTCATCTCCTTGATTAAATTCATTTCTAAATATTTTATTCTTTTAATGCTATTGTAAGTAAAATTGTTTTCTTAACTTCCTTTTCATTGCCGGTGTATAGAAATACAACTGATTTTTTTGTTTGTTTGTTGGTAGATCTTTTAACCTGTAACTTTAATGAATCTGTTTACAGCTCTTGTAGGTTTTTTGGTGGATTCTTTCAGATTTTCTATATATAGGATCATGTCATCTGCAAATAGAGATAGTTTTACTTTTTCCTTTCCAATTTGGATGCCTTTTATTTATTTTCTTGCCTAATTTATCTGACTAGAACTTCTAGTACAATGTTGAATAACAGTGGTAAAAGCAGGCATCTTTTTCTTGCTCCTGATTTTAAGAGACTACTTTCAGTCTTTCATCATTGAGGAGGATGCTAGCTGTGGGTTTTTCATAAATGCCCTTTAACATGCTGAGGAAGTTCTCTTCTACTCTTAATTTGTTGAAAGTTTTTATCAAGAAAGGGTGGCTGGACTTTGTCAAATGTTTTTCCTGCCTTAATTGAAATTATCATATGTTTTTTTTCCTTCTTTCTTTTAATGTAACATGTTACATTGATTAATTTTCTTATACTAAACAATCCTTTTGTTCCTGGGATAAATCCCACTTGCTCATGATGTATAGTCCTTTTCATATGCCATTGAATTCAGTTTGATAGAATTTTATTGAGAATGTTTATACCTATAGTCACATGAGATAGTTGTAGTTTTCTTTTCCTGTGATGCCTTCATGTGGTTTTGGTATCAAGGTAAAACTGACTTCATAGAATATTCCCTTTTCTTCTGTTTCTTGGGAGAGTTTGAGAAAAATTGGTATTAATTCTTCTTTATATGTTTAGTAGATTTCACCAGTGAAACCGTCTCATCCTGGACTTTTCTTTTTTGGGAGTTTTTTTTTTTTAACTATTGATTCAAACTTTGTAATTGTTATAGGTCTGTTCAGATTTTCTGTTTCTTTCTGAGTCTGTTTAGGTAATTTGTGTGTTTCTCAGAATTTATCCATTTTATCTAGGCTATCTAATTTGTTGTACCAAACAAATTTTGATGAAGTCCAGTTTTTCTACTTTTTTCTTTTGTTGCGTATGCTTTCATTGTCATATCTAAGAAACCGTTGACTAACTCTAGGTAATAAAGAGTTATGTTTATCATGTTTCCTAGGTTTTCCTATAAGACTTTTATAGTTTAACACTTACATTTAGGTCTATAATCCATTTTAAGTTAATTTTTGTATTAATATATGTTATGAGAAAAGGGTTGAGATGTATTGTTTGTTTATTTCTGTATATGGATATATCATTGTTCCAGCATCATTTTTTAAAATAACAGGAGTCTGATGCTCATTAGCTTCCCAAACTTGGTACAAACTTTAGCATCTGGGTGAGGATGTTGCAGGGAGAGTTTTAGTTTGGTGTCAGTTTGGCGGAGAGGGAAGTACAGCTATCTGGTAAAGGCTTTGCTTGTTGGGCAATTCAGAACAAGGAAGGACATACTGACAAGTCTTTCATGTCTCATACCTAAGGCAGAGTGCAGCAGGCCGGCATTTGTGTTCACGGTAGTCATTTCAAGTGCTCATGCTGTACTCCAGCTGCCTGACATTTATCTAATATGCAGCAACTGAGTTGAGCTTTTTTTTTTTTTTTTTTTTTTTTTTTTTTTTTTTTTTTTGAGACAGAGTCTCACTCTGTTGCCCAGGCTGGAGTGCAGTGGCATGATCTCGACTCACTGCAACCTCTGCCTCCCAGGTTCAAGCAATTCGTGTGCCTCAGCCTCTTGAGTAGCTGGGACTACAGGTGTGTGCCACCACACCTGGCTAATTTTTTGTGTTTTAGTAGAGACGGGGTTTCGTCATGTTGCTCTGGCTGGTCTTGAACTCCTGAGCTCAGGCAATCCACCCGACTCGGCCTCCCAAAGTGCTAGGATTACAGGCGTGAGCCACCGCGCCCAGCCCTAGCTGACATTTTTTTTCCTCTCTCATTTCCTTCTCTCAGGACTCTACCTTCTGCTTCCCAAAGTAGCTGCAGATAATCTGGGAGATTGGTTGTTGGTGCAGGGCAGGTAGTAGTAGTAATAGTAGTAGCAAATGACAAGATGGAATCTGGAGAAATAAAGATGTACTTGGCAGGAGGTGAGGAGGAGGAAGGAATAGTGGAACTAGAAAGCAGCCGGAATGACCAGGAAGGGTATCCAAAAACCCAGCCATGAGGCTTTAGTTTTCGCAGAAAGGAGAGATAGAGAACTTTAGTAGTGCACCAGCCTGGCTACTACAACATTCAAGTTGGGGAAAAGTCAGAGGGATGGAGCAGGGAAGACTGAGCACTCAGAGGTATTAATAGAAGGGAAACAAGAGAAAAAGGCAACTTCCATCTCACTGTAGAGAAAATTCAAGAAGTATGAACATAGTTGGGAAACAGCTCCTTCCTCTTCTCAGGCAAACGCTGCTCACACTCTCTTGGGGCCCAATTTCTATTCTCAGGCCTTGCTAGAAGATCAGAACCACTCTGATACTCTTGCTTTAATGTAATGGCTGAGAAAAATAGAATTTTGCCCTGCCCAGAAAACATGTACAGTTTATTAGGAACTGTGACAGGCCCGTGGAGATGATTAATTGGAGAAGAGGGTCTATTTCCGTTGCATCATTCAAACTGCACTCTGGGGGGCAGTGTGGTGTAGTTGAAAGAACACAAGCTTTGTAGCCTGACAGATAAGAGTCCAAATCTGGGTTCTGCCATTTTACTCCTTGTGCACCTTCGGATGAGTTACTTAACCTGTCTGAGTTCTGATTTTTCTCTCTCCAAAAAAAGCAGATTATATGTACCTCATAGAGTTTTTCAGGGAATTAAATGAGAGAATGTCCATAAAGTCCCTTGTACAATGTCTGGTACATATACTAGGAACTCAGTATGTGCCAGTTTCTCCCCCAGTGTCTTATCACTGACTGCATCGTAGGCACAAACTGAAGCTGTCTTCTGTTTCTAAAGGCTTTGACCCCAAAGTTCTACTTTTAGTACTTTTATTAAAATTTTGAAACAATCCAAAGAACAGAAAACATTTTGTGGTCAAGGATGTTCACTGAGTTTGCTCATAGTAAAACAAAGAAAAAATATTCTGAGCACTCCAAATGTAAGCAAATGTTAATTATTTAAAATGACTTCCAAAAATTAAAATAAATTAAAAATGACATCCATGAGGATGTTTAATAACACAGTGATATGTTTACATTCTACTATTAAGGTAACAAAATTTATATATACAATTCTATATACAACTATCTTAAATGTTGAAAAAAATGTATTGAAGCAATATTGAGATAAAAAACACCAAAATATTAATGATGGTTGATCTACCTTTGGGAAGAAGGTTATGAGTTACTTTTTAAAAAACTTTCCTACCATGCACAAAACATGACTTTCATACTGAAAAAAATAAAATTTAATTTAATCACATATCAATTTTTTTTTTTTTTGAAATGGAGTCTTGCTCTGTCACCCAGGCTGGAGTGCAGTGGCGCAATCTCAGCTCACTGCAACCTCCACTTCCCAGGTTCAAGCGATTCTCCTGCCTCAGCCTTCCGAGTAGCTGGGATTATAGGTGCACGCTACCACAACCGGCCAATTTTTGTATTTTTAGTAGAGGTGGGGTTTCACCATGTTTGCTAGGCTGGTCTTGAACTCCTGACCTCAAGTGATCCACCCACCTAGGCATCCCAAAATGCTGGGGGTACAGGCGTGAGCTACCACGCCCAGCCACCACAGACCAATTTTTAAGAGGCTCTTGAGGAATACTCTACAGCAACAAGAATGATCTACAACTATATGCAACAATATGGATACATTTTATAAACATAATGTTGAGCAAAAAGAACTAGATGCAAAAGAATACATAGAAAATAACTCAATTTCTATAGAGTACAAACACAAGCAAAATAAATCTATGCTGTTAGTAATTGGGATAGTGGTAACCCAGGGCAGGAGGTGGGTACTAACTTTTGTATTTGGCCTTCTTTTGCACAATGTTACATTTGTGAAATTCACTGTGAGTGTAGGTTGGGGGTGGGGAGCAGTGACTAAAAAGGGGCAAAGAGGGCTTGTGGGATCTGGTAATGTTCTGTTTCATGAGCAGGGTGCCAGATATGCTTAGTCTGTGAAAATTTAGCATCCTTATTAATGGTGCAATTTTCTATATGTATGTTATACTTCAATAAAAAATTAAAAAATAGGATAAATAGATGATAGATACATAGATAATGAACAGATGATAGAGACTTGGATAAACAGATAGATGACAGATATACATAGATAGATAGATATAGATAGATATACATACGTACATAGATGATAATGTACTGAATGAATGCACATCATCATTTGTGTCTTAGCTGGAGAGCCATCTTTAGAACAAAAAGACAAACTTGTTTTGACCACAAGATGGCAGTATTAGTTGCTTGAGAATCAAATTCCAGGGTGCTTCAGCACAAACATTTCAAGAACCAAATATACAGTGGGTACATATGGACATAAAGACGGGAACAATAGACACTGGGGACAATAAGGGGGGAGAGAAAGGTTGAAAAACTACCTCTTGGTTACTGTGTTCACTACTTGGATGATAGGTTCAATCGTACTGTATTCCAAACCTCAGCATCATGCAATACATCCTTGTAACAAACATGCACATGTAGCCCCCAAATTGAAAATAAAAGTTGAAAAAAAAAAAGCAACACATATTTCTGTTAGTGGAAGAGAATTTAGAGATTTTATACTCTGACCTTCTTTAATTTTCCAGATTAAAAAAAAAATGCCATAGAAGGAGTATTTACCCAAGGACACACTGCTAGTTAGAAGATAACCTAGGCTGAAAACCCCGGTTTCTGGGCTTGCTCTGCCACACTTAAAAGCTCCTATTTTCAGCTATGGTTCCTTTCTATCCCGCTGTGGAAGAGGGAGTTTATTAAGAAGTAACACTCCTCCTTTTATAACTCCAGAAAACATAAGTGTCAAACGGCATAGAAAATTCATGAGCAGAATTGGCAGTACTGACAGGCTGCAGCATGAAATTTCCTTATATGGACTTTTAAAAACATCACATGGCCAATTCCGTCTGAGCTCGCTTAAGCTTCTACTTCCTTAGATGTAAAAGATAGACCCTGTGACCTCTCTGGGTTTTGTTTGTTCTCTCGCTCCCTCTCCTTCTCTTTCTTTCTTTTTTGGGTTCATCCATATTTCATCATATAATTTTGCTTTTTATTTTCTTCTTAGGCAAGAAGTATCGAAGCCAGTACTCAAAAAAATTGAGTGCCAGCTATGTACAAGGAAGGCATAGTACTGTCACCAGAGACCCTCGAAGGTCGGAATCACAAGGTGAGGAGGTCAAACTTAGCTTGATGTTTCCCTTTCCTCTACTCTCTTTTGTAAAATGGCAATGCAGGAATTTTAATCTAAATCTTTTTTAAAGGACTGCTAAGCATTCCCTGGGGTCACTTACATTTCATAAATGGCCAAGGTCATTCCTGACACCTAATAAGAAAACATGATTGTCAACTACTCTGCAGCCCACTAAGTCCAGACTCCAGCTACTCCCACTCTTACCCCCTAGTCTTGCTTCTTGTCACTGACAATCATAAAGGACACCAGCAGAAAAGCTTCTCAGAGGGAAAACACAGGTTACCAGAACTCTTGGTGGCTGAGAGAAAAGTTCTGATTGATTTATTTTTCTGGGTAACTAAAGGATAACCAAAAAAGGCTTCATTGTTTCAACTTTTGTGGCTGAAAATCTTCTGTGTGCCCCTTCTATGTTAGGAAGTAAGAGAACCTGGAGAACATAGTCGGAGCAGATGATTTCATGGATTTAGTCATTGTCTTGCACATCAATTACCATGTTCAAGGAATGAACATGGTAACTGAAATATAACAGCTTTGGAAGTAGTCCAGTCCTTCATTTTACAAATTAGGGAACTGAGGCCCTGAGAAGGAAGTGAATTACCCAAGGTAAGGTCACATGAGTCATAAAGCTTGGAAGGCAGAGAACTAGCTCCAATGTGAGCTTGTATCTTCTAAAATTGGGAAGGAAAATAACCCCACTTAATTTGAAGGTCCTGGCTCACTTAAATAGAAGTCATAAGTTTCCCTGTTCATCTAGTTCTTCTCTAAGTACCAGCCAGAACCCTACTGACAAAGTAAAAGATTGAAGTAGTTTTCTGAATCATTTGGAATGAAACCCCATTGCATAGCTATAGCCTTTAAATATATGTGGTATGGCTGTAAAGCAGTGTGACCAGTTTCCACAAACCACAGAATAAAACTGGGAACACTATTATATATTCATACTGCATGCTCTGGATTTTCCATGGATACAGGGGACAGGAAATCCAGAAATAACCCCCAAACTTGTTTTGAAACCAGTTTCTACCTCCACCTTCAACAAACCTTTTGCAAAAGGCCACGAAGGAGAAGCACATTGACTTAGCCATGACATCACGTTTCTTATCTTTTCTCTTGTGCGTATTTCATTATTTACTGGTACTAATACCAAGGCAAGTATCAAAATAGACAAATGAAAGCAGGGGTAATAAGTAGACGAAAAATGAAAAACAGTCTGTATCTCAAAGAAAGATGGTGAAATAAACATGCACAAGATAAAAGATAAGATAAGAAGAAATGTGATGGTATGGGTAAGTCAATTTTGTTTCTCCTTAGTAGTCTTTTGTAAAAGAGCCCCAAGTGATTTTTGTGCATATTGAAGTTTGTGAGGCACTGATGTAGTAAAAATAACTCTGGATTCAGACTTGGAAAACCAGGTTTCTTTCCTTGCTTCTGCCACTTTGTGGTTTAATAAATTTATCCAAGTGACTTCCTTTCCCTGAGCTTCAATTTTCTCATGAGTAAAATGAGAGATTCAACCAGAAGGCTTCTGAAGGTATTTAAGCCCCAAAGTTCTAGGATTCTAATTAACAGCGAACACTTGACCTTGGATGCTTCCTTGTAAATATGAATAGCTCAACTTCCTTCAGATTAATGAAGTTTATGATTGAAAACCAGGTGGTAAAACACTGGCTTCCTTGGATATTTCCAATTCCTCCTTTCAGATTGCCCCAACTCCACTGACCCTTCCAGGCATTCTGAGATGAGGTGTTCATGGTTGTCACCATTCCAGTTTTGCAAAGTGAGCCCGCATGAAACTACAGGAGAGGGTAGCTGTGCTGATGGTGGGAAGAAACCAGCATCTGAGGCTTTCCCCCAGAGCTAGAGTGAACAAAGGTAAATTCTCAAGGTAAAGAGAGATACAGACAGATTCAGAAACTGATCCCAGTTTACCTGGCACTTCCTCTTCACAGGATCACTTAAGAATAAAGCATTAATTTTACCCTCAGTGTTGATTTTCTTCTTTCTGTTCTTCCATCTCTGAAATCAGGTCAAGTTGGCCCTACCACCATTTAACCATGGCAACAAGCTCCCATGTTTGGCCATGGCCTTATTTTTGTTTGCTTGTTTGTTTTTTAAATTATTTTATTTTAAATTTTGTGGGTACATAGTAGATGTATAGACTTATAGGGTAGACGTGTAGATTTATAGGGTACATGAGTTTTTTGATACAGGCATGCAATGTGAAATAAGCACATTATGGAAAATGGGGTATCCACAGATCCCACTTCTTGATGGAAGGAGTGACAATGAATTTGTGGCCATTTAAAAAAACCTCTATATTATCCAGGAGATAAATAGCACTGAGGGAACTCTCTTCATTCAATGCTAGATTGAAACATGTATACTGCCAGGGTTTCATTTTTCCCATCTAGCTTGGGGTTCACACAAGAAAGCAAGCTCAGCTCACATCATGTCTTAGTTCACTGGATCTTAAAATTTTGGCCAAAAAGGAGAAAATTAGTGAGAACATAGAAAAAAGTGTGCACACTCTCTCTCTGTCTCTCAATCTCTCTTTTTAAACTCCCTTTCCCCTCTTTCTCCTTCCTGTTTTTATAAGATCTAGATGAGCTAAACCACCCACTCTCTGTCTCCTTTCCCCTGAGTTGCACCCTGATCCTGCTCAAATTTTCAAGAGCTGTGGAATGGTGTCTTCCTGCACCAACCCACTGGGATCAGAAAGAATCAAAAGAGCAAACTATGCAGAAAAGAAGGGATCCAAGAGAGCCAAAAGAAAGCAAGGGTTTGTTTGCCTTAGACCAGTTCTATTTATATTTCCTATACTCCACCCTAGCAGGGTGGTCTAATTGTGTGGCTCTGTGGACTCCAGAACTACGCTTTATTTTTGATCCACACCAGACTCCTACTCTGAGCAGGAGGAGAGAATTTCAGCCCCCCATTTCTCTCCCTTTCCAGAGTTACTATGTGTGCCACTTAGCTAATATTTATTACTTATTCTGTGCCAGGCACTGTGCCAAATACTTTACAACCATTATCCCATTTAAGCCTCACAGCAACTCTATGAGGTACATAACATTATTCCCGATTACAGGTGAGAAAACCAAGGCATGGTGAGCTGAAATAACTTGTTCTGGCTCACACTTAGTCTAAAGTAGAACTTAGTTCAGAACCCAGGTAATCTGACCCCAAAGCCTGTGGCAATCTCTCTGTATTTATCTCAGCTGAGCAACAGGGACAATAGTAGTTATCATAAAGCTATAAGAACAGTATATTTATAGTCAATAAGACTTTTGTTTAAGGGCTATATGCAACTAACTGGTATAAATAACAAGTATCAATAAAAGTAGATTTTTAAGAGAGGCTGGGTAATTATAATAACGGCAGTTAACATTAACCAAAAGCATACAATGTGCCAAGAGCTAATGAAATATTTTATCTATATTAAATTGTTAAATACAACAACCTAGGTCAGTATTATTATTATTATATTTGATAATTGAGTAATATAGAGCATAGACAAGGTAAGTAACTTGCCCACAGTCAAACTCAAAGTAAAAGACACAGCAAGGATTTAAACACAGGCAGCTAAACTTGGAAGTACATGCTCTTATATTATGCAATACTGCCTCTCTTGATTGTATCTTCTCTTGAAAGTTGAAATTATAGACACTATTAATCTTTCTGGGAAGATGAAGGTATATAGCCTACCCTAGAAGTGCATGGTATTAAATGTCTAAGAACTATTTTGGTCAAGGTCTTGCATCCTCACTGAAAAGAGTTTTGTTTTATTTTGCTTTTTTATTAGTCTAGTAACGGTATGTGGCATGTAGTGGATGCTCAATAACTAATTTCATGATGGTATAATTTTATTCACTTAATCATATTCTATGAGCTTCAGGATCATGTGAACCAGCAAGCTAAATCAAAACAAATCATTTCTTTTCTGCTTAAGTGTGGTGAACATCATCAGTGCATGAGGCTGTGTACTAAGCATTTGGGGAAACACAAGATAGAAAATCAGTCATTGATAGCTCCCCAAAAGACCTCATCTTATTATTTCTTGTATGTTTGCAGCACTACTCTTTTCCTCTAGAAAGATTATCTTTTTATATCTGATCTCCTAATTCTGGAGTTCTTAGGTTGTCATAAGTTAGTTTTTCTTTTTTTTTTTTTTTTGAGATGGAGTTTGGCTGTTATCACCCAGGCTAGAGTGCAGTGGTGCAATCTTGGCTCACTGCAACCTCCGCCTCCCGGATTCGAGCAATTTTCTTGCCTCAGCCTCCTGAGTAGCTGGGACTACAGGCATGTGCCACTACACTCGGCCATTTTTTTATATTTTTAGTAGAGATGGGGTTTCACCATGTTGGCCAGGCTTGTCTTGAACTTCTGAGCTCAGGTGATCCACCCGCCTTGGCCTCCCAAAGTGCTGGGATTACAGGCGTGAGCCACCGTGCCCGGTCCCGTTTTTTTTTTTTTTTTTCTTTACTCCTATCCCCATTACTTTTTAAGGTATGTTCCCTCCTATGGAGATGGCTCTCTGCCTTGCCGTATTCCACAGACCATGCCTGGGGAGTTGCAACTGCCAATCAGTTTGTTAGAGGAGTGAGTGCAGAAAGCTAACATGGCTGCAGCTTGCCTTTTCTTTCATATGAATGCCAGCCCATCAGCCTACCACATCAATTACAAATCTTTCTGATTTTTCAGTTCATTTATATCTGGCCCCACCCTAATTCACCAACCCCATTTCTCCCTGCTCCTATATAAAGATCTTCTGTCAGGCAGACAGGCCTCTGTCACCAGAAATTACTTCATGCTCATTTCCACCCTCTTGTGATTGTTCACTCAATTTTTCCTTCCTCCTGCTACCACTAGCACTTGTACCAACTCAAGCTAACACTTAGTGGTATTCTTGTAATAGGCACTCATTATTTCATGTATCAACTTGGAGTTCCCAACTATATTGTCAATGCCTCTAAAGCTCATGCTATCCTGCTGTAGCACCCTCGATTCCTTTATGTCACCAACATCTACTATCCTCTCAATCCTAGCTTTTCATTTAAGTCAGCTGGTGTCTTTGTCTGGTGTAAGGTGTCTACTGCAGACTTACAAAATTGTTAATGAAAGGAAAGCATCACATATAGATTAAAAGAAAGGAAGGGTCTCAAATTAATATCTAAACTCCTACGTCAAGTACCTAAAATAAGAACAAAATAAGCCTAGATTAAGCAAAAAGAAAGAAATAATGAAGAGGAGAAAACAATGAAAATGGGAAAAAAAAATGAAACCAAGAGCTGGTCCTTTAAAAAGATAAATAAGATTGACAAATGTGTACCAAGACTGACAAAAAAAGAAAACACACAGATTACTAATATCAAGAATGAAACAAAAGATATCACTACAGACCCTGCAGAAATCAAAAGGATAATAAGGGAATACTATGAAAAACTCTAACACATAAATTTGGCCACTCAGACTAAATGGACCACTTTCTTGGAAAACATAAAGTACCGCAATTTACCTAATACAAAATGTAGCATTTGAATAATCCCATAACTAGTAATAATATTGAATTATTATTTTTATAATGCCAAAAAAACTTCCAAAACCAGATGGTTTTACTGGAGAATTATACCAAATTTTAAAGAAGAATTAACACATTTCCATGCAATCTCTTCCAGAAAATAAGAGAAGGAGTATTTTCCAATTCATTTTACAAAACTAAAACTACCCTGGTAACAAAATTAAACAAAGATTGTTTTTAAAAAAGAGAAAAGAAACAGAAAGAAAGAGGAAAAGGAAGAAAACTACAGACCATTATCTTTCATGAATATAGATGTAAAATTCTTCAAGAATATTAACAAATAAGGCTGGGCACGATGGTTCATGCCTGTAATTCTAACACATTGGGAGGCTGAGGCAGGTGGATCTGTTGAACTCAGGAGACAGCCTGACCAACATGGTGAAATTCTTTCTCAAGAAAAAAAAATACGAAAACTATCCAGGCATGGTGGCATGTGCCTGTAGTCCAGCTCCTCCAGAGGCTGAGGTGGGAGGATCACTTGACCCCAGGAGGTTGAGGCTGCAGTGAGCTGTGATCATGCCACTGCACTCCAGCCTGGGCAATAGAGCGAGACCCTGTCTTGAAAAACGAATGAACAAACAAAAAAAAATTAACTAATAAAATTCAGCAATATAGAAAAAGAATTATACATCATCATCAGTGGGATTTACTCATGCTGTGATCATATGGTTAAACATAAAAGCCAGTAATATTGAACATTTTTGGTTTGTAACTCCTATTTTTTCCCTATATGATTTAAAAAGCAAGTAAATAAAATGATAATTATAAATCTATCTTAATGGGCACACAAATGTGTAAAGATGCAATTTGTGACAATAACAACATAAAGGGGGCATGGAGCTATAAAGCAGCAGTTTGCGTGTGTGTGTGTGTGTGTGTGTGTGTGTGTGTGTGTGTGTGTGTGTATGTGTTTTGAGGTAAAGTCTCACTCTGTCACCCAGGCTGGAGTACAATGGTATGATCACAGCTCACTGTAGCCTGGAGTTCCTGGGCTCAAGTGACCCTCCTGCCTCAGCCTCCCATGTAGCTGGGATTATAGGCATGAGCCACCATGCCCAGCTTTTTATTTTTTGTAGAACGGGGTCTCCCTCTGTTGCCCAAGCTGGTTTCAAATTCCTAGGCTCAAGTGATCTTCCCTCACCAGCATCCCAAAGACAGCAGTTTTTTAATACTATTGAAACTTAAGTTTTTGTTAATTCAAACCTGATTGCTATAGTTAAGGGGTTAACTGCAATCCCCAGAGTGGCTACAACCAAACAACTTAAAAACATAGAGAAAAAGGTACAAGAAGGGAATCATAACACTAGGGGAAAAAAAAAAACAATGAATCACAAAAAAAGGCAGTAATGGAAGCACTGAAGAAAAATTATAAGAAATATAAAAGACAAAGTAAAATTACAGAAGTAAGCCTTTCCTTGTCAGCGGTTACTGTAAATGTTAAGGGATTAAATTCTACAACTAAAAGATAAAATTGATGGAATGGATAAAAAACATGATCCTGTCTATATATGCTGTGTACAAGAGACTCACTTGAGATCCAAAAATTACTAATATATGCAACAGCTTGTATGTGTTATTTGTGCAGATAAATGTGGGAATAATTGAAGTGTGCCGCGTCTTCTACCCCTCCACACAAGACACCCAAATAACTTAAGCAGTCTCCTCACAAGACTTTCACCCCACTCAACTCCACCCTGTTTGCATTTAGATCTTGCATTTATGCTAAAGAGTCTACCTACCCACCTAGCAGGGATCAAAGCCACATCTCAAGGTTAGGATCTATGAATAGATTTCAGGTTTTAATATGAGGAAGAGACAGGGATAGGATTTGGAGGACTGGGGAAGGAAGGGTAGGACAAAAGGACTTTTGCTACACCTATGATAAAATACACAATACACAACCTGGGAAATAAAAGAAGGGCTCCTGGAATATGGTTGTACTTTTTTTTTTTTTTTTTTTTTTTTTTTTTTTTTTTTTTTTTTTTTTTTTTTTGCGCTTGGCCACACAGCTTTACAAATAAATCAAGGAATAGGCACCTGGCTCTTTTTTTTTAGTCTAGAAATGCTGATTCTTGTCTTCTGAGAAATGAGTGACTTTCTCTTCTCATAAACAATAAAGCAAAGCTCTGCAAATTATCTGAAAGACAGCAAGGTTCTCCCTTGATTAATTTTCTTATTTCCACTTGTTCTTCTTACCAAATGTGGAAAGCATGTGGTGTGCTTCAGTTTCAAATGAGAGCTGCTGGCTTGGATTCATGAAGGATTTTTCTTGTTACTTATTTTTTGTTTGAAGGAGAGGATTTCAGTTAAATTTTTTTCCAATATTTTATTATGAAATTTCAAAGATACAGAAAATTTGAAAGAATTTTACAGTGAACATTTGTCTACCCATCACCTAGATTCTACAATATTCCGTAGTATGGATGTACCACAGTTTATCACTTATTGAAGGATATTTGTGTTGTTTCCAATTTTTGGCAATTTTTCTTGTTACTTATTTCTTGTTTGAAGGAGAGGATTTCAGTTAAGTTTTTTCCAATATTTTTCCAATTTTCCAATTTTTGGCAATTATTAATAGAACCTCTATAAACATTGATGCCCAGGGTTTTTATGTATTGTTATTTAATATTTTATTTCCAACTTTTAAAAAGCAAACTCTGCAATGGTTAGTATATTAGTATCATCCATGACTAAGATTTTCAGTATTATTCCTAAAACTACATAAAAAATACAAATGGAAAAAATGTAAGTCATAATTATTTAACAAAACATCACTTCATCACAAAAGCGTGTAAAATTACAAGAATGCCATTTTAAAATACTGGCACTTTAAGATAATGATAATCTCAAAACCCACAAAATTGTCAAATTTCCCTAAACTGCTAATCAGAGAAGACGCTGACTCTAATTAATAAGTTTAAAGAAAAATCAAATTCAAATAAATTGAATACTTCATACTGAGATGCAAAGCTTAAATGTCTTCTTTCCTCACATCTATTTGATTTGTAAAGAGGTAAACTGCACTATAGGAAAATATACCCTATTTTAAATCTGACATTGTCATTTTAAAAGCTGGCCCAATTAATTAGAAATACTTTTAATGGAGAGTCTCAAGTTTCCTGAGCAATCCATATTTAGAGAAATGGGAAAAGACCTTTACAGCCAGCTCTCTCAGTCTTCAATGGAACTAACATCAACAAAAAAATATTCAGTATGGTGGTCTTGTATTTTAAGCTCATGCTTTTGGGGATACATTCTCAGTTCTTCTTCAATGTAGGAACTGCAAAATATAACTACCATTACATGGTAATGGGAGTGAAAGAATATAGAGTCCTCATGTAAAAATTAAAACATACTTTTCTATTAGTCCTTCAAAAACAGACTTTCAAAATGTTTGATTCTCATAACCCCTTGCTATGAGTAGCTTGTTTACTCTTCCCTTTGTAAATATAAGTGGGTTATATGAAATTTGTTATCAACTGATCAAGATTTGGGGATTGAGTTATGGATGAAAACGGTCTCAATTTAACTTTTATTACTCCCATGATGAGAAGCAGGGTGTCTAGATAAAACCTTTTTATCAGCTAACTATATGAAAAGATAAACACTGTAATAATTCATGTGATACAAAATGGGCAAAAGCAAAAGGCTAGCTTCCCCCTCAGGAAGAAAAATTTCAGGCCTATGAAAAGGACAACAATATTAATTTTTAAAATTATATTTACTTAGAAGCATTTAGAATGTCAAACAAAACAGCTGCAACTTTTTTGCAATTAAAAATTAGCATTTAGTAAACAAAACAACAATTATTTTGTATAAGCTGCATCAGAGAGAACTGAAGATGAAAAAGGTGTCATCCCATATATAACTAATTTGTGCTGTGCACCAACATAAACCCGCTTTAAATTTCCATGCCAATTTGCAACCCCTTTGCTGTAACAAGCAAGATTAGTGGCTATTGAAAATACCATCAGGACAGGGCTAGCTAACTACACATTTGGTAGTGTGCTAACTATACAAAAAAAGACACTGTTTAGTTGTTAAATCTTACACAGCCTTACATTTCAATTTTTTTTTCTTTAAAAGGAGTGAATTGTGTACAGGGAGGTTAAATGCTTTACAGACAAGAAAGAAAAAAGCTTCACTAGAACCAGCTTATTCATGATCATCTTCCTCCTCAACATCATCCTCTTCATCTTTCTCCTCTTCATTCTTTTTCTTGCTTTTCTCAGCCCCAACGGCTTTCTTTTTTGCTGCATCAGGCTTTCCTTTAGCTCCGTGTACAACGATATCCTTGTCATATTTTTCCTTCAGCTTTGCAGCCTTCCTTTCACATGGCTGCTTATTGTCTGCAGCAGTGTTATTCCACATCTCTCCCAGTTTCTTTGCAACGTTACTAATGGATAGGCTGGGATGTTATTTTTGATTTTTGGGCGGTACTCAGAACCGAACAAGATAAAGGCTCCAGAAGGCCTCTTGAGTGCGTTGGGATCCTTGAACTTTTTTGTTTCCCCTTCAGGAGGGATTTAGGTTTCATTTCTCTTTTGTGACAGGCCTCCCCCAACTTTGCCACGTCTTCAAATTTTTCTCTTTTGCAGACAGGTTTCCATCTCTCTGAGCACTTCTTAGAAAACTCTGAGAAACTGACTGAATCTTCTGGGTGCTACTTTTTGTGCTCCTCCCGGCAAGTTTGCACAAAGAATGCATATGATGACATTTTGCCTTTCAGCTTCTTAGGCTCTCCTTTGGCCATGTTTAGTTATTAGTTCATCAGCAAGGCACAGAGTTGCCCAGTGTCCATCCAACTCTCACTTGCCTGGGTGCTGTCTCTATGAAGCTCAATGTACTGAAATCCCATCTTATTTTTAACATCCTAAATTATTTAATATTGTTGTGGTGGGGTTTTTTAAAATCAGTGGCTGTCTAGATTTCTACATAGATTAATTTATTTGTTCACTATGGAAGATTATATTTTCCAAGGATAGAGGTGACCATATCTCTTATCCCACATGCTCTTTTGCAGTGTGACCGTGCCACTCCCCTATCAAGAGGTGCAGTCTAATTCTTTTCCCCTTGAATTTGGGCTGGCCTTAGTGACTTGTATTAATCAACAGAATGTGGTAAAAGTGACACTGCATGGATTCTGAAGCTAGGTCAGATTCTGAGGCACAAAAGGCAATACAGCTTCCACCTGGTCCTCTTGGAATGCTCACTTCTGAACACTCCCATGGAGAGGTCATTTGTAGGTTCTATGGTCAACAGTCTTCACTAAGTAGTCTTTGAGTTATCCCAGTTCATATGCCAGATATGTGAGTGAAGATGCCACCAGAGGCTTCCAGCCCACCAGATTTGAGTCATCCCCAGCTATTCAAGACATTCCAGCCAAGGCCTCAGATACCATAAAGCAGAGACAAGTCATTCTTGCTACCTACCTAGGTTTTTGTGTGAACAGAAGTTTTCATTTCTCTGGGGTAACCCAGGAATGTGTTTAAAAACAAAATTTCAACAAATTTAGCGTAAAGATCTAATTGGATTTTATTAGCAATTCATGAATTAGGCAACTTTTTTTTTTTTTTTTAGACAAGGTCTTGCTTTGCTGCCCAGGCTAGAGTGCAGTGGTGTGATGTCGGCTCACTGCAGCCTTTACCTCCCAGGTTCAAGCAATTCTCATGCCTTAGCCTCCAGAGTAGCTGGGATTACAGGAACACGCCACCAGGCCTGGTTAGTTTTTGAATTTTTAGTGGAGCTGGGGTTTCGCCATGTTGGCCAGGCTGATCTCGAACCCCTGACCTCAAGTGATCTGCCCGCCTTGGCTTCCCAAAGTGCTAGGATTACAGGCGTGAACTACTGTACCTGGCCAAGGCAACATCTTATCTACAAGATAGAAGGGCACTCCACTGGGCACGGCAGAACAGTTGGTTTTTATAAGCTAGTTTAAGCAGAAACAAGAAAACTGATATAGCGTAAAAAGCAGATTGGTTAACATCAGGTTACTTCATATAACATTCCTTATACGGTTAAAGCAGACAAGGCTTCCTTATCATACCTGCTCAGGTTGACTGGGCTCCTTAGGATTGGTTGCTGTGACTCTCCTGTTCTTTTCAAAAGTGGCCAGAGTTAAGTTCAGTTTGGTTGCATGGCACTTAGTACAAGTGACTAAATTCTGCTTTGATCTGGTCTGTTGGGCCTAGTGCAGGAGCTCAGTCCAAAACAATGGCCTCCCTTAAATTCTATTTAACAAGCAGGATTACTCAGTCATATGGCAAGTGTGCGTTTAATTAAAAAAAAAAAAGGCCAAACTGTTTCCCAGGGTGGCTGTACAGTTCTATATTCCCACCAGTAATATATGAGAAGTCCTGTTGTTTGCAATCTTCACCAGCACTTGGAATTGTCATTATTTTTAACTTTAGCCATTCTGATAGTGTTCAATGATAGCTCATTGTGACTTTAATTTGCATTTTGCTAATTGAAAATAATGCTGAAAATATTTTCATGTGCTTATTTTCCATCCATATATCTGCTTTAGTAAAATGTGTTTAAAGTTTTACCCACTTTTTATTTATTTTGTTTTATTTATTTATTTATTTATTTTGTTTATTGCGGCACTATTCACAATAGCAAAGACTTGGAAGCAACCCAAATGTCCAACAATGATAGACTGGATTAAGAAAATGTGGCATGTATACACCATGGAATACTATGCAGCCATAAAAAATTATGAGTTCATGTCCTTTGTAGGGACATGGATGAAATTGGAAGTCATCATTCTCAGTAAACTATCACAAGGACAAAAAACCAAACACTGCATGTTCTCACTCATAGATGGGAATTGAACAATGAGAACACATGGACACAGGAAGGGGAACATCACACTCTGGGGACTGTTGTGGGGTGGGGGGAGGGGGGAGGGATAGCATTAGGAGATATATCTAATGCTAAATGATGAGTTAATGGGTGCAGCACACCAACATGGCACATGTATACATATGTAACTAACCTGCACATTGTGCACATGTACCCTAAAACTTAAAGTATAATAATAATAAAAAAAAGAAAAAAAAAGATTTTACCCACTTTTAATTGGTTGTTTCAGACTGACTTTTAAAAATTCAAATCTGATAATGTCCAACATCCCCCCTGCCCCCAACATGACATGTATTTTTCATTTTCTTTCCCATTCTGTTTTTCTTTTTGATGTGCATTCACTGAGTTTTGAGAAATGCATATACCCATGCAAACCAAACCCCTATGAAGTGATACAACATGATCATCACCATATAATGTCCCCTCCTATTCCCCCTTTCCAGCTATTTTCTGCCCCCAACCCCCTCAAATGTAATTCATGTTCTAAATTTTTCCACCATAGATTTTTCCTGATTTAGAAATGTATATACATGAAATCATACAAAATGTACTCTTTTGTGTAAGGCTTCTTAGCATAATGTTTTTGAGATTCATCCATCTTGCATGTATTAATAATGCGTCCCTTTTTATTGCTGAGTGGTATTCCATTGTATGAGTAAATCATACTTTGTTTATCCATTAGTCTATTGATGAATACTTGAGCTGTCTCCACTTTGGGCTATTATGAATAAAGCTGATATGAACAATCATATTCAAGTCTTTTTCTGGGCATATGTTGTCATTTGTCTTGGCTAAATACCTAGGAGGTGAATTGATGGATCACAAGATAGCGGTGTACATAACTTTATAAAAAACTGCCATATTTTTTCCAAAGTGTAGAAAAGTACTTCTATCATCCAAGATGCCTTTGGAATCTCTGACTCATGGGTTTCCCAGGAATAGAAGTGCCCTTTATTCTGGAAATTGTGGAGGTGGGATGATTCCCACCCCCTTCCTGTATCAGAATTGATTCAAGAATATGTGTGCCTCTCCTAGCAGCTCTGTTCTCACAGCTGTCAGCCCTGGTCAGGGAGAGGCGGGGATGTTTAATTATAATGTTCCTGACAGTTTCTGAGCAGAGAGCCCAGTGCCTGCTGTGCCAACAGCTGAGCTTCGCCTGAAGCTGACATGCTGAAGACTCACCTCCCCATATCTGGCTTTTCCTCTGTAGGCTTGCTTAATGGCAAACAACTCTCATGTTTCCACTTGCTCAGTGCTGGTCAGGTGCAGGTTGCAGGCACACTCCAGCTTAAGAGGCTTGCATTACTTTCCTCATCCTACCATTGGGTTAGCTGCCAGTGCATGATACAGCCCAGCAGAGCCCAAACTACCTAAGAATTCAGTCCTCGACATAACCCAGGCTCTCAGAGTTCATCAGATTTGAACATACAGCTACTCACTGGTTCTACCGAAGTCCCTCTGGGATCCATTTATGTGTCTTCTGACTTGTTTCTCCTGTGGTTAATTAGGAGATCAGGGAAACAAAGATTCACTGACAGATAGGGCACTCTTATTTTTCCCTTTCCATAAATGCTCTTTACTTCTCCCCTGTATTAGTCCGTTCTCACACTGCTAATAAAGACATACCTAAGACTGGATAATTTATAAAGGAAAGAGGTTTAATGGACTCATGGTCCAGCATGGCTGGGGAGGCCCCAGGAACTTACAATCATGGCGGAAAGGGAAGCAAACACGTCCTTCTTCACATGACAGTAGCAAGGGGAAGTGCAGAGCAAAAAGGGGGAAAGCCCCTTATAAAACCATCAGATCTCGTGAGAACTCACTCACTATCACGAAAACAGCATGGAGTGGGGACTGCCCCCATGATTCAATTACCTCCTACCGGGTGCCTCCCATGACACGTGGGGATTATGGGAAGTACAATTCAAGGTGAGATTTCAGTGGGGACACAAAGCCAAACCATATGAGGGTGATTTAGAAATGTATATACATGAAATCATATAAAATGTACTCTTTTGTGTAAGGCTTCTTAGCGTTATGTTTTTGAGATTCATCCATCTTGCACGTATGAGGGTGATATGGTTTGGCTATGTGTCCCCATCTAAATCTCTTATGGCACTGAACACTTTCTTCTTTGTATTACCATTATTTGAAGTTTTTTCTTTAGTTCATCTCGTCCCAGAAATTGGAAGTGATTTGTAAGGGTAAATCAAATATAAACACACATCATGTATTTAAAATGGAATTTTAAAAAAGCAAGGGTGGGGACATAAAATGGAGCCAGGAATGCTAATTTTGTGCACTTCCTAACCCTCCTAATAAATAGTGAGGGCCATCACTGAAGGAATGTGCTTTATTCATCTTTGTATAAATTGCAAGGCCCAACATATTCTTTTTTAAAAAATAGCTTTATTGCGATATAATTCACACACCACAAAATTCACACACTTAAGTTTAAAATTCAACAGTTTTTAGTATATTCAGAGCTGTACAATCATCACCACAATCCATTTTAGAACATTTTCACCACCCTTAAAAGAAACCAGGTACCCATTAGCATCATTCCCTGTATCACCCTACCTCCGGCCCCAGGCAGCCATTAACCTCCTTTCTGTCTCTGTGGATTTGCCTATTCTGGACATTTCATAAAAATTGACTCATACAATATGTGGCATTTTGTGTCTGGCCTCCTTCACTTAGCATAATATTTTACAGTTCATCTATGTTGTAGCATGCATCAGTACTTGATTTTTTTATGTCTGCATAATATTCCATTTTACGGATATATCACATTTTGTTTATCCATTCATCTATTGATGGGCATTGGGTTGTTCACAATTTTTGACTATTAATAATGCTGCAATGTACATGTGTGTACAATTTTTTCTGTGCACATTTGTTTTCATTTCTCTTAGATATATACCTCAGTGTGGAATTGCTTGATCATATGGTAACCCTGTTTAATCATCTGAGGAACTGCCAGACTGTTTTCCAAATGTACCATTCCCACTACCAGTGTATGAGGGTTCCAATTTTTCCACATCCTAGCCAATGCTTTTTATTATCTGTCTTTTTTATTCTTTCATTTTAGTGAGTGTGAAGTAGTATCTCATTTTGGCTTTCACTTGAATTTCCCTAAAGACTAATGATGTTAATCATCTTTTCAGGTGCTTATTGGCCATTCCTATATCTTATTTGGAGAACTATTTATTTAGGTTATTTGCTTATTTTTAAATTTTTTTTAAAATTTTTCAGTTTCAAGAGTTCTTTATATTTTCTGGATACAAGCCTTTCATCAGCGATATGATTTGCCCATCTTTTCCTCCATTCTGTGGATTATCTTTTCATTTTCTTCATAGTATCATTTGAGGCACAAAAATTTCTCATTGTGATCAAGTCCAAGGTATCTATTTTTGTTATATGGGCTTTTGATATGTGTAAGGTATTTTGCTTAGCCCAAGGTCATGAAGGTTTCTCGGCCCTTTCTTGCACAGACTGGACAAAGAAATGTTTATTTACAACAACAGCACTATTTGTTCAGCACTTGATTTAAGCTTGGCATCATGTTGTGCACTTGCCAGAGGGTATTGATGTCAATAACAGCAACAATAATAGCTAACTTTATTGAGCTCTTACATGAATGATCTCATTTAATCCTCACAACAAATCTTTGAGGTAAATATGAATATCTCCATTTTACAGATAGGGAAACTGAGGATCAAAAATATTATCTTCATGTGATGCGTAGAATTGTTGTAGCCATCTTCTGACCATGAAAGAAGGCACTGATATCAAGTTGTGGAGGACAGAAGAGAAATATGGAAAGGACCAGCTACCAAATTAAAAGCCAAAATAACATAATCAATCATGACATTAATAGCTGACATTTATTGAGCACTTTACGAGAGTTGTCATCTTATTTAACGATCATAACACTTCCTTGTGAAAAAAACCATATCATGGGGCTCCCCACCATGTGGCTCAGATATGTTAAGTATTGGGGCAAACTTTGTTGGTTTCTTTCACTTATTTCTCACTAACAGAACCCCATTTTTTTTTTACCTTCCTCTCATCAGCCATAATTTTCTGGAGAGACTGAGTTTTCTCCCATCCTAAGGAAGTGAATCATGATCAATTTTACCCAATCAGTGGTCTCATTCCTTTTGCCAATAATTGGCTAAGGCATGGAAATGGAAGAAATCCTGGCTAATGACCTGAAAGGAAGTCTGCTGAGTGGCTTCTAGGAAATATTTTCATGGAGAATAAAAACACATTTGTTGGAAGAAATGTCCTCTCTTTTGTTTAAAATGGTTGGTTCTACACATAATGTCTAGAACATGTGTTATTTTTGTAGCTCATGTGAGCAGGCACTGCTGACAAACTGGGGAAGAGGGAAGGGATATGTGAAAAGCAGTGGATCCCTGAAGAGCCACTGAATTAAAAATCTTGGAATCGCCTTACTTACAGGCTTATTGTTTAAGCCCCTCTTAGTTGTCCTTTCTGTCCCTGGCAACTAAATTCATCCTGTCTGATCTAAATACATAGGTCATAAATGGCTGAGTCAGGAAATCAAATCAAGGTCTGTTGGACTCCAAAACTCATGAACTTAATCCTTATACTAAATTGTCTCTGTTCAAATGAGTGAATTTTCAATGCAGGACTAAGAGCCTGTGATGTTATATCATATACCTTTCTATGAGGTGAAAATAATTTCATATTAGTAAGTATGACATTTATGAGTTTGTCAACTGAAGAATGATGAAGTTCTCAAATTTGGAAAGGAGAGGTAATATTCTTTTCTCAGAGATGAGAAGTGAGCACCACACCCAAGCACCACACCTAAACATCACAAAGCTATGATATCTCTCACCTATTCTCCTAAGGGCTCATTTATCTTTCTAAAAAATCATTTAAATGTTTTTCAATAAATGCCCTTTCTCCTTCTAAGAAGTCATTTATTCTCCCAGAAATGCCCCTCTGCTCCTCCCCATCCTTTATTAAGATGCTATAAAAGCCTCCAATTCTAACCTCCTTGAGTCACATTTCTTTGTGAACCCCCATGTGGATGTAATTAAATTTGTTATTTTCTCTTGCTGATCTGTGTGTTGTCAGTTTAATTTTCAGGCCCCAAAACACTGAAATTAGAGGGTAGGGAAAAGGTTTTTCTCTCCAACACCAGCCATCATAATGTGAGACAAACCAAATTAGCTCAAGTAGAGAAATCAAATAGAGATGCTCGGTTATGGAAGGCAACCGAGGCCCCCAGCTGACAGCCAGCATCAACTGCCAGACATGTGAGTGGACTAGCCTAGAGATGATTCCAGTCCCTGGCCTGCGAGTATTCCAGCTGAGGCCCAGACATTATAGAGCAAAGACAAGTTATTTTCACTGTGTCTTGTCAAAATTTCTTTCTTTTCTTTTTTTTTTTTTTTTTTGAGACGGAGTCTTGCTGTGTCGCCCAGGCTGGAGTGCAGTGGTGTGATCTCAGCTCACTGTAACCTCAGCCTCCCTGGTTCAGGCGATTCTTCTGCCTCAGCCTCCCGAGTAGCTGGGATTACAGGCGTGCTCCACCACACCCGGCTAATTTTTGTATTTTTAGTAGAGATGAGGTTTCACCACGTTGGTCAGGCTGGTCTCGAACTCCTGACCTCGTGATCCGCCTGCCTTGGCCTCCCAAAAGTGCTGAGATTACAGGTGTGAGCCACCGTGCCTGCCATCTTGTTCAAATTTCTAACCCACAGAATCCATGATAATAATGAATGATTGCTTCATGTTTCTAAGCTTTGGAGCAGTTAGTTATGCAACCATAGTAACTGGAATAGGTGACATACACACAAAAATTCAATAACGTGTCTGTAGGGTAATTTTTAAGTACAGGTCTATAAATCATGCCTATTATTAAATATCACCAACTATGGGCCGAGAACTTTATACTTATTATTTCATCTAATTCTTACAAATTGCCTACAGATTTGACCCTATTCTTATCCACATTATATAGCTGAGTAAACTGAAGCTCAGTGAGGCTAAGTAATTTTCTTGGGGTCATACAGTTAAAGTCTACACTTTTTCCACCACACCACATGGTTTCATCAGGAAGAACTATATTTTAAATATGCAATAAAAGATGGAATATCTAGGATTTGATTACAGAAATCTTACTCAAATTTCTGATGTTTATCCCTCTCAACTTCTATAAGGCTACTTTCACTAAGTGCCTGTAATTATTTCATTAGCTTCTAGATGGTTTCCCTGCTTTCAGGTTTTCAAGGTGCGAAATCTTCCCATGGTCTGTACCACGCTGAGATTCCTAAAACACGGGTAGTTTGGGTCTGTCTCTTACTGCTATTCTTGATGTAATAGCTTCATTAAAAATTCTTCCTTTTTTCTGAAAGACTGAAGCAGAAAGGCCATCTCTTCAAAGAGCAGGATCTGCCACTTCTTCTTTATTTGTCTTCTCATTTCTCTATTCCCCCTTGCACAGAGTCTGGCACATAGGAGAAGCTCAGAAACTATTTGGTAGAATGAAATCTCTTGAGTACACTATTGTGTGGATCAGTTTTCTGCTTTCTTTCAGTTTATGAACCACTTCCACTTTGCTTCATACAAGGATATTTTAGACCAGAGATGATCCCTGGGACTAGCTATAGATGAGCAGGTACTTTCTGGAAGTTGTTTCCTGGGAATTAACTTAGGCCAGTGACCACAGACACCCCTCATGCTCTTCTAAATGGCTGGAAAAGCTACATAAGCATTCATATCCCCTTTGTTGAGGCAAAATAAAAATGTTATGTTTTTCTTGGTTTAAGTAAAATTTATGGGTAACACACTTCACTGTTCTTACACTTGCAAAATTTTCTCCCAGATGGTAGATAGGTTATATCTCATTTTAAAAATTAGTTCTTAATTATATAACTAATACATAAATTATTAAGCATTATTCCCTTAACATAACTACTTTCCACAAATTATTTTTCTTCTTGCTGAAGTATATTCTCTAACAATTCTTTCTGAGGGTTTCTGTGGGTGGTAAGTTTTCTGGGTTCTTATGTATCCAAAATGTCTTAATTTCTCCCTCCTACTCATATAATAGTTTGGCTCAGTATTAAATTCAAGTTTCAGCATTATTTTAACTCAACAGTTTGAAGATATTGCTCCATTGCTTTCCTGCATGTGATTTTGATAATGGAAAATCTGATGTCAAACAGATTCTTGTTCCATTGTAGGTGGTCTTTATTTTCTCTCTGAATGCTTTTAGTATTTTCATGTTATACTTGATGCTCTAAAATTTCACTGTGGTGTCTTTAATTTTAAGTCTTTTTTAAAAAAATTACTTTTCTTGTTTTCATAAGTCATCCTGCTTGGCAATCAGAGGGTCCTTTCAATCTGTGGATTAATGATTTTTGTCTCTGAAGAGGTTTTACTTTTTGGCTGTTCTTCAAATATTGCTCCCCATTCATTTTCTCCAATTTTACTCAATGGAACTCTTTTAGAAAAATGTGAAAATGTCTTGATTGGTCCTTCATGCCTCTAATTTGATCTATTATTTACATTTAAAAGTCTCAAGTTTTCATATTTGCCTATTATTGTTTTCATAATTGCTTGATCTTTCATGGATGTGATATCTTTTCTTATCATTTTGAGTTTATTACCATTGTATATTCGTGTTCTTAGGACTATTTCTCTAGTGGAAGTCTTTTAATTTGTTGAGCTTATTGTCTATATTTCATAGAATTTTCTTTGTCTAAATGTTTGGCAAGTCTCTTATTATATGCTTCTCTTTGTAGTTGAGATATCGTATTAGACTGTCTGCTTCCTCTGGTTATGCAACTTATTTCAGATAATAGGGGAAACAGACAGAGGTACTATTTTCAGTGAGAGTGAGTGAGATGGAGAACATGCCATAAGGAAGGGTACCTTGATGACTATATGTGCTTTGCTATTTCTCATGAATACTGTTATTTTCTTAGCCATTGCCCATCATCATCACCAAGGCACTACCCTGTCTCACAGCCTTAAGCTCCTGTACTTACTGCTTTCACTTGAAGACAGATTCCTCTGTTACTGCTTGCTGGTCCATGTGGTGAGTAGAGGGATAAAAAGAGCCTGAGTTTTTTGGCTTTTCTTCCTGTGATACAAAGTGGCTACCTCTAAGACCACTGCTTGGTTCTAGGTTTCACCTCTTGGTCTGGAGAACTCTTGGGATAATTTCACCATCTATCAGAATACTCTCCCATATGTGCCTTGTGCTATGGTTCCTTGTTCAATCAGAGCCTATCTACTTCCTGTCCTTCAGATTCTTCCCAGTTTTTGGCCCACCAACAGTGATGTAAAGCATGACTATATTTAACATTTTTTCTTTTGTATTAGGTATAAGAGAGCCAGTGAAAAAACTATAAACAATAGGGGCTCAAGAAATGTATAAGCTTATTTTTCTATGCCTTAAATAACATTTGTAAGGAAGTTCTCCAGGGCTGATATGGTTGTTTTGTAATCACCAGGTTCCAGTTTATCTTGTTGCTCTGCCATTCTCAATACCTGGCTTCCACTTCCTGGTACAAGATGGCTGCTTGGGCACAAATTATGTCATTCACATTTTAACCAGCAGGAAGAAGAGGATGAAAACAGATGTGGTTTCGCTTTCTGTGAATATTTCCCGTAAGTTGTACGAGATTCTTCTATATTCTGAGTCTGATAAATATATCCTTTATATGTATCATACCTACTACTAGGTACTTTACATCTGAGTCTAAAGTCCACATTGTTAAGTTCATTCCACAATGCCAGTGGTTCTCAACATTGGCTGTACTTTAGAATCACCAGGGTAGCTTTGAAAAATAGCAATGCTTGAGACCACACCAGATCAATGAAATCATAGTTAAAAGTATTTTGTAAAAGCATCTCACCTGATTCTATTGTGAAGCCTGGGTTAAATACTACTGAGCTACACTTTATAAATTGTTTCTCTTTTTGACTACTAAGCTGTATGTCCTTCTGCCACACATTTTTCTGAGTAATTAATTGCCTACACTGTTTTTACAAGTCTGTGTAATTTTTAAATTATTTTGAAGAAGTACAGAAAAGTACCTTATTTCATATTTGCTTCAAGTTAAGAAAAAAACTATGAAGAAATATATCAGACATTAAAAATGTTACATATTTGAAAATTAATCTATGTAATAAACCATATTAACAGAATAAAGAAGAAAATCATATGATTATATCAATGGATACAGAGAAAGTGTTTGACAAAATTCAATGCCCATTCATAATTTTTAAAAAATTCCTCAGAAAACCCTATAAATAGAAGGGAACTTGCTCAATTTGATACAGAACATCTACAAAAGAGCCCTTTACAGCTAACATCATACTTAATGGTAAAGATTGAATGCTTTCTAGCTAAGATTAGAAAGAAGTTACGGAAGTCCATTCTCACCACTGCTACTCAATATAGCACTAGAGTTTTAGCCAGTGCAATGAGGCAAGAAACAGAAATAAAAGGCATTGAGATTAGAAGGGGAAAACTAAAGCTATCTCTATTTAAAGATGATATGATGATCCATATAGAAAATCCCAAGGTAATGACAAAAAACTCCTGAAACTAATAAGTGAATTCAGCAGGGTGGGAAGATACAAGATCAACATACACAAATCAATTACATTTTTAGATACTAATAGTGAACATGAGGAATGAAAAATTTAAAATACAATCCAATATACAATCTTGTAAAAATGAGATATTTAAGTGAAAGTCTAACAGAACATGTATAGGACATGTATGCTAAAAATTACAAAATACTAAGAAAAGAAATCAAACCTAAATGAATGATGAGGCATATATTGTATATGGATTAGAAGATTCAATACAGTCAATTCTCCCCAAATTGGTATATTGGTTTAACACAATTTCTATCAAAAATCCCAGCAAGATTTTTTATAGATATAGGCAAGATTATTATAAAATTTATATGGAAAGTCAAAAGACCTAGAATAGCCAACACAATTCTTAAGAATAAGAATAAAATGGGAGGAATCAGTATACCCAATTTCAAGAATTATTATGTAGCGACAGTAATCAAGACTTCGATATTGAAGGAGGCATAGATACATAAACCTATGGAATAGAATAGAGAACTCAGAAATAGACTCACACCAATATATCAAACTGATTTTTGACAAAGGTGCAAAAGCAACTCAATGGAAGATATTTTTTCCAACAAATGGCGCTAGAGCAAGACATAGGAACAAAAAATATGAACAAAAAATGACATGTGAACAAAAAAGAACAAAAAATATGAACAAAAAATGACACATGAACAAAAATTATAGACAAAAAATATGAACCATAACCTAAACCTCACACATTATACAAAAATTAACTCAAAATGGATCATAGGAATTAGGTAAAACATACATTTATAAAAATTTTAGAATATAATATAAGAGAAAACTTTAGGACCTAGACTTCATGAGGGGTTCTTAGTCATGACAACAAAACCACAATCCATAAAGGAAAAAATGAATAAATTAACAGCTTCTGCTCTGTGAAAGACCACGTGAAGAGGATGAAAAAATAGGCTATAGACTGAGAGAACATGTTTGCAAACAATGTATCTGACAAAGGAATCATATGAAGAACATATAGTGAATTCTCAAAACTCAAAATCAGAAAAAATAAACAATCTCATTGGAAAATGGGTAAAAAGTCTGCTTGCTTCGGCAGCACATATACTAAAATTGGAACGATACAGACAAGATTAGCATGGCCCCTGCACCAGAAAATGGGTAAAAGGGGCAGAGTCATTTCACCAAAGAAAATATGTTCAACATCATTAGACATTAGAAAAATGCAAACTTAAATCACAACAAGATATTACTGCACGTCTAGTAGAATGGCTAAAGAAAAAAAACATGACAGATGATGCTAGTGAGGATGCAGAGAAACTGAATCTCTCATACACTGCTGGTGGGAATGTAAAATCTCACAGCCACTCTGGAAAACAGTTTGGCAGTTTCTCATAAAACTATATATTGCAATTACCGTATGACCCCAGTAATTGCAATCTTAGGCTTTTCATTTCCAGAGAAGTGAAAACTTATGGTTGCGCAAAAACTTGTATACGATTGTTCACATAGCTTTATTTGTAGTAGCCCAAAACTGAAAACAACCAAATTGTCCCTCAATAGGTGAATGTGTAAACAAACAGTGGTATATCCTTACCGTGAAATACTATTCAACAATAAAAAGGTATACATTTATGATACATGTAACAACTAGCAGTTGTCTCAAGAACATTATGGTGAGTGAAAAAAAGCTAATCTCAAGAGGTTACATGTTGTATGATTTCATTTACATAGCTTTCTCAAAATGATAAAGTTACAGAGCTGGAAAACAGATTAGTGGTGTCCAGGGGTTAGGAATGATGAAGGGATGGAGTATTGGGTGTGACTAACAAGAGGTAGCAATAGCAAGCCTTGTGGTGATGGTACAGTTCTATATTTTGATTGTGGTGGCAGCTGCACTTAATATATACACAAAATAAAATGACATAGAATTATATATATTTTGCCAATATCGAATTCCTGATTTTGATATCGTACTACAGTTTTCTAATTTGCAACCGTTGGGGGAAATTGAGTGAAAGGTGCACGGGCTTCTGTACTATTTTCCCACTTTTTGTAAATCTAGAATTATTTAAAAATAAAAAGTTAAAAAATGTACAGAGAAAACTAGATGGACCACCCATATGCCTACCACCGAGTTTTACGCAATCATAAAAATTTGCCATATTTAAACATTTCATTTTTAAATTAACATACAATAAAATTGACTTTTTGGTGTATAGTTGTATGAACGTTAACATATGTACAGATTTGTGTTAACAACACAATTAGAATTTGTATGAACCACAATTGGAATCAAATACACTTTTGTCACCCCTCAAATCTCCCTTGTGCTATCCTTTTGTAGTCACACCTTCCCTCCACACCTAACCCCTGGCACACACTGCTGTGTTGTTTGTCCCTATTGTTGGTCTTTCTAGAATGCCATATTAATGGAATCCTACACTATGCAGTCTATTGAGACTGACATCTTTTACTTAGCATAAGAATTTGAGAGTTATCCAAGTTGTTGTGATTACCAGTAGTTCATTGATGTTATTGCTGAGTAGTAGTCTATTGTATGGATGTAGCTCAGAGTGTTTATCTGTTTATTTGAGCTGTTGAAGGATATTAGGCTGTTTTTATTTTTTTGCAGATTATGAACAGAGTTGCTCCAAACGTTTATGTATAAATTTTTATAAATAGTTTTTCTATTGGGATACAATTCACACACCATACAATTCGCTCCTTTAAAATGCACAATTTAATGAGTTTGAGTATATTTATAAGGTTGTGCAGCCATCACTAACTACTATATAATTGCAGAACATTTCAACAACCCCCGAAAAACCCATACCCATTAGCGGTCACTCCTTTCTCCCTACCGCCAGTCCAAGACAACCACTAATGTACTTTTTGTCTCTATAGATTTGCCTGTTTTAGACATTTCATATAAATAGAGTCATATAATGTGCGGCCTTTTGTGCATGGCTTCCTTCACTTAGCATAATGTTTTCAAGGCTCATCCATGTCGTAGTATGTATCAGTAGTTTATTCCTTTTTATGGCTAAGTAATATTCCATTGTATGGATATATCATAATTTGCTTATCTGTTCATAAGTTGATGGACAGTTGTTTCTACTTTTTTGGCTATTATGCGTAACGCTGCTATGAACATTTAAAATTACAAGTTTTTATGTGGACAGGTGTTTGTGTTTCTCTTGATTATGCAGAATTAAATGTAGAATTGCTGAGTTATGTTGTAACTCTGTGTTTAATCTTTTGAGAAACTGCCAAACCATTTTCCAAAGTGGCTGTGTTAATTTATATTCTCACCAGTAATGAGGGTTCAATTTCTGCACATCTCCGTCAATGCTTGTTATTGTCTGTATTTTTTTAAATTAGTTATCCTAGTAGCTGTGAAATAATGTCTCACTATGGTTTTGATTTGCATTACCCTGATGGTTAATGGAATTGAGCATCTTTTCATGTGCTTAATGGCCACCTGTATGTCATCTTTAGAGAAATATCTATTCAAATCCTTTGCCCGTTTTCAAATTGGGTTGTTTGTCATTTTATTGTTTAGTTGAAAGAGCTCTTTATCCATTCTGGATAGAAGTCCTTTATTAAATATATAATTTGCCAATATTTTCTTCTATTATGTATGTTGCCTTTTTCTTTTATTCATGGTGTCCTTTGATGCTCAAAAGCTTTAAATTTTGATAAAATCTAATTCATATTTTCTTTAGTTGTTTGTGCTTTAGGTGTTATATCTAAAAATACCATTGGCTAATCCAAGGTCAGTTACAAAGATTTATAACCCTGTTTTCTTCTAAGAGTTTTAGTTTTTAGTTCTTACATTTAAGTCTTTGACTCATTTGGAGTTAATTTGTTCATATGGTTGTGGTGGCATTTATAACTTTCTTTTTCCATTACATATTCCATATTCACTAGGGATTTTTGTTTTTGTTTTGCTTGTCTGTCTGGGTTTTTTGTTTGTTTGTTTATTTACCCTGTAGCATCATCCCAGTTTTTATTTCAAGAAAAACTGAGCCTTTGATAGTTTGCCGGTATTGGATTGCTCTAACTTTCAAGTGGTGGAGATACCATTCCATTTGGAATTAAAAACCATAACCACACCAAGTCCAAAGTTGCAGGGAGAGAAGCAACTTTTTTTTGTGAGCGGGTCATTAGGTGTAATAATAATTGATACCATCTCTATTTCCATTCTTTGATAGCCTGGCTTTAAGAGAAATATTGGTAGCTAGTTCAGAGCACAACTATATCCATAGAACAGTACTTCAACTTCACAATGTGTAGCCTCCCAGTTAAGGCCATAAACTGATTCAGTGTTAGGTAATGCACCATTCAATAAGGCTAGCTGCTTCTGAGAGACGGCATCCATGGTAAGATCTGTGAAACCCATGAATATGAGGCTACTATCTCACTTTTTTGGCTGACAAATGAATTATTTAATTAGAACAAATGTTGCAAAGATGCTGTGATGATAAGACATTCAGTAAATCCATGGATGGTGATATGGCAGAAGCCTTGTGGATAGCCAATGTGAGCATGTATAAAAAATAGTTGTCTATTCCATTGAGGGCAAACATCTGTCTCCCAAATGATAGTTGTAATTTTACTGTTACCAGGTAGGCATATGGTTATACTGGGTTATGGTTCCAAATTAGCAGCTCAGCAGTGGTCTCTGCTAGAAGAAGATTGGGCACTCAGCAGTGGCTGTAGCCAGACTAGTTTTTTGATAAGAGGAACCTCATGTTATTTAGCTATATGCATCTTCCACCCTTACCATCATGGACGCTTTATTCATCAGCCATATTGACCAAGCTCTGATGTAGCTGGGCAAGGACATCTACAGATAAAATGTCTACTTTCTCAAAAAATTTTAGGACACACGAAGTCCTGATGTTATATATCAGTTCTATTTGAAGAGGAAATGCTGTTGTGCATGTTCAGCTTTATGTCCTGGCAGATCAAATAAAACCCACATACGGTGGGAAGCTTGGGTTCCAGGGTCATTCTGTTTCCCATGGTCAGGCATTAAATTCTTACCTAGAACACACAAGAAAATCAAGAGCGACTTTACAATATAAGAGGCTTTTCTTCAAAACCTTTGAGGGGTGGGGAGGGGCTTATACAAATGATTCTCCTATTAGGACTTGCCACCATCTCTATATAACAACCTGAGCTGCTATAGATATTTTTGAGCACCACTGGATCTATTGGGTCATAAAGCCCAAGTGTCAGAGATAACATGAACCCTGCAGGTTCGATCAGTATTATGTTCATTGGGATGGTGTGATGATCAAGGTGCCTAGATTAAGCTAGAGATCCAGAAAGCTGGTAAACTGCTGAAATAAGACAATAAGCATGTACTGATGTTAGAGGGTATACTTAGGATATATAGTAAGGGTAAACAGATTAAAGTAACTTGTTTTCTGTTTTGTGGATATTGGGGTAGAGAAAATGTTCGATTGGTAACTGCATATGAGGCTCTAAGACCTGTGTTTATTTGGTGAGGTAAACATATCCTCTATGTTGGATCAGGACATCCTAATGGTATAACCACTATTAAGGGTTTGTTCAACGATTAAAGTCCTACGTGATCTGAGTTCAGTGAACCACTTATCAATAGGACTGATAGGAGGATGATAGCTAGGATGACTTCATATGAAATTGTTTGGGCTACTGCTCATAGTGCTATATATATATATATATATATATATATATATATACACACATATACACATACACACACATACATACATATATATATATATATATATACATAACATATAACTTTACATATATATTTTTATGTATAGCTGTATTCAGCCATTCTTGCATTTCTATAAAGAAATACCCAAGACTGGATAATTTATAAAGAAAAGAGGTTTAATTAGCTTATGGTTTTGTAGGCTGTAGAGGAAGCATAGCTCCAACGTTAGCTTCTGAGAAGTCCTCAGGAAGCTTATCATCATGGCAAAAGGCGAAGTGGGAGCAGGCACTTCACATGGCAAAAGCTGGAGCAAGAGCGAGAGAACAAGAGAGCGAGAGAACAAGAGAGCGAGAGAACAAGAGAGCGAGAGAACAAGAGAGCGAGAGAACAAGAGAGCGAGAGTGAGCGAGAGAGAAAGAACACTCATGCATGAGTGCATTGGAGGGGAGGTGCCACACACTTTTAAAAGACCAAATCTCAGGAGACCTTACTATCAGGAAGACAGCACCAAGTCATGGGGGATCCACCCCCACAATCCAAATACCTCCCACCAGGTCCAGCATTGGGGATTACAATTCAACATGAGACTGGGCAGAGACAAAAATACAAACTATATCAATATCTATGTGTCATATATAGATATCAGGACACTAACTTTCTGTCAGATATTTAAGTTTCAAATATTTTTTCTCAGTCTATTATTTATTTTTTAATGTTTAAATGCTGTCTTTTGCCGTTAGAAGCTGTAAATGTTTATGAAATCAATTTATCAATATTTTCTTATAAGATCTCTGCTTTCTGTGTCTTAAGAAATTCTTTTCTACCGTAAGGATTTAAAGGAAACCTTTTATGCTTCCTTCCAATAATTTTAAAGTTTTGTTCTTTATTCAGGTCTTTAAAACATCTGGAGATTATTTTTATGTATAGTATAAGGGGAGTATCTAATTTGATTTTTTTTATATGAAAGTTAATTGACTTAATACTATCTATTGAATACTCTATGTGTTCCTTACTTTATGCAATTCAACAAATATCCAAACCTATTGTGTGTTAGGTATTGTTCTAGAAAGTTAATTATGCAATATTAAAAATATAGACAAAAGTAGTCCTATTGGTAATGTAAATTATATATATCATTAAAGCTGTTAGAATATTCCTACCCTGTTGAAGCTTATATTATACCTTCAGGAAATATGTAATTAATAAGTATATTACGTAGTATGTTGGAGGTGATAAATGTTATGGAAAAATAAAGAGAGTAAAAAAATTTTGAACTGCTAGGTTGAGAGGGAAGTTTGTAACTTTAAATCAGGTAGTCTAGGTTGGTCTTGTTGAGAAGTCAACCTTTGGGTGAAGACTTGAAAGAAGTGAGGGAGTTGGCATATGAATATTCGGGGGATAATAAAAGTTAATACTTATACATACTATGTGCCAGGGTCTGTTCTAAACACTATACATATATTTGCTCATTTAATCCTCATAACAACTGAGAATGCTACTATTATTATCATCACCTTCGTGTGACAGATGGGTGAAGTGAAGCACAGAGGGTTAAGTACCTCACCCAAGGTCCCTAGCTAATAATTAGTAGAATCAAAATTTGAACCTAGGCAGTCTGGCTCCAGAGTCCATGCTTTTCCCATTATCTTATGATATAGCAAGTTCCTGTTTATGCTGATCTCTGTTTTGTTTAATTAATCTTTGTCTGTCCTCCAGGCCAACACCACACTATCTTCATTACTATAGCTTTATAACAAATTTTTGTAGGGCAGTTATTGGCTTCTGATTTCTCTTTTTTACAATGATCTTGGCTACTCTTAGAGTTTTATATTCTTCCACAAAAATTTTGAAGTAATTTTTTGAGTTTCACAAAAATTCGTGTTGGGGCTTTTATTGGAATTTCTTCATATGTATAGATTACTTTGGGGAGGATTGATACCTTACAGCATTGCATCTTGTTATCCATGAGCCTGGTCTGACTTTACATTTATTAACAGCTTCTGTTATGTTTTTCAATAGTTTTATGATTTTCTCAATAAAGGCCCTATGCATAAGCAATCTTGTGATATGAGATGTGAGTCCAGGGGAAAAGTACATCTTTAAATATGGAAGTCAACTTTGAAGGTCAAGGGAAAGTCCAACCTCGTTTCCTGTTTGCTTACTCTGTCCCACACAGGATCCTACTCTTTGTGCTTCTGATTGGTAACATAAACTAATAATTTTTTTGGTATTTTGTGTGTGTGTGTGTGTGTGTGTGTGTGTGTGTGTGTGTGTGAGAGAGAGAGAGAGAGAGAGAGTAAAAGAGAGGGAGAGAGAGAGAGAGAGAGAGAGAGAGAGAGAGATGGATGAGAAATTTCTTGACCCTGCTCTTTAAGCTGAGTTTGATTAACCCAGACTGCAGTATATCAAGAAAGATCTAATCCCTTCTTCATGATTTTTGCAAGATGCATAGTCCTGTGCTATCTCCTTTCCTCAATGAGTCGTCAAGCCCCTCAGGGGCAGTGATGGATGTTTCCTACACTGTCTTGCCTGTGGTACAGGGCACATGGTAAGTAATCAAAAGGTCGTATTGCTACATTTCCAACATAGAGTTGCTATTCTTTTTCTTAAATCACTTCACTCCCTCAACCGTGACTTTCCCTTGACCTTCAAAGTTGATTTCCATATTTAAAGATTTACTTTTTCCCTGGACTCACATCTGAGACCTTCTCTTTGCCAATGGCCTGTTTCCTCTGAAGAAGTGAGAAAGAAGGTCTTGGTAAGTAGCTGAGAGTTCTTTGAGAAGAAATATCTTTGGAGATGATCTAGTCCAGTTTTTGCAAAAGTTTTTTATCCCTGCAGAACATTAGTCCATGTTCTGGGGCGACCAAAAGGTTCTGAGCTTTAAAAATAAGTGGAAGCCCTGTATACCAAATTGTTTTCTTTTTGAGACACATTTTATAGTTTATATTAAAGGCCCTGACAAGTTTTATGATAAGCAAAATTATCTTCGTTTAGCGCAACACTTTTCAGACATTTTTGACCACAGAATTTTTTTTCCTGTTTTTAAGGAACACCTATTAATGCCCACATATCTCAAACAAGGAAATATTGATCCTGCCTATCCCTCTGCTCTCTATTATATATAAAGCAAACAAAGTCATTTATCCTAGGCTGTCTCATAAAAACATTTTGTAGCTTCCACAGTAGCATTGCAAAGCCTATATTATGAGGAATTTTCCTCTGAAATACATTCCAAATGGTTCGTGTTTAAGTTTTATTATCCCATCCATTGTTGTATCTTCACCAGAAATAAAATGATTTTTAGTTCTGATGCAAAATTAATTGCTACATATTTACTGAATGCTTATGATGTGCAAGAAAGAAGTTTTAAGACATTAGCTTTGTTGGAATTTCCATATTTTCCTGCCCTTATTCCTTGATTTTTCTTTGCCTCTAGCCTGAATAATGTTGATTTTTCATGAGGTTGCCACAAGGTAAGGCAACAACACATGGAAGAAAACAGGGCAGACACATGCATTCCCCTGAGGTACTTGTATAGTAACCAAGAAATCAGCAGCAAGGTGTTGGGGGGACTTAACTAGGTAGGTTGCACATTTGAGGCTATCCACTCAACTAACAGACAGTTCCAGGCTTTGCTGAGTCAACACCTTTCACAGAAGAAAGACCATCATATATTTTATCCCACTTGGTGGCAGCTTACAATAAAACACATGCAGAGAAAATGCTTAAATATAAAAGTTCAACAGCACTATATAAAAGGAAGGGTTAATTATACTAGGAATCAGATATAAAATAATTACTGAGCATGCTCTTAGCTCTGAGCTTCCTGGAAGCCAAGCAAAAATAGAACCATGATAGTTCAAGGCTGCTACATATTGATGCATGTAGCTTCAATTGTGAAGATGGTAGCATCCCCCTACCCCATTTAACCTCTCACCTTTCTCTTTTGTTTTATAGTTCGGCCTGATCTAATTAGTTCAATTTGGATGCTTCCTTGAGTTTTTTTTGTAACATATTTTATATAAAGAAGTCAGTTAGTGACAAATAAGCAGTTTGAGGAGAAATCTGTTAATATTTATTTTGTAGCCATCAGATTTACTTCACATAGAAAGGTCTTTGGGTTGGGTTTGAACTTCCAAACTCTCAAAGGTAAATGCCACATTAACCTTTCATTAACCAAATTCTTACACCAAGCTGATAGATTTGGGATGTCCTTTTTACTTCTATCTTCCATAATATTCTAAAATTATTTTCCCTTGTTTTGTTCCTATCCTACTTCCTCTTAGTCTACTTTGTTGACTTCATTAAAAAACAAAAAACCAGTTGTTGGATACTTGAGCTAAACTGCCTTAAAGAATCTGCAGATTTTATTTTATTTTTTTTCTCTCAAGAGGGTAAAAGGAAGAGAGCTACAATTTCTAAGAAGCCTGGCTTGGCTGTCTGAGTCTGGCCCCCAGGCAGATTAGGCCAAGGTTTTGGCCAAGTGAAATTGCCAATTTTCTAAAAGAAAGGGCTAGCACATTGCTCATTAGAGCATTCTGATTTTGTCTGCGCAATCTTTTTGCTACCCCGCAATTTCCTGTTGGTTATAAATGAAACCTTTCTAGCTGTTAATGCAGCCTGTGAATTTTTTTAAAAGCATGTAATTAATCATAGGAGGTTGGGGGGATTCACTAAGCCTGAGTTACATGGGAGAAGCTGGACAAGGCACTAGGACCTAGAAGGCATCTATCCACCCTGGCAGGAATTTCTTGCTTGGAGCTCAGACAACAAAGGCATAGAGAGATTGGTTTTCTTTCTCTCAGCATCTCCACCCAACCAGCAGAAAACCGGTGAGTGGGGCTTTTAAGTGATTTTCAAGAAGAATGTAACAGATGTCAAACGGGAAAAGCACAAGGCAAAGCCTGCTCTCTCTGTCTCTCTGTCTCCTCTTCTCCTTTTTTGCCTTATTCTATCCGATTTTTTCCCTAAGCTTCTACCTGGGATTTTCCTTTGGAAAAGTGAGTTTGATGTTCCTTTGTTTTCACTGTGATGTTAATTTAGAATAATACTACCTCTGATCCTAAAGCAAAGCAAAGCCTTACTGGCATGCCTGGGGAAATGTTTGCTGCTTGCCTTGAGGAGGTGGGGTCTCTTACCACTGCAGGTTGTCTGACAGAGACAATGCTGAGCTCAGCATAGGTCATGGTGACATTGGAAAAAAGGCGGAATTGAGCCTGGCAGACCCATTAGGCACCAGTCTTTCTTATCTCCTGTCCTCCTGGTCCCTTGCAAATATATTGATGTGGCAGTGTGTAGCAGCTGAGCCCTGCTTGCTTTGTGAGTCCTTTTATCCCCATCTGTGAGATGCATGTTAATAGTTTGGCTCGTAGGATGTCACTACATTTGCTAGCATTTGTGGCTTCAGTTGTATTGGGTTTCATGTTTTGATTGTTTGGGGTTCTTGGTGGGGGAGGGGGTTCAACAGAAGGGAGAAAAGCAAAGCCTGACAAATGACCATCTTTTCTCAGCTAATGCACCTGGGCAATATACAAGTTTGGGGTGAATTGCCTGCTGTGAGGGTAAATGTCACTTCAATTAAGGTAGAAACCCAGAACAATGAAAGGTGTGCTTCCTTCTAAAGGTCCCGTATGCTGTTCGGAGAGTCATTTGTGAATCTTTCAACAATTAAATTATTCCATTAAGAGGTGTTGCTGCATCAGTGGGGAGGGGGTGGAGCACCTGGGGGGGAAAAAAAAGGATTTTGTGAACAAATGGAACCGGGGGAAGACAGAGCTAGTAACTTGTTAAATAACTTATTTTTCTAATCCTTTTTCCCCCCAGCTTATTTCTTATGAATGTCGGATAGCTGCACCAGCTTGGTGGGGAAAGGGTTTGATGAATAGCACAAAGACACTGGCTGTTCCCTGGAGGCTGTCCCTTTAAAGGAGAATCTTAGTTTATTCTGGGGGGAGGGGATGCACACATTAGAGTAGGAAAGAGGGCTTGGAATAAAATGAAAACACTCCCCCTTCATAGTCATTGTACTGAAATGCAAAGACTGCTTCCTAAGCTGGAGATGCTAACCTTGGGTAGCTCCTTCTGTTCTCTTCAAGGGGAATTTTGTCAGGCTATGGATTCATTTACAACTGTTAGTCATGTGGGCATGTGTGAGGAAACAGATGCCAGTTTTAATGTATTTAGCCCGAAGTTCCAATTTGATAGGAGCCACTGTCAGTAAGTCTCAGGATTTTCAGCTATTTCAAAATCTCCCCTTCTCCTCTGTCTGGAACAGTGCCAAGAGTGCCTCCCTCTCTATCTCTTACTCCCAACCCCCACAACCACCAGCACCCCCGCCCAGCCCCTCCTTCTTCTCTATTAAGATCAATATTCCTGCAGGTCAGGGGCAAGCAGCAGATGGGTCACAGGCTTTTTTCAACCAGTTCTTTTCACAAGCAGCAGATTGCAGATCTGGATCTGGCTAATATTTAAAATCCCTTCTTTTTTCCTTCTCCTTGTCCCTTTTTGTTTTTGCCTCTCTTCACCCCCATCCCTTTCTCCCACGCTCAGGTCTCTGAGGTTCCACCAAAATATGGAACTTGATTTTGGACACTTTGACGAAAGAGATAAGACATCCAGGAACATGCGAGGCTCCCGGATGAATGGGTTGCCTAGCCCCACTCACAGCGCCCACTGTAGCTTCTACCGAACCAGAACCTTGCAGGCACTGAGTAATGAGAAGAAAGCCAAGAAGGTACGTTTCTACCGCAATGGGGACCGCTACTTCAAGGGGATTGTGTACGCTGTGTCCTCTGACCGTTTTCGCAGCTTTGACGCCTTGCTGGCTGACCTGACGCGATCTCTGTCTGACAACATCAACCTGCCTCAGGGAGTGCGTTACATTTACACCATTGATGGATCCAGGAAGATCGGAAGCATGGATGAACTGGAGGAAGGTAATTTAAATAGTGGGTGGTGGCCGTTGGTGGGAGGTGGCATCATTGGTTATGGTTACATTCTTCGGTTGCTTTGAAAAAAAATTAGGCAATGTATTTTTCAAAACACCGGGTTGATTGATGCTCAAATTTCTAATGCTATAGACATCAACAGAACCATTAGCAATCACCCTTCAGTCTCTGCTGAGGTTGAAGTGTGAATGGTGGTGATCATGCATTGTGCTTATCTGCCAGGGTATAAAAAGGAAAATCTTAATTGTAGCATTTACTCTAGATTTTGTTCATAATTAACTCTGAGTAGCACTATTGAGGCAGAGCATGAAATCATTAAGGGTATAACGAGGAAGGACATTTGGTTGGGTTAACAGAGAAAATATTATGCCCAAATTTTCTTTGAACTGCTGAGAAATTATTTGTGAATTGCAACTCATTGGAAATATGCACCCTAAGAGCAGGATTTCCTGGACATATTCACAGAGGATTATTCTTTTAGGTAAGTGGTCGCGGCTCAGCTGTTGCTTCTAAAAAGCCTACTTTAGGGTGTGTCCCTAAGGCTGAGGTCATTGGGAGAAATACCAAAGAAAGCTGTAGGTATGTCTGGTATTTTAATAAAGACCATTCCTATTAGAATAGGATTTGACTCACTATACCTAAATCCCCTTATAACCTCTATAGATTTTTGTGTGGCAACTAAATTTTCTGAGTAGATTGCCAAAAATCCCAACAACCTGTGTACCCACCTCAAAATAGGGAAAATCCTACCTCTTACCAGAACTTACCCAGCCATAGAGTCTTCTTTGTGGTCATTTAGAAAATAGATCTTGGGTCACATTTTTAACATTCTATATTATCAAATCAATTATACTGAGGATGCTTCCCTATTTTAAAATTGGTGGATATAACACATGTGATCAATTTGACCTAATACAGTGCTTTAAAGAACAGCTTCAAGGAGTGGTGATAATTAATGTGTTCCTCCTCAAGCCCCTCCCCCATTATCCAGCCCTCTCTCCTCACTCCTTTCATTCCCTGAGCAAAGGTGAGTTTAAAGCAGGCAGATCTCTAGAGTAACCAAATTATGAAATAACTAACAAGGAAGGAGAAATAGCACCTTAAAGAATTTGATGTGGGAAAAACCTGCCTCTGCTTCACTGCTTCTAAGTTTCTTGTGTTCCTAGACAAAGGAGAATGAGGGTTTCCTTTGTACAAGACACTAGTTCTCTCAAATAGCTGCTGTTGCCCAAGTTGTCAGGCAAAGTGATTGGGACCAGTTACTTATAAAAGACAGTGTCCATATTGTTGCTGCATCTGAGTCTCAAGGTTCAAGTTCGACTTCCTTCCTTTCTTTCTTTCTTTCTTTCTTTCTTTCTTTCTTTCTTTCTTTCTTTCTTTCTTTCTTTCTCTTTTCTTTCTTTCTTTCTTCCTTTCTTTCTTTCACAGAGTTTCGCTCTTGTTGCCCAGGCTGGAGTGCAATGGCATGATCTTGGCTCACCACAACCTCTGCCTCCTGCCTCAGCCTCCCAAGTAGCTGAGATTACAGGCATGTGCCACCATGCCTGGCTAATTTTGTATTTTTAGTAGAGGTGGGGTTTCTCCATGTTAGTCAGGCTGGCCTTGAACTCCCGACCTCAGGATCCACCCGCCTTGGCCTCCCAAAGTGTTGGGATTACAGGTGTGAGCCACTGTGCCTGGCCGAGATCTTTCTACATAGCTGACCTTGAAAACCAATGCCCAGGAAGCTTAGATTATTTCATCATGTGTTCAATGGACAGGCAGTGGTTAATCCTAGGCCCTTCCTGACCATCAAAGGACTGGCCATCCTGGAGCATGTCTTAAAATAAAGGAGAGTCACGGCAACTTTGAAGGGTTTGAAGCTAGGTCGAGGGAGCTGTCCAACAGAGTAATTGTTAGGGTGTCTGTCTTTTGTCACTGTAAAATCCACATCTCAGTCAAATTTCAGGGATTTCTCTGTAACAACTTTCACAGACAAAGCACCCTGTATCACCCAATATGTCCTCATTTCCATGAACTGTGATATTCTAAAGACCACAATAGACATTAGGAAAGAGTACTGAACCAAGTGACATTGTATTCAGACCAAGTATTAGAATATTCTTGTCTCTGATATAAGAGAGGCGTTATGCACAAAATTTCCCCAAAATCCATTTTTTACATGTTGATTTTTCTCCCTAGATATGTGTGTGTGTGTGTGTGTGTGTGTGTGTGTGTGTGCGTATTGATGTATCACGAGGGGCTGGTGATAATCTCTGTTCAACATAGGTAGGCAATAAATGTAACTTTGAAAAGACTGCAGCTTTCTATTCCCTTGATTACCTTTGAGTCATATTAGGTTGAACTCCTCTTATCTGTCACTCCTGGGTGCAGTAGTACTTCTTGGTGAATTCCTGGACTATGTGAAGTGTGAATAGGGCTCAGTTGCATTTGTTCACATGTCATGTACAACTACAAGGCACAGTGGACCTCAATACCCATTTAGTCCTTAGTACTGCCTATTCAGTCAAGAAAATTCAGGGCTATGTCTGGGATAGTGTTAAGAAATGTGATCAATTTTCCCACTGCCACAGAGCCAAATGGGAAAGGGCACTGGGATGAGGAGGATGAAGACAATGTGTCTTTTTCTCTCCTATTTTATATTTTAGAACTGCCCATCTGGGAATGGAGGACAGACTTCCCGGTGTGAAATATCAGGGTCATTGGGTTCTAGTCTTAGAGGCAGCAGATTATAATGAAAACAGAAGTCTTTGGACTCAGATTTGGTTGAAATTCAGGATCTGTCAGTGCTAGCCTGTAAGACCTTGAGGAAACCATCTAGATTCCCTAAGCCTCATTTTGTCATCTGTAAAGTGGGAATAATGGCTTTGAGGATTAAATAAGACAGTAGATATAAAGTGCATATTACTCTGCCTGGCACACAGTAGTGCTTAATAAAAGGTAGTTATTATTGTTTGAGTTATCCTAGTTTATAGCTGGTTAGCTACATGATCATAGGTTTGTTCTTATCATTAATGTGACTCATGTTAATTATTTTTAAAATAACTCTTTAAAAAAACAAACAACTGTATTAAGGTATAATTTGCATAACATGAAATTTACCCATTCAAGTGTACAATGATTTTTAGAAGATTTATCAAGTGGTGCAACCATCATCATAACATAATTTTGGACCATTTTCATTTCCTCAGAAAGAAACCCTATTCCAATTAGTTGTCACTGCATATTTTCTCCAATCTCTTCAGCTCTAGACAATGGTTAATCTACTTTCTGTCTCCACATATTTGCCTATTCTGCGCACTTCATATAAATTGAATCAAATACTATGTGGTCTTTTGTGCTTCTTTGACTTAGAATAATGTTTTCAAATTTTATCTATGTTGTTCCATGTATTGGCACTTCTTTCCTTTTTGTTGAAGGATGATATTTCATGTATATGTAGACCACCACATTTGTGTATCTCTTGTGAATAATATTTTTAACTGTAAAATGGGACTAGTAACACCTGCCTTCTCTATCCATTAGGGTGGTTGTAAGGTTAAACTTAGATAATAGATATGGAAACATATTGACAAGGTAAAATTATAGCTACAGGTACTATTATTATTAATGATGTGAAAATACTAATAATGGAAATAATAATAATAATGATTATGACAATGATTATGTTAGTAAGGGATTGTAATGGTCAGTGGTTTCCAAACCCGGCTGCCTTTCAAAATCTTTCAGAGCTTTAGAAAAATATTACATTCCTGGGCCACACCCAAGATCTATTGAATCAGAATCCCCAGGGCTAGGGCCCCAGTGTTTGTGTTTTTACAAATCTCCTCACATGACTTTTATGAGCACTTAGACTTGGGAAGTATTAGACTGGGTGATCTTGATGGTTCCATTCACCTAACTAAAGTGGTAGGAGTTTTGAGACGTGCAGAAATCTGTTTTAATTTTTTTCTTTTTACATCTTAAAGGAATAATAGAGCATAGAACACACTGTGTTTTCAAATGGCCACATTATTACATTTTTAGCCTAAAAATAAATGAAATTTAAAAATAATTGGTTAATAATCACTCTGGCCTTGTGACACTCCTTTGTCTAGTGCCTCTTGTCTACGGTTTTCTGCTAGATACAGAAAGTATCAAGGGAAGCATTTTGGATCAAAGGTTATTGATGTCAGTTTTCCCACAGTCCTTGGGTACACCGAGGGTCTTAGTGAAGCCATGTAGGATATGGTCCTCATTAGCTGTATCCCAAGGAGGTCAATGAATAAAATCCACTGGTGGGTTTTCCTTTTGTCATGTCTTTGTTTTTTTTATTATTTTTTTATTTTATTTATTTTTTTTAGAATCTTTCTCTTTCCCTTTATATCTGGTCCAATTCTTTCCCCATTTTCTTGTATGTAAGTATCCAGATCAACCTTGGGGATATCATTTATGACTAGCCAGCTTTTCTGAACCCAAATTGAGACAAGTTCAAGAGTTATTACACAGACCATGGGACAGAATATTTACAATTGGAACAGTCTTAGAAAATCCGAGCTGTGTAGTCACACTGGCTATGATCCAGTTCTTTTACCATAGCTCATATGTTTCATTGAGATGAATCCACCTTCTCACTAATTTATTCTCTAACTACTAAAGCAAGTACATTGTCAAACACAAGAATTTTAAGATACCTGGGAGGGATGCATTGCTAATAGATATGATAATCAAATGTCATTTAATATTTTAATATAATACAGTAAAGTGTCATTTAATATATTCCTTCTTGAGTCAGGAAGCCCTGGAGAAGAGGAGAAAACCCAGGCAGAAGCTTGCTTTTGCACTGAGAAGATACAAATATATATAAAATGCTTTTGAAAATGCAGCCTTCTTAAAGAGAAGGGAGGTAGACATTAGATCATCTCCAGCCCACAGCTTGTTTCATTTCTGCCCTTTCAGCTGTGCTTCCATGATTTCATTCCTTATCCCCTCACCCTAAAGCAGGTTTTTAGTTCCAGCGAATTTGCACCCTGCTTGGCTGTGAAGCCAGCTTTCCCTCTAGGCCCCCAGCTGGTAGGAAATAGCCCTTGGAAGCTGTGGCAGGATGGGAACCCAACTGTGTAAAGGTGCGACACACCTCATCCAGCTCCAAGTGCCAGGCAGCAGGAAGTGCAGGAGGCACTGAGCTCTGGCAGCAGACATTGAAAATGCTGGCAAAATCAGGACAAGGAAGTCTTAGTCTAGCAAAGAAGAGCATTTGATGTCTTTCTAGCAGAAGTGAAGAGTCCTTGGAGGTGGGCAGCTATTTTCTTAACATTTAATTATCCTAACAGCTTTGTTTTCTGAAGCCTGTTTGAGAAGGAAAAGAGAAGATTCCTCCCTATAGACTCTAGGACCTAGAAGGGACTCAGGTGTCACCTAGTGCATTATCTTTGCTTTAGAGAAGGCAAAGCTGAGACTCAGAGACATTAAGTGATTTCCCTGAGGTCACACAGCTTTTAAGTGCCTAGTTGAGATTTGAATCCAGGTCTGTGTGACTCCTAAGTCATCACTCTTGACGACGATAAATATCCTGCTCTCAGCGGGCCTCTGCAGAGGCAGCAGCAGCTTTACTGGGTGTTAGCATAAATCTCCTACATTTGGCATTTGCCACAACTGGAAGCCTCCTTCCAACCAGCAGGAAATCTTATCCTTGAATCACAGGCCCCCAGCAGTGCTCATGTCATATCATAATCACAGCTCAGTTCCTAGATGGTTGCCCTTGATACTTTCTCTTTTTTTTCCTCTTCAGCTTCTATTCCTCTTTTTAGTCTCTTTCTCTCAGCAATTTTTTCCTCTTTTCCTCTTTGCTCTTTCCTTCTTGTTCTCGCTTCTATTCCGTAAGATTAGGGGCTTAATAATAACAGAAATTTATCAAGTGCTTACTATGTTCCAGGCTCTGGGATCAGCATTTTATTTTATTTTATTTTATTTTATTTTATTTTATTTTATTTTAAGACGGAATCTCACTCTCTCCGTCACCCAGGGTAGAGTGCAGTGGTGCGATCTCAGCTCACTGCACCCTCTGCCTCCCAGGTTCAAGCGATTCTCCTTCCTCAGCCTCCCTAGTAGCTGGGATTATAGGCATGTGCCACCACGCCCAGCTAATTTTTGTATTTTTAGTAGAGATGGGGTTTCACCATGTTGTCCAGGCTGCTCTTGAACTTCTGATCTCAAGCGATCCACCTGCCTCAGCCTCCCAAAGTGTCAGGATGACAGGCATGAGCCGTCGCACCTGGCCATGGGTTGAACACTTTTTATCCATCATCTGATTTGTGCCCCACAACAACCCCACAAGATAGGTATTCTTATTATCACCCTTGCTTTGCAAAGAAGAAACTGAAGCCAAGGGAGGTTAGAGTGCACAACTAGGAAGTGTTGGGGACCCCATCCTGACTGACATCACATCAGCTGCGCTTTTTCCATTACTCCATATTCAGCCCAACGAGAGAGTGGAGTGACTAAAATGTACCACTGGAAGGTGCTCAACATAGATTTGGCTGAGGCTGGGCCCTCTGGAAAGTTCTTGGGTGCTATATGATACTATAGCTGTCAGTCATCATGTTCATTTTCATCTGGAGACGGTTAATCATACTCATACTCCAGAGGCTTAAGAGGTTTAAGAGATGGGAGCAAAAAAGTCCAAAGTCCTAATAGGGCTACACAGCTGACTCTCCAGAGGAGACTGGATGAGTGAAATCATAAATATATAGCTTCACACATTTCCACACCACCATTTGTCTGACAGTTTTAAAGTACATGACAAGTTATGGAAAACATCTGACTCAAAGGCAGTGACCTCCTGCAAGGTGCCAGTGAATCTGGTGAACTGCTAAGTCAAGAGACCATTTCTAGGGTTATGGGGGTTATTGGCTGTGAATATATGGAGACACTAAAAGGGCCCCTTCCTTCATCCTTTTAAGTCAAAAATTAAAGACCCCAGCCTATAATTACTTGGGTTGGGTTGAATTAACCAGCAAGGGAGTCAAAGAAATCAGAGCTTCTCTTGGCTGAGGTATTGACCATCTCATCCTGGGTGTCCATGTATGCACCAAGTGGGTAAGGGTGCCTATCCTCACTTAAAACCATCCCTTTGTCCCCCTGTCAAGATAGAACTCTGGGACTGAGGGCAGCTTTGGAAGTCACTTTGCTTATGTTGGATGCCACTTACCCTCCCCCTCCGCACACACACACACACACACACACACACACACACACACACCACGCACACACACACACACATACACACACACATAAATGTCCTCAAAGGTACACTAGAGATTTTGACTGAAACTTCTCTTAGCATTACTGAGAAATTTATTCATTAACATGTCTTAAAGGATTTGGTGCTATGGCAAAGCAATAAATATTTGCAAAGGGAGTGAATTATCAACCTGGTGTTTCTGAATGCAGTTCTCCTGCTGAGACCAAAGGAGAGCCATCAGACTATAATTGTGTTTAATGCTTTCTGTGCACTGGCTAGGGTTTATTTATTTATTTAGGGTTATTACCGATGACTTAAGCCTGATTAAATCACACTGTTTCTGCAGCTCAACCTCTCAATGAACTTCTAGATACCTTGAGGCTAATGTGTTTTACTCAACGAATTCAACCTTTTCCAGTATTCTCTTCCCCAGGCTGAGCCTATCTCTCTTCCTATTTTCTTCAGCTCATAGTCCCAGGTGTCCAGTCCCCTCCTCTTGCCTCTGATCCCTGCATTTCTTTTGCGATATTAGTCATTTCCTCTAGCCCAAGGTAAATGTGAAAATTACACTAGATCCTTCCAATCCATAAATCAGGCTGTATAATGTATTCTCACTTCTTTACCTCATTACTTGTGGCAGCCAAGGGTGAGCACTGGTGAAGATGACCCTGAATACACAGATCTTATGTGCATCCTTTGAGAGGATGGAAAGATGAAGGGTGAGTGGTAGAAACATGAGAGTATTTTTCAAGCAAAAGCTAAGGTGTTTATATGTACTGGTTGTTATTTAGACAGTTTCTCTACCTAGTGTAGCATAAGGAGTAGAGGACACACTTATACACACATATAAACATTCAACATATGCACACACATTTCACATTTCAATATTCCATACTTGGCCATATACTCTGTGCAAAGGATGACCTGGTTTCTTATCAAGTATGTATGTATGCCTGATATACAAGGTTACTTGGTTCATTTTAACTTGGCATAAAAATGTTTTAACTTTGAAAGTTTTCCTTGGTTCATAATATCACAAAGGGATGGGACTTTGAGTCCAAAAATAGGACAGGGATTTTAAGAAATAGAAATGTTAAAAATTCTCCAGTAATGCCCCTGAAAGCTAAACATCCTAGAAACTAACATAAATGTTTAAATTCCAGAAAAAACCATATCAAGCTTGGAACTCCACTTGTTATATTAAATTTAGATATGCTCTTTGTCCTTAGAACCCTTAGCTTTACAGAGTTCTTCAACTAGGTGTGTCATTATATTGAAGGATGTTTTGAGAATTACTCTTGAATTTGGATGAGCCAAGTTTTTAGCCCAATTAGGAATTGCACCTAAGGTTGGTTAGTATCACCATTTATTGAAAAGTTCTACTCCAGTGTCAGTGTGTATTAGTTTGGTTAGAATAATCCATATATCTGCTATTAAACTAATCACCTAATCACTTATTTCTTGCCTTAGGGGAAAGCTATGTCTGTTCCTCAGACAACTTCTTTAAAAAGGTGGAGTACACCAAGAATGTCAATCCCAACTGGTCTGTCAACGTAAAAACATCTGCCAATATGAAAGCCCCCCAGTCCTTGGCTAGCAGCAACAGTGCACAGGCCAGGGAGAACAAGGACTTTGTGCGCCCCAAGCTGGTTACCATCATCCGCAGTGGGGTGAAGCCTCGGAAGGCTGTGCGTGTGCTTCTGAACAAGAAGACAGCCCACTCTTTTGAGCAAGTCCTCACTGATATCACAGAAGCCATCAAACTGGAGACCGGGGTTGTCAAAAAACTCTACACTCTGGATGGAAAACAGGTAGGTACTTTTTCAAAGTACTTTTCCCGTTTTTTCTAAATTCTTAGATGATCATGTTATACCTAAAATATCATTTCTTGTTGACGGACTCTTCCTCCACATCTCATCATCACAACCTGATATTATAGGTTTCATTTGGAGAAAAGGTATTTTTAGCAGGCAAAGCAATGAATCAGGAATCTGAGGCTTTGAAATTCAATCTGCTTCTGATTTACCATGCAGAAAGGTCACTTAGCCTCAGCTTCCTTATCTGCTATGAAAGATGTGTTAGAACCTAGGTTCTATGAATTCTTATGAATATGAATTTAGCTATTATATGATGCAACCTTCATTGTTCAATACATGTGACTGAAAATGATATTTGCCCATTCATTACTTTTTAGATACCCTCACATTGATGCTCAGCATCTATTTTGATAAAAGGAAGTTGAAGTGACCTTCATATGCTCTGAAAGAAGTCAGATACGGGGAAAGCACTGAAGCCTCTGGCTCGTTGTCTTTGCCTCACACTAAACCATATTTATTCTCTTTCTCTTTTCCATATGACATAGCTGTCTTAATTTGGTTCCACTGATGGTTTGTGTGAGAAAGGGACTATTTCAGGATCCTAAAATTAGCCCAAGAAAGATGCTGCCATCTGTTCCCCCTCCAAATCAGGTTCTTCATGTCATTGGTTATACTACTAAAGTGCCACCTATATTAATATCTGGGAAAGAATGCAGCCAGGCGTCTCCATCAGACAGATGCACCATTCTCTTAAGCATAGGGAGCTGTAAATATACAACAAAAATGTTCCAAGGGAATTGGAACAGTGGCTGGTTCTGTTGGCTCTAAAGAGAATTCTGGTCTCCCATCAGAAAAGACAAGTGTGGATTAGTATCAGTCCATATATTCTACCTCTTAAAATGCCTTTGGTGTTTAAACAACTATATAGAAAAGGTATTCCTAAAAGGCGGATTCACTATATATCAAAGTTACTGATGAGTGTTCAAATGCAGACCTGTGCCTCCTCCTATAATTTCTGATAGTAATGTGTGCTCCAAGATTTTAAGTTTCAGGGAAAACTCACCCAGGTACTGTGTACTTTGCAATTTTGAGAAATATTTGGCTTTGTTTCCCATCATTTTGCGATCTGAGAGCTACCTGGACACATTGGTTATACCTGACTTCTGTTTGTTGTACTGAAGCAATGGGTTTGTCTGTGATGTTGGGAAAATCTCCAATTCCCAAGCATTTCTCTAAGAGTGTCTATCTTCTAAGCACCATGTATGTAATAAACAGGAGCTGTCTAAGTATAGGCCTGATTGCCAAAGCCTCATCTCAGAGAAATAGGACATAGAAAGTTTAGAATCATTGGATCACAGAGTTGAGAATGACTTTAGAAGCCATGACATTTAATCTTCCACCTAAGGCATGGATATCCTCTACAATCACTCTATAAGACTATAAGACAGCCTATTTCACTGTTCAACAGCTGTGATTTTTAGAGTTTCTTTATATTAGGCATAAATCTGATTCCCTGTGCCTTCAGCCTTCTGAAGTAATATAGGAATATGCAAATCAAAAACATAAGACTGGGATTAAGAAGATTTGGACTTTAGTCTTGATATTGTCACTTAACCACTTAACTGTCCTGAACCTCACACTCCTTCTCTGTACAAAAGGACTGATCACACCTGCCCTGAGCATGCTCACAGGACTCTTATGAGGATTAAATCAAATAATGGATATGAAAGCACTCTGTAAATTGACACATGGATGTATATATATATATATGCATATAATTCATCATTAAATGAGATTTATGGCAATTTTCATATATTAATAAATGTTAGCTCTCTTTCTCCTACTTTATTTATTTATTTATTTACTTTTGGAGTCAGAGTCTCACTCTGTCACCCAGGCTGGAGTGCAGTGGTGTGAATTTGGCTCACTGCAACCTCTGCCTCCTGAGTTCAAGCAATTCTCCTGCCTCAGCCTCCCAAGTAGCTGGGACTACAGACGCACGCTGCAATACCCGGCTAATTTTTTTGTATTTTAGTAGAAACGGGTTTTCACTGTGTTGCCCGGGATGGTCTTGAACTCCTGAGCTAGGGCAATCCGCCCACCTTGGCCTTCCAAAGTGCTAGGATTATAGGCATGAGCCACCATGCCTAGCCTCTTCCCCCTACTTTATCTCTATCATTCTTATTATAAATTTCCAACATTTGTGAATATATACCATGCCTTGGCATTCTGCTTTTGTTCCAAATAATATATAAAGGGACACCTCCATCTCCTAGGGAAGCAAGCTCCAGTCCAGTGATGCATAGGGTTTTGTCCTACAGCAGGCCATGCAGAGTGGCAAGCTCTCTCAAACTCCTTTAAACATCAGTTCCCTTTCTTTGGGGGACATATTACAAAATACCAGCATATGATATGACATTCATATAGAGAAATAGAGTGGTGCCCAGTGGATCTGAACCATGCCCTTTCAGGCATCTGTACCTCTGTATATACATTCCCTTTCTTTAAAATGTCTTCCTCTGCCCACCCTGACCCCTGGAGGTCATCTTATAAGACCTGGTTCAAATATCACTTTATCTTTGAAAATTTCTGTCTCTGCTAAGGAGGGTAAAAGCAATCCAAACCTTTTTTTTTTTTTAATTAATGCTAAGCTCCTGGTATATTATGGATGCTCTATAAATGTTTTTTGATTGAATGAACTGACATAAACAGATTCTCAGATGGCCCAGGTAGATGTTTTGAGGACCCATCTTTCAATTCCCCAGACATTATCCTTAGGTCTTTCAGAAGAGATAGGGGGCCTCCAAAGGAGTGCATATTCCACCAGGTGGCTTCTATCTGGTGGTTTACTTGGAAGTCACTGAGGGCAGACATTTAAAGCAACATTTCCCTAAATACATTCTAAGGAGAAATGTCTCCATGTCCCCACCCCAAAAAGCTCTCCAAAGAGAATTCTGTGGGCAAATAAGGTTTGCCTTATTTGCAGTAAAATGCTGCAAATTGTGTGCCATTCTTAGAGATTCCAGTGCTCACTGGCACATTGAATGCTCTGAGAAGTTCTACAGCAAGGAAATCCATCCCAATCCTACTTAACCACAAACATTTTTAATGAAATATACACACACACATACTCACACATACATATATGTATATGTATGTATATATACACACACACATATATGTAGATATACACACACACATATATGTAGATATACACACACACACATGCACAGAGTGCACTAGAAAATGTTGTTTACATAAAACACTGATAATTAAGAACTAACTACCGTAACTTTAATGGTAATATTGGTATGCACAGGGTGACCACAAATTAAACGTTGTTTTGTTACAGCAAAGACATTAAATAAAATTTGGGGGTACATGGACAAACCTACTAATTACAAAATAGATGCTGGGTATAGTGAAAGTTGGTGCCAAATTCAAAATTTTGGAGCTCAGCTCATTTCCCAGGTCTGGTGATGACAGCACTAAAGTTAACACCTGTCAATCACTTTGATTATTAGTGGGTATTCGTACTGCTTGCGAATATAATCTTTTTTGTGGAGGCTGAAGTCACATGTATGGCAATAGCTTGACTTGCTTGGATGAGATTCCAATGCATGTTTTTGGCTATACGTGACACAAGGCACTTATTTGTAAAGAACAAAGTATGGTCAAGACTATTTGTTATGGAATGATTTATTCATGAAATCAAGGCCATCGCTTGATTTCAGTGTTCACTATAACTGGATTCCAAATCGACCAAACCAGGTGGTTTTCCCTCTTCATATAAATAATGATCAGCTAAAAGAGCCCAGTTGGTTATTGCAAATTTATTGTTGCTTCTGTAATTGTGTGTATCATTTGACTGATTGGCTCACACTGATTGACAAGCAATCTGCAGACATGGCTCATTTCTTTCTCTCTGTTTTTATTTTGTTTGAATGTGTCTTTTAGAGCCCTTGATCTTTCTAGGGCTTATGTTTGATGTTATAGAAGTTTGGTTTCCTGACCTCTTGCCTCTGAGATATTTGGGGTCTGTGTAGACAGGAAAGCCAACCACCACTAGTAGGAAGACACCCCAATTGATTCCTCACCTCAATAAGAAGTTATTAATGATATAAGAAGTAGTTGGTAGGGCTCTGGCTACTCCCAGGGATTAAAATGGACTTCTAGGAGGTCAAAGAGGACATGATAGAGGATTGGATGGTGATGCATATTAGTTCACTTGCAGGTGAAAATTGTTCTTTTGATTCCTTGGCAGCTGGAGTGGTTGTGGAGTGTTGACAAAATTATCCAATTATTAATTTCCATAACTAAAGTACACATTGACTTTCATGCATAAAAGTGATGGATACATAAAAACTGGGACCCAAATTTCTGGTTCACATGATAGTAGTAGTTTAATAGATACATGTTCTGGCCTTAAAATTAATTGCAGAGCTTTAATAATAGACTTCCAGCTTTTTGGCATCATACACAGTGGTGCAGCTGGTCTTCACAACATCCATTTTCATGCTACACTGATTGACATCTCTAGATTCAGTTTTGTCCACACCCAGAATCTGTGCAAGTGAAGATTCATTATTGCCTCAATATACATGCCTAAGACATAAGTATGGCCTTTAGTGCTTGTTCTAGCTTTGTTAGGCCAATTTTCAATTGGAAGGATTTATTTTATGTTTTTGTCTGTACCTTTATAGCACCGACTACTTGGATCTGGGATTACAGGTCTCAGAATAACAGAGGAGAGGTTTAAGCCGATTCCAAGATTATCCATAGCCTTGGAAACTAGTACAGGGGTTTTAAGGAAATGGTTGATGCATAATACACAGATGAGAGCATGAGGGATGTTTCAATTGCTGCTTAGTATTCTAGGAAAGACTTGCCCTTTCCACGTTGCCATACAAAAGAACTGGGTGCTGTAAGCACAAAGGCAATTGCAGGAAACACAGCAAGACAGATTGGATTTAACCTTGGAAATGTTGAATGCACTTACCAAGGTAGGTGTGTTTTTCCTTTGCCTACATAGCCAGTTTTTCTCTCCCCTGTTATCTCTGCTTTCCCAAGTAATATCTGATCTTATTTATACTCCCTGGCCTCCGGCTCTCTCAGAGCCAACCTCTCTCTTCTCCTAGTGTTATGACCCTGTCAGTCAACATTGGGCTCATTAGAAAAGGCCACATGGGCATAAATTATGCCTCAAGAGGGAGGTCATTTATCATTGGCCTTCACTTGAGAAGATCAAGGCTGGAAAGTTCATGTTTTTATTACCAAAATTCTCCTTCTCCAACCTTTCAGAGGTTCCTAGAGAAAGGCTTTGGGAGGATTGGCTTGAGCATGAAGTGAAATAGAACAAAGGTGAAAAGCCAGGCTGGGCTCTGTGAAAGGAGACAGTTTGCAAACTACCATGTCATATGTGGTGGTAGATTTCACACTTTAAAAGAGTGGCCAAACATCAAATATACTGCCCTTCTGGAAAGAAAAGACTAAGTGTAGCCTGGTGATCAGTTATTTCTTCAGTAATTTATCCTCTTAGAGTTTTATTGTTGTTGAGATGCTCCTGGCTCTGAGCAGTGACAGAGGTGTGACTTGGCCAATTCAATCAAAAGCTTTGGCATAGAATTCCAGTCTCTTGTGCTGACTAGTCTGTCACTGTCTAGCATTCAGCAAGTGGAAAGAGCCCTAGGCTGGGATTCAGAGGCCTGAGTTTTAGTCTTCACTCTGTTCTTCCCTAGCTATGTAACGTGGAGCCAATCACGTCTCTTTTTGGGCCTTAATTTTTTAAGGAGCCTTAGTATATGACCTGTAAGAGTCCTTCTAGTTCCACAATAACAGAGTATCCACCTCATAGTGTTGGTTCTGTCGAGACATGTTTTCACTCTTCTGAATGTACTCTACCTCTCTATGCTCCTAAGGATTGCCAATGTGATGTCGTACTTACTTTGGTGGATACATTGCTTTCCAGGATGGCCTCTAAAAGGTATTTGCATAATTCTTATATTCAGATCTTTCTTGCTGCCTGCAATGACATCACCAAAGAATATTTTCAAACTTGTAATTTTCGTTTGACCCCCTTTTCTTTACACTGTGGATGGTATAAGGAGCAGAAGGCAGAGGACTCACAAAACAAAGCAAGGCAAAAGCCAGCCTGCTAAAATTGTGGCAAGTGTTTGACAGTGCCATTATTAAGCTATTTATATCACAGTGGTGCTATTTTCAGTGCTAGGGAAGGATTATTACTAATGGGGGTGGTTAGCACTGGTGCTAAATGCCTTGCTATTTCTTGAGTAGACTGAAGAGATTCATCAAGTGGGGATTGATCTATCCAGGGATGCAGGCTGTTCCATTTAAAACTGTTGAAGCAATGGTCTTTTTGTTCTTAGTTCTTTATTTTCATCTGTTTCATTATTGTCATTCCCTCAAAGTGGGAGAAAAAGCATTGTCTCCAAAAACAGTTTTTAAAAACAGCTTTATTGAAATATAATCCCCACATTATATATTTCACTCATCTTATGTATAAAATTCAACAGCTTTTAGTATATTCACAGAGGTCTGCATCCATCACCACAATCAATTTTAAAATACTTTGATTATCCCAAAAAGAAACGCTGTACCCTTTAGACATTGCCCTCTAGTTCTCCGATTCCACTTCCCCATCCCTAAACAATCACTTATCTGCTTTTTGCTCTATGGATTGTCTTATTCATGACATTTAATAATAATGGAATCATGTGGCTTTTTGCACCTGGCCTGCCTGACCTAGCATAATGTTTTCAAGGTTCATCCATGTTGTAGCATATATTGGTACTTCATTTCTTTTATGTGTGAATAACATTCTATTGTATGGATTTACCACACTGTATTTAGTCATTTATCTATTAATGGACATTTGGGTTGTTTCTATCTTTTGGCTATTGTGATAATGCTACTATGAACCTTCATGTACAGATTTTTATGTAGATACATGTCTTCATTTATCTCGGGTAAATATCTCAAAATGGCATTGCTGGGCTGTATAGTGTGTTTAAAATTTTATGAAACTGTCAAATGGTTTTCCAAAGTGGCTGCACCATTTTCCATCCTTATTCGTATTGTATGAGAGTTCCAGTTTCTTCACATCCTCACCAACACTTGTTATCTTTTTTTTTTTATTAGCTCCATCCTAGTGGGTGTGAAGTGGTATCTGATTGTGGTTTTTCTTGATTTGTTTGCATTTCCCTAGTGATTAATGATTAATGATATCACACATATTTTCACATGCTTATTGGACAATTGTATATCTTCTTTGGAAAAATGTCTGTTCAGATCATTTTCCCATTCTTTAATTGAGTTATTGGGCTTCTTATTAATGAGTTGTAAGAGTTCTCTATATATTCTAGATACAAGTCCTTTGTCACATATGTGATTTGCAAGAATTTTCTGCTAGTCTGTAGCATGTCTTCATTTTCTTAATGGTTTTCTTAATTTTTCAAGAGAAAAAAAGCTTTTATTTTGATGAAGTCTGATTTATTAATTTTTCTTCTATGCATTATACCTTGGGGTCATATCTAAGAAATCTTTACCTAACCCAACATCTCAAAAATTTTCTCCCATGTGTTCTTTTAGAAGTTTTATATTTTTAGCTCTTAGATTTAAATCTCTGATCCATTTTGTGTTAATTTTTGTGTACAGGATAAGAGTCAAGGTTCTTTTGGGGGAGGGGCACATAGATATCTGATTTTTCTAGCACTATTTGTTGAAAAGAAAAGATAAGACAGTTTTCTTAATTTAAATTAAATATGAACAGTGGTTCATATAGCCGAGTCCTCTGAAGGTTTTTAGAATTTCTAAGAACTGTGGGTGTGAACTAATGTAACACAGGAGCTTCTCCTATGCAGATGTTGTGGAACAGTACTCTACTCTACAATACTCTACAATACAAGTACTCTACAATACTCTAAGGCTGTATCAGTAAGGCTGGCTTAGTCTTATTTTGTAGGGAAAAAAGAGGTCTTGATAGGAGAAGCTAAAATGGGCTATTGTTCCTTGACAGTGCCCTGCCATGTTCTAGACTCCTAGAGTTCCCACCCAGACCTATCTGAACTTCCCTGTCAAATATCCTATACACTTCTGGTGATGCTAAACAGGATTGGGGGAGGGGAGTAAGGAGATGTCCAAAATTGTTGGGGTTATTTTCTTTTGTAACATCTTGAGATATAATTCACATATCACATATTTTGCTTATTCAAAGTGTACAGTTCAATGATTTTAATATGCTCACAGATATGTGTGACCATCACCAAAGTCAATTTTAGAATATTTTTATTACCTCTCCTACCCTCTATCCCCCACAGCCCTAAGCAACCACTAATCTACTTCATAGTTCTATAGATTTGCCTTTTCTGAACATTTTGTATAAATGAATCATATTTTATGATTCATGTATATATGCTAAGTGACTAGCTTCTTTCACTTAGCATAATATTTTCAAGGGTCATCTATGTTCTGTCATGTATCTATCTGTACTTTGTTCTTTTTTATGGCTGAATAGTACTCCATTGTATGGATATACTACATTTTGTTTATCCATTCATTTGTTGATGAACATTTGGGTTGCTCCATCTTTTGCCTATTAATAATGCTATTATAAACATTTGGGCATGATTTAGGTATAGACATATATTTTCATTTCTCTTGAATATATATCTAGTAATAGAATTGCTGGGTGTTGAGGTTTCTTGATGTTCTGTCCCCCAACCACCAAACTCATGTTTCTAAAATATGTACCCCAAGGCATGCTCCAAACAAAGAAATTCACAATCTTTTTTTTCTATGTAGATATTTGTCCCCCAGAGTTCTTTCCTAAACAATATAGAAGGAAACATGAAGGTTTCTTTATTAACTTTTCTTAAAGCTAGAACAAATCCTAAGAAGCTATTTTCTTGTTCTTTTTAATCTGAGTTCTACCTTGGCCCTCCTAACCTTCCAGAATCAAAGATGCATTCTAAACAGTTGGGACCTTCAATCCAGTGGGTCACAGATTCTCCCCCAAACCACCAAAGTTTCTTATTTTGAAAAAGGAACAGAAAAAGGAGCTTCTAGAATTCCAGTCTATCAATTTTTCCTAGATTTAGAATACTTTTATAATCGATACCACATATTCTACCCTCTTCAGGTCTTGTGATGTTAGCTCATGAGATAAAAAACAACTTGGGTGTAGGGAGCCACAGCAGGTCTTCATCATTAGCCCAGTTGTCATCGACCAGGACAATTTGCTGTCCAGGGGACACTTGGTAGATATATTTTTGGTTGTCACAACTAGGGAAAGGGTGCTGCTGACATCTAGTTGGTATAGGCCAGGGATGCTGCTGAACATCTTACACTGCACAGAACAGCGCTTCCCCCCACAAAAAAAGAGTGATCTGGCCCCATATGTCTATAGTAGTTGAGAAACCCTGCATTACAGGTAAGGTGCCGGGCAGACACAGCAGAAGATGAAGCTGAAAGGAAGGCAAAGGCAATATTTAGCAATGACCTTGTAAACTGTGTTAAGGAACTGGTATTAGTCCATTTTCACACTGCTATAAAGAACTATCTGAGACTGGTAATTTATGAAAAAAAGTGGTTTAATTGACTCACAGTTCCACAGGCTTAATAGGAAGCATGACTGGAAGGCCTCAGGAAACTAACAATCATGACAGAAGGTGAAGAGGAAGCAAGGACCTTCTTCACATGGTGGCAGGAGAGAGAGAGCAATGGGGAAGTGCCAAACGCTTGCAAACCATCAGATCTCATGAGAACTCACTCAGTATCATGAGAAAAGCATGGGAAAAATCTGTCCCCATGATTCAATCACCTCCCACCAGGTCCCGCCTCCAAAATTGGGAATTACAATTCAACATGAAATTTGGGTGGGGGCACAGAGCCAAACCATATCAGAACTTGATTGTTACCATGTGTTAACAGAAGCCAGTGAAGGATTTTTTTTTTTTTTTTTTTTAGCAGGATATCACTATTGCCCAGACTGGAATGCAGTGGCATGATTTTGGCTCACTGCAAGCCTCATCCTCCTGGGCTCAAGCGAGTCTCCCACCTCAGCCTCAGCTTCTTGAGTAGCTGGGACTACAGGCATGGACCACCACATCCAGCTAATTTTTGTATTTTTTGTAGAGACAGGATCTCACCATGTCGGCCAGGCTGGTCTCAAACTCCTGAGCTCAAGTGATCTGCCCGCCTCAGCCTCCCAAAGTGCTGGGATTACAGGTGTTAGCCACTATGCCAGGCCCCACTGAAGGATTTTAAGCAGGGGAATTATATGATCAGATATGCAGTTTGAGTAGGTCACTGTTGTTTTGAATTTCAGGAAGACATAACTAGTAGAGAGTCCAGATAGAGGCTGTGTGGTAGTACAGGCAAGAGAATAGAAGGATCTAAATCGAGGCAGCAGTAGTGGAAATTAAAAAGGAGAAAACAAAGCCAAGAAATATTTGTGAGGTAGAAACTGGAGAACTTAGTGATTAATTGAATTTGAGGGTGTATTAATTGTCTATTGCTGTGTAGTAAGTTACCACAAACATAGCAGCTTAGAACAACACTCATTTATTATGTCACAGTTCCGTAGGTCAGAGTTAAAGAAGGCTTGACTAGATTCTCTGTTTAAGACCTCACAAGGCTGAAGTCAAGGTGTCAGATAAGATAGGCTTTTATCTGGAGGCTCTGGGAATGAGTCTGGTTCCATGCTTGTTCAGGTTTGGGGCAGATTTCAATTCCCATGTCCTTCTTAGATGTCAGCTGAGAAATGTTTTCAGCTTCTAAAGGTTACCCACATTCTTCTCACATGTCCCCTTCCATTTTCAAGCCAACAACGTACATCAGATTGTTCTCATGCTTAGAATCTCTCTGATTTCCTTTTCTGCCACCAGCCTCAGCAAATTCTCTGCTTTTAATGGGGTCATGTGATTAAATTGGTCCCAACTGGATAATCTCCCCTTTGATTAACCCAAAGTTAACTAATTTGGTAACATTAATTACATAAAAAAGCCCTTTTGCCATGAAACATAACATAATCATGGGAATGGCAACTCATAATTATAATTCAAAGAGAGGAGAATATACAAAGGTCAGGGTCATTGAAGGGTCATTCTTAGAATTCTGCCTACCACAAGTGAGGGAATTGGAGGACTCAGGTGGCTGAGGTTTATGGTTCAGTTATGTGGGTGGATGGTGGGGCCACTCACTGAGGCAGGGAAAGCCAGGGCAAGAAGTAGGGTTATTTATTTATGTATTGACAGAATCTTGCTCTGTCGCCCAGGCTGGAGTGCAGTGGCATGATCCTTTCTCACTGCTGCTTCAAACTCTGGGGCTCAAGTGATCCTTCCACTTTAGCCTCCCGAGTAGCTGGGACTACAAGCGTGTCTCACCACACCTGGCTATGGGGTTTAGATGCATTGAAGTTGGGGTACTTTGCTACATCTAAGTGGAGACTCCAGAAGGAGAAAGTGATAGATATGGATCTGGAACTCAAGAGAGAGGTCTTGGCTAGAGATATAGGCTTGGGAGTAATCTTCAAACAATGGTAGTTAAAATCAGGTAAGTAGATGAGCTTACCAAGGGTGCATGTGAGAAATTGTCCAAGGAAAAGGCCCTGTAGACATTTGCATTAAATGGGTGGGTAGGCATAAGAGCCCAGGAATTGCTAGAGAAAACCATGGAGAACTAGATGAAGATGTATCCAGAGAACATTAAAAGGCAGGTGCGGGCAGCCGTGTCAAATGTAGCAGACAGGGTCTGTTTCAGATAAAGATTTAGGATAGTAAATCAATAAAATCCAGATGATTTGAATAGTCCTTATTGCTGGGAACAGAAAGCAAAATTCTCCAGTAGACCAGAGGGCAAACCTTGGCTCATAAAGACTCTCAGAGGTGACTAGGCAGATGGAGCTATGACTGGGTCAGGCTGTTGGATCTGTTTCTTGGCAGCTTCCCATGCTCCAGATCTATCAAAACTAGTCTGTCCAGTGTCCCATTTTCTCTTTGCTAACTCTTGTTTTATATGTAGTTGGTTGCTAAAATGTCCCATGTAACTTACTTATGTCATGTATACACTATAACATATAGAGCTAGCCCTTAGTCCAAGTGTGTGCTCTTGTCTTATCTTATCACTTAAAGTCCTAACTCAGATAAATCAGACATTTTCTGAGTCTGATTTTCTCAAAGCCTTCATCATAGTTCATGGATTTAGTTGGTAAGGCTCTAACAAATCAATCCTCACTGTGTTAGCTCCTATCAATTTAGAGCACATTTCTCAAATTACGCTATATGTAACACTAGTCTGATCAAATATTCTGTGGTCAAATAAGTTTAGTAACATTGCATAGTATAGTCTCCTCTTGGAAAAAAGACTCCAAGAATCCCTCTACAAAGAAACCTGCTTGTGTTTAGACCAGTATTCCCCAAACTTGTTTGAACACCAAACCTTAAATATAAATCTATGACCATAGGGTAGAATGCACTTTGGGAATCACTGGTCTTTGCCTCAGGTATTTATTTGTATTTTAATTAGAGAATCTTGAAAAGGAAAAACCTTCAAGGCTGAAAGGAATAATTAAATTGAAAGAAAACAGGCACCACTGCATTTTGATAGGGCTTATAAACTAAATCAAAAAGGGCTTTGTTGATAGAGTACCAACAATCACTGCAAAGGTAACACCTATTCACCCATGGTAAAGGCAGGACTTCAGAGCATCCATCTCTGATATAAACTATAGAAGGAAAAGGAGAAATTGAACAAAAGGGGCAAATTTTCTAGAAGATGTTTGAATAGTCCCCCAAAGTTGTAAGAGGTTAGGAAAATCCTATTGATCATAGGCATTAAAGTCTGGCTTCTCTAGCCTTAGTGGTAAAGAGGAAGTAATATCAATTGCCAGGTTTAGAACCTTCACAATAGATTTAGTCCTATACAAACAAGCACTCCTTCCACTCACCACACCATGCTGCAGAGTCTCACTGGAGGAATCAGTCAGGTTTACTAATTAGACTTAACTTCCATAAGTAGTGTTTACCATTTAAATAGACTGCACACTTTCTATTGCACCAAGCCGATACTTCTCCAGCTGGCAATAATTTGGAAGACCCTAGGGGTCTGAATGGCTCGCACAGCATGATAATATCCCTTAAAAGAGGTTTTGAGCCAGAGACCAGCACCTCTCTAAGTCTCTTTGTGTCTGCATACACACACTTGTGCCCCTGTTTCTTTTAAGTATTGGCTGTCTCATCTGATGAAGTCGTATATAAATATTTATATGTCAGAACATTTCTGGTCTTACTCACCAGAGACATTACAGCCTTGATAAAAAGCCTCCCTCTGGCAGTATTTGCCTCCACAGTTTATTTAATATGGCAGTTGATAGGTGAACTTCCTCTTGCTTTTGCAAAGAGAATGGAGCCTTGCCTTGCTTGGAGTTTCAAGTGTTTGACTTGTCTCCTGTTGGGAATTGATGTTTGTGCTTTCCCAGATTTCTCTGATTAAAAGAAGTGTGAGTTCTCTAGCAGGTCATCCTACCCTTTAGATTTTGGATCTTTAGGAATAGTTGATAAACTTAGGAATGCATTATGCTTCTGGTGGGCCCTAGGCACTTTTGCCTTTGTGGATCTCTTCCTCCACTAAAAAACAAACTACCATTGTGCTGATATAAAGATGTATATATTAATATTACATTTTAAAGCATTTTTACCAACCTAAACGTTTATTTATGTTTCTGGTTTTCAAAGAAATTAAACCCTTTTCATGGGTCCATAACAGTGCTGTGGGCCCTAGGCACTTTGCCTACCATACTTAACAGATAATCAGCCCTGGATATACAGAGCTATCTGATTTCTGGGCTGGCATTGTGAGGTCACATGGGCTAAGCAATGAATAAGAATGGTATGACTCACTGAAGGTTTAGTCTAAGAATGTGGTAGCTTCTTGGATGTACCAGCTACTAATTGAGATGTACCAAGGAGTGCTTCTCCCCTTCCTTTGTTCTAACATGTGTTACCCGCTATTCAAAGCATGGTAATAAAACGCTGTCAATAGTCGGCATTTTTTTCTGGCTCGGTGGACTCAGAGTTGGGAATAGAAATCTGCGTCCTCAGCATCTTCCAGGAGAGGCTTCTGGGAATGATGGATGGTGTCATTCATTTTCAAGCTGAAACTGTTTCTGTCATTTAGCCTGTGGTCCTACAGAAGGCAGCTGAGTGAAGGTGGAGTGAAAGTTGATTAGCAATGGGATGAATTACTGCAGTTCATCCAGAGAAAAGAGGGTAGGGCTGGTTTTAATCCATGTCTATATTAGTGGTAGTTAATTTAGGCAGCTCTATGTCAACCCCAACTGTAATCTTCCTTAGCAACAGCCACCCCACCCTGAAGTAGGGTTCTGAATCTGACCACTGCTGTCACATTGACTGCTGAAGAGTCTGTTTCCTAACGGTTTACCAATAAACCCTATCTGGAAGCTGGTGGTGGTTGGGATTAGACACGAACTGATGTAAATAGAAGATAAGAATTTAGAGGGGACACTCTCATGGGGTTTTACTTTACATTGCCACTTTGCTTGTAGATATTTTTCTGGCTTGGTCCGGGGCTGGCACTTGGACTCCAGAGGAAATAACTGTTACTGAGCAAGCTAAAAAAATTCACACACACATTCCCACTCAGCTTAACAGCGCTGGCTGTGGTTCAGTTCACCGAGCGGTATGGAGGTTGGCTACTCCACAGGGACCTTGCTGAGACCTGAGGTCAGACAGCAATCATTCTCCTTCCCATCTTGCCAAGCAAAGAAAAAAAAATTGTTTAAATCAATCAATAGGTTCCCATCCCCCTAGCTGGATGTGGCTTTCAAGGATGACAGTATCTGCTCCATACTGCCCTTGCCCTTGTCAAGTCCCAGCCTGAAACAGAACAGAATGATGTGGGGTAGCTAGTTTGTGTATGTAACACACACAGCATAAACACGAAGATTCTAGATCCTGGAAATCTTCATACAAAAGGCAGAGCTAGTGAGAGATAGAAAACAAGAGTAATCAGATTGAAATATAATTAGAAAGAATTAAGGCTGATTAGAGTTTACAGTCTCTAGGAAACTTCCCTTTGGAATACAAAGGAGAACCTGATTTCCCTTCCTTCCTTCCTTCCTTCCTTCCTTCCTTCCTTCCTTCCTTCCTTCCTTCCTTCCTTCCCTCCCTCCCTCCTTCCCTCCCTCCCTCTCTCTTTCTCCCTTCCTTCCTTCCTTCCTTCCTTCCTTGCTTTCTTGCTTTCTTGCTTTCTTGCTTTCTTTCTCTTTCTTTCTTTTTCTTTTCTTTCTTTTTTGACAGATTCTCGCTCTATTGCCCAGGCTGGAGTGCAGTGGCATGATTCTGGCTCACTGCAATCCCTGCCTCCCAGGTTCAAGTGATTCTCCTGCCTCAGCCTCCCGAGTATCTGGGATTACAGGTGCCTACCACCACACCTGGCTAATTTTTGTATTTTTAGTAGAGACGAGGTTTCACCATACTGGCCAGGCTGGTCTCAAACCCCTGACCTCAGGTGATCTGCCCACCTCCACCTTCCAAAGTGCTGGGATTACAGGTGTGAGCCACTGTACCCAGCCAAGAACTTGATTTTCCATTAGTCAAAATACAATAAATCAGAGGTCAGCAAGCTATAGGTTTTTTAAACAGGACAAAAAATATACAACAGAGAAAATGTAGGACCAGAAAACCCAACATATTTATTATATGGGCTTTTTGTGGTCAGGGTTCTCCTGTGAAACAGGACCAATAGGATGTATATAAAGAGATTTATTTTATGAAATTGGCTCACACAGTTTGTGAGGGCTGGCAAATCCAGGGCAGGCCAGCAGGCTGGAGACGCAGAGAAGAGTTGATGTTTCAATCTGGAGTTCAAAGGCACTGCCTTTTCCAGGGCATTTGCCAAGCCCCGCAACACAGGAATAAATTGTGGAAAAGAGCTTTGGTCAAGGGACTCAGAGACTCCTGCTTTGACACTAAAGAGCTGGATAATCTATGAGAAACCACAACCTCTCTTTGGATCTCAGTTTCTACTTTGGTAGAATATATTCCCAAAAGTTCCTTCCACAATGCAAACATTCTGTGCACTTCAGTCCTCCCTGTACATAAAGTTCCATGATAACATAACTCAAATTTCAAACTTTCCAAAATAGCCAATCTTAAGCTGCTTCCTGTCAATGTCTAGAAATAATTCCATGCTGGCAAGAGTCCCAGACATCAGTAAATTTTAATTATCTATCATATAAAGAATAAACAAAATGCCCAATAGTTCCAATTTTTAGTGACTTTCTTAATAGTAGGTTCCATTAATAGCTGACTGTGATGGTCCTTTATAATCATTAAACCGCAATGCATCCGTTATTTGCAGAGTATTGTACTAGCACTTTGGGAGACTCTATAGGGACCAGAAAATAAAGTATCTAGTTTTGAGGTGCTTACAATCTAGTCAAGAAGACAAACTCCATACCTAGAGTAAAGTCTTATATCTTTAGAGTAACATATGAACAACTGTCAGGGGCAGAGGCATTATCATGTTCATAGATATATCCTCAGGACCTAGAATAGTGCCTGGAACATGGTATATGCTCAATATATATATTGAATGAACGAATGAATGGAGAGTGACTTAATAATTAGTAAGTACTAAAATAATGCATACGCACTTAGATTAGGGCCAGGTGGAGGCTAATTCATGAAGGCCTTCTAATGGAGGAGAAGGTATAGTGAGCTCAACAGAGGAAGGCAATAGTCCAAGGGCAATATTTCTGAAATGTTGTATTTCTATAGATAAAGGTATAAAGGCTAAAGTCAGGGTTAATAACCATACAGATTTAGACATTTGGTAAACTAAAGGCAGCTGGAAACAAAGGTCTAAGCTTTGAAGTAGAAAGACATGGGTTAGGGTTTATCATCTATCTTAGAAGTGATTTAGTTTTTGAACTTCAGCCGTCCTTTAACCCCTCTGTGTCTCAGTTACCTCATCCTTAAAATTAAAATGGCATCTAGACTCAGAATATCGGAGCTGTAAGAGACCTTAGTCCTCATCCAATCAAGTGGGTCTCAATTTTGGCTGTCCACTAGAAATCTTGGGGAACTTTTAGAAGGTTCAATGCCTAGACCTGACTCCAGACTAATTACATCAAAATCCTCTGGAGCTGAGACCCAGGCACGAGTGTCAGTATTTTTTAAATCTCCCTAGGCAAGTCAATGTTCAGCCAATATTGAGAACTATTGTTTTAGTCCAACCCTCTCATTTTATAGATGAATAAACTAAGGTACAGAACAGATTAAGGGACCTTGCCTAACCTACCTCATAGGGCCATAAAGGACAATATTAGGTCATATAACTTTAGAGCTGTAGACATCAAAATACCTGTGAAGGTGCTCTGAATAACATAACCATTATTCATTTGTAAGGGATGATCATGCCAATAGAATCAGAAAATACTAATTGGTAACCAGGCAAAGCATCCGCTCTGTCAATAAATTATACTAGTAGGACAATGGATAAAACTTTTATTCTTTTTCATTTCCCAGGTCTCCTTGAATTATCAAATGAGTAAGTGCTCCATTTCAAAAGCTAGGATATAGATTATTGGATTAAAATTTTGGCAAATGAATATGTCCTGAAAATTTATATTTTTCACCAAGAAGAAACATAAACATCTTGCACAAGGACATAAATCTATAGCTGGGGGTGCTGTTAGTCTAGTTCTAGCATATTTCTAGCCTACATCATCTGTTTGGGGCATAATCATGTCTGGAAGAAAAGGAATGAGGTTTGGGGATTTTAGCATGGTATCAGGCATTTTTGCTTAGGAGGGCCTTCATTTGTTCCTGGCTTGGGAGTCTTTGGCTTACACTCAGCTTGTAGATGCCACATTTTGTAGAGGATGGAAACCAAGAGTAATTTTTATTCAAGATCCATGTCCCCATTCCCACCCTTTCCTTATTTAATCGGATGCACTCTCTGTGATTCATCCTTCTATACAAAATTTGTTGAGCGTTAAGTGCATTTTCTATTCCCCTATTTAGCTCCATATTGTTGAGTTATTCTTTGTCTCAGAGACCATTTGTTGAATGACTCCTAGAAGAGAAAATGAAAAAAAAATGTGAGATGATTCCCTATGCATGCCCATGGTCACCTCTTTTTGAGCAGTTTTCTGATTCACATACCTTGTTTGAACATCAGGCATACTGAGAATGCCAGAGAGTTTATCACTTCATTGTTTTGCAGTTATTTTTTTATGTGTGTTAGGTCTATCTCCCCAACAGATCCTGTCTTGCACTCTCTTGTATCTCTCCCTTCCCCCAGTTCCAGTATTTAACATGTTGTTTTTACAAAATCAATGCTTGAGCCACTTGTGTGAACAGCTTCCAGTTGCTTAAGGCCATTCAAAGCCCTAGTAAAATGCTTCTCTGCTGGGCTCATTTGCCATTCACAGAAATTGCTAAAGGATAACATGTGACTGTATGTGAGGAGAGGTGGAGAGGTTGTGATAAAAGTATTTTGGGATAGCACTTGTCTAAAGCAATGTTTCCCAAACATGGCTGTGCATCAGAATCACTGGGAACTGAATTGTTGGGGGAGGGACCTGGAAATCTAGAAATTTGAAAGCTCCACAAGCAATTCTGATAACATCCAGGTCTAGAAACCACTGGCCTCAATGTTCTCTAGTGCGTCTCAAACTTTAATTTGTGTACAAGATTTTGCATTTTTAACAAGTTCCTAGGTGATGCTGATACTGTGGGCCAGAAGACCAAAGAAGGCTAGAAGGTAGTGGTCCTCAATGTGTGGTTCATGTGCTAGCAACATCAGCGTCATCTGGGAACTTGTTAGAAATACAAAATCTCAGTTCTCACTCTAGATCTACTGAATTCAAAATGGGTGGGGCCCAGCATTCTGGGTTTCAACAATCTTTGCCAGTAATTCTGACTATTGCCAAAGCATGAGAACGACTGCTATAAATAATATTCAAAATAAGGTACAGGGATGGTGCAGTGGATTTAAAAAAAAAGAATCAAAGGCTTGCTTTAGATAGCTACATTAGAAAACCAGAGTAATATTCTTGCATCATCAATAGCCCTTTAGAATGGATTAGAAATAAGAACCTATATCTTTAATACAAGCTGAAACTGTAGGCCTCATCTCCTTTGTTGATTTTTGTTTTACGACACATAGCCTAATATTCAGCGTAAGTGAGTGTTGAGGAATTTCAACTTTGGACAACCATAGTTACTGGGAGTTACGTCTTAATAGAGACATTTCCAATTTGCAAGTAAATGTTGGAGAATGACATATTCTGCTTGGACACAAAAGACTGAGAGAGAAAATATGCTTGTTTTCTAAATAGGATTTCTTTGAAATAGGTTCTGAGTAGAGTTGTTTTCTTCACAGAATGGGCAGAACAAATGGCTGCCTTCTTAAATCTTCAGGGCAATTCTGCATTTTTTCATGTCAGCCTCCCCACCTCCTCCCATGAAAGCCTTACACCCATACCATTATGTACAGATAATTCTCTGTCATCCCAAATTCTGTTTAGTGTCCCAATTGATATATATTCCTTTGGGGTTCCCTGTGTCATGGACTATACTACACTAGTACTTTCATTCAACATTATGTCCTGTCTAATCCTTTGCACTATATTTTGGATTCCCCCATACCTTGATCCAAGAAACAAATGCCACACAAATAATTCAACCTTGTTAAGTTTAGCTAAAATAAATATATACTGAAAACACAAGGACATCATATTGGCAGAGTAGAGTTTGGAATATAGAAAAGAGAAAAAAAAAAGAAATTATATTCCAAGCAGAAACCTAACAGAATTCTTTCCAGAACATCATTTCTACCATTTAAAAATTTTTAAGAAACAAAATGTTGATGGTAAAAACATCTTTGATTGGGAGTCAAAATACCTGGGTTTTAGTCATAGCTCTATCATTAAGTTGCTGTTCAACCCATGCCAGTCACTTAACCTCTTGGGGTGTCAGTATCCACATTTATGAAATGGAGGAAGTATCCTTGCTTTACCTAAATCACAGATGTTAAAATATAATTTTCAAAAAAAAGATAATATCATAACACGCAAATATAAAAATGAACATGTGTTAAAAATTTATTTAACTCATAATAAATGAGAGAACCAGGCTGATATTATAAACCAGTTCAAAAGAGAATTTATAATATTATTAATGTAATAATATTCCCCAAATTGACCTACTGATTCAATGAAATTCCTATGAAAATACTGACTGACTTTGCAGAAATTGATAAACTAATCCTAAAATTCATTTGGAAATTCAAGGGATCCAGAATAGCAAAAACAATATTGAAAAAAAGAGGGATAAAGTAAAACTTATACTTCCTAATTTCAAACTTACCACAAGTTTACAGTTATCAAAACAGTGTGGTACTGACATAGACACATAAATCAATGGAATAAAATTGAGAGTTCAAAAATAAACTCTTACATTTACAACCAATTGATTTTCAAAATACCAATGTAATTCAATAGGGAAAAAAGTAGTCTTTTCAGCAAACAGTGCTGGAACAACTGGATATCCACATGGACAAGAATGAAGTTAAATCCCCACCTCACAGCATATATAAAAATTAACTCAAAATGAATCAAAGACCCAAATGTAAGCTATGAAATTCTTAAGGAAAAATATGTATAAATCTTGAATTTAGATTAGGCAATGGTTTCTTAGATATGATACCAAAAACACAAGCAACCAAAGAAAAAATAGACAAATTGGACTTCATAAGAATTAAAAACTTCTGTGCTGCACATGATACATCAATAAAGTGGAAATATGACTCACAAAATGGAAGAAAATATTTGAAAATCATATGTCTGACTAGGGACTTGTACCTAGAATATATACACAGAACTCTTACACATCAATAATAAAAAGATAATAGTCCAATTTTAAAATGGCAGAGCCTTGAATAGATATTTCTCCAAGGAGCACGTACATGAAAAGATGCTCAACATAATTAGCCATGAGGTAAATGCAAATCGAGACTACAATGAGATACCACTTTACACCCTTAGGGTTGTGATAATAAAAAAGAGAATAATAAGCATTGGCAAGGAAGTTAAAAAAAAGAAAGAAAGAAACCTCATGCACTGGTGGTGGGAATATAAAATGGTGCAGCCACTTTGGAAGCAGTCTGTCAGTTCCTTGAATGATTAAACAGAGTCACCATATGACCAGCAATTCTACTCCAGAGAAATAAAAATGTATGTCTACAGAAAACCTTGCACGCAGATATTCAAAACAGCATTATTCATAATAGCAAAAAGGTGAAAACAAACTAAATTCCCATCGATGAAAGAATGGATAAGGAAAATGTGCTGTATTCATGCAATGGAATATTATTCAGGCATAAAAAATCAAGTGATGACATGCTATAACGTGAATGAACAATAAAAACATTATGATAGGTGAAGGAAACCAGACACAAAAGACCATATATTTTATGACTCTGTTTATATTAAATGTCCAGAATAGACAAATACGTAGAAACAAAAGTAGGTTTGTGGTTGCCTAGGGTTGGGAGGTTTGGGGAGAAATAGGGATTTACAGCTAATGGGCACAGCGGTTTTTGTTGGGGGTGATGAGAATGTTCTAAAATTGGTTGCAGTGATAGTTGCACAACTCTGTGTATGTACCAAAAACCATTTAATTGTACATTTTAAATGGGTGAATTGCGTGGTATATAAATTATGTCTCAATAAAGCTGTTACTTAAATACGTTTCTAAAGATATTCAAGTTCAGTAATATAGTTTATGCGTGAATTATAGTGTGTGCTTATCAACTAAAACTTCCATTTGTGCTGCTATAACGAACTACCTTAGACTAGGTAATTTATAAAAAGCAGACGTTTATTTTGTCACAGTTCTGGAGACAAGAAAGTTCAAGATCAAGGTGCTGGCAGGTTTGCTTATCTGGTGAGGGATGAATTTCCCAGAAGGGAGGAAGACTGTCCTCACATGGCAGAAGGCAGAAGGGCAAGAGAGCCTAATGCTATGTGAAGCCTCTTGGAGGGCCTTAGTCACGTTAACAAAGGAGAATCCTTCATGGCTTAATCACCTCTTAAAAGCTCCAACTATTAATAATATCACATTAGCAACCCCTGAATTTTGGAGGGAACACATTCATATCTTAGCAGCAGTCAATTCAAAGCACATGGGAGTGCTTTGACCTTGTTTCAGGGCAGTGGACTTGCAGACAGAGATAAAATGGATGCTTACTAGACAGACAACTGTGGGTATAGTCGTGGGGCAAGCTACTAATGGCCCCTGAAGAGAATCTCCATGCCCATATACAGAAATTTGGTCGCTACCTAGTTGCACATTTTAGAAAGTTGGAAGTTGTTTGTCTGTTAGAGAAGATTGGTAAGGAGGTGTGAAGAATATTATTTGATTATATAAAAGTAAACTTTATGTCAAAGAGATACCATAAACCAGTATTTTGCAGTGTGTTGTTCATATCAGAATTCATGTGGGTAGCTTGTTAAAAATGCAGATTTCCTGAGCCTCGCCCCAGACCTGCTAAATTAGATTTGCTAGAGGATAGGACTCAGGACTTTGGATGTTAAGCAGCTAGCCAGGTAATTCACGTACACGCTAATGTTTGAAAACCACTAAGCTAATCCTTTACCTTCTGCAATATTGGGAGATTCTCAACACTAGCTACATATTCTGAACACCTGTGAAGTTTTAAAAATACAGATGGTTGGCCGCTCCCCAGATCAATTACATTAAACCTTTTATATACATGTTCAATGCATTTGTTTGACTTCTATGCTCCTTGATTCCTTGATCCCTGCCTGAATCTAGCCCATTGTCTCATCTCAACCATTGATTTTGGAGGCTCTACCATGTCAGGCTTGCTCCTATGCTTGGTGCTTGGCCCCTACGTTTTGTCCTGGGCCTTTCTTTGGTTTCCTGGTCCTGCCTTCTCACTGCTGCCCAAGTCTTACACACTGCTAAGAAGGAAAAGATTCTATGAGGTGTTCAAGATTAGTTAAGTCCTTTGGGCTCTTTGTGCCTTAGTTTCCACAGTTATATTATGAAGACAAGTGTTTCTAGTGGAAGGAGAGAGAGAAAGAGAAGGAGAAGGAGAAAAGGAGGAGAAGGGAGGAAGGAAGAAGGAGGAAGGGAGGAAGAGGAAAGGAAGGAAGTGGACCAATCATTGACAATGTACATTGAAGAGTGAAAATGTGTTCCATTGTCAAAAAATAAAAACCATGTGCACCATCCAGAGTATTTGGCATCTCTGGGAAGCATTCCCACTCCTCCTTCAACCCTCTCATTTTCACACGTAGGAGTGGTAGGTAGAGCAGATGCAGGTGACAGAAAGCTGAACCCAAGCAGTCCGATTGGGAAATTGATTCTCAACAGGAAGGGACTTCGATCTCTGCTTATCTTTTCTCACTCAAATGCGGCGTTAGACCCCAAGACAAAGCTCAGATTGATGCAGTCCCCACCCCACCCTTCTCCTGGCTTCTTTTCTGTAAGTAATGCTTTCAGTGTTTGGAGTCTGGCAGCTGCAAGGCCTGGTTGCTAGGTAACAATTTCTCAGCACAAAGAACCTTCAGCTGGGAAGGTCAGGTCTATCAGTGTGAAACAGCTGTAAAGAATTTTTATTTGTCTCCTCTTGTTTTGGTTAATCACAGGGCAGGGAACCAAAATCAAACTTTCCATAGAAATGAGAGATACTGGAGGGTACCAGTTTAGCTGCTGCTGATTTTTTGCAGCTCTTCAAATCACAGCCTTTTTACGCTGGCTCAATAGAGCCCCAACAAGCTTGTCAGGCTGGAAGTGGAGGCAGGAGGAGGAGGGGTCAGGTGTTTCCTAGCCTCTTTAGTGCCTCAGGCAGGAAGGACATAGCAAAAACATGAGCTGAGAAGTTAAGTCCTTTTCTTCAAATTTACCAGCAGTTTCTTCAGATTAGCGTTGTCAGATTAAGTGTAGGACAGACAGTTAAATTTGTTTTAGATAAGCAATGAGAAATTCAAATTTAACTGGGCATCCTGTATTTTTATTTGGTAAATCTGGCAACCCTAACTACTATGCAATGCACTTGATAATGAATTTTGTATGGGATTGTTACCAAAAGAGTAATAGAAACGCGAACAGAGGTTGGACTAGAGAGTGGCTTTCAAAGCATGCTCCCTCCTCTATCAGCAGCATGAGTATCACCTGGGAATTTGTTAGAAATGCAGATTGTCAGGCTTCACCTCATGCCTTCTGAATCACAAACTCTGGGGGCTGGGCTCTGAAATCTGTTTTAACAAGCCCTCCTGGTAATTCCTGATGCAAACTCGTGTTTAAGAACCACTAAGCTAGAGAATCTTTAAGGGACAATTCAGCTCTTATTTTCATTGGTTCTGCTTACTGATCAGCAAGCCCCAGTGGTCAGCTAGTTATTTGAAATGGCATATTCTCCTCATTCCTACCTTCCTCAGGGACTTATTCATAATTAGTTCTTTTTGGGCTCTATATCATACCACAGAAGTTTCCCTTATATTTTCACCTTCATTTAATTTTGTAGCCTCTCATTTTCATACAGCAAAGACTTCTAAGGTCTATTTTGCCAGCAGGCTGGTGCCAAGGTGAAGGTTTCTGCAAGAATCAGCAAAGACTCTGACTGCTGCATGCATGCTTCATCTTACCACTAGACAAAGGACTCTGTGCGGGGTGTGTTACTACACAGGAATAACTGGCTAAGGACACACCTCAATCTGCTTAAGTTGTTTTGAACCACAGCTGCCTTCAATTCTAACTTTTCCTTAAAAAATTGATGTTTTCAATAGCCCCTCCCCTGGCTCATTCCTGATTCTTCCTATAAAACGGTAAGAACCTCACCTTATTGTCTTCCTAAATATCAGTTTACTAAAGGGAGGAAAGCAGAATCAAGAGGAGAAACTTAGGGAGCTAATAAACCTCAGAGCTTGTTTCTCTCAATAGCTGGCATCTGATAGTGTTGTCCATGGTGCTGAATATGGTTGTTGCTCCTAAACTTGGAAATCTTCGTAGGAAATGCAGGCAAAGGAAGGGAAGCTGGATTGTTGTGGTAGTCTGTCATTTGCTTATTTCATTTCCCAATGGAGAAAACCTAATGAATTTGATAATCACATCATGCCACTTAGTCAAGATGGCCAGGGAAATTATGTTGTTTAATATGCCAGTGCCTTTCTCTTGTGCTTTTCTAGTGGAGGAGCAGAGAAAGGTACTCCTGGCTTGGGTAACTGATTTTATTCTGACATAGAGAGCTTAATGTAAAGTATGTTTTTGCTTAAGAACAATGGATCATCCTCCAAGTACTTCACTGTAAATATGAATGAGAGAGGAGAACACTAGGATATAAAGTCAGCAATCAAGAGCCTAGAGTGGGACTCAAATTATCTTAACCATCAAGAAGCCTTAAGCATGAAGAGACCCAAGCATGCTGCCCTAGTACTGTCTAGACTACTCATGGAAAGCTCCTTTTTATTTTTAAGAACTTTTTATTTTGAAATAATAATAGATTCACAAGAAGTTGTAAAAATTGTACAAAAAAGGCTACCATGTACCTTTCCCCCAGATTTCTCCCAATGGTAACATCTTACATAACTATAGTACAGTATGAAAACTAGGACAATGACATGAGTACAATCCACAGACCTTATTAATATTTCACCAGTGTTATATACATTCCTTTTTTGTGTGTGTGTTTATGTAGTTGTATGTCTATGTAAAATTTTATCATGTGTAGATTTTTGTGTAGCCATCACCAGCATCAAGAAGCTGCCCCTTTATAGTCACATGCACCCTCCTACCCACCCCACTCCTGCCTTTAACCCTTGGCAATCACTAATCTGTTCTCCATCTCAATGATTTTGTTATTTCTAGAGGGTTATATAAATTGAATCATCTAGTATGTCATACTTTGAGATTTTTTTTCATTCATTATAACTCCCTTGAGGTCTAAGTTGTTTCATGTGTCAATAATTTCTTCCTTTTTATTGCTGAGTATTATGCCGGCCAATAGCTGAGAAGCCTAACAGCAGGTGGCGAGACAACCTATAAGTTAACAATAGCAGCAACTGTTACCACTCCTCCCTAGGACTGGCAGAACAAAGGGTTAATGTCACCAGAGCTCAGGGCCAGGGTTACCTGGTAGAAGCTGGAATCATGACCAACTTCTCCTGTGGGAACTGAATCCATGTGAGAGCTGTGGCCACCACAGGGTATGCTACTTGAGGTGAGGGTGGAGAAAGGTGCTAGTTGAGAAATACCTTGGTTTTTCCCTTCCTGCTGCCTGTCATTTTCCCTCCATTGGGTGAACTCAACTGGAAGGCAGATAACCTGGCTGCCCAAGATGAGTAGCCTGCAGCAGTCACCCTGCTGCAAAACTGAGCATATCAAGAGACAGTGAGGAATGGATCTGAGGGAAAACATGCCCAGGATCTGAACAGTAGCGTATGTGAGTATACAATTTTACAAGATAATGCCACAGTGTTTTTAAGTATTGTATTAATGTATAACCCCATAAGCAATATAAAAAAGATCCCATGGATTAATTTGTTCTCCAATGCTTGGATCATCTATGGATAACAGAAAGCTTCTTAAAGCTACTCTAGGCTATGCTCAAATAGGCAAATAATGGGATCCAGAAAGCTAGAAGGGAATAGCCCAACCATAACATGCCCTTCAGTCCTGCCACAGGGCCTTGGTTTACTTCACTTCCTTTGGGGTTCTCATTATGGCATGGGCTCTATTTTAATAACTTCTGGAGCAAGCTCCTGTGCATCCATAGTGGCATTGTACCCCACATGGGCACCTACTCTCAGATTTTAGTGTAATTTCATGAACACTGCAATTACATGGAGGATCAAAATAGAAAAAGAACAGATTCAGGGAGCCCATAGCTGTTATTTTAAGGAGCTTGGACTTGTCTAAGACAGAATAAAACAGAATGCATTTAATTCCAAATCTCTTTAAAGTGTCACATCCAGTTATATACTGTGACTCTAAATAAGTTTCTAAGTTTCTTTGAGCCTCAGTTTTATTGTCTATAAAAATGGGTACAGTAATAATGAATAGGTACTATTTGTTGAGTAGTTACTATATACCAGACACTATCCCTGCTTCAGAGGGTTCTTGTGATAATAAGATATGGCTGTTGTAAAGTACCTGGTGCATAGTAAGCACTCAAAAATGGCATATATTCATATTATTATTGACAACAAATATTTACTCCACTTGTAGGGAGACCTGGATTTATTTGGACTATGCATGGTGCCTCAGACTCTCTTCTTGGCCAGGAGTTGATCCTGCCTAATGTTAACTCTTGGCATGTCTGACAGATGTGTCCCAGAACCACAGTTATTCCTGGAGACAAGAGTGAACACAACCAATTATTCCTATTTCTTGGCTCAGCAAACACCATTTATTTTGTGTACTAATATTCCCGAATGACGACAAACACCATCCCTAAAATACTTGAATCTCTAGGTTGAGAGTCAAGGTATCCACAGGCAAAATCTTCTAAAAGACTGAGCCAGTTATTGATGATCAATATTCACACAAATATCTTCTATCTGTTCTGTGGAATCAGGGACCAGGGAAGGGATTTCTTGCAGCTTGAACTTGGTCTCTCTCTTCCTTCATCCCTATATCTAAATGGTGTGCTCAGCCCCTCTGGGGCTAGAAGGATAATGATAAAAGGTCAGCCTTGCTGTATTTTGGCCACAAGTCCAGTAGCTGAAAGTGTCAAATCATAGTAGTGATTACACTGGGGACATTAACTCTATGGGTTTTGCAATAATGGAACATTGACTTCCCTAACAGAAAACTTCATTTCATTTCATTTCATTTCATTTCATTTCATTTCATTTCATTGTGTTATCAGCTTTCCTCTGTTAGAAAGCATCCCTTGATTGCTGACTTCATCATAACCCCAGACACTCATTTAGCTAAATTGCCAGCGATATCCCCTCCCTGGTGGAAGAGTATCTGTAAGCCCTCACATGATTAAAATAACCCTGGCAGTCTGATATTCCAACGGAGCCACAAAGCTTGAAGTCTCAGCACCTTGTCTCATCCTCTTCTCACTCCCTTTGCTGCCTGCCGGCTAAATTGAGATTCCAAAACTTTGAAATTGATTTTCCAGCCATTTTTAGGCTTCCTGATAGTGACAAAAGAAGTTCTGTTTTCAGCTGTCACCATGCTTCCTCTTAAGACTTAGCTACAGAGTTTACTACTAGATATCCATCTTCTGCCCTGCCCAGGGCATGCCACTCTCTTCTTGGTGCCAAACAACTATCATCTAACCTGTGAGGGTAGGCTATTAGACTGAGTGGCCCAATAGGGGAGACTGAGGAATAAGATGGCTCCATGTGATGCTGCCTCACTTAGGAAAAAATGGACGACTCTGATGTGCATAAACAGCCACCTCGAATGGGGTGTGGATAATTGCCCAGTACAATGGGATTTTCATTAGGAGGAAGGGTAGCATAATGTAGCTTGAGTGAGCTCCAGCCCTGCCCATTCTCTCGTTCTGTGGAGATGTTAATAATGCTGCTTCTGGAAAGTCTGTCAGAGCTGATGCCGATGATGTAACCAATTTTCCAGCAACCCTTTGTTTGAGCGACTGCAGCACAGCTGCAGAACAGAGCGTCAGGGAGCTGAATGTGTTAATGGGGAAAAAAAAGCGCTTCCCCCAGTTCTTTATTCCACAGAGATGTTGTCACTGAGAGCTTTGTGTGTTGGTCAGCATGATGGCTTATCTTATTGCTGGTATTTCTCAAAGTCATGATGGAAATGGCATTGTTAAGAACACAATAGATACAGATGCTTGTACCAAGGTGTGGACCAGCAACATTGGGCTGCTGAGATTTCTAAGCTTTCTCTGTGTTTGGGTCAGAGGCTCCATGGCTTCATTTGGACTCTATAACTGAATAGATTAGACAAATTCTAGGGAAGTGTGTGTGTGTGTGTGTGTGTGTGTGTGTGTGTGTACACATATATCTATATAATACTGTATATATATAATACAATGTGCATATAATTAATACATAGTAGTTTTTGAGCTCTTACTCTGTGTGTAATGCATACAAAAGGAAGTGTGGTAGTTAACAGTGTGAGAATGTGGTTCTTAGAATCAAACCACTTTAGGTTATATTCTGGCTCTTCCAATAATTAGCTATGTGATTTTGGGCAAGTTATTCTCTCTAAGCCTATTTTTTCTATCTGTCATGGAGATCTAACAGTAGAGAGGATTATATGAGATAATCCATACAACTGGTTTAGTGCCTAACAAATTGTAAGCCCTTAATAAACATTAACCTTATTACTAATTTACTTATATTATCTTATTTAAATCTCCCAACTAACCTTTTGTGGTAGGTACTATTATGATTCCTATTTTATTGATGAAGAAACTGAGATTTTCACAGGTTACCTTGCCTAAAGTTTCACTGATAGCATTGTTTGAGCTGGACCTGGCTTCAAGCTTTTGGACTCTAGAGCTGCTAACCAAAAGGCTCCACTGCCTCAATTACAGAAGGCTGAGGAAGTGGAATTTGCCTATCACCCTTTAAGGCATTTTCCACCCTGGCTACAACTTGGAATTACCTAGAAAAAAATCAGAAGAGAACAGTGATTGCCTCTCAGGGGCAGGGATGGGTGTTTACTGGGAAGATGCATAAGAAAACGTTCTCTATCTTGATAAAGGTTTGTATTATACAGGTGTATGTATGTCACAAAACTAAAAATATCAAATGACATACTTACAGTTTATGCATTTCACTGTATGTAAAAGTTGACTAATAAAAAGAGTGTTAAACAAATATTGAACACTAATGATATGCCTGCAGAAATGTTTAAGGGTGAGCATTCTAATATCAGTAACCTATTTTGAAATGCATTAAAAATAGGATGGATTGATAGAGGGGTGGTTAGAGGGATAGCTATGTAATAAAGCAAATATAGCAAATGTTAATTGTAGAATCTAAGTGATACAGACTTTATGTTTGAAAATGTTCATTTAAAATGTTAGAAAAAAATTTGGATCACCTTGTGGAGCTTTTAAAAAATACTGATGCTGGGGATTTCTTCAAAATTTCAGAAATAATTAGCCTGGAGTAGGGAACATGTATTTTTTTTTTTTTAAAGCTCTCCAGGTGTTCCTAACATCCAGCCAAGGTTGAAAACCAGTGCTAGGGTAAGCCCAATTTTGCTGTGTGGACTTCTTTATGAATAATGTACCTTAGGGCTTCAAAACAAACACTAGGTTCTCAAAGCCAGTTCCGAACTGAGAGCGTCCTGACAGACTAATTATTTCTGACGCTATTGTGAGTGATATGCACAGAACTGTCCCTCTCCCCACTGACCCCCTACTCCAAGAGAAAATTATCCAGCCCCAAATGTCAGTAGTGCCAAGGTTGAGATATCATGCTATAGACAAGTGCCTCTCAAATTTAAAAGTGTATATGAGTCACTTAGGAATCTTGTTAAATTGCAGCTTCTGATTCAGTAAGTCTGAGGTGAGGTCTAAGATTCTGCATTTCTGACAAGCCTTTAGGTGATGCTCATGCTATTGGCCTATAGACCACTCATTGAGCAATGGAGACCTATAATTTCCCTCTTTATCTTTCTACCAAATCATGCCTATCTCAGAGTTCCATCCTCTCAAGACTCTAAGATTGGCTATTAAAATATACTACTAAAGAGTAAAATGACTGAAAATATATTAATGTGTTTCTTGTAATTAGTGGGGCCATCAAAGCCTTAAGCTAAAGACTAACTTGGATGAAATTTTCAGGAACTAAGCATAGTCAAAAAGAGATATATTTTGTCTTTGGGTATGTTTTGGGGAATAGGGCAACATTTTTTTAGCAGTTTTCCACAAAAGTCAGGTGTACCCAGGCTGAATTTATGGAAATGGTCTTATTTATTTTCACATCCCTGATACCTAGTGCAGTGCCTGGCTCAAAGTAGATGATCAAAACCTGTTTGTGGAACCAATTGACAAATTGCCTATAGCTCTATAGATAGCTGCTAGAGAACAAAGCAAAGTTATCTACTGAGGCAGGACTCTGTTGTGGACCCTAAAAGGCCAGAAAAGAATGCCCTTCAGCAGATTTCCATTTGAAAGATGCATCCTTTGGGAATGCACCCTCCTCCTCACCCCCTGGATGGCAGCAAGATCAATTAAAATAGCTGCAGTACTGGCTTAATCTGTTGTCAATGTATCTCTGCCCACTACCTTTGACTCTTGGAAATATGTGCTAATAGATTATGTGATTTGCAGTGTGCCAGTCGTAGGGCCACCACTTTTTCACATGTTCCCTGTCATGGTACCTGAAAACACCCCTTTTGGGACCATCCCCTTGGATAATGCAGATTTTCTAGAGGTCTCTGTTAAAATATATGAATTACTGTATATAGAGAAAGTGAATTGGTTGTTTGCCTAGTGCTGGAGAGAAATGGAAATTGACTGCTAAGGGGTTTCTTTTTGGATTGATGAAATTGTCCTAAAATTGATTGTGGAGGCAGTTGCACAACTTTGAGAATATACTAAAATCCATGGAATTGTATAATTTTCATAAGTGAATTGTATAGTGTATGTGATGGTTAATACTGAGGGTCAACTTGATTGGATTTAAGGATGCAAAGTATTGATCCTGGGTGTGTCTGTGAGGGTGTTGCCAAAGGAGATTAACATTTGAGTCAGTGGGCTAGGAAAGGCAGACTCACTCTTAATCTGGGTGGGCACCATCTAATCAGCTGGCAGCATGGCTAGAATATAAAGCAGGCAGAAAAACGTGAAAAGACGAGACTGGCCTAGCCTCCCAGTCTACATCTTTCTCCCATGCTGGATGCTTCCTGCCTTTGAACATTGGACTTCAAGTTCTTCAGTTTTGGGACTCAGACTGGCTCTCCTTGCTCTTCAGCCAAGCAGACAGCCTATTGTGGAACCTTGTGATCATGTGAGTTAATACTTAATAAACTCCCCTTTGTGTGTGTGTGTGTGTGTGTGTGTGTGTGTATGTATATATATATATCCCGTATTAGTTCTGTCTCTCTAGAGAACCTTGATTAATCCAGTATTTGAATTGTATCTCAATAAAATGGTTATAAAAATATATTAATATAAATGTGGTTAAATTAGGGAATACAGATTAATTTAAGAGATAACTAGGGGAACCTTGGAATGCCACCTGGAAAGTAAGAAAGAATGCTCTGACTGACAGAGAAAGAGAAACATTGAAACAAGAGATACAGGGCAAGAAGTGGAATTCATCTTCCATTTTTTAACTCTCTGTAAACTCATTTCTATTCTTTCAAAACCAGTTGCCAATGATCCCAATGTTATTAAGTCGTTCAACATTTGCTTCTTTGCTTGGAAAAACAGCCAGGAAATGCTTGAATATAGTGAAGAAAGAAAGCCAGTTCCCCTAAGATAAAATAATCGTGGTATTATTAATGAAGCATAGGGTTTGGCACTACCCCCGCGTTCTGGAAGCTCTTTAAATTAGATCAGGCCACTCAGACTACGGTTGCTTTCTATAAAGAAGTACAGGACCTGAGGTCTGAGAAAATTGGACTTTTTTCATTGAAGTGCAGACTATGGTTTTGGAAGAGCTGGTGTTAAAACCACAGTTATCTCATATAGCCTTGTGGCCAAAGGCTTTAAAACCACAGAGGGAGAACCCCTGTCTTTCCACATGTGGCTTTCCATGAACCCACTGTAATTTCAGAAGGTGGTATGGCACAATTGGGGCATAAATTGCAAGGCTACTTCAATAAAACTGTTTTGAAAACAGAAATGGCAGGCCTAGGACCTAGAACCTCTGTTCCTAGGTCTGGGATCATGCTAGTTGAACACACAAGTAGTATGGTTTCAAACATGGTAAAGAACTCTTCCACCCCGCAGCCTGTGGCTTGAAATGTTTGAGGAGGAAAAAATAGCATACTTAGCTATTATCAATGTTTATATCTCATTTTGAATTAAGACTCTAAGGAGTGGGTCATGATGGTTTGGCTAACTTGGGGGAAAAAGGGCCCACCACTGGGGCAAGATGATGCCAACTAAGAGGTTGGGGGCTAACAAAACAAACTTCATTTTTCTCAGTTTTGCTCTAGACTTCCCCTGGCTATGACCATGGCCAGCAATTCCTAGACTTGGAAATATAAATTGAGAGGGGGCTATCATTGCTATGCAGAATTATAACGTCTGCCTCAAAGGGCCGCCACGTACCCTACTACACAGCACATTGCTTATAATTTGTCACTCCCTTAGGCCCTACTATTGCTGCAGAAACCCAGGACAAAGGAAGGACTATAGAAAGACAAAGGGGATAGGCATTCAGTTATTAAATACGCATTTTACAGCAGAGCATTATCTCTATTGGATGCCAATTGGAGGTAGTCCAGCATTTAGCCAGTGACTGACCTGGGTGTAATAAAACCTCAATTTTCAAGAAAGCATTGTGGAAACTCCTCTGACTGAACTCATCTCAGTCTTCAGAAGACAGTGGGTTATTTGCAAGGCATAATGATATCCTGCAATGCTGAGAAGAGATTTTATCATCTCTCTAGATTTCACACCAGGGTCAGTCTTCCTTGGCTCCATTTCCTTGTGTCTGCAGATCTCAAATAATCAGGGACCATCTTGTCAGGAAAAGGCCAGATGGGCAGGCAGGGAAGTGATTCAGTCCCTGATGAAATAGTGTTCAGCCTATCTCTGCTCCCTCATGGCACCAGAGAGTAAAGAACCAGAGAGACAAAGATGCATGAGGGGTTACCTCCAACTTAGCTCAGACTGCAGAAACCTGGACCAGATGAGAATTTTTGGAGTTTGGGGAGCAGGAAATTTACATTTTCAACGTAGTGAATTCACATGATGAAATCTGATACTGCCCTCTGTGCTCTGTAAATGAACTCAGTCTTCTCTTTGAATTGGGGTCTTGGAGCCACAGAGACTCACGATACTATTCTCATTCTCCATATCTTACTGGATTTTGGAGGACAAGCATGGATAGTGATACATAGTCTAATTAAGTGCTCAAAATGAGGAGTGTTGTCACTGCCTTTATATTTTGATTCCTGATAGATATATTTCTCTGGAAGTTATGTGGTAAATGGATTTTAGACTAAGTCACTCCAGAGTCATCTTTGCATTGCCAGAGCCTAGCACAGTGCTTGATATGCAACACTCATTAAATGTTTCTTAAGGTTAGGCCTGACACCTGGCATTGACCTCTCCTTGTTCCTTGGGAATATAAGCATTGAGGTCTCGGTCTCTTGTCCTCATCAGGCAAGTGCCATCTTTTCCATGGCTTATCCTTATGTCTGCCCTTTGGATTGATCATGCCCTGAGAGCCTGGGAAATGTCTAGATAAAGCAGAAAGGGAAGAAGGAAGCATTGTTTGCCAAGCAACCAGGCTTTTGATTGTTTAGAGAGCAGATCCTGTGGTGGGCTCTGGTTGCCTTCGACTTCTTAGACTTGACCATTAGCCCTATGACTTGAACCCTCAGCTCTGTCTCTGGACTGATTACTTTTTACCGTGTTAATGGGTTTCCTGATTACTATCCCTGTTTTCTGACACATGATCTGAAATCAGTCTACAATGTCAGGGGAAGAAGCCTGGCTGTTACTGTTTAATTGCTTTAATGGTGATGTCAGATTACAGTCTGGGCTGAGGAATCCCCAACCAACTAGGAAAAGAGGTGTCAGAAAGCAAGGTCAGGTTATCAAGGCCAAGGTTAGACATACATAGATCAAGATCTGGGAGAAAAACAGAGACTGGCATTAAGTTTGAAGGCCTGGGCAAGGTTATAAGGATTTATATAATGACATTACGCTAATTATGTATTCAACCAATGGTTCTCAACCAGGAGCAGTTTTGTCCAACAGGGGACATTTAACAATGTCCAGAGGCATTTTTTATTGTCATGACTGTGGGTGTGCTACTGGCACCTAGTGGGTAGAGGCCCGGGATGCTACTTAGCATTCTACAATGCACAGGACAGCCCCTCAACCCCACAGCAAAGAGTGAGCTGACCCAAAAATGTCAATAGTGCCAAGGCTGAGAAACCCAGTGTTAAACAAAGAAGCAAGATACAAATTATAGATAACAATTATATACAATGTAAAGATAAAAAGACTAGAAGAAAACACACCCACTTATAATAGTGGATTTGTCCAGGTGGCAGGACTATACATCTTTGTTTTCTTTTTTTCTTGTTTATAAATGTTCTAATATAACTATATTGCCTTTAAAATTTTTAATTATTACCAGAGGCTGTTAAGGGTAGTGGGGGACTGGAAGCGGGGGAGGTGGGGATGGTTAATGGGTACAAAAAACAGAATAAATAAGAACTACTATTTGATACCACAATAGTAAATAATAACTTCATTATACATTTTAAAATAACTTAAAGAGTGCAATTGGATTCTTTGTAACTCAAAGGAAAAATGCTTGAGAGGACGGATACCCCATTCTTCAGGATGTGCTTTTTTTCACATTGCATGATTGTATCAGAGCATCTCATGTACCCCATAAATATATACACCTACTATGTACCCACAAAGTTTTTTTTAATTTTAAAAAAATTAAAAAGCACACACACAAAATTTTAATATAATTTTAAATTAATTTTTAATTACATAAATAATGAGTGAACAGTTCTGCTTATAAAATATTACAGTATCACAAATAAGACTATGCCTGGCATGGTAGCTCATACCTGTAATCCCAGCACTTTGGGAGGTGGAGGCAGGTGGATCACTTGAGCTCAGCAGTTTAAGACCAGCCTGGGCAACATGGCAAAACCCTGTCTCTCCAAAATAAAAATAAAAATAATAATAATAATAATAATACAAAAATTAGCTGAGCTTGGTGGTGTGCGCCTGCAGTCCCATCTGCTTGGGAGGTGGAGGTGGGAGGTTCTCTTCAGTCCAGGAGGTGAAGGCTGCAGTGAGCCTCACAGTGAGATCGCACCATGGCACTCCTGCCTGGGCAACAGAGTGAGACCCCGTCTCAAAACAAAACAAAACAAAACAAAACAAGATAAATAAGACTGAAAATGTCTTTGACTAACCCAGCTTCTCCCACCTCAGTCCACTTCCCAAGGGTAACCACTTTTGTGACTGTGGCCTTTCAGAGCTTGTCTATGCATTTACACGTATATTATGTGCAGTCATACAAAATATAAACTATCTCATTCTTTTTACAACTTGATAGTTATTCTGTAGTTCATCTGTTTTCCTACTGATGAAAATTTAGGTTGCTTCCAGTTTGAGGCTATTACAAAAAAATGGTATATTGTACACATCTCCTTGAACATGCTTGCAAAGGTGTTCTAGAGTAGGTATGGAAATTAAAAAATGCTGGTTTATGGAACACACATGTTTAAAATTTTATCAGCTACTATCAACTGACCTCCAGAATGTCCACAGATTTAATTTCCTGACATCCTCACCAATACCCGATACTTATCTTTGTTTTCCACATTTGCCAATCGGATAGTTGAGAAATAGTATCTTTCTTATATACTTTGCATTTACCTTGTTACTGATTAGATTGTGCACCTTTTCATGTATTTGTTGAAACTGTCACATGTTCTCTTGTGTGAACAGTGGTGTTCACCTCCTTTGCTCACTTTTGTATTATAAGGGCCTTCCAATAGTTTTAAGAACAAAAGAGAAAAGGATCAGTTTTGTATAAAAACACAGAAGTCAGCCTACCTAGTGTCTTGTATATCCTCCCTAGGCAGATACTGAGTCCCACCCAGTCCAAAATGATCCTTACTTGCCATTACTAAGAAACTTAGAAAGCAGTTATTATTAGGAAACAAATTAGCCAGCCCTATTTCCACCACTGCACTATGTTTCTCTGGCCTGTGTGCCTTTACCGTGCTTGCGTCTTCATGCTGAGCATCCAGCAGGTACTGCCAGTCAGATTCACTCCAGTCAAATACAAACCTGATATGTAGTAAGGCATAAAGGACCATGAAAGGCAGCGTGTGAACCTGATGGTATCTGCAGCCCATGCAAATGGCAATTAGTACCATTAAATTTCACTTAATCTTCATTGAGAACATCTGTTGTCTAGCCAATGAGAGCACCAAAGATGAGGTTGGGTGATTGTGACCACTGCAAATAGGTAGTTTTATCAACTAGTTTTTCCCCACCTTGGGCATAAACTGAAAAAAGATGTGACAAGGAAAATGTATAATATGTGAAATGCGGTGGCTAAAGAATAAAACTAGATGGAAAGCTTCTTCAAGAATGTTCAGCATTATTTGAAACTAGGAGGTTTGTAGGACATGCCCCTTTGTGGTGAAGAAGATGATTAATTCAGTGGTGGTGAGTTGCAGGATCAGAAGAAGGGGTTCCAAAAACTCAAACAGAACAAGGCTTTGGCCAGATTGGGTATGGCTAAATCAGGCCATACCCAATCTGGCCTTTCTCATCCCCTGCAGCACTGTTGGTTGCTCCCATCCCATACACCCTCTTGAACTGTTTTCTTGGGGCCTTGTTCTCTGCTGGAGGACTACAGATTTAAAACACTTTAAATTCCTGCTACCAACATGTTGTTTGTCTGCCTCCCTTCCCCCAATGGCTGGGGGACATCTTCTGCCTGATCACCCTCCCCATTGGCTTGTGTTCTGTGGTGAAGCAGACAGAGTCAAAACTGTTCACACCAGTTACAGAAGAGGTGTCAGGGAAAGGGCAGGGCTTTCTGTCCCTTAGCCTGAGTTTAGGCAGGTTAGGCTCTTCCTGCCCATTAACAAGGTGATGGTCTTTTCTAAGTGAGTGGAAGGTAAGGTGGGAGATAGGTAGATAAATGGTCTATATCATATTCTTTTGTCATATGCACCAATTACCTCACCTTGTAGCCTTACCACAGTTGTAACTTTACATTTGTTTGGGTGACTATTTGGTCAATATCAGTCTCCTCTACCAGCCTGTAAACAACATGAGAACAGGAGCCAAATCTATTTTTTTTAACTTTTATTTTGTTCATTAGTGAATTCCCAGCACTTAGCACAGGTATCTATCACATAAGTGCTAATAAATAGCATTTGTTGACTAAATAAACAAACAGTAGTGGCTCTGATGTTCTTAGGATGGAGGAAAGCCAGATATTTAGGCAGGAGGATGGGGAAAGGCATTTGTGAGAGACAGGGAATCTCCTCATCTCTCTACTTTCACAGGAGAGACATCTCACCCTGAGACTCTACAGTCCACCTTTGCATAAGGCTGTCTCTAGCCCCAGGCATCCCCTGAATCTGCCAACAGTGCCTTCTAACCTAGGAAGGTTGGGAATGACTGAGGATGAAACCTGCCTTTGATAGTTTACTGTTTTCCCATGATCTCAAAGCCACTGTCTTCTCCAAGACAGATGCTCATTAGCAGGCACAGCACCATCTCGTTCTTTGGAGGCTAGGAGGAAAACTACGCCAATGAGTTGTGGAGCTAGGATGGTGGGGGAACTGAATGGCTTGGGGACTGCATTTCCATTAAATTTGAAACAAAGACACACTAGCGCATTTCTTGTATCATAATTGCTCCAGTGATATATTGCCAATATATCACTTTTGAAGAGAATTGACATGCAAGGAGGAGAGGATGAAGAATGAAGGGTGTTGCAAAGATGCTGAAAATGGAACAAAGATAGTATTTTGAGGAAACTTCGACTCAAGCTCTGATTCAAGGGCATTCTTATGAACTCAAGCAATGGTTTTTTCTCCATCTTTTTTCATCCATCTCATTTCACCTCTTTTCAAACCTTGCTCTTTTTTCACAATCCTTCTCTTGACCTCTTATCTGTTGTCCTGAATTCTTGAAAGGCCTTATACCTCTGTCCATTGATAGCAAAAATAAGATTCCAACTGAATCCCCAGTCCCTCTCATATGACCCAGGATCCTGATGCAGAAACAAGGAGCAAGCTGAACCCACAAATGCTTTTACCACAGCAGCTTCACAGTTGTTACTAATTGGAATAGCCCTAATTCATGAAAACCAACCGAGAGTTTTCCAGTGAGACAATTGCTAATCCCATAACTCAGGAACTAGATAAAGCAGTTGGCTTGGGTATCACTAATTTCATTTTCATGCTTATATTTACCATTATTCATTGAGGGACAAGAACAAGTCTGCTATGATAAGGGTAAACCCTAGATTAACATTGTGCATTGTAGCTGTAAATTTTACTGTAAATGAAATGTACAGATGATTTAAAGCCAGTTATAGAGGAAACAAGAAGCTACAAATGAGCCTTTGATGGAAAATAACTTCGTTGTTTGTTGGGTATTTGGGATTGGTTTATTTTTCCCTTTTTACAGGGAGATAGTTCCCAATAGACCTAATATTGAAATAATGGTAACAGTTTAGGAGTTTAGGTGAAATTAATAAAACCAAAAATCAAACTGTTTCAACTGTTTCGAAGTGAGAGTAAATGAAGTCTGGCAATTCTCTCCTTAGAAGTATACAACTTTTTGAGGCTAAAGAGTAAACTTTATGGGATCACCCAGTCTCATGTCCCATGCAAAACAAAAATTCCTCTTACTAGTGATTCTTTAAACTCTGAACATCTCCAGAGACAGAAAGCTCATTGTTCCTTATTATTTTTTTAAGTACACATAATATATTAGTTCATTATCACTTTTAGGTAATTAAAGCAATCCAAAAGTATGTAGAGAATATGTAAAAGTTCTCTCTTCTCTCTTTCCCCGCTGCCTCTTTCTCTCACTGGAGGTGACCATTGTTAATTGTTTCATGCACATTCTTCTAGCACTTTTCTGTACACTGATATCAGTGTTTCTCAGCCAAAGCTGTTTTGCCCCTCAAGGGGACATTTGGAAATATATAGAGACAGTTTTGGTAATCACAGTTTGGGGTGGGTCGCTACTGGCACCTAGTGGGTAGAAGCCAGGGAGGGATGCTGCTGAACATCTTAAAGTGATCTCCAAAACAAAAAAGAATTATGCAGCCTCCAATGTCAGGAGCACCGAGGTTGAGAAAACTTCATTTACATATACAGACAGAGAGGTGTATAAATATATCTTTTCTACTTAAATACATTGAATCACATAATCTCTATTTTCCTGTAATCTACTTTTGTACCATTTAGAGCTCTTTCTATGTGGGTGAATATATTTCCACTGCATTCTTTTTAATTTTTTAATTAATTTTTAGTTTTTGTGAGTGTAGAGTAGTTATATATATTTATGGGGTACATGAGATGTTTTGATACAGGTATGCAATGTGTAAAAATCACATCATGGAGAATGGGGTATCCATCCCCACAAGCATTTATCCTTTGTGTTACAACAATCCAATTATACTCTTTTAGTTATTTTTAAATGTACAATTAAATTATTGTTGACTATGGTCACCCTGTTGTGCCATCAAATAGTAAGTCTTATTCATTCTTTCTATTTTTTTGTACCCATTAACCATCCCCATCTCAACCCCACCCCCACTACCCTTCCCAGTCTCTGGTAACCATCCTTCTACTCTCTATCTCCATGAGTTCAGCTATTTTGATTTTTAGATCCCACAAATAAATGAGAAGATGCAATGTTTGTCTTTCTGTGCCTGGCTTATTTCACTTAACATAATGACCACCAATTCCATCCATGCTGTTGCAAATGACAGGTTCTAATTATTTTTTATGACTGAATAGTACTTCATTGTAAAGTACCACATTTTCTTTATTCATTCATCCATTGAGGGATGGTTAGGTTGCTTCTAAGTCTTTGCTATTGTGAACAGTGCTGCAACCCCTGCATTCTTTTAACAGCTGTATAATATTCTATAGTATGGATATATTGTAGTTTATTAAACAATTCCCTATTGTTGCATATTTAGGTTGATTCCAATTTTTGCAATTACACACGATACTGCAATAGGCATTTTTGTACACATATTGTCTATTAAATAGATTCCTAGAAGAATTACTGGATCAAACGGTATTTTCCATTTTGATAGATTCTGCCAAATTTCCATCCCAAAGGCTTTATAAATGTATACTTATACCCATAGTGTTTAAGAGTGCTGTTTTTCATACCTTCAACAACACTACTCATCAACCTGCAAATTTGTACTAGTCTGGTGGGTAAACAATAATAAAATTGCTGCTTTCATTTGCATTGTCCTGATACTGTCAAAGTTGAGTGAGCATAATTTTCAGCATGTTCAAATTAATTAATTAAGTAATTAACTGCCTATTTATTTTGCCCATTTTCTATTGGACTGTTTGTTCTTTTTAAAAATGTATATGATGTATTTTAGAAGGTAATTCTTTGTTGAATGTGTTGCAAATATTCTTTCATTTTGTACCTTGTGTTTTTAATTTATTTACCACATCTTTTTTGTATAAAAGTTTTAGATTTTGGCATAATCAAAAGTATTCCTTAATTTTATGGCTTCGGTTTTGGGTCTTGCTGAAGAATGCCTTTCTTACCCAAAGATGATAAAAAAATTCATCTATATTTTCTTCAAATACGCTTATTGTTTTTCCTATTATGCTTATCTCTATTTTTGGTGTTTGGTGAGAGTTGGGGGGTAATCTACCTTTTCTTCAAATAGGCAATCTCTGAATCCAATTTATAAAATAATTGTTTCTCCACTGATGCCACCTTGATCACACAATAAACTTCCATGTGTACATTGTTCTGTTTCTGGACTCTCTATTCATCCATAATCTCTGTTCCATGGATTTATTTCTGCCTGCTCCTGGCCTAATACCATCCTGTTTTAGATACTATAATCTATTTGTATAATTTACTGTTACGTCTTCACTTGTGATTTTTTTTTCAAAATGTTATTTACTATTCTTGTGCATTTTCTCCTCTCTATGAACTGTAGAATCAGATTGTCAATTTTCATTAAAGTTCTATAGAGATTTTGATTTAGACTGCTTTGAATTTTATATCCAAGTTTAAGGAGAGCTGACATGTTTAAAGTATTTCAAAAATTAAAATATCTTCTATTTTCTTCAGTAAAGATTATATAATTTTCACCAAATAGGTATAATAGATTTATTGTAGACTTATTCCTAGGTCGTTTATAATTTTGCTTCCTGTTGTGACTGTGATACTTTTTCATAGCTTTTATATAATTGAATATTGCTGGAGTATAGAAAAACGATTACTTTTTATGTTGCTCTTGCCTTGTTGAACTATCTTATTGCAGCAATTTTAAAGCTCGTTTCTGGGATTTTGTGAGTGGATAATCACAGACTATGAAGATGTGATAATTTTTTCTTCTGTTTTGGAAACTTTATACCTCATTTTTTGTCCTTATGGCAAGATCATTTCTCCAAAGGCTACATGTTTAATGTTCCTTCTTGTTTTGACTCAAAATCTGTTCTGAAAATTTTCTGTCCAGTAGTTCTAATTGGTTTTCTAGAGTTAAACAGAATAAGGCAAATTCTTCTTCTACAGGATAACTCTGGAAATGTTTGAATATGGTTATCATGTCCTTCCTCACATCTTCTGACTTCCAGGATAAGCAACTCTATTACCTTAAACATGTGGTGTGACTTCCCAGATCCTTTTATCACGTTGGTCATCTTTCCCTATATAAACTTCATTTTGTCAACATTCCTCTCAAAACATGGTGTTCTGAGTGAGAGTTCAAATATTGTCTGACATTGCAGAGTATAGAGAAACTAATTTCATTAATTTGCACACAATGCTTCTATCAATGTAGTCTAAGACTGCAATGTTAGAGCTAAATGGTTTAAAATTGTTTTTTGCAATGGAATCTTTTTAGAAATGAAATCTTAGTCAGAACTCCAATTCCAGCCGGGCGCGTTGGTTCACACCTGGAATCCCAGCACTTTGCGAGGCTGAGGCAGGCGGACCACCAGAGGCCAGGAGTTCGAGGCCAGCCTAGCCAACATGATGAAACCCCATCTCTACTAAAAATACAACAATTAGCCGGGCGTGGTGGCACACGCCTGTAGTCCCAGCTACTCAGGAGGCTGAGGCAGAAGAATCCCTTGAACCCAGGAGGCAGAAGTTGCAGTGAGCCAAGATCACATCACTGCACTCCAGCCTGGCTGACAGAGTGAGACTCTGTCTGCAAAAATAAAAATAAAAAATAAAAAGAGCTTCAGCTCCTTTTTTTTTTTCTTTTTTTCTCTTTTTGAGACGTGCCTCGCTCTGATGCCCAGGCTGGAGTACAGCGGTGCGATCATGGCTCACTGCAGTCTCGACATCCTGGGCTTAAGGGATCCTCCCACCTCAGCCACCTGAGTAGCTGGGACTAGAAGCATGCACCATCATGCTCGTGTAATTTTTTAAATTTTTCTTGTAGAGACAAAAGCTCACTATGTTGCCCAGGCTGGTCTCAAACTCCTGAGCTCAAGTGATTCCCCCAACCTTGGCCTCCCAAAGTGCTAGGATTACAGGTGTGAGCCCCTGTGCTGGGACAGAACTCCAATTCTTAAAACAGTTAAAAGTAGAATTCCTCTCATTGAAATGAAGAGAGTGAGAGGCTGCAGAGCCTTCATCATTTCAACATCTTTCTTCTCCCCAAAGGTAGCCAAAGAGGAATCCTAAGGAACCAAAGAACATAGTTTGAAACCACGAATTGAGTCCAAGTTCTTCAGGGGACAGTGTGATCCTGAGAGAAAAAATGACTTACCAAGGTTACATAGTTACTTAGTGGACTAGATGGACCTAAACTTGGGTTTCCTATTTCCCATTTCAGAGATCTTTGCACTATGTCATGCTATTTCTCACTATTAACCACTGTACCCATCTTGATGATTCATAATAACCTTGGGCTCAACTAAAATCCTAGAACTACTGTTAATATCTATTTTTCTCTACCATATACAGTTTAATATTAAAAATCTAAATGTGAAAACTTACAATTATTAAATATATTACATGTAATCTCTCCCAGAACCCAAAGGGGCTTTAAAAATCTTTTGCTTTGGCCCCAAAGTTCTGGCTTTTAAAAACTTTCTTTTGTTATCAGCTTTTTATTTATGTGTATTTTGTAGAAACAGGAATCTCGCTATATTGCCCATTTATATAGTGAGGTCTCAAACTCCTGGCCTTAAGTAATCCTCTTGCCTCAGTCTCGCAAAGTTTAGAAACTTTCTAAATCTTGATTCTGTCATTCAACATCAATCTTTTGATTGATTTTGATTCTTTTGACAGGACTGTTCAATTGAAGTTATAATTCTTTGTTATAACTTTCACATTCAACTGTCAGTTTAATTTGCCAACAAGTGTATAATTGACTCCTCACTTCAAAAACATCAGACTCATATTTTATGGCATTTTTCCTCCTTTACTTGGAGAACTCCTATTCAACTATTGAACCCCATTTCAAATGTCACCTCCTCTGTGAAGTGCTCCTAAGCTCTCACTCCCCGTCCTTAGAACAAAATAGATAGGTCCCATTTCTGTAAGATAACAAAATTATAATACCTACATACTTTCTCTACTATGTTGTACATTCCCTAAGGATCTTCTGTATTCTCTGCATCCCCAGGCCCTGAGCCTGGGACAGCAGATTGGTCTGCTGTGACTGCTTACTGAGAAGGAATGTGAGGTTGAATAAGAACTCAATGACAAGAGTGCTGTGAGGGGTTAATGATTTCTGCCATGGACTCTGAAGGGAGATGTTTTGCCAGTCCTAACCCAGGCCATGCCCACTCCTAGATGTCTAGTATAGTTATCAAAAGAAAAGTTGGCAGGGCATGCCTTCCATCAACCCTTATTTGTGTATACTGATTATAATTTTTCTTGAGTCCTCAAAAACTGTATTCTAATATCCCTTTTAAAATTTTTATCTGGGTATCGGCATCAAGTTAACTATTGGTTTATATTTCCTGAGATATACTTCTTCCCCTTTGCAAAAATTAGGACAACATTTCCTTGTCTTTAGCCTTCTGGCACCCCTTCCATTTTCCAAGAACTTTCCAGGTGGTGGTGACTCATTTGGAGAAAATGGCCTCTTTCACTCGGACCTTTCAACAGTATTGTTTGTAATGGTCAGGGGCCATGACTAGGAGATCTGTTTCTTGGAAAAAGTATATTTGAATTGGGCAAATCAGAGGCTGAAGTCAGGATGGCCAATAAATGTGTTATTGACAGAAGCCTGGCCTAGAAAGTGAGCCAAGTCTAGGAAGGCAGTTTTCTCTGAACCATGGCCCAATAAGCATTTTGGATGGCCCTCCCTTGTCTGTCTTCCTTTCCCCTTCTCTTGGCTCTGTGTTCTTCTCTTTGCTGTACTTCATCTCCTCTGAGCTGAATTTGGATGGCTAAAGTGTAGCCTCAGTACAAAAATGACCAGAAGAATGCACATCTGCCCTTGAATTTCTGATTAGGGCATAGGTCAGTGACTGTTAGTGACAGAGATGATAAGCAAAACAGGAAATAATATCAAGACATTAAAGATATTAATGAACTTTTACCCATTAAAGGCAAATGTTATCTTTAATTAAGAAATTAAAGATATTAGATTAATAATAGATGTATTTCAGGCTGTATATGTTTGAAAAAGAGAGGATATCAGCTATGTAGACACACACAAAATACCACAAAATGATGATTCATTGGAATTTTAAAAACAAAAGAATTTTTTGTGGACTTACCAGTGCCCAGTCTTGTGCTAGACTCTGGGTGGATACAAAGACATGATCCTAAAAATGTAGCAATAATTTAAAAATATTTTTCTACCTTAATAAGAGAATGACAAACAGGGGTTCAATTTAAAAAAAAATCTTTTTCTTTAACAAGATTAAGAACCAAAATATGTGAACTTTTTAGAAGGCTAGCCTCCAATTACTAGAAAATGAAATTCATCCAAACTCTTTCTTTCAACTATGTGTAGGTTAAACAACTGTTGATCTACTATAAATGCAAAGAAAATTAGACTGAAAAGGCTGCAGCTTGTCTCTTCGCTTAGTGCTGTGGGTTGCTTTGTAGAGGCTGCAACAGGCCTGGTCCTTACTGGGATTAGGAAATCTCATCATGCAAGTTCTGTCCAGCTAAGGTTCCTTTCCCTCTGGCGTGAATCCTACTACCTATTTCAGTAAGAGGTACAGTGAGAAGGGGGCCTTTGGCCCTCCAACAGGTTGTCCTGCTGCTATAAACCATTGAAAACTGGAATTCTGATCCCAGCAGCCTATGCAAGAGGTGAATATAAAAAGGGGCTGCTTTGCTTGAAGTGGAAAGCTTTGAGTTGAGCTCGTTCCAGGCAATCACACTGTCTGCCATTTTATACAGTCTATTTCTGTCTTCCTGTACACATCCCTCAATTTGCATTCCTGCTGAAACTTGCCACTAGTCCTGCCTTTCTGTGTGGGAGGTGGGATGGATTTGGAGGATAAAAAGAAAGGCCTTTTTGTGAGGGAGGAGAATACAGGACTTTCACTAGCTGTTCCTCCTAGATGTCTTCAGAGAAACATTTTGTCTCTTTGTCTCTTTGAGGGTTGTGACAGAAACTCTCTTTAACACAGCCATCAGCCTTATTTCTTTATGTGTTTTACTTTTGACTGAGCTTGAACAAACTTAGCTCATTTTTTTTAAAGGGTAATTCGCATAATGGGAAGATGAACTATAGGGAGATAGAGACAGAATTCTAAAGATGGTTTACATACAAAGGGTGATTCAAAAGGACAATCAAAGGCCTTCGATATATTTCACTAGATTTTAAGGGATATGAGAATGTCCGCTATTAGAGATTTATTCTCTCAGATTCAGTTTTGGTCCTTTCTAGGTATCCACATCTTACCCAGGGTTGGGGGAATGCCTAGAGAGAACCATAACTGAACATTCTAGCATGAATTAGCTCATCAAAAATTTGCAGTTGACTCATCCTTTCCCAGTAACCAGTTACTGTTCATTGCCAATATATTGGACTTGGATCTTTTTCTCCATTCTTAAGGGAAACGAGCTTAATTGTGTAAGTACACAATCCTTAACAGGCTCAAAAAGTAACTGGTATGAGTCAAAACTTGGAGTAGCCAAGCAGTTTCGATGATTGTATAAACAAGGTCCAAAAGTCAATTTTTTTAGACTATTAAATGTAGGTCAGATGCAAGAAGAGAATTAAATTGTAACAGAAGTGACTCAAATGAGAAACTTCCACCAGACTAATGGCTCTTTGAGGACAGAAGGCATGCCATGTTCTTCTCTGGGCCCTTAACAGTTACCGTGGTGGCTGAATTATCATGAGCACTGAATGAATGCTACTCAGTAAGTGAATGAATTAAGACAACTTCCTTGAATAAAAGACCAATTCTAGAGTGTATTAATAATGTTGGGGAGTCCTTTATCATATAGATTTTATAAAATAATAATAAAAAGGATAGTTACTACTATGCCAGGAATGTGAAAAGTGCTTCACAGGGACAGAGAAAAAGACAGTAGATTTCTCTCTATCTTTTTTTCTTTTTGCCAAAACAAGATACACTTTGCCAGCCTTTCTTGTTCTCATCTTATCCAAATTCATTTTCCCTCAGGTCACACATCTTTTGTGATGGTTAATTATAATCTGTATTCATATAGCACTAATGATTTTCAAAGCATTTTATATGCACTATTTCTTTTTGTTCTAAAATTTAACAAAAAATTATGAAGCACTCAAAGTAGTATTCACTCCATTTTTCAGGTCAGGAACCTGAGGCATACACCGTTTAAGTCTATGATCACACAGCATTGTGTGACTGAACAAGGACTAGAAGCCAGTCCCTTTCTACAATACTACCTAAGTCTCAAAATTCAGGGATGGAGATTTGTTTGAAAAACAGCAGTTGGTTCTACTGCCTTCATGGTCATACTTTTTGTTGTTGTTCCAAATTCCTCCTTTATACTCCTTTCTAGGCATATGAAGCTGACACTTGAGAAATGGCCAAGCCAGACATTATCTCAACTTTGGGGTTTCAATTTACTCTCTTTTTTTCCTTCTTCAGTACAGAGTTGATGCTTAATTGCCTCTAAAACACCATTGTGTAGGACATCTTTCTACCTCTACTTAAGCCAGTTGACACAAAAGTCTTCTGAAATTTGTTACCCAGAAGGCATTGCCTCCTCTCTCTCTCTCTCTCTCTCTCTCTCTCTCTCTCTCTGTCTGTCTGTCTGCCTCAGCTTTCACTGACAGTCACAGGAGGAGCAACTCTTGTGCTAGCTGATAGTTCATTGAGTTGTTTCTTCCCTGGGGCTGGCACCTTTCTCACAGAGATTCAAAAGGCAGCAGGTCTAGTGTAATTGCCAGCCCAAACCCTATTTGGTGTTCCCTAATGAAATGAGTACAGCAGTGTTGTACTGAAACCATAGATGAAGTTGGCCCTCAGAGCCTGGGAAGGATGCCAGGACTAGAACAGCTTGCAAAAACCAGAGGTCTAGGCAGGCTGAGTCATTAACCATACAACAGTTAGCAACTAGGAAATAAGCTTCTATTAGGGTTAACGCAAGACCAAGGGTCAAAAACTAAATAGCAATGAACAATAGTAACAGCAGCAACACCCTGGGAAATGAGATAAATTCTGCCTTAGCCCAGAAGCCTGCTGAGATGGAGCTGGTTCTTGGAGTGGTCAGCCTGGGATTCATAGGTGGAAGCAATAAAGCCATCGTCAGAGGTGGAGAGTGAAGAGTATAATGGCCAGGGCTAAGGTAAATATCTTGACAGGCATCAAATGCCCTAGACAGGGCTTCTCAACCCTGGCACTATTGACATTCTGGCCCAGATAATTCTTTGTTGTAGGGAGCTGTCCTGTGCATTGTAGGACATTTAGCAGCATTCCAGGCCTCTATGTCTTAGATGTCAGTGGCACCCCTCCTCCGAGTTGTTACAACCAAAAATGTCTCCAGATATTGTCCAATATTTTCTGGGAGGAGGTTATTGGAGGGAGGCAAATCACCCCTGGTTAAGAACCATTGCAGGCCAGGCACAGTGGCTCCCTCCTGTAATCCCCACACTTTGAGAGGCTGAAGCAGGCGGACTGCATGAGCCCAGGAGTTCCAGACCAGCCTGGGCAACATAGCAAAACCCCATTTCTACGAAAAATACAAAAATTAGCCGGGCCTGGTGACTTGCGCCTGTAGTCCCAGCTACACAGGAGGCTGAAGTGGGGAGGATGGCTTGAGCCCAGGAGGCAGAGGTTGCAGTGAGATATGATCGCACCAGTGCACTCCAGTCTGAGTGACAGAAGCTGTGAATTCTGAAAGCTTATTGGCCTTGAGCCTTCTGTATTTACTAAATTATCTCCCAACCAGGAAAACTAAGGTAGCAGCTATAGGCATCTGCAATCTCATACTTCCCAAATGCTTTTTCATACCTAGTGCTTGGCTCATCACTTCCACTAGACTGTTGAAATTCCTAATAACATTGAACACTTAGAATTTTCCCCAAATTCCACTTAATTGCAAACTCAGTGGTGAATCTGCTCATGGTTTCAATTTCTGAGCACTTAATAGATGGTTTACATGCTAACTGGAACACATGTGTAAATACTTTTTACTTTTTGCAGTTGAATTCTAAAAGATATACTGTTTCTGTTTTCTTATTGTTTACCTTGAGCTTGTCATTTCTTCATTTTCATTTATTTCCCTACTTCCATTCAATCATATCTGTTACACTGGAAGTATATAGTCGATAAGGTGTAACACCCAGAGGCCAGAAGAGAGAAGAGGGAGACAGGATAGGGAATCTTGACTAAAGTCGTTTGGCAAAAACTGGGTCTAAGAACCTCTGTTCTGGAAAATAGTGAGTGCAAAGAACACTGTATCCTCTTACCTATCTTCCAACTCAGCTTGTTCCCTCATGAGCCCCCATACTGACTGGTATGGTTTGGCTGTGTCCTCACCCAAATCCCATCTTGAATTGTAGCTCCCATAATTCCCACATGTTGTGGAAGGGACTCAGTGGGAGATAATTGAATCATGGGGGCGGTTTCCTCCATACTGTTCTCATGGTAGTGAATAAGTCTCACAAGATCTGATGGTTTTATAAGGGGGAAACCCCTTTCACTTGGTTCTCATTCCCTCTTCTCTGCCACCATGTAAGTAAGATGTGACTTGCTCATCCTTGCCTTCCACCATGATTGTAAGGCCTCCCCAGCCATGTGAAGCTGTGAGTCAGTTAAACCTCTTTCTTTTATAATTGCCCAGTCTCCAGTATGTCTTTATTAGCAGTGTGAGAATGGACTAATACACTAACCCTTTCCCAAAAATGAGAGGAAGAAGTGTATATAATTTTCCCTCTTATCGTTGCTCTTGTGGTGGAATTGACTGTGTGTCAGAAGAAGCAGGAGATCGCTGAAGAACTATCAGAATAGCTCTGTGGACTAAGGGTACAGAAGAGATAACATGATATAGTGGAAATTGTACTAGACCAGGAGCTCAAACCCAAGTTCTAGTCCATGTCCTTTTTTTGTAGACATTTGGTCTTTGCAAATCACCTAAACTTGGTTGACCCTCAGTTTCGTTATCCATAAAATAAATTACCTGTTTGCCTACATGGTAACTATATGGTTCAGAGGAGACAATGGGGTGACTGAAGCACAAAATGCGTAAAGGCTTTTACAAATGCAAAATGGTATTATTATTATTGCTTAATCACTATTCACACATTTCCTATATTCTAGGCTATAACAACAGCTCCTTCCTTTTGCTTACAGTGGCAGATCTACTCTCCAGGACTTCCCCTCCAGATCTCCTTTCTACTCTCTACTCTATTCCACCCTGCTCTGTGTCCTGGGAAGCTGACTCTTATCAACAGGCTCCCTTGTTTTTTGGATTCCAGTTGTATTTAGCCAATGGGGAGCACTAACAAGGAGAAATGTGAGATTAGGCTATCTATTTCCAGGCACCCTGCCTGAGAGGTTGCTGGGCATTCCTTGACTGAAGGTCATAGCTCTTATCAGAGTGTTCTCTATATCTAATTGTCATTCTCTCTCCTTCCCTCTGAGTTCTGGTTCCTGATACCTCCCCTCTCTCCTTGAGGCCTAAGAGTGGTAATGAACTTCACTATTACTATTCCTAAAATTCTACAGTGCCCTCTGTGGTTCTTCTATACCCTGCCCATACTTTTGTAATCAATCCCCTTTAGTAAACTCCACTCAATTTATCCACTCTAGGAGTGTCATATATTTCCTACTGGTACACTGACTGATGGTTGATGTACCCATGAGAACTCGTTCTTTCTTCTCTCCTAACCTTCTTCTTGCATAGCAAAATATACACTTACAGAGTAGGGGATATTATGTAAGGAAATGCAGTATGTTTATGGTCATTAGTATTCTGTCCAGCCATGTTGAGGTCAGCTCCTAAGTAACAATTTCAGAATATCTATAATCAAGCTGTATGTCCCTTACCAACTGGGCAGTCATGCTTTTTTTTTCCTGTCCTCAACCAACCACTAAGGAACATTTAGAGGTCATGCCTCTCATGCCTACACTCTCCTGAAAAGTTAGCATCCTTCCTAAATTCTAGCAACCTGGGAGGCAATGGGTCTGATGCACACTCTAGTCTTTGGTTTGCCGTAAATCAGTTTGCACTCCTTTGCTTCCCTTGGACTCAGTTTGCAGAGAATGAGCTTATATCCTTTTGCTTCCTTTGGACTGGAGTCTCAGGAAGCCTGGGAAGGGGGGTACAGTTAAGCCTCTGGGATTCCACGACAGCTGCCAGCATTCTGGCCCGGGTGTCACTGCTCATTAACTGTGTCCAACCTGGAATGTTTCATAGACTGTCTGAGCTAGAAGAGACCTCAGAAATCAACTAGTCTAGAGACTCTTAATTTGGGATCTATAGACAAGCTTCAAAGGAATCCTTAACCCCCCTAAACTATATAGAAAACTAGCTATCTATGGGCATATATGCATTTTTTCTAGGGAGAAGACCTACAGCTTTCATCAAATTCTCTAAAGGGCTTGTGACACAAAAAAGATATAGATCTCAAAAGGCTCTAGATCAGCACCTTCTCCTTATAGCAGAAGAAACAGACCCAGAGAGAAAGCAGTGAGCCAGTGTCAAGTTGTAACCTAGAATGCAGGTAGACAATAACTTTCTTTTCTTTTCTTTTCTTTTCTTTTTTTTTTTTTAACAAACCTTTCCTTCCCCTACGTGATTCAAAAGCAATATCCCTCTCATGCTTTGTGTCTAGCAGACACCAGGAAACTGTTAAATGCAACAGATAACTGTAATGGGCCCTACAAGCACACTCTCTTATTTTAATTGACCTTACTAAACAGAACCTAGAGTTGTGTGGGGCCCAGAGCCAACCTTAGGGCTTAATGGTGCCAAGGGATCAAGCAGGGTTTTTCCACCCCAGTTCTTTCTGATGAATGGAGTTCTGTCTCGTCTCTGTTTCTCTGAGCCAATTTGTCCCCAGGGCCTTGTGGAAGGGCAGGTGTCAGTCCTGGGCATGTACTCAACAGCCCAACTCCAGCGCCTCTGCAGCTGTTCTCATCCTTGAGAGGCCCCCAGTGGGAGCTGACACAGACTCTTGGAAAAATGGCAAAGACAAAATAAGGAAAGAACACCCTTGAGCATCGAGGGGCTGCCAGCCTTCCAATCAGGCTGGTATTGCCTAGCTCAGGTTATTAAATCACCACTAGCTCCAGGTAAAATAGGGTAGAAAGTCTTATTCCTTCACATCTCCCCTCTGTGCCCTTCTTTCCCATACCACTGGTATTTTCATGCTACTCAGAGTCTCCTGCTGTTTTTCCTTACCTGGGTCTCCCCTGTCTAGGAAATGCCTTTGCAGTATACCTTAGGTACCTATAGTGTCAGAATAAATTAGACAATCTTGAGTTCTAGTATCAGCTCTGTCATTAGCCAGCAATGTGACCTTGTACAGGTCACTGAACCTTCATGGACCTTGACATTTCATTTATTAAAAATGAGGCCAATGAACCAAATGAGGTAATGAAGATAAGGGCACCTGACACATGTAAAACAGCAAAAGCTATGTAGGATCATTATGGCCCTTCACCATTCAAAGATAAACTATTTTAAAGGTTGAAAACAATAAATTTGAAGACCAATATCTCAGCTGAGATCTGACAGCCCAGATTTAATATAGCTGGGTTGCCTGGGGGAAATTCTAAAATGGGGAGAGGAGAGTCACCATTGGCTATGGGGCTAAGAAGATCAGTGGAAAAATGAGTTGACAGAACACGATCTATTCGAAAAGTTTATTATGGCACTTTACAGCCAAAAGACCAATGTAAAGAGCTTCTGAGGACCAGTCACTCTTCACCAGGAAAGAGTGGAGAGAAATTCAGTCAGATCTAGTGGCTGGAGGATCAGACGGGCGTCAGTCTCAATATGACTTGCTATAGGAATAGGTAAACTGGCTGCACAGGGGCTGGGAATTCCCAGAAAATGATACAGATAGTAGGAAAAGAATATCAATTTTTCCCTTCACAATCAGCTAGTCAACACTTTTTCTTAAGGGCCTGGGATGGGTCATTTTCTGTAGCTAAGCCCCACAAGGCAAGCCAAAGGAAATCGGTGTCTTCAAGAAATGGATGCTTTGATGGGTGAAAGAGGGAGAAAAGACAAAACTCATCATATAATGATCCAGGCACTCAAAGAAATGGATTTTAGTTGGGAAGGGGGGTGACATTGTGTTGTTTTTAAGCAAATAATCAGAAAACAAAAAGATCAAGAATTAAGTAAGCAAGTCAGTTTCATCTCTTATGACTTACTCTTCCATAAGATGCAGAGGACAGTGATCACTAGTAGTCCACAGATAACCTTATTATATTGCAATATCCTTAATTATGAAACTAAGATTTAATTATGGGTTTTAGATTCTTCTTACTCTTGCTTGTTACTACTACTAATAATAATTTTTAAATATGTGTTTTTTTGTACTTTAACTTAGTAGGGATAGAATGGTGAACAAACAGGTGAGGTCTCTACTCTTGTGGAGCCTAAATTCTTATGGTGGTGGTGGTTCTAGTTTATATTGGGCAATAGGTAAGACATCTCCATATAGGTGAACTTTGACTTCTGTTACTGTAATATGTCAGAATAAGTATTTTAAAAGGCCTTTTGGCTACAATATAAGTAAATTCTGAATAAATTTTAATAATCATTTTTACATTTCTTTTTTTAACAGTTTTATTGTTATATTATTCACATAATGTATAATTCACCCATTTAAAGTGTATAATTCAATGGTTTGGGTATATTATATTATTAATGTTTTTAATTTGGTCAAATATGTGTAACATAAATTTTGCCATTTTAATGTGTGCAATTAATTTTAATAATCTTATGTGTACAATTCAGTGGCTTTAGTTACATTCACAGTATCGTTCGATCAGTATCTAGTTCTAGAACTTTTTAAACTTTTAACATGACAACCAACTGTTACCATTAAGCAATGACTTCTTATTCCTTCCTCCCACTAGCTGCTGGCAACTTCTAATCCAGTCTTTGATCCTATGAATTTGTCTCTTCTAGATATTTCATACAAGTGGAATCACACAATCTTTGTCCTTTTCTGTCTGGTTATTTCACTTAACATAATGTTTTCAAAGTCCATGTTGTAACATATATCAGAACTGCATTCTTTTTTGTAGCTGAATAATATTCCATTGTATGGATATACCACATTTTGTTTATCCTTTTCATCTGTTGTCTCTTCTAGCTCTGACAGTCTATGAAACATTCCAGATTGAACACAAAAGCCAAAATTGACAAATGGGTTCTAATTAAACTAAAGAGCTTCTGCACAGCAAAAGAAGCTATCATCAGAGTGAACAGGCAACCTACAGAATGGGAGAAAAATTTTGCAATGTACCCATCTGACAAAGGTCTAATATCCAGAATTACAAGAAACTTAAACAAATTTACAAGAAAAAAAAAAACCCATGAAAAAGTGGGCAAGGGATATGAACAGACTTCTCAAAATAAGACATTATGTGGCCAGCAAACATAGGAAAAAAAGCTCAACATCACTGATCATTAGAGTAATGCAAATCAAAACCACAACGAGTTGCTATCTCACACCAGTCAGAATGGTGATTATTAAAAAGTCAAGAAACAATAGATGCTGGCAAGGCTGTGGAGAAATGGGAATGCTTTTACGCTGTTGGTGGGAATGTAAATTAGTTCAACCATTGTGGAAGGCAGTAGGGCGATTCCTCAGGGATCTACAACTAGAAATACCATTTGACCCAGCAATCCCATTACTGGGTATATACCCAAAGGATTATAAATCATTCTACTATAAAGACGCATGACTGGCGTGAGATAGTATCTCATTGTGGTTTTGATTTGCATTTCTCTAATGATCAGTGATGTTGAGCTTTTTTTCCTATGTTTGTTGGCCATGTAAACGTCTTATTCTGAGAAGTCTGTTCATATCCTTTGCCCACTTTTTCATGGGGTTGTTTGTTTTTTTCTTGTAAATTTTGTTTAAGTTCCTTGTAAATTCTGGATATTAGACCTTTGTCAGATGGGTACATTGCAAAAATTTTCTCCCATTCTGTAGGTTGCCTGTTCACTCTGATGATAGTTTCTTTTGCCTTGCAGAAGCTCTTTAGTTTAATTAGAACCTATTTGTCATTTTTGGCTTTTGTTGCAATTGCTTTTGACGTTTTTGTCGTGAAGTCTTTGTCCGTGCCTATGTCCTGAATGGTATTGCCTAGGTTTTCTTCTAGGGTTCTTATGGTTTTGGGTTTTACATTTAAGTTTTTAATCCATATTGAGTTAATTTTTGTGTAAGATATAAGGAAGGGGTCCAGTTTCAGTTTTCTACATATGGCTAGCCAGTTTTTCCCAGTACCATTTATTGAATAGGAGATGCTTTCCCCATTGTTTGTTTTTGTCAGGTTTGTCGAAGATCAGATGGTTGTAGATGTGTGGTATTATGTCTGAGGTTGCTGTTTTGTTCCATCAGTCTATATGACTGTTTTGCTACCAGTAACGTGCTGTTTTGGTTACTGTAGCCTTCTAGTATAGTTTGAAGTCAAGTAGCGTGATGCCTCCAGCTTTGTTCTTTTGCTTAAGATTGTCTTGGCTATACAGGGTCTTCTTTGATTCCATATGAAATTTAAAGTGTTTTTTTTCTAATTCTGTGAAGAATGTCAATGGTAGTTTGATGGGAATAGCACTGAATATATAAATTACTTTGGGCAGTATGGCCATTTTCACGATATTGATTTTTCCTATCCATGAGGATGGAATGTTTTTCCATTTGTTTGTGTCCTCTCTTATTTCCTTGAGCAGTGGTTTGTAGTTCTCCTTGAAGAGGTCCTTCATATCCCTTGTTAGCTGTATTCCTAGGTATTTTATTCTTTTTTTGTAGTGATTGTGAGTGGGAGTTCATTCATGATTTTGTTCTCTGCTTGTCTATTGTTGGTGTAAAGGAATGCTTGTGATTTTTGCACATTGATTTTGTATCCTGAGATTTTGCTGAAATTGCTTGTTAGTTTAAGGAGTTTTGGGGCTGAGATGATGGGGTTTTCTAAATGTAAAATCATGTCATCTACAAACATATACAATTTTACTTCCTCTCTTCCTACTTGAATACCGTTTATTTATTTCTCTTGACTGATTGCCCTGGCCAGAACTTCTAATACTATGATGAATAGGAATGGTAAGAGAGGGCATCCTTGTCTTGTACCAGTTTTCAAAAGAAATGCTTCTAGCTTTTGCCCATTTAATTTGATATTGGCTGTGGGTTTGTTATAAATTGTTCTCACTATTTTGAGATATGTTCCATCAATACCTAGTTTATTGAGAGATTTTAACATGAAGGAATGTTGAATTTTATCAAAGCCTTTTCTGCATCTATTGAGATAATCATGTGGTTTTTGTCTTTGGTTCTGTTTATGTGATAGATTATGTTTATTGATTTGCATATGTTCAACCAGCCTTGCATCCCAGGATGAAGCCGACTTGTTCATGATGCATAAGTTTTTTTGATGTGCTACTTGATTCGGTTCACCAGTTATTTTATTTTTTTTGAGATGGAGTCTCGTTCTGTCGCCCAGGTTGCAGTGCAGTGGCGCGATCTCCACTCACTGCAACCTCTGCCTCCCAGATTCAAGCCATTCTCCTGCCTCAGACTCCTGAGTAGCTGGGACTACAGGTGCCCACCACCATGCCCAGCTCATTTTTGTATTTTTAGTAGAGATGGGGTTTCACCATGTTGGCCAGGCTGGTCTCAAACTCCTGACCTCAGGTGATCTGACCACCTTAGCCTCCCAAAGTGCTGGGATTACAAGAGTGAGCTGCCGCACCCAGCCTGCCAGTATTTTATTGAAAATTTTTGCATCTATGTTCATCAGGGATATTGGCCTGAAATTTTCTATTTTTTGTTGTATTTCTTCCTGGTTTTGGTATCAGGATGATGCTGGCTTCATGAAATGAGGTAGGGAGGAGTCCCTCCTTTTCAGTCGTTTGGAATTGTTTCAGAAATAATGGTACCAGCTTCTCTTTGTACCTCTTGTAGAATTTGGCTGTGAATCTGTCTGGTCCTGGGCTTTTTTTTTTTTTTTTCTTGGTTGGTAGGCTATTAATTACTGACTCAATTTCAGAACTTGTTATTGGTCCAGTCAGGGATTCAATTTCTTCCTGGTTTAGTCTTGGGAGGGTGTATGTATCCAAGAATTTATCCATTTCTTCTAGATTTTCTAGTTTATTGGCATAGAGGTGTTTATAGTATTCTCTGATGATAGTTTGTATTTCTGTGAGGTCAGTGGTGATATCCCCTTTATCATTTTTATTGTGTCTATTTTGTTCTTCTCTCTTTTCTTTTTATTAGGCTAGCTAGCTGTTTATCTATTTTGTTAATTAAAAAAAAAAAAACCCAGCTGTTGGATTCACTGATTTTGGGGGTGGGGGGGAGTTTGTGTGCTTATCTCCTTCAGTTCTGCTCTGATCTTAGTTATTTCTTGTCTTCTGCTAGCTTTTGGATTAGTTTGCTCTTGCCTCTCTAGCTCTTTTAATTGTGATGTTAGGTTGTCAATTTGATATCTTTCTAGGTTTCTGATGTGGGCATTTAGTGCTGTAAATTTCCCTCTTAACACTGCTTTAGCTGTGTCCTAGGGATTCTGGTACGTAGTCTCTTTGTTCTCTTTGATTTCAAAGAACTTCTTGATTTCTGCCTTAATTTCATTATTTAACCAGGAGTCATTCAGGAGCAGTTTGTTCAATTTCCATGTAATTGTGTGGTTTTGAGTGAGTTTCTTAATCCTGAGTTCTAATTTGATTGCACTGTGGTCTGAGAGACCGTTTGTTAGGATTTCAGTTCTTTTGCTTTTGCTGAGGAGTGTTTTACTTCCAATTATGTGGTTGATTTTAGAATAAGTGCCATGTGGTCCTGAGAAGAATGTGTATTCTCTTGATTTGGGGTGGAGAGTTCTGTAGATGTCTTTTAGGTCCACTTGATCCAGAGCTGAGTTAAAGTCTGGAATATCCTTGTTAATTTTCTGTCTCGTTGATATGTCTAATATTGACAGTGGGGTGTTAAAGTCTCCCACTATTATTGTGTGGGAGTCTAAGTCTCTTTGTAGGCCTCTAAGAACTTGTTTTTTGAATATGGATGCTCCTGTATTGGATGGATATATATATATATATATATATATATATATATATATATATATAATAGTTAGCTCTTCTTGTTGAATTGTTCCCTTTACAATTATGTAATGTTCTTCTTTGTCTTTTTTTGATCTTTGTTGGTTTAAAGTCTGTTTGGTCAGAGACTGGGATTGCAACTCCTGCTTTTTTTTTTTTTTTTTTGCTTTCCTTTTGCTTGGTAAATTTTCCTCCATCCCTTTATTTTGAGCTGGTGTGTGTCTTTGCACGTGAGATGCATCTCCTGAATATAGCACACCAATAGGTCTTGACTCTTTATCCAATTTTCCAGTCTGTTGTTTTAATTGGGGCATTTAGTCCATTTAAATGTAAGGTTAGTATTGATATCTGTTAATCTGGTCCTGTCATAATGATGCTATCTGGTTATTTTGCACACTATTTGATGCAGTTTCTTCATAGTGTCATTGGTTTTTATATTTTGGTGTGTTTTTGCAGTGGCTGGTACCAGTTTTTCCCTTCCATATTTAGTGCTTCTTTCAGGAGCTCTTTCAAGGCAGGCCTAGTGGTAATGAAATCCCTCGGCATTTGTTTGTCTGGAAATGATTTTATTTCTCCTTTGCTTATGAAGCTTAGTTTGACTGGATGTGAAATTCTCAGTGGAAAATTCTTTTCTATAAGAATGTTAAATATTGGCCCCCAATCTCTTCTGGCTTGTAGAGTTTCTGCTGAGAAGTCTGCTGTTAGTCTGATGGGCTTACCTCTGTAGGTGACCTGGCCTTTCTCTCTGGCTGCCCTTAACATTTTTTCCTTCATTTAGACCTTGGAGAATCTGATGATTATGTGTCTTGGGGTTGATCTTCTCATGGAGTATCTTAGTGGTGTTCTCTGTATTTCCTGAATTTGCATATTGGCCTGTCTTGCTAGGTTGGGGAAGTTCTCCTGGATAATACCCTGAAGTGTGTTTTTTGGCTTGTTTCCATTCTCCCTGTCTCCTTTATGTACTGCAATCAATCGTAGGTTCAGTCTTTTTGCGAAGTCCCATATTTCTTGGAGGGTTTGTTCATTCCTTTTCATTCTTTTTCCTCTAGTCTTTTCTGCATGCCTTATTTCAGTAAGGTGGTCTTCAAACTCTGATATCCTTTCTTCTGCTTGGTCGAGTCGGCTATTAATATTTGTGTATGCTTCATGAAGTTCTCGTGCTGTGTTGTTCAGCTCCATCAGGTCATTTATGTTCCTCTCTAAACTGACTATTCTAGTTAGCAGCTCCTCTAACCTTTAATCAAGGTTCTTAGCTTCTTTGCATTGGGTTAGAACATGTTCCTTTAGCTCAGCATAGTTTTTTCATTACCCATCTTCTGAAGCCTACTTCTGTCAATTCGTCAGTCTTACCCTCCTTCTAATTCTGTGCCCTTGAAGAGACATTTGGAGAAGAGGAACTCTGGGCTTTTGGGTTTTCAGCATTTTTTCATTGATTCTTTCTCATCTTCATGAGTTTGTCTAGTTTCGATCTTTGAGGCTGCTGACCTTTACATGGGGTTTTTGTGGGGGCTCTTTGGTTGTTGTTGATGCTGTTGTTGTTGCTTTCTGTTTGTTTGTTTTTCTTTCAATGGTCAGGTCCCTCTTCTGTAGGGTAGCTGTCTTTTGCTGGGGGTTCACTTCAGGCCCTATTCATCTGATTCACTCCATGCCTAGAGATGTCACTCAAGGAGGCTGGAGAACAGCAAAGATGGGTGTCTCTTCCTTCTTCTGGTATCTCTGACCTCGAGGGGCACAAACCTGATGCCAGTAGGATCACTCCTGTATGAGTTTGTCTGACAACCCCTGTTGAAGGGTCTCATTCAGTCGAGTGGCATGGGGAACAGGACCCATTTAATGAAGCACTTTGTCCCTTGGTGGAAGGGGTGTGCCTCACTGGGGGAAAACCCACTCATCTGGGCTGCCCTGATTCCTCAGAACTACCAGGAAGAAAGGCTAAGTCTGCTGGTCTACAGAGACTGCAGACCCCCTTACTCCTACAGGTTCAGGCCCACGGAGATCAGAGTTCTGCCCCTGAGCCTCTGACTAGAGTTAATAAAGTTCCTGCAGGGAATCCCCACCCAGTGAGGAAGGATGAGTCAGGGTCAGGCCTGAAGAGGCACTCTGGCCACAGTCTGCCACAGCCAGTGTGCTGGGCTGTTGTGGACATGTCTTGGGACCAAGCAGTACAGCTCCCTGGCTCCAGCAAGGGAAAAGTGTGGCCTGGAGCTATAGAGATGAGTGCTGCCCTTCCCCGACCCAGGGAGCTAAAATGTTTGGATTTTATTCTATCAGTGATGGGCAGACTTTCAAGGGTTTTAAACAGAAGAGTGATATTCCTGATTAAAATTGTAAAATACTACTCTGACTGCTTTATGCAACACAGAATAGGTATTTGTGGGGCATGGGGAGGGCATGCTGCCTAGAGAACAGTTATGAGGCTATGTTGTAGTGTATTTTAGACTAGTACCGTGACCAGGGAGAGGGAGAAAAGTGGCTCCTAATGAAAAATGACTCTCAGGTTTCTGGTTTGGGTAATTGTGAGAATTGTGCCTTTTCTTTAAGATAAGGAAAGCTGAAGGGAAGTAAAATATGGAGGAGAGAAATAACAGTTTAGTCTTGGGCATATTAAACATGGGATGCCTATCAGACAAGCAAGTGGAGATATTGAACAGGCAGTTGGATGGAAATACATGTCTAGAGTACAGGGGTAAGAAGGACCTGGAGATATCAATGTGTGAGTATTCAGTATATATATGGCATGTGTCTTAGTTAATTGTCTGTTGTTTATAACAGATTACCTGAAGCTGGGTAATATATAAAGAAACATAATTTATTTCTTACAGTCCTGGAGGCTGTGAAGTTCAAGGTCAAGGGGCCAAATCTGGTGAGGGCCTTCTTGCTGGTAGGGACTTTCTGCAGAGTTCTGAGGTGGTATAGGGCATCACATGGTAAGGGGACTGAACATGCTAGCTCAGGTCTCACTTTCTCTTCTTATAAAAGCCATCAGTTCTCCTCCCATGGTAACTCATTAATCCATTAACCCATTCATCCAGAGCCTTCATGACCCAATCATCTCTAAAAAACCCCACCTTTCAATAATGCCACATTGGGGAGTAAGTTTCAACATGAGTTTTGGAGGGGACAAACATTGAAACCATAGCAGTGTGTAAAGCCTTGGAACTGGATATGATCACCTAGTAAAAATATGTAAATAAAAAATAAAAGAGATGTAAGACCTGAGCACTGGGGCTTTCAAATACTGGAAGTCTAAAAAAGGAAAAGAATCTAGCAAAAGAGATTGAAGCAGAAGGAAATTCAGAAGATGGTGATCTCACAGAAGCAAAGAAGGAAAAGTATTTAGGGAAAAGAACTCGATCAACTTATATCCAGTGTTGCTGATGGGTTGAGTAAGATGAGGCCAGGGAAGGACCATTGGATTTGACAACATGGAAGCCATTGTTGGCCTTAACAAGAGCAGCCTTGGTGGAGCAATGGGAATGGAAGCCTGATCGGATTGAGTTGAGAGGAGAATTACAAGTATGAAAGAAAACATAAAATACCATAAATGTGGAAGTGTTTCAAAAACAGTAAAAATACCATACAAATGTAAGTGCCATTGTTATTATTTCAGCACAGATTTTAGGGAAGTTCAGGGCATTGAATAAAGAGAACTGTGCAAAAAAAAAAAAAAGGCACTACAGAACCAAGGAACTTGTTGCGCAGGCAAAAATGTTGTCATAAAAAGCCCCCAAGTAAGGCTTCAAGATAACCCCAGAAACATGAGTTTGATAAAAAAAAAAAAAAAAGTCAGGATTGTTTCCGAAAGGTTGCTGCAGTTCACCAAGCCAACTCTGTGTCAACCTCTGACTGGAGCTGGTCCAGGGCTGGTAGGTGGGAAATGTTCCAAAATACGAGTAGCAGTAACATTTAGAAAAAGCCTCATCTGTTATGTTTACTGAGATTTTATTAACTCATTTTGCAAAATTTCCCTGCCATTCTTGATAGGCAAGGCACACTGTTGGCAAGACTGAAAAATCAGTGTGGTTTGTGTTCCTTGCCACGGTGTTTCCCTCTTCTTTACCACTCTGGCCACTCCTCCTCATAGACACTCTCTGCCCTCCTCTTCACCCTGAATTCCACCAATAGATAACTCTATGTTTTGCCTGTGCAGAAGGTTGGCAGGTGAGTCTAGGCAATTAATTGTGCTCTGCACAGCTTTGGAAAATCAGAATGCCTTACTGTAGTCAACAGGATGCAACTCTTCCTAGGGCTGTTAAGAAAAAGGTACCTACCTTTGTTTTGCAATCACCTCTGCCAGGAATACCTCCATCAACCTATATCCCACTCATCCTTCAAGACTCAGTTTTTCTCTGTGAAGCCTTCCCCAGTTCATAATTAGAATTGTTCTCTTTATCTTCTGTGCTTCCCTTGTTCTTTGCATCTTTATAGTAGTGCTAACAACAGCCTGCCTTGTATTCCAATTATTTGTGTAATCCTGACTTGCTTATTATGTTGTCAACTCTTTGAAGACATGGCCCTTTATTACACATTTCTGTATCTCTTACAGAGTTCCTTTGCCCTAGTAAGTGCTTAATGTATCAATATTAGTAGAATTGAACTTTTGAAGAAAGTATTTTACAAGTTAAAAGTGAGCATCATAGATAATGTGAGCAAGACCTTACTTCTCGAGAAAACATTTATTTCTGAATAGTTAGGTAAGTGAAATGTAGAATCTACTAGAACCAGGCATGTTCAAAAACGAACTGCCAGCATCTATAATATGTGGATGGAGAATCTAATCAAGCTTAAATCAAGTCACACAGTGAAGTTTCTATTTGCAGCTAATAGACTCAAACTTCTCTGACACCGTGATCTGTTGTCTCCATTTCCCCATGTGTAATTTGACATTTAAGCCACTGGACTATCCATATAATCTATCATTCATGCTAATGCACAACCAAGCTGGCTTCCCTTCCCCCAACACCTGCTGGTTTTTTTTTTCAAAGGAAGAGCATTGAGTTAATGGTTCAATGTTAATGTGAGTTGATTTTATTGATTTTGTGCTGGAAGTTGATTAATTATAATGGTAGGTGTCATGCCTTTGTGTTCTCTTCCCTGACTTAAAAATCCAAGTATGATTCATACTGAAGCTGATGTCAGCAAGACCTTTGATCCCTGAGGATGCTGTAATGCTGTAAGTGATATTATGATGATTATTATATTTACTATTTCTGTTGCCCCCTTGTAATGGAAATTATATCTCAAAAAAACTAACTTGGAAAATCATACATGTGTAATGTTAGCTAAGGTGGACTTTGTATCACATTACCTCCATAGAATTTTAAAAAGCAGGTGTTAAGTGAGTGTGAGTTTCATTTGAGAATTATTTCTTATATTCCATTCTTCTTCTCCTCCTCCTTCTTTTCCTTCTTCTTCTTCTTTCTTTTCTCCCTCCTTCTCCCTCTCCTTGTCCTCCTTCTCCACCATATACTTGGTTATTGTTACAGTAATGAATAGGAGTTTTGTTGTCCATAGATTAAACATATCCTTAAAGAAGCTTATTTTTTCAATCCAGTAAGATGTTCTAATGCATAGCAGGCATTGATTAGGACAAATATAGATTTTCCTGTCTAGGCTATAGATATGCCTTTGAAGTCAGTGCTTTAGGATAATATGTTCTTTCAGGCAATTGAGTTATTTTGTCCTGAATTGAAGCAGAACACCTGAATGCTAGTCCCAACTCTGCCATGAGCCAGCTGTGTATCTTCGGGACACTTTGACTCTCTGCGCTTTGAGTTCTTCTTATTTAAGATGGAGAGCATTCTATTTTCCCAACCCTGTAACAAAGATGGGGGGCTGCCGTGTCTCAATAGCCAAGACATTTAGAAAAGCTGGGTATCCACATGCACAAAGTGCATTTGTCTGCATTTGGGAGCCAGTAAAATGTGGAATGGGATCACACAAAGACATCTGATGCTGAACAGCTGGATTGTAGCATGATTGTGTTTGAAGCCAGCCACACCATTGTGAGTCTGTCAGAAGCACAGGGGACTTTGCCTTTCTTAGAGGCTCCCCCAAAGAGGGGTTATCCAAAGGCTTTTCCCAAAGCCTGGGTGTGGGTAGAGAGGCTTGTGGTTGGAGGAGGGTGGATCATTGTAACAGCAACCCCTAGAGCAATATGTAAGACATTATTGTCCTACAATAGGATATCATGGCATGTGTCTGAGATGGCTGCTTTGGAGCTTTTAGGTTTTCTTCTTAGGAAGCAATTTCCACAAATACCTCCAAAATGAATGCTCTGGTGACTTTGCAGGGAAGGTTGCTGTTTGAAGCATTTACTAATTTTTTTTTACAGCTATTAGCTAGTTTCAATTTTCTATTTCTTTTTGAACTAATTTAATTATTGAGACTTTTCTTTCTTTCTTTCTTTCTTTTTTTTCGGAGTCTCTCTCTGTTGCCGGGCTGGAGTGCAGTGGTGTGATCTCGGCTCACTGCAATCTCCGCCTCCCAGGTTCGAGCAATTCTCCTGCCTCAGCTCCCCCGCACCCCCAGTAGCTGGGATTACAGGTGTGCACCACCACGCCGGACTAGTTTTTTGTATTTTAGTAAAGATGGGGTTTCACCATGTTGGCCAGGATGGTCTCAATCTCCTGACATCGTGATCCACCTGCCTTGGCCTCCCAAAGTGCTGGGATTACAGGCGTAAGTCACTGCACCTGGCCTAGACTTTTCTTTAAAAATCATCCATTTCATTTGTTTTCAAACTAATTAGCATAGTTACGTGAAGAATAGTTTCTGAATTCACATTATTTCTACTTTTCTTGTTCCTAAATTTGTATATTTGTGTTGCCTTTTAAAGTCTCTAAATGCTAATCTCCGTTGTCTGCCACAATTGATTTCATCTTTCTTATTCCTACTTTTCTGTCTTTGTGTATCCTTACAAAGCCCCTGAATATTCCTGTTTCTTACCTTCTTTGCATGCAGCTGAGGCAGAAACAGCCCTAAGTAAATTTTCACTATGTGATAAGCTCTCTACAAGGAACCACAGGAAGATATAGAGGAAGGTATGAATTTGGCTGTTAGATTCAGAAACCTGTGATCCGGTGGGGAGAACTAAGTGAGTCCTCATGAAAATACAGGCAGGTCTTGAAACAAAGTGCCAAATCCTTGAGACCACTAACAGAGGGACACTCACAGGTGAGGTATTCCTGACTCATGACCAAAAATAAAGTCAGCTAGTCAGGGTCAAAGGCAGCCTCAAATAGGAAGATATGGCAGAGATCTTCAGGGTCAAGGATGTGGCGGCAGGTAAATAGTTCAGAGATATTTGGTGTATCAGAGTTAAGGGCTCTGTGTTTTATTGAGCCAAGGTCCAAGATATTGGTAGGAGGTCTGCAGCTAGGCTCAAAACCATGTAGCCTCTGTCATTGGATCCACTACTAGGACAATATGCAGGATGCCTATTGAACTAACAGTGCTAACCAGTGACTAGGGTCATTTGGACATGGTAATCAATAGCTCTCACAGCACCAACAGATAATCCCATCCTAGTACTCATGACACTAAATTGAAATGCTCTATTTCGATGTATCTCACCTCATCAGACTGTGAGCTCCATGAAGTCATGGCCTGAGTCTTATTCATCTTTGTCTCCCCAGTGACTGATCTATATGTAAGTGCTTTGTATTGCCAAGTGGTTAAAAGGACAGGCTTTGAAGTTAGATAGATCTGTGTTTATTTGGCTTCATTGCTCTCCACCTGGAAAACTTACTTATTGTCTCTGGGTCACAGTTTTCTCAAGCCTAAAATAGTAATGACAATAAATACTGACTTCTAGAGTTTCTTGTGAGGGTAAAATGAGATGACAGATTTGGAAGTACTTACCAGAGTGCCTGTCACAGAGTAAGCATTCAGTTAGTTGGTAGCTCTGATTGTCATTCTGTGATCATGGAATGAATGGATGAAGGACAAGTGGGCCGAAGAAAGGTGTTGGCCAATTTGATGAGGTCAAGACCCAGGACTGGAAAGAGGCTTAATGAGAGTGACCCTGCAGTCCTTCAAGTCACCTTCTCTTCTCTGGGCATCTCTTGGATGATTGGGAGGCTGACACAATGGGGATAATCTTTAAGTATATCTCCTTTTGTGTAAGGCTTGCAATCGTTTTGATTGGGAAAACAGGGATTGAGTTAACCTTAGGTGGGGGTGATGTTATTAATATAAATATTTTTCTAATGTAACATATTGCTCTCTGCACCCAGCAAGCTGTTGTTAGTTTGTGAGCACCATGCCTTTGGAAAGCCATTGCTGGCAGCTTGAATGGGAAACTTAGAACAATTAGAGGCTTTGAACACTTTCAAACTAAGAGGTGGTATAAGCATGTTTTGACTTTATGGTTCCTCCAGGGGTTTCCCTGATGTGCTGGACTAATTAACAGATGTAATTAGGAAAGCTGAGAAGTGGGGAGACTGCAGGAAGCAGCATACTTTCCCAGGGACCCTCATCTCTTTGTGCAGAAAGGGGGTTGGGGAGACTGTCTGTCTGTTGTTGAGAAGCAGTAATGCTTAGGATGCTAGCAGGCATGAGGGTCCTGGGAACATGGCTCTACCAGTAGAAACTCAGGCCTATTGGGACCCATTGCTCATGATGAAGTTTTCCTCTTCTGGTTTCACAGGAAGAAATGGTATTCTGGGCCACTACCAAGTTTTCGGCCAGCTTTTAGCAAAAGTTCAATTTTTGTGTGTCCAAAGCAGTTAAGAAATGATGTCCTTCTTTTAGAACTCATTCAGATGAAGCAGCACATTTCCACTTCTGGGTCAGCTACAGTCAGGCTGCAGAAGATTTTTCTCATCTTCCTTGGCCCAGTCCCTTGCCCTAGAGTTGGGCCAGGAGCTTCCCGTCTTTGAGGCTCTGAGAAAAGGTGACATTTATAGGGCCATCTGCTGGTTGACTTTTCTTCAGAAAACGGCATTCCATTTGGACATGGTCTCAGTCTTACTCTTGATGCAATTGAAAGTACCATACATGAAACATGGATAGACAATGGTACTCAGTATATCATCCCTCACTAGGGGTCATGATTCAGACTATGAATGTGGTAGGTGTTTTAAGAAAGAGAAAACTCCTGGGAGCTGAAGATGATGGCCTAGATGGGAAGCTTTTCTCCTTGTCAGTGTAGTGTGAGGTTCATTGTCACAGGACCATCATATACAATCAGTGTTTCTGCTTTCTCCATAGGTAACTTGTCTCCATGATTTCTTTGGTGATGATGATGTGTTTATTGCCTGTGGTCCTGAAAAATTTCGCTATGCTCAGGATGATTTTTCTCTGGATGAAAATGGTAAGCATAACCACTGGGTTTTATTGCTCCATTGTTCTCTCCCCTTCTATCCTTTAGGATTTCCATGGGTTTGTATGGTGTGGAAAACATCTATGCATGATCCTTCAAGGGCTTATAATGTTGGTCTTTCTCCTGTATATTTGGATACATGGGTCATGACCCATGTAAGACTGAAAGACTGACTGGATATCCCAGAGTCCCAGGCTCCAAACTCAATAAAACTCACTATCTGCCCCAATAGTGACCATATTTCTTGAACCATATATTGTGTCACATGGGATAACAGGCACAATCAGACCACAGGAAGGAATATTTTCAGTCAGAACTTGGATATTGTACATATCCTTTTTTCTCCATTCAACGTCCTCCAACTATTTAGCTTGTGATTATGGTTCCAATTTAGAGAGATTTTTCCACAGTATTCTTAGTGTCAAACCCTTTTCACACCATCAGACTTGCTGCCCCATTCGTCTGCCTTGTGATTCAGGTTTACAGAGGGTTGTTAATAATAAGAAGGATCTAATCGTCTTCCCATCTCCCTTGGTTTGAGTCCAAGCTCCAGGTATACATTAAAGGTTAATTAGCTCACGCAGCAACAAGGGTAGAATGTGATGCTGATAGAAAGATACATTCAGAGCATATTTCCCATTTAGGAGAAGCAAAGTGTGAAAAAAAATCAAAGGGAATTTTGCTAATATAGACTTTATAAACAACTCAAGTGACAAGAACCCTGTAAGAGGTGGCATTTCTGCTGTGTTCCCTTTAGGAAGAAGCAATGACTATAGAATAGCTAAACAAACCTCAGGTTATGTCCAATTTCCTATACCTTCTGTATCTTCAGCTCTGGACAGTGATCACTAAAGGTCACCAACCAAAACAAGAAGTGAAACAAACAAAAGGGGGCTTTCTGCTTAACTCAGTTTCCTAAAATATTCAATTTACCAGAAAAGCTCCTCTAATCTTTCTGTTTAATTTATATTTCAATGCACCTTTAAGTAGGAGGCAACAAGAAAGTGTTTAAAGGAAAGGAGAGACTATATCCTCTACTCTGCTGTTTGATTCCCCTTTGTGCATCACAGCACAAGGTTGGAAAAACTGTAGTAGAAAGAGCACTAAACTGGAACTCAGGGGACTTGACTTTTAGACCTTGTTTTACTAATTTCTTGTTTTGTGGCCCTAGGCAAAGGGGTTAAGTTTTTTGTACTCTCATCAGCAAAATGAGAATAATAATCCTTCTAATAAATTAGCACTATTAGTGCCCAAAATGACCATAGAAGGGGATGCTGAGTGACCTGCATAGAAAGGGTGTTCCAAAGGTGTCAGACTGAGGCTAGGGCAAATACAAGAACATTTGGCAGACTCTCCCACACACCAGCAAGCTTTCTTAAGTTTTTAGTGGCAGAGTCACTGCTGGCCCATTTATTCATTAACCCCCCATAAGGGATGGCAATAACATACATGGGAAATCGAAAAGAACTTGATAAATGCAAGATGGTGGTGGTCATAGTGCTTATTTATATAAAGTGACATGATATCCATCATGTGTCTATCAACGTGTGGCATGTAATAGTAAGTGGTAGCTCTCTACCTCTCCTTCAAATTACTCAATGGATGTTTCATCTGTGTAGCTGTAACCTCTGAGTTGTTAATCTCTAATTCAGGGAAATTAATTAAACATTATATCAATAGGTGCTATTCTGAGACATAGCTAGCTTGTCCATAAATGATTGAATTGACTATTTAATTGCCTACTTGACCTGTTTATGGACTCTTGCCCTTGTTTTCGTAATTCAGGGGCTTAAACACCTAGCTTAGCCCAGGTGGCTTTTGAAGGTTTCCCTAATGCCTCCCTCCCCAGAACCATGGCTCCTACTAATAATAAGGACCACATTGTAGTCCTGACCCATTTAGGTCCTTTGGCCTGTGATGGTTATTGCGGTTTCCAGAGGCTGATAACATGCTGAGCCTGTTTTATCCTCTACTAAGCTGTCTGTGTCCTTTTGCCCCAGAATGCCGAGTCATGAAGGGAAACCCATCAGCCACAGCTGGCCCAAAGGCATCCCCAACACCTCAGAAGACTTCAGCCAAGAGCCCTGGTCCTATGCGCCGAAGCAAGTCTCCAGCTGACTCAGGTAACGACCAAGACGGTGAGTGCTCTTTTCCTAACTGTGCACGCTGACTTCATTTATGGAGGACAATACTTTCTGCATGCAGAGGAATCAGTTCCTCATGAACACCACTGTGTCTCCATGAAACCCTATTCTATCAATTCAGGGACTAAAACAGTCAAACTTGTTTGGAGTCATGGAGGCACAGCTACAACCATTATTCCATTCAAATGGATGCAAACCAGAAGCCTGGCCCATTGTCTATGCTTGCTGTAATGTTTATTTTCATGGTTGTCATCATTTTCATCATCTTCAACATCATGTGGCAAAAACATATTCAATGGAATAATCAAATTAACCATAAACCTGAAATTAAAAATCAGAATCAAGAAAAAGAATATAAAAAACAACACCCCAAAGTGTCAACATAGTTGACTCACTTGAGCTTCAAATTTGACTCTGAAGTAATTAGAAGCCAAAACAAAAAGGGAAACAAGTACACTACATATATATGCCATATAAATAGGGGGACAAGATAAATTGTATAAACCTCACAACCGGAAAGTAAAGCACAGACCAGGTTCTAAAAGAAAACAAAGAGATTTGCCATAGAAGATTCTATTTAGTGGATAGTGAGTTATCTAAAACATGTCGTCTATTGATCACTGCCAACCCATGAACTATTTATTACCAGTCAGTCTGTGGCAAGATTAGGAGCTTGTGCCAAATGTAAATAAACTATGCCATTAAGCAAACCATTTAGCTCAGCTGCCTTTTTTTCAGAGCCTGATTTTATTGATGAAGGCAGCAGTATGTTGATTTGCATTCTGATGTGAACCCTATCTTGTCTTGGACCCACAGTTTGAGTGACACTGATCTAAGAGGCAATGTCTTCCATTCTTTTATAACAAATATCAAAAATAAAAGGCCTTAGAAGTCCAAGTTCAGAAGCTTAGATTTATGCACAATTTGAGGTTCTTCACACTAAGGAAACTATATGGTCCAAAATACTTATACATTTGTCATCCCAAGGCTCAGAATTTATCATGAGAATTCTTGCAGTCTGAGAGCCTTGGGAAAACAAAAGGGCCCTTCAGTTTGGGGCATCATGAGTAGCCTGATGGCTATGAAATGCTGGTGCCAAGATGAATAGCCTGTACTGCCTGCATCAGACTGCCAGGAGCATGCATATTACCAGCCATCTCTTTATTCTTGGGTTGAGGAAATTAAAGTATGAAAAGGCAACCCAGGCTTTTAGTACTTCCATGTCTTTGCACTCCCTGTTCCCCCATACCTGGAATGCCATCCTCTAACCCATCAGCCTTTTTTGCTTGAAAACTCCTATTCATCCTTCAAGACCTCACATAGAGATAATTGTTCCAGTCTCTGCAATACCATAGCATGCCATTCATATCTTTGGGGTAATATTCACCACACTGTGTTGTCAAGTATGTGTTTACCTGTCTACTTCCCCAATTAAATGCTGAGCCCCTCAAAGGTAATGTGGTAGGTTCATTTTCATATCATCAGTGCAGAGCATAGTGCCTGGCCCCTAGTAGATGCTCCAGTAATATTTGTGAATAAATAGATGCACAACAGTACCTATTTTACCCAACATGGTGCTAGAGACCAATCAAGCATTTAGATAATGTTTGCTGAAGAAATAAAAAATACATGTGCCTTGATGCTATCTTGTTCAAATGTACAGAAGAGCACATAAATCTATATCTAAGCAAATTTATATTGCTGAAACTACAAAGACCTAGGTTTTAACACCTGGGCTGAGAATAAAATTTGACAGTTTTTAAGCAGAGAATTGCAAAAAATACACTTTAAAACACTTGGTCAAGATTAATAAAGTCTGGCAATAATTGCTTAGCTAATCATTTCTCAGAAACAGCAGTAGCTATTTCTGGGATTTCTAACCTGTATTACTTGTATCCTGCTGTGAAACAAATTCATTACCCCAAAACTTAGTGGCTTAAAGAAAAGGCATTTTTTTTTTATCTCACAGTTTTGGTGGGCAAGAAATTCTAGAGTGTTTTATCTAGGTGGTTCTGGCTCAGAGTCTCTCATGTGGGTATCATTAAAATATTAGTAGGGGCTGCAGTCATCTGAAGGCTCAACTGGGGCTGTAGGATCCACTTACAATATGGCTGTTGGCAAGATCTCCTACCTTAGTTTGTGATCCAAGAGAATGAATAAAGAACAAGATGTATTGCCTTTTGTGATCTAGTCTCCATAGCCAACACTGTCACTTCTCCTTTATTATATTCATTGGAAGCAGTCACTAAGTCCAACCTACATTCAAAGAGAGAGGAACCAGACTCTATTTATTAAAGGAAAGAGTGTTGAAGAATTTGTAGATCTGTTTTTAAACCACCATATAACCCATCAGTTAGAAATTCTCAGGTGGTATCAGCTTGAAGTAAATAGATCCTCTTTGCAGACTGCATCCAATTGGTTACCCAGCACACATGAACACAACTACCTATAACTACACAGTTTAAATCTATGTCAAATCATTGATCTCCAGAATGCCACCTACAGAATTTCCCTTCTACAAAATATGCACCTCAGTGACTCTAAAATATCAGAGATATAACGTGAATATATTAGAACTCAATGAATATTTGTCAAATTGAAGGGAGTTACAATATAAGAGATCCCAACCCAGGCTTTGGCAGGCAAGATCTGCTCTTGCTTTTTCATAACTCCTTCACTAAAAAAAAAGAAAAAAAGAAATGAGGATTTATTCCAACCCACACGATAAACAGAGTAACCAATTTGGGTGTATGAGGGGAATTTGCTTGGCAGATAGCAGAATTACAAATAACCTCTGTTTCCTACCACCAATCTAACATGGTGTTCTCAGTTTAAAGAATTGGAATATTCATTTATATTCTGATGTTCATGAACATAAATGAAGTCAAACCCTAGTCTAGACAATCTTTATGGCAATTGCCAGAATGTTTGGGCTCATCTCAGATAATGTGTCTATAGCCTCCTCATGATTCCAACCCTGAAGGGCTGTAACATAACCAAGCCCATTTCATCGGAGTTTGTTTAAAGCCTAGTCCAAGGCATCCATTCAGTGAACATTCCATAAGGGCAAAGCTGATCTCAGGCAAAACAGTACCTTAGCTAAAGTTTGGATTTGCTATACCCATTTTCCCTCTCCACTTCCACCTCACTCAGGACCATTCCAAGCTGGGACGAGGAGATTGGTAAGATATGAAAGAGGAGAGGGAGATGACTCTCTAAGAAGTCCCAGCTACGCCACTTCCTAGCTTTGTGATTTGTGCAAGATTTTTGCCTTTTCTGAGATTCGATATCATCGTTAGATAATTCAGAATTTGAATCTCTATAGATAAGGATAATTTTCCATTGTTATCAGTTATTTACAATTTACAGAGTTGTAAAATAGCTCCCACAGAAACAAAAGCGGATAACCAGAATGATAAGCTATAGACAGTGCATACTTTTCATATGGCATAAATTTCTCCTTACAGACATTTGAGATTTAAAAAGTAACAATTGTTTCATAAAATGTCAATTTTTTTTAGCTGTTAGCCAGGGACATGTAGAGGTTAAAATACACTTAACCAAATGATAATAGGTTAGGTGGGGCAAACAGGCTTTGTTCATTTCTAGGACATGGTAGTACCACCCTGTTTCCATCCTGTGTTAGTCAGTCTTGGATGTGGAACTTGTGAACAGATTTATAAAACTTCTTTCAACCTGAGTAACAAAAGACTCTTAGAATCCAAGTCTATGGAAGATAGACCAATGGAAGATTGTCTTCCTTTGAAGACAAAAGAAAGACCAAAAGTGCTCCTCTTTAGCAGGAATTCTAACCAAATGAAACATTGGCTGGGTTCAGGTTCAGTTTAAGGAATGTTTTGATGTTCTACTTCATTGGAAAATATACAGGTTTGATTCTGGTTTGAACAAGTTTGCTAGATATCTATATCTATATCTATATGGTCAAATTCATGGTTCAGTTAATAGCTAGGTTCATTCTGACTTGAGGTTTAGTAAATTGATGCTATTTGGTCTGTAATTTGTGCTATAATTTGATTCTTTATTCCTTAGTCTTTAGACCTTAAGTTGTCCCTTTCCTGTTCTGCCCCATGAATAAATCAAATCCTTCTACTTTATTTCCTTCAAGTTCAATCCTCACTTCTGCCAATATTGAGTTTGCCCCAAATGGAATGTCTGTTGCTAAGCCCTAAACTCAAGTTAAGTAAGGATTTTGTTGTCTATATAATATTTCTGTAAGGAGCTCATTTTCACCGGGCAGAACTGATGGACTCTTAGAATCCAAGTCATATTAGCTATGTCTGTCTTTAAATCAGGCCATGGAACTGTGGTAAAAAAGATAAAATCTGAGCCCAGGAGGCTCCTATGGGATATTTGAAAAAAGCTTATGCAGTGCCACACTTTGATTAACCCCGGACTTGCCATTTTGATGAGCGAAGGTAAGCCTGGCTTCAGAACTAAAGAAAGACATGTCTCTCTCTGTTTCCATTTCAGCCATTAATGTGTTAATTTTCCCTTTATGTAACTTTGTCCCCAGTTGAATTGAATTGAATTAAAAGGACAAAATAGCTAGTTGCTGGGAAGGAATCTTTCTCTTTCTTTCTTTTTTTTTAAGGAGCCCCCGAAGGAAGCTAATTACCCACCCTGGTAGGCTGAGAGAATTGTAATGTGATAATTAGTTTGCTATTCTTCAACAGTAAGTCATTGTTGTAGCAATCCAATGTTCTCCATTCCCCTTCCCCCAACTCATGTGCACCTATTTCTGAAAGTCCGATCTTTTCCGTTCCCAAATTCATAAGAAAGAAAGCCTTCTCTAACAAAATATACAGCCTTTAGAAGGGGAGGTCAAGGGACACAAAACAGCAGGGTTCATGAAAGACCTGTATCCCAGGGTCCTTCTTTTCTGAAACTAGTAGGCTGCTTTGGGTTGCCTAAGATAGAGGGACTTGGTCATTCTGACCTTCCTGAAAGTGACTGTCTAGACCAGCTCTGCTCAATAGAAATAGAATGTGAGCCATAAATGTAAATCATGTATGTGATTTTACATTTTCTAGTAGCCACATCTTAAAAAGTTAAAAAATGGGCAAAATTAATTTTGACATATTTCATATAATGATACATTCAAGATATTATCATTTTAACATATAATTAATGTAATAAATTACACATTCTTTGAAATTGAGTTGTATTTTACACTTACAACGTATCTCAGTTCTGACTAGCCGCACTTCAAATGTTCAACAGCCATGTGACTATTGGCTACTGTTTTAAACAGCACAAGAATACCTTTCTTCTCTAGCTAAGAGAGATTCATGATAACAATCTTTTTACGTGAATTAGATGCTATGCACTTTGCAAAATATTTCCAAATCTATTACCTCAGTTGTTCCTCATAATTGCACTATGAATTAAGTTGGAAATTGATAATTATCTTTTTTTTTCATTGGGGAACTAAGATACAAAGTTTAGGATCTTGGGATCTTCCATGTCACACATTACTTAGCACCCAAGAGCCAGAACATCGCTCTCCTGACTTCCCAACAAGCATTATTCGCAGTGTCCCACTGACACACAGTAGTTAGTATGTGGGATGTGCTGTCTGGTGAATGCAAAGGTCTACGTTGGATGGTCCTTGCTTCTTGGCTTCTTTTCCCCTTCTCCCATCTCCAGGCTAGGGAGGTGGAAAGGCAAGGGGTGGGTTGGTGTCTGTGTCATTTCCTTTGTGCTGCTTTGAGCAAAGTCCCACAAGTAATTAGGTGCCTTTCAGTGCTACAGAGCACTGAAACAAGACAGCTTAGACATTCCTTCAGCTCCCCTAGCTCCCCTACCAGCAACTCCAAAGGGAAGTGGTGTCCTTGACAGAGCTGTGGGAAGAGAAAAACTTCCCCAGTTCCTCCTCCAATCTGATTCTTCTAAAACCTGCTTAGAAAATGATTGGAGCAAGCAGTATAGTGGGTGCCAGTGAGCACCCCATAGTGCATGGTATATGGTGATATTTCCCTACATGAGTCTTATCAGCCAGTCTTGGCTTGGGACTTGTGTTTACATACAACTGAATGTGCAAAGTACCCCTCTAAAGTACTTAGTAGTGCTAGGTGCTATGAAGAAAAGGGATGTTAAGATGAATTCCCTGCCACTAAGAAATTTATGATTTATTTGGGTAACCAGTATACATGTAAATTTTAAAAATATATTTACAAATACTTATATAGCTCCTATTATGTGTCAGGCAACTGTTCTAATCGCTTTACTTGTATTAACGAATTTAATCTTTACAACAACCTTGTGAGGCAATTACTATTATCCCCATTTTGCAGATGAAGAAACTGAGGCATACAAAAGTTTAGTGACCTGCCCAAGATCACACAGCTAGTAAGATGATAGAACTGGAATTTAAACCCAAGCAATCTGACTCCACAGTCCACAATTTTAACCACTGAACCATTAATGCCATGTTAATGGTAATAACTTATTTAAATGCAAAATGCATAATAGATACTGGTAGTAAGTATTATGGGAACTATTGGAGTTCATGGGAGAGAGCTCATTAGGGACTAAGGTGCTAAGGGAGGAATTCCTGGGAGAACTGGAACTTGAAGAAGGGCTATATGTAAATTGATAAGGAGATGGATACTTCTGGCTGTCAGGGAAGCATGAACAAAGGGGCAGAGGTGGTGATGAATATGGCTTATCAAAGGAGGCTCTTAACTCTACCTCTCCAGCCCCGATCTTCCTTCTGGATGTCAGACCCATAATGCCTACTAAACAATCCTGTGTATATGGCTTATATGTGACAAATACAAGCTATCTAAAAATCAAAAGCATTTCCACCTCCCATCTCTTTGTCTGACAATAGAATTATCATGCTTCCCGGGTTCAACACCCTGGTGCTATTTTTGACTTCCCACTCATTAATCCTGCATACCCACTGTGTGCTGTTGTTATCATTGTTGGACATGTGAACCATCTCCATGTGACTTATACAGCAGTCCTTTCCTTTCTCTTATGACCTGATGTCTCGATTATTTCGCAGACTCCTTAGCAATATTTCTGCTTCAAATCTCTGTCCACTTATCCATGTGGTGTGGTGCCACCACATTTCTCATCCTAAAACACCATTTTCATTGTGCTACTTCCCTGCTCCAAAACTTTCAGTGGCTCCACACTGTTCATTGACCAACACAGCTTCCCCTGCCATAATAATGCTGAGAGGGTAAAAAGAGAGAACAGGATAGGGCCAATCATTTTGCTTTGGGGAGCACAGCAGTAAAATGCAAAAAAAAAAAAAAAAAAAAAACAGAAATAATAGGCTTCACCTAAGGAAAGCTTCGATTATCTGATACTTGACCAACTAGCCAAAGAACTAGCCCTCAGCCTACATAGAATGATATCTCATCTCTTGTGGGCTAGGATTTCCTAACTCAGTGCCTATAAATTGAATACTTACTCAGTGCTAGTAGTGGTGGTAGTAATATTGACAGAAAATACAATTTATTGAACTCTTTTCTATGTGGCAGGCACTTAGATAAGCATTTTATGTATAGTCTGCCATGTAATCATCAAAACAGCAACAATTGAGATAATTATTATTCAAATATTACAGATGGGGAAACTGAGACTCAGAGAGGTTAGGTTAGCCCCAGGATCACAAATCTAGGAAATGGCTAAGCCAGGATTTAAAACTTTGACTGATTCCAAAGCCTGTGTTCTTTTCACAAATTAAGAACAGTGCAGTTTATCCTAGTCCCTGCACCAGGAAAACCAGCAGTCAGCGTTGACAACAGGCTAGCTCCACCAGAAACATGTTCTGTTTCTCAGTAGGAAATAAATGTTGACAGCATTGTCAACCCTGAGAAAACAATTCTGGCACTTCCATCAGCCCCTCTACAGATGTCCTCTTCTTGAGGGAAACTCATCTGTGTCAAAATATTGCAGGATTGGGTATATACATTTGTTTTGTAACAAGGAAGACTCTTACTTCTCCCCCTTATTTAAAGGATTCATAACTTCATGCTGTCCAAGATTCCGTAGGAAATATATTTAAAATTCAAATTCCATCTTCTGAAGTTACAGTGTCTCACAACCTACAATTGAATTTGGCTTGAGAGCAAACCCTATGATCAAATCATTGAAGAACTATTCCCAGGCTCTCAGTTCTTGCTCCCCTAATGGATGGGTCTAGGGAGAGGGACAAAAGCTTTTCCATTGAGCAGAAACAATTAGCCAAAGCAATCCAGACACCCTGCCCAAGGGCTCTTTGGAATGTATTTGTGAAAACCACAGGGTCTGTCTCTTCACCTTGTTCTGAAGTAAGTTGAAACCACCTTGGATCCACTTGGATGGCCTTCCAGGAAAATTCCCTCTATTTGTAAGGGGAAAACAAGGTATCTTTGGACTGGAATGAATAAAATCTTAGAGCATCTCAGTATGAGAAAAATGAGGAAGTGGCAGAATTGTGTGTTGAGATCTCCCTCTGCAAGGCATTAGGGAGTTACAGAACACAAGACAGAAAATGAATCACTAGAAGTTCACAGTGGGAGGTATGTGGTGTGCTAACTTTAAGGAAATTTTGAAATAGAATCTGTGAGCAAGTCCAGAAGCCACTATCCAGTGAGAAGGGGCAGAGTTTATACCATTTACGCAAGCCATACCCTCTCTGAGCCCCTATATCCTTGTTAATTGAAAGGAGACTAGTAATACCTGGCCACCATCTCTTAGAGCTATCAGGAGAATAATGTGAGTTCATGTATGGTAAAATGCTCTAAAAATAACTGCAGAAAAACAGCTGAAATTATAAAAAGGGCTCTGAAATTATTATCATAGCTCTTTTGATAAACTGGGGTTGTTTTCAATGAGCAATATTTCAAAATGACATCAAATAAAAACCACGAGGCTTGATTTTGAGTTGGGCTCAAATGTTGGGCTTAGGATGGGAGGGAAAGCCAGGGCTAAGTGAATGAGCATTAACTTGGTTTGGTCTGTGGTCAAAGGTTGGGAGAAAAGTAGATGCCAAGCTGTCCCTTTATTTTCTGTACCATTCTGGTCATGCAAACTTGAGCCCAGAAAGTATAATGACTCATGTAACCTGCTGCCTAGGCAGCTCTATAATTGCTACACCTGGGGCCTCTTATGCCCAACTTGTACTCAGTTGCTTCCTAGTTTCCAGGAATTGGTCCAGCCTCCCAGACAAGGGTATCCACAGTTTGGGAGTTTAGCATCCACTCTGCCTGGCTAGTGACCCCACTCTGTCCTTGGCCACTCGCACCAAAAACTGGACTCTCTCATTGTTCTTTGGGAACTAACCTCTCCCTACCCCATCCACACACATACCCCTTATTCCTCATCCCCCAGGGACCCATTTTCCCCCATATATTTAAATCTCTGTAAATCTAGATAAGTCAGCCTAGTTTCTTTACCAACCATCCTGTTTGGGCTTGTCCTGTTCCATTCTGACAGGAAAGGCAGACAGAGCCAAGGAGCTAAAGATGAGTACAAAGGCAAGAACAGGCATAATCATTCAGAGGAGCCAGTGAACCAAGACTGCAGGACCAAGCTTGGCAATTGTGCTGCGTAGCTGAAGGGCACCAACTGAGAGGGTTGACAGGCAGGGCATAGATACTATCTTCCCAGAGAACTCTGTAACATGAGGGTAGTTACATGTCATGCTAATGCTCTGTCTGCTATTGTTTTATGACACTGTGTATGATACCCAGCTGGTTCGGTGAATGAAAGAAAGCTCTTGCTAACCACTTTCTAAATCTAAACCAGACAAATAGTATAGAAGCCCTGAAGATGGGTGTCAGCTCTGGTGTCTATCTTCTTTTCATTACTTTCTCTTTTCTCAGCCACAACTTTCACCCTCCTCCCTAGCCTCCATCAGAAAATTGTCACAGGAAGGAATTTCAGAAGCAATTATTATTATTATTTTTTAAAGAGCCTATGTTAGCAAAAACAAAAAAACCATATAGGCTTTGGAATCAAAGAGACTTACATTCAAATCTTGTGTTTGCTACCCCTAGCTGGAACATGTGTGTGCATGTGTGTGTGTGTGTGTGTGTGAGAGAGAGAGAGAGAGAAAGAAAGAGAGAGAAAGAAGAGTGCCTGACCCATCATAGACACTCAATAAAGAGTAATTTTTATCCTATTTTTGTTGATAAGATTGAAAAGGTGGCCTAGGAGATAGAAAAGTTTTTGATGCCCCTTGTTGCCAAGGGGAAAAATGGACTATAAAAGAGTTGAAAGAGATGAGAGAATTTGTACCATATATAAATAAAAGGTCAGAACAGTGAGACAATGCTGTGGTTCTGAGAAGGGAAATGAGAAAGAGAGACAAGTTAAGGAGAAGATCCACCAAGGCATTTCCTAATTGCCGCTTAGAAATGAAAGCTCAGAGACAAGAGCTAAGGATGGTTAGCAAAGAAGAATAAAGGAAAATGAAGGATATCAAACAGTGGTGCCATTTCCAGCCACTCTTAAAATGAAATGTGGATCTACATGGATTTACCAATCCAAGGACACAAAGTTCATCAGACCCTATTTGTATTATTTCCTGCTGCTTCTTTTACTTGACATTTATGTGAATTGGCTCTAGAATCCATGTCAAATGGCACCTTTCCAGATTTTTTTCCCCACAGAATCCATAGACAAAGTGTGCACTTGAATACATTTTATCTAGTCTGTAAATGTAGGGCCTCCTTTAGCTTGTAATGAATCTACATTTAACTGTGCAAGTCTACATTACTTAATTTCTCTATGTCCACTTTTGGATTTCATTCTACCAGGGAACTCTGGGAACGTCTGACAAAGTGTCTGCATTTTTACAACAGTGAAGTGAATGGTAGTTAAATTATTAAAAGCTGATTTCCAAAATGCTTGTTGAATGTTGATGACAAAATTAAGTCCTTTATTTACAGACAGCTTAAGATTAATTCTTAATTTTAAAAGGGAGAGTAATGGGTGGAGGGGAATTGGGAACATATATAAACGTACACATATGCAGAGAATATATAGAGAGGCTATAAAGCTTGGCTAACAAATACTGGGACACTAGAATCTGTAAAGTATATAGCAATCATGTAAAACAAAATGCCAGAGGAGAACTTACCGGGGTTGCCCACCACTCAGACTTTATGGCCGAGGTCACAGCTCTTTTGGAAGAGTTCTATTGTGTCAGCTCATATAGGTCTCCAAGATTGCTTCTTACCTTGAGTGCGACAGGTCAGGTCCTGCTGGGGAAGCCCTCAGGCACTGTAGGTGGTCCATTAACTGTTTCAACTATTAACTCCTTCATTTCCTACAAAGAGTAATTGACTGCTTTGCCCCATTGCGACTCCACAGACTCTTGCCTTTTCCAAAGTGCATTTGTTATTCACAAAAAGCCTAGTGCCTTGACAAAGTCTAGTGCCCACATTCTTGGTGCTATTTGGCACAGGTCATGTTCTTTGGGTGGTTGTATGTATGTATGTTCTTTGGGTGGTTGTATGGTATATAAACACACTACTCTATGCTTATCTGGCCTCTAGGTCCCTATCTACCATGGTGTTCATTCTCTCCCTCCCCCGTGGCCTTAGTGAACCATCATCATCCCTCACCTGGATTAGTGCAATGTCTTCTAACCAACCTCTTTGCTTCTACCCTACCCCTTCCCACTCTACCCTCAGTCTTAACCAACCACAGCAGCTGGAGCTTTAAAATGCAAGTTTGATCATATCACTTTCAGCTTAAAATTCTTCTGTGACTCTCCTTCAGAAACCAAATGCAAACTTCTTAACAGGCTACACAAAAAGGCCCCCAGGGGCTGACCCTTATCCTCTGTCTCCAGCCTCATCTCCTGAAACTCTCTGCTGGCACCCTGTGCTTGAGCCATTATGAGTTACTTGCACTTCTGTAAACATAATGTATTCTCTCACACATTCATATCTTTGTCCCTGCTGGTGCATTTTTTTAACTTTTATTTTAGGTTCAGGGATACATGTGCACATTTGTTATATAGGTAAACTGCATGTCATGGGAGTTTGGTGTACAGATTATTTTGTTAACCAGGTAATAAGCATAGTACCTGATAGGTAGCTTTTCTGATCCTCTCCCTCCTTCCACCCTCCACCCTCAATTAGGCCCCATTGACTGTTGTTCACCTCTTTGTGTCCATGTGTTCTCATCATTTAGCTCCCACTTATAAGTGGGAAATTAAGTATTTGGTTTTCTGTTCCTGTGTTAGTTTGCTAAGGATAATGGCCTCCAGCTTCATCCATGGTACCGCAAAGTACATAATCTTGTTCTTTTTCATGGCTGCATAGTTTTCTATGGTGTATATGCACCACATTTTCATTATCCAGTCTATCATTGATGGGAATTTAGGTTGATTCCATGTCTTTGCTATTTGAATAGTGCTACAATGATTATACACATGCATGTGTTGTTATGGTAGAATGATTCATATTCCTTGGGGTATATACCCAATAATGAGATTGCTGGGTCAAATGGTAATTCAGTTTTATTATTATTATTATTGTTATTATTATTATTATTATTATTATTATACTTTAAGTTTTAGGGTACACTGAGGTAATTCAGTTTTAGGTTCTTTGAGGAACCACCACACTGCTTTTCACAATGGTTGAAGTAATTTACACTCCCACTAGCAGTGCATAAGCATTCCCTTTTCTTTACAACCTTGCCAGCATATTATTTTTTTACTTTTTTTTTTTTTTTTTTTTGAGACCGAGTCTCACTCTGACACCCAGGCTGGAGTGTAGTGGCATGATCTCAGCTCACTGCAACCTCCGCCTCCCTGGTTCAAGCGATTCTCCTGCCTCAGCCTCCCGAGTAGCTGGGATTACAGGTGCACGCCACCACACCCAGCTAATTTTTATATTTTTAGTAGAGACAGGGTTTCACCATGTTGGCCAGGATGGTCTCGAACTCCTGACCTTGTGATCAGCCTGCCTCAGCCTCCCAAAGTGCTGGGATTACAGGCATGAGCCACCGTGCCTGGCCAACTTTTTATTAATAGCCATTCTGACTGGTGTGAGATGGTATCTCATTGTGGTTTTGATTTGCATTTCTCTAATGATTAGTGATGTGAAGCATGTTTTCATATGCTTGTTGGCCACATGAATGTCTTCTTTTGAAAAGTGTCTGCCTGTTCATGCCCTTTGCCCACTTTTTAATGGGGTTGTTTATTTCTTGTAAATTTGCTTAAGTTCCTTATAGATGATGGATATTAGACCTTTGTCAGATGCATAATTTGCAAGTATTTTCTACCATTCTGTAGGTTGTCTGCTCACTCTGTTGATAGTTTCTTTCACTGTGCAGAAGCTCTTTAGTTTAATTAGATCCTATTTGTCAATTTTTGCTTTTTTTTTTCAATTGCTTTTGATGTCTTCATTATTAAATCCTTGCCAAGTCCTATGTGCTGAATGGTATTGCCTAGGTTATCTTCCAGGGTTTTTCATTTAAGTCTTTGATCCGCCTTGAGTTAATTTTTGTATATGGTGTAAGGAAAGGGCCGAGATCCAACCTTCTGCATATTGCTAGCCAGTTATCCTAGCACCATTTATTAAATAGGGAGTCCTTTCCCTATTGCTTAGTTTTGTCAACTTTGTCAAAGATCAGATGGTTGTAGGTTTGTGGCCTTATTTCTGGGCTCTCTGTTATGTTGCATTGGTCTATGTGTCTGTTTTTGTACCAGTACTATGCTGTTTTGGTTACTGTAGCCCTATGGTATAGTTTAAAGTCAGGTAATGTGATGCCTCCAGCTTTGTTCTTTTTGCTTATCCTTGCTTTGGCTATTTGGGCTATTTTTTTGGTTCCATATGAATTTTAAAATAGTTTTCCCTAGTTCTGTGAAGAATGTCATTGGTAGTTTGATAGGAATAACATTTAATCTGTACATTGTTTTGGGCAGTATGGCCATTTTAATGATATTGATTCTTACTATCCATGAGCATAGAATGTTTTTCCATTTGTTTATGTCTTCTCTGATTTCTTTGAGAAGTGTTTTGTAATTCTCATTGTGGAGATCTCTCACCTCCCTGGTTAGCTGTATTGCTAGGTATTTTATTCTTTCTCTAACAAGTATGAATGGAATTGCATTCCTGATTTGGCTCTCAGCTTGGCTGTTGTTGGTGTCTCGGAAGGCTAGTGATGTTTGTGCATTGATTTTGTATCCTGAGACTTTGCTGACATTGTTTATGAGATCAAGGAGTTTTTGGGCAGATAACTATGGGGTTTTCTAGATATAGAATCATATCACCTACAGAGATAGTTTGACTTCCTCTCTTCCTATTTGGATGCCTTTTATTTACTTGTCTTGACTGATTGCTCTGGCCAGAATTTCCAATACTATGTTGAATAAGAGTGGTGAGAGAGGGGCCAGGCGAAGTGGCTCATGCCTGTAACTGCAGCACTTTGGGAGGCTGAGGCAGGAGGATCATGAGGTCAAGAGATCGAGATCATCCTGGCCAATATGGTGAAACCCCATCTCTACTAAAAATACAAAAATTAGCTGGGCATGGTGGTGCATGCCTGTAGTCCCAGCTACTTGGGAGGCTGAGGCAGGAGAATCACTTGAACCTGAGAGGTGGAGGTTGCAGTGAGCCGAGATTGCGCCACTGCACTCCAGCCTGGTGGCAGAGCAAGACTCCGTCTCAAAAAACAAAAACAACAACAAAAAAGGGAGTGGTGAGAGAGGACATCCTTGTCTTGTGCTGGTTTTCAAGGGGAATGCTTCCAGCTTTTGCCCATTCAGTATGATGTTAACTATAGGTTTGTTGTAGATGACCCTTAACATTTTTTTTTTTTTTTTTTTTTTTTATTTTTTATTATACTCTAAGTTTTAGGGTACATGTGCACATTGTGCAGGTTAGTTACATATGTATACATGTGCCATGCTGGTGCGCTGCACCCACTAACGTGTCATCTAGCATTAGGTATATCTCCCAATGCTATCCCTCCCCCCTCCCCCGACCCCACCACAGTCCCCAGAGTGTGATATTCCCCTTCCTGTGTCCATGTGATCTCATTGTTCAATTCCCACCTATGAGTGAGAATATGCGGTGTTTGGTTTTTTGTTCTTGCGATAGTTTACTGAGAATGATGGTTTCCAATTTCATCCATGTCCCTACAAAGGATATGAACTCATCATTTTTTATGGCTGCATAGTATTCCATGGTGTATATGTGCCACATTTTCTTAATCCAGTCTATCATTGTTGGACATTTGGGTTGGTTCCAAGTCTTTGCTATTGTGAATAGTGCCGCAATAAACATACGTGTGCATGTGTCTTTATAGCAGCATGATTTATACTCATTTGGGTATATACCCAGTAATGGGATGGCTGGGTCAAATGGTATTTCTAGTTCTAGATCCCTGAGGAATCGCCACACTGACTTCCACAATGGTTGAACTAGTTTACAGTCCCACCAACAGTGTAAAAGTGTTCCTATTTCTCCACATCCTCTCCAGCACCTGTTGTTTCCTGACTTTTTAATGATTGCCATTCTAACTGGTGTGAGATGATATCTCATAGTGGTTTTGATTTGCATTTCTCTGATGGCCAGTGATGATGAGCATTTCTTCATGTGTTTTTTGGCTGCATAAATGTCTTCTTTTGAGAAGTGTCTGTTCATGTCCTTCGCCCACTTTTTGATGGGGTTGTTTGTTTTTTTCTTGTAAATTTGTTTGAGTTCATTGTAGATTCTGGATATTAGCCCTTTGTCAGATGAGTAGAAAGCTGAAACTGGATCCCTTCCTTACACCTTATACAAAAATCAATTCAAGATGGATTAAAGATTTAAACGTTAAACCTAAAACCATAAAAACCCTAGAAGAAAACCTAGGCATTACCATTCAGGACATAGGCGTGGGCAAGGACTTCATGTCCAAAACACCAAAAGCAATGGCAACAAAAGACAAAATTGACAAATGGGATCTAATTAAACTAAAGAGCTTCTGCACAGCAAAAGAAACTACCATCAGAGTGAACAGGCAACCTACAACATGGGAAAAAATTTTTGCGACCCTTAACATTTTGAAGTGTGTTCCTTCAATGCCTAGATTATTGTGGGTTGTTAACATGAAAGGATGTTGGCAATTCTAATGCCTAGAATACCCTTCCTATCCTCTCTGCCTATGTGTTGTTATGGGAATGATTCTATCTCTGATTCTTCTTTTTTTAAGGGCTTATTGAGATACAATTTACATAACATATAATTTACTAATTTAACATATGCAACTCAGTGGGTTTTAGTTTGACCACAGAGTTGTACAACCATCATCACTATTTAATGTCAGAATCTTTGCCTTCCCCAAAGAAAACTTGTACCCATTAGCAGACTTTCAAACTCCTGCCCTTCCTCCAACCCTTGGAAACCATTAATCTACTTTCTGTCTCTATTGATTTGCCTATTTCAGATTCATCTTTCAAGATTTCTCAGGTGTTGCCTCCTCTTGTTTGTCTTCCAGGCCCCAGATTTCAAAGTCTGTTCTCTGAATTCCAATAATACCCTATGCAAGGCTATGTCTTAGCGTTTATTTCACTGAATTCTTGCCTGCCTCCCCCAGGAAGTAGCTTACTCCTCTCTGAAACCTTGATGTCTAACACTTTGTTTGGCTCATAGGTAGAGCTCCATAGCTACTGGCTAAATGAAAGAATGACAGGGAGGAGGGCTTCTCAACGAGTGGGTGAGAGATGAGTGAGGATATAAGCCAGACAGTGAATGCTTAAGTGTCCATTTTTCAGCTCACTTGCGCTTAAATAAACTTACCAACCACTACACTGATGTCTCTTCCATCTCTACAGTTGATGTGCATGTTCCAGAACCTAGGGAAATATTTCCATAAGTGGTGCAGAAGGAATGTATCCTCAGGAAATATTCATGATACAGCAGTTTAAGCTTTACCTATGGGACTGACAGGAACACTATCAGGCCATCTTTCTGCTTAATGTTTTCAATTTTCTATTTATTCTCTCTGTCTCCCTCCCCCCCACTCTTTCTCCCTCCCCCTCTCTCTTCCTCTCCCCCACTCTCCACACACCCTCAGGATATTTGCCTTTGTTTTTAAAGCACATTTTAGAATATCTCTGTTTAACAATTTAGGTCTTAAGATTAAAAAAAAAATACTTTAGTATGAAGTGTCTGAACAAGAATCCACTTTGAAAGCTGTTTAATTGTTCCATTTTAATATTCCACTTTTCTTTCTTCATGATTGGATATTAAAAAGCTCATTAGCAAGGGAATATAAAACAATTTAGCAACACAATAGAATATAAAGATGTTTAAAAAGAAACTCTGATTTTCAGCATTTTCTTGGCTAGAGCCAAATGTGGGTGAACCCTGACTCTGGCTACCATTTTGGATCTTTATGTGTCTCTATGCCTTTCTTCCTGTTTCAACTTCCTCCTTCTCTTTTAATATCTTATCATCTTCCTTGTCTCTTTTCTCCTCCATTCCCAATCTCTTTGTCATTCTCTCTTTTTTGATTTTCTCCTCTGCCCATTCTGCTGCTTGAGCCTTCTTTTAATGTTTCACCTTCTGTTTCTCCTCCACTGTCTCTTTCATTCTTCCTGACTAGCCTATTTTCTCTTTCTTTCCTCCTGTTCTTTTCACACATGCAGAATGAGGTAGGAAAGGCACAATGGTGTGGCATGAGCAGGAAAAGAGAGGGGGAGAGACTAACAATGGGGCTGTCTTTCACCTACCCCATCATCTGGCACCAAAGGAAATGTGCACTGGTCCAAATTGCCCATATTTCTTCCCCTTTAAGGTAAGGCACATAACCTCTCTGTGCCTCACTTTTGTCCTCTATAAAATTAAAGCAAAATAATACCTTCCCAGACTACCTCCCAGAGATGTTAGGGGCAAACCTGGGAATGAATATGAAAAATGTTTGAAAAGAAACAGACCCCTGTGATTGGGAAGCACTGAGGAGGAAAGGGTGGGAGGATGACGGCCTTGCACTGCATAGGGATCCAATTAACTGAGGATTGCAGTTCTTGCCCTTTTGAGGAATGTGTTTCTTTTCACCTTTGTTCTACTCACCAAATCACTTGGTTGTCTGTGTACCTTGTTTGAATGTTCTTAGTGTCTTCTGAGGGGAAGGATAACTTGCTCCTTTGTATGCTGTTGATTTTTATCCCTTCCTTTTCTCTTGCTTTGGGCTAGCAAACGGAACCTCCAGCAGCCAGCTCTCTACCCCCAAGTCTAAGCAGTCTCCCATCTCTACGCCCACCAGTCCTGGCAGCCTCCGGAAGCACAAGGTATTATGTCTCTTATACCTTACTAAACCTCTTTGCACTCAGTTTCCTGAATGGCTTGGTGAAGGTTTTCTCTTCCATTCTAACTCAACAGCACATTAAGGCCAGAAATTTTCTTCATCTGGCTTCATTAGCTTGAAGTTCTGCGAATCCAAGCAGGGAGCAAGCTTCTAGTCACTTTTATTTATTCCTCCAATTCCTGACTTATTTCCTGCTACATTCTAGCACTTCTTCCAAAGGGTTTCCAAAAGGTCTCCAAAGCTAATGAGGTAACCAAACCATGCTTTGGGACATGGGTTGAACACTTGTCTCCCCAGTTCAGAGACATAGCAAAGGGGGTGTTCAGGGCACTTTATGTCACCAGGCACCAGTCAGTGGAAATAACAAAGATAGCAGTCCCAAAAAGTTGCACTGAGTTACTTACTCCATTTAGATTTACTGGACATCAACAAATGAATAGCTCCTACTTTTGCTGTGCACTTTTCATTACCAGGCAGATTCTGATGCTGAATAGGAAGAGAGCACATATACACATTGCATTGGCCTTGGCCACCATGTATACCCCTTAAACTATTCCAAATAAGTATATCATTAAATAACAAAAGCACATAAATTCCCTAGCCCCGCTATCCAAACAGATTCTCACCCAGAAATCTCTGTGTAGAAAATGTGGAGTGGTTACTGCCTTGAATCTCTTATACCTAAGGCAGTGTTGATGTGGCTTCTTCTCTGATTACCATACTGTGGAGCAACTTCCTCTAGCCTTCTCTAATCTTTCTCCTGCTCATAAGACTTGGTGTGAGATGGTAAAAGGCAAAAAGCCACCAATATGACTAACTGCATCACAGAATCAGAGATGGTCAGAGCTGGAAGACACCTTAGATGGAGATAAATTAGTTTTATTTGATTCTCTAAATAATCTTATGAGGTTTGACATTTTACAGATGAGGAAATTGAGAGCCAAAAGGTTAAGTTACTTACTAGGGTAACATATCTAGCTATAAGAGTGGTACCCAAGTCACCACCAGTGGTGTGCCAGAGCCAGCTCACAGTAGGTGGTGAGAGCTGATTGTGTACATTGCTTCTCAACTCTGTATTGAGTGACATCACGTTTTTAACTTGAATTTGGCCATGGTGGGAATATTTACACCATGGACATTAACAAATACTATAAGTCAAGGTTGTTTTTTTCTCACAGCCAGTTGCTAAACATTTAATAGCATACCACTGCCCGACATCCATTTTCATTTTATTTTTTCTATATCAGTCTTTTAATTTCCTGGCTAATCTGGCTACTGCCTGCCCCATAATTTCTAATGTCTGTTCCATTGCTTTAATGGCCCCTTTAACTTCTGCTATTGAACCTTCCAGAACTTTCTGATTGTCCTGTTGAGCTATTTCATTTTACCAAAGAAGTATTTGCTGAACTCTGTGTAACCAGTGTTACCTAGAGATTATGAGATGGATGAAAATTATTTTTACAGTTGGCTTTTAGTTATTCTTTGCTGAGCAGTAAAGCTTGTAAATATGGACATGCCAAGATAGGAAGTCTACCTCTGTTGTTCCACTGTCCACACAGCACCTCCTATATGCCTTTCTGCCCTTACCTTCCTTTTGGTAAGCATGATTTACCCTAGCACCTTCCATTGGTACCTTCCCTAAAGTGTGAAGGCAGCTTGGACATTTGTTCTGCACACTCAAGTTATTCAGTTTTTCAACTGACATGTTCAGGTCATTTATGCTGAGGACCCATCATCCACAAGCCCACCAAGGTGAGTTGTTTGCATTGTTAAACTATTTTTCCTGGTTGGGCTTGCAGACACTTATAGCTTGTTTGTTTATTGACTCAATTCTAACCATTGAAGGACTAGAACAAGCTCACAGGTGGCAGCATTGTCAGAGCTTCACTGTTTTCTTAACTGTGGAATTTTCAGTGTTTCATTTTATTTTTAAAATTACTCTTTTTAAAGACAGTTAAGCAAGCAAATGTTAAGTAATACATTATATCATTTTCTAGAGCAAGCTTTTAAATAAAGTAAACATTTAAATTTGGTATAATTCTCACTATTTTTAAAGCTCTTTATTTTTATATCACTTCAAACTTACAGAAGAGTTGCAAAAATAATAAACAACTTATGTATCTCTTTACAGGGATTCACTAGTTGTTTATATTTTGCCTCATTTACTTATTTTTTATGTTCTCTCTCTCTATGTATAATATATGTAGACATAATAATACACAAATAAATACATATAGTACATGTTATTATTTTTTCTTTTATTTATTTTATTTATTTATTTATTTATTTTTTGAGATGGAGTCTCGCTCTGTCTCCCAGGCTGGAGTGCAGTGGCACGATCTCGGCTCACTGCAAGCTCCGCACTCCCGGGTTCAAGCCATTCTCCTGCCTCAGCCTCCCGAGCAGCTGGGACTACAGGCACCAGCCACCACGCCTGGCTAATTTTTTGTATTTTTAGTAGAGACGAGGTTTCACCGTGTTAGCCAGGATGGTCTCGATTTCCTGACCTCGTGATCCGCCTGCCTCGGCCTTCCGAAGTGCTGGGATTACAGGCATGAGCCACCGCACTGGGCCTATTTTTTCTGAACAATTTGAGATTAATATCACAGGCAAACATTATGCCCCTTTATCCCTCAATATGTCAGTATGTAGTTCCTAAGAACAAGGATTTTTTCTTCCATAACCATAGCATGATCATCAAAATTAGGAAATTTAACACTGGCACAATACTATTATATACTCTGCAGTCCATATTCAAACTTTATCAATTGCTTTAATAATGTTCTTTTTCTGGTCCAAAATCCAGTCTAGAATCACATGTTGCAAGTTCTCATGTCTCTTTAGTCTTCTTTAATCTGGAAAAGTTCCTGAGACTCTCTATCTCTCAGTACAGTATATTATAGAAATAAAAGGTCCAGGCCAGTTATTTGGTAGAACGCCTTTCAATTTGGGCTTGTCTGATGTTTCTCTGTGATTAGATTCAGATTCTGAATTTGGGGCAGGAATATCATAGGAGTGATGTTGTATCCTTTCAGTGCATCCTATCAAGAAGCAATAGTGTCATGCTTACACCACCAGTAATGAAGATTGAACTGGTTTTTCTGAATAAGATAAAAAGCTTGTGACCCTGTCTCAGTCCCCCTAGGTCTCAGGTCCTAGATTCATGCTCCTCCTTTCACACAGCTACCTGAACCTTAGCACCATCAAGTCTCTGGGCAGCAGGCCTGAGCAGATCTCATCTGAACTTCTGTCCAAGTGGACCTGAAAGATGTGAGTCATGATGCAGACAGGAAGCAGATGGCTGAGGCCATGACTTTCCTCCTGCACAACTGGAAAAAACTTGAAGTCCCAGCATCCCTTTGGTAATTTTTGATGGCTGTGGTGGGGCCCTAAGCTGTAATCAGCTTCTTGGCTTCTTCTTTTAAGCAGTTCATGGAGAATCTTCTTTAATGCAGCTGCAATGGGGTTAGCCAAAGTCCGCATACTTAAGTGTTACAATATGGACACGAAGTAAATCCTTGGATAGTTAATGAGAACAACATTTTGCATTTTCATACTGCTTTTTTCTATCGCACAGCCATTTTATCATTTACCCTTGTGATATCCCCGTGAAAGAGACAGGGCAGATAGCATTTCCCTTTTACAGATGAGAAAAAAAGAGGTACAGAGGAAAGACAGTCCCAGTGTGATTCAACAAAAATTTATTAAGGATCCCCTTTGAAGAAAGTACATAGTAAAGATTTTCAAAAAAAAAAAAAATCTAGAAACGTAAGGAAACTCTTTCATTTATTTAATTTTTAAATTTTCAGATCAGTGATTGCACCAATGGCTTGAAATTTAGAGGCATTTTGTATGCAAAGTTGTCTAGAGACTAGAGGAAAGTATATTCAACATATTATTTGAAAATATAAATAACATTATTTAAATATGCACTTTCCTCTGTTTCCAGACTTCTTTTGTCCTCTTATACGTGCTTGGAGAGGCCCTTTGATGAGTAAAGTAGGGTCCTGACCCTTAAATCACAGAAGGCAACTAACTCTAATATAAGTGGCTTTGGGTAGTGTGATCAAGAGCTAACGAAAGGACTGCATGAGCACAAAGGAGGGTGGGAAAGACGGGAGAGAGTGGGAGATGGGGAAAGCTTTTCACAGAGGTGACATTTAAGTGGCTGGTGAAGAGAACAGGCATGCCAGCTTTAAAAAAAAATTAGCAAGAAACAAAACCACACCATCATAAAAGCACAGGGCACGTTTGGGAAATAGAAAACCCAAACTAGAAGCCAGGTTTCTCAAAACTCCTCCCTGACTTCCTTTGGACTATAAGCTCCTTGGACCAGAGACCAACTTTTTGTTTTCTCTAATACAATAGTATCGCCAGCACAGCTGTATTTGTTACAAACATTTTGTTCTGTAGGGCTCCAAGGGAATAAGCAAATGAATTTCAGGTGCAAATTATTTGTATTGCTAAGCAATATGTGTGTTTCTGTATTTCTACATATCAATCAACAAAAACAGAATGTTGAGATAATTCCTTTTCCTGAACATTGTTCTACCCATACAGGAAAATACATTCTGAATACGAAATAAATTGATGGAGATACAGTGTTCAGAAGTTCATAATTAGGCCTAGTTCTATGAATTCTCTCCATCTTCTGCATCTCACGCCATTAATTCAGAGTCTCACAGCAGCTACAAGTGAAATCTCTTCAGGATTCTACCCTCAGGCCTTATCCCTGCTTCCTCTGAGATAAAGGTCTGGAACAATCTTCTCAGATAATTTTTTCCACCAACCAAGCAACTCCACTGAAGGGTCTGTTACATGAATAATACTAAAGCCCAGTGGTTCAGTGTGCTGGGACTCAAAGTGGCCTCCATATTATTAAAAGGTCCTTTTGTACGGCCTGAAAAATACCCAGGGAGTTCATTAACTTGGCAATGTCTGTACCATTTCTCTTGCTTTGGGGTAACTAAAGAAAAAGATAGAATGATTGCAGTTTATAGAATTTTGGAACTAGAAGGAACCTTAAAGATCTTCCTCAATTTTAAGATCTAGAAGCAAGGACCCTGAAAAGGGAAGTTAAATGGAAAATGTAGGCCTAGAATCTAAGTCTCCAGACTCTTAGTCCTGTGCTTTTTATATTACAGTGTTGTTTCATCATATGCAAGTTTAACTTAATGGAATTCATCAATAGTCATAACATAGTAATAGAGCGAACAACTATAAAACCTTCTCTTACATTTGTACACATCATTACATCCTGAATATCACTACATACATATATATACACGTGTATATATGGTATATATCATATATATACACGTGTATATATATATGTATATATCATATATATTAATATATGTACAGCATATTGCTGTGTACGGCTGCATATTCAGAAATCACATAAACAGTACTTAATTGTCAATATAAAGGATTTTCAAAGGTACTTAAAAAAATAACAGCTTATTGAGATATAATTCACATAGTATAGAATTCACTCCTTTTAAAGGGTATAGTTTGGTGGTTTTTAAGGTAATTTAGTATACCACTATCTACTTTTAGGACATATTCATCACCCTCAAAATAAACCCCTTACCCATTAGCAGTCGCAGCCCCTTCCCTTTTCATCCAACCCCTGGCAACCAACCACTAATCAATTCTGTTTCTATGGGATAGCATATTTGAAACATTTCATATACATTTCCCTCTGAAAACTGCTTTAGCTGAATCCTATAAGTTTTGGTGTGTTGTGATTTCATTTTCCTTTATCTCAAGGTATTTTGTGATTTTTCCTGTGATTTCTTTTTTGGTTAGTCATCTGTGCGTTGTTTAATTTCAACATATATATGAATTTCCTGAATATCTTTCCATTATTGTTTCTAATTTAATTCCACTGTGGCCAAATAATATAATTTGTATCATTTAAATCCCTCTAAATTTATTGAGAATTGTTTTATGGCCTAGCATATGATCTATCCTGGAGGATGTTCCATGGGAGCTTGAAAAGAATATGTATTCTGCTCTCGTTGGATAGAATATTCCATAGATGTGTATTTGTTTATAGTATTATTCAAGTCCTCTATTTACTTGTTGGTCTTCTGTCTAGTTGTTCTATCCATTATTGAAAGTGGGATATTTAAGTCTTCACCTAATATAGTTGAATTGTTTGTTTCTCCTTTCAATTCCATCAGTTTTTGCTTCATGTATTTTGGTACTCTGTTAAGATATATAAATATTTGTATTTATGTTTTCTGGATATATTGACTCTTTTTATCATTATAAAATGTTCTTTGTCTCTAGTAATAATTTTTGTCTTAAAGTCTATTTTTTTTCTGACATCAGTATAGCAATTTTAGCTCTCTTTAGTTACTGATTGCATGGCAAATCTTTTTCCATCATTTTACTTTCAACATATTTGTGGGTTTGAATCTAAATTGTTTCTCTTTTAGACAGCATTGAGTTGGATCATGTTTTTAAAAAATCTATTTTGCCAGTCTCTGCCTTTAATTGGATTGCTTTATCTACTTATGTTTAATGTAATTACTGGTAAAGCGAGAATTACATCTACCATTTTGCGATTTTCTATATATGTTATATCATTTTTCGTTCATTACTTGATGCTTGCCTTTTATGTGTTAAATATATTTCTTAGTGCACTATTTTAATTCACTTGTTGTATTTTTACTAATTTCATTTTGAGTAGCTTTTTTAGTGGTTGCCCTGAGGATTACAATTTACATTTTAATACACTCTACTTAAGATTAATACAAACTTGATTTAAATTATATATAAAAATTTTGCCATAGCATAGCTCTGTTTCTTTCCCACTCCTTTTTTCTCCTACTGACATACAAATTACATCTTTATACATAGTAAGTCCATCAACACATTCTTATAATTACTAGTTCATCTAGTTCATGTAGTTGTCTTTTGAAATAAGCCAGACACAGAAAGAAAAATATTGTATAATCTCACATATATGAGGGATCTAAAAAAAAAAAAAAAAGGTCAAATATACAGAGATGGAGAATAACACAGAGGTTACCAGAAGCCGGGGATAGAAAGGGAAGAAATGAGGAGATGTAGGTTACAGGATACAAAATAACAGATATGTAGGATGAACATCTAGAGATCTAATATAAAATATGAGGACTATAGGTAATAAAATTGTATTAGGGAGTAAGTAGATTTTAGCTGCTCTTGTCAGCAAAAAAGTAATTATTTGTTTCACTATAGTAACTATTTTACTATCTATATGTATCCCATAACATTATGTTGCAAACTTCAAATATACACAGTAAAATTTATTTTTAAAAAAGAAGAAAAGAGTTACAAAAATAAATTTGTACAGTCTTTTGTGTTTACTTACGCATTTACTATTTTTTTTAATTATGTGGATTTGAATTACTTTCTAGTGTCCTTTAATTTCTCTGTGGATGATTCTCTTTAGTATTCTTTTGCAAGACAGGTCTGCTAGCAATGGATTCTGTGTTTCTATCAGGGAATGTTTTAATTTCTCCTTTATTTGTGATGATAATTTTGAATGAATAGGATAGTTTTGTTTGCTTACCTTAAATGCCTTGATCCAGTAAGACTCCCAGCCTTTGCCGAGGGGCTCTGTTCCTGTGTTGGGACATGATTTCAATGCTCTGCCAGGCAGTTTACAACTCCATCTTAGCATTCTCTTGCCGCTTGCACAGGGCCTCAGGGTCAGTCAATGGGGAAAGATTAGGGCCATCTCGCTTCTTTTCTAAGAATATACCCAGTCCTGAACTTGTGCCTGACCTTCTAGATTCCCAGGAATATGTCTGAGCTTTTCAAAGATCCTTATAGGCACATAATTCTATGACTTTTTCCTTTCAAGGTTTTCAGCAGCTTGATTTGCTCCAACTTTTGCCCTCTTCCTCATACGGCTGTGATTTTTAAACAATTGCAACTGATCAATGCCCCCTGAAAAGGCTGTTCACAGCGAGTGTGCTCTGAGTCAGGTTAAAAAAAGAAGAACCTAGCAAATGGGAGTTTCCAGGGAGCTACCCCACAGGTCAAAGATTGACAATTCTCTGGGAATGAGTTCTTTGGGGAGCTCCAAACCCCCAATTGTGTCCTCCAGTAACTACTAGATTGCTGTTTTTCACCGGTACAGTAGTTGTGACTGTTGGTTTTCAAGGCTACCATGGAGCTGGGGAGAGGAAAAATGGAAATAAGGCAAGTTGAAACACCAAAAATCTTAGTATTTTTACAAGATTCATCAGTTTTTCTTCAACACTGTTTGGATTGTTGCAAGCTTTTGGTTGATTTTTAGAGTCCTGAAAAAGTTAATTTTGACAGTTTTGCCAGTGTTACTGCATTTGTTGAGGAACAGATTTTCAGAGGGGCTTATGCCACCTTTCTGGAAGTCCAGAGCTCAAAAATACTTTTGACTATGTTCACTTTACTCCAGTACTTCAGAATTAATCCCTTCAGAGATGCAACTCCATTGTATGCCACTTTGCTTCAATTCCATTTTACATGTATTTGTTGCATTTCTAGTATTTCCTTGGCATTGTACATCCTACCTGTTTATCAGTTTTCTAAGAAACTTTTGTTTGGTAGTTTAGAACAGGGATGCCAGATCCTGCCTGTGTCTTGGTTATATTTGCATGGATGACCCACCCCATCTAAAATATGTTTTTTTAAATATTTAAAGAGTTGTAAAAGAGCAAACCCCAAACAAATAATGAAGAATGTGTGACAGAGACCATATGTGACCAGCAAAGAAAACTTAAAATATTTACTATCTAATCTTTTACAGAAAATTTTGCTAATCCCTGACTTACAGTGAAGGGATGGTAGGTTGACGAGAACTGAGTCTATTTGCTGTAGTTGCCTTTGTTTTGTTTCTTAATCATTCAATATCCCTTTAGGACCCCCAAATTATAGTCTCAGAGCTGGAAGAAACCTTACAGATTGTTCACTGATAAAGAAACCAATACTCAAAGATTTGTTCAATGTCATAGCATTAATTAGCCAGAGTTAAACCTCGGGTTTCTGAATATGCTTTACTCGTCTTTCCATTCTAAGGTGCCTACAGGTTTTCCTGTCACTTCTTTCTCAGCAAAAAGCATTTTCAATGTTAGATAAATTCCCAATGTTAAATAAATAAGTCCTTCTCCTCCCCACTCTTGTCCCTCTTTCTCATTTCCACTTTTTTCTCTACCTCAAGGAGAAGCTATGTTCTCCAATTTTCTTGAACAATCTTCTACTGAAGTTCTTGTCCTTATGATACAAAAGCAGTGGCAAGGCGGTGGGGGTGGGGGTGCTCTTAAGTGGCCACAGAATTGATTCTATACTTTCCAGTTCTCTTTGGTATCTTACTGATAACATGTATAAAAAATTAGCCAGGCGTGGTGGTGGGCGCCTGTAATCCCAGCTACTCGGGAGGCTGAGGTAGGAGAATCACTTGAGCCCAGGAGGCGGAGGTTGCAGTGAGTGGAGATCACACCACTGCACTCCAGCCTGGGTGACAGAGAGGGACTCTGTCAAAAAAAAAAAAAAAGTTTCTTAACCTAGACCTCATATCATATGCAAAAATTAAAAATGGATTATAAGCAAAGAATTCTTAGACTTGACAACAAAAGTAAAATCCATAAAATAAAAACTGATAAATTGGGTAAATTGGATCTCAAAAATTAAAAATGTTTGCTCTGCCAAAGACCATGCAAAAGCTGTGAAGGTGTGTAAAAAGACAAGATACAGACTGGGAGAAAATATTTGCAACCCAATATCTAATTAAAGGCTTATTTAGAGAATATAAAATAACTGTTAAAACTTACCAGTAAGAAAAAAATCTAATTCAGAAATGAATAAAATCATGAAGAAACATTTAATTGAGGAAGAAATACAGATGAAAACTAAGCACATGAAAAGATGTTAAACATCATTAGCCATCATGGTAATGCAAATTATAACCACAATGAGATGTCACTACAAATCCACAAGAATGGCTAAAATGAAAAATAATAAAAACATCAAATACTGGAGAGAATGTGGAGAAACCAAACTACTAATACTTTGCTGGCAGGAGGTGAGACTGTAAATGGTATAGCCACACTGGAAAGCAATATGGCATTCCTTACAAAACTGAAAATGGAATTACCATATGACTCAGCAATTTTACTCCTGGGTGTCTGTCCCAGAGAAATGAAAATGTATGATCACACAAAAACTTGTACAGTACAGGAGCGTTTATGGCAGCTTTATTTGCAATAGCCCAAAACTTGAATCATTCAACGTGTGCTTCAACAGGTGAATGGCTAAACAAACTGTGGTGCATCTACACCAGCAATATAAAGAAGCAAACTATTGATACATATAATGGCTTACATGAGTCTCCGGGGAATTATGCTGAATGAAAATGGCCAATCCCAAATGGTTATATACTGTATGGTTTCATTCATATAACATTGTTGAAATTCCAAAATTACAGAGACAGGAAACAGATTATTTGTTGCCAGGGCTCAGGGAAGAGGGGAGGGTTGGATGGAGCTCTAATGGGGTAGCACAAGGGAGCCTTGTGTTGAAGGTACAGTTCTGTATCTTGACTGTGGCGATGGTCACACAAATATACACACATGATAAAATTGCATAGGAATATACACACACACACATACACACCCCACACACAAATGATCACATGTTAAACTGCAAGATGGTACCATTAGGGAAAATTGAATGAAGGGTACATTGGTACAAGGGTACCTCCCTGTACATTTTTTCAACTTCCTGTGAATCTATAATTATTATGTTGTAAAAATTAAAGTATTAATAAAAAAAACTAAAGCAGACATTCCAGAGCTCAAGATATCAAGAAAAGGAAAATTAACTTTGTCTCTTCTCTTCTTATAGGACCTGTACCTGCCTCTGTCCTTGGATGACTCGGACTCGCTTGGTGATTCCATGTAAAGGAGGGGAGAGTGCTCAGAGTCCAGAGTACAAATCCAAGCCTATCATTGTAGTAGGGTACTTCTGCTCAAGTGTCCAACAGGGCTATTGGTGCTTTCAAGTTTTTATTTTGTTGTTGTTGTTATTTTGAAAAACACATTGTAATATGTTGGGTTTATTTTCCTGTGATTTCTCCTCTGGGCCACTGATCCACAGTTACCAATTATGAGAGATAGATTGATAACCATCCTTTGGGGCAGCATTCCAGGGATGCAAAATGTGCTAGTCCATGACCTTTCAATGGAAAGCTTAGGTGCCTGCGTTATATTTGCCCTGTCTAATTTTGCCCATACAGTCTTCCTTCTGTAGAGGGCTGTTTACATATACAGCACTTAAAATGTTTGTGTGGGAAAAAAAAAACTCATTGGCAGATCCAAGAATGACAAACACAAGTGCCCCTTTTCTCTGGATCTCAAGAATGGTGGAGGACCCTGGAAGGACAGCAAGGCAGCTCCCCAGCCTCACTCTTCACTCCTGATTGAGGCCCGGGTTTGTTGTCCAGCACCAATTCTGGCTGTCAATGGGGAGAAATAAACCAACAACTTATAATTGTGACACCAGATGCTTAGGATCCTGGTGCTGGGTTAGCTAAGAGAATAGACAGAATTGGAAAATACTGCAGACATTTCCGAAGAGTTTATAAAGCACAGTGAATTCCTGGTCAATCTCTCCACTGAGGCAATTTGGAATCAATAAGCAATTGATAATAGTTTGGAGTAAGGGACTTCATATACCTGATTCCTCTAGAAGGCTGTCTAACATACCACATGATTACATGAACTGTATGGTATCCATCTATCTCTGTTCTATTGAATGCCTTGTTAACAGCCAACACTGAAAACACTGTGAGAATTTGTTTTCAGGTCTGACACCTTTCAGTCTCTTTTTATAGCAAGAAATCAATATCCTTTTTATAAAAATTCATGTCTGTATTTCAGGAGCAAACTCTTCAGGCTCCTTTTTTATAAACTGGTGATTTTTCTTTTGTCTAAAAAACACATGAAGAAAATTTACCAAAAAAAAAAAAAAAAGCAGAAGAATAATGTAGTTTAGAAATTATGCTGTCACTGCCAAACAGTAACCTCCAGGAGAAAACAAGATGAATAGCAGAGGCCAATTCAATAGAATCAGTTTTTTGATAGCTTTTTAACAGTTATGCTTGCATTAATAATTTCAATGTGGACCAGACATTCTAATTATATTTTAAATGAAATGTTACAGCATATTTTAAGCAACTCTTTTTATCTATAATCCTAATATTTCATACTGAAGACACAGAAATCTTTCACTTGTCTTTAACATTAGAAAGGATTTCTCTTTACTAAGGACTGATCATTTGAAATAGTTTTCAGTCTTTTGAGATACAGGTTTATAACACTGCTTTTTTTTTTCTGTAATCATAGCCCATAATGGCAAAGACAACTAAATTTAAGTGAAGGTCATGCATGCCAATTCTGTGTTTGCTTTTAGCAGATATGAAGATTTCCTTATTTCTTTGTAATTGTGCAGATATTTTGAAAGGCACAGCATTCGAAGCCAAGCTGCTGTTTGGCTACTGAATGGCTTGCAGTTGTTCCTCCACTCTAAATGGAATGAGCTTGCTGTGTGTGTGTGTGGTGGTGGTGGGAGGGGGTGGTGCATGTGTGTGTGTGTGTGTGCATCTGCAGCTGCTTCAAAATTAGGAAATACTACAGGACACCCCTGTAATGGATTGGTGGCAACTGGGTGGCACTGCTGATGTGCACTGTGTAGGGGGGAACCCAGTGGTGGTGGGGTAGCTCAGATGCCCCTAGACAAGCTTCAGATGTCTGTAGCTACCAGAAACATTTTCGGTTCAGGAAAAGTGAGATGATGGTAGTACTGGTTTCTGGTGAAATTGAAGAACCCCAAATGATGAGGATCTCTTTTTGCCCCCTCTCCTTTTTTTGTAGACCCATTCAAAACCATTAATAAGCCCATTTTACTAAGCCCCTATTTCTTTCTAGAAGCTCAGGGTTTTCTTAGTGCCTCCCAGAACATTTTGTAGTTAATTGGGAAAAAGTGATACTTGGATTAGGGGGTGTGGGCATAAAGAATGGTGGGAGGCCTGATTTTAAACTTCAGGCCAGAACCCCCAATGACTCCACCCATAGTCTCACTTTAGGTCTCATTTAGTCCATCACCTTTATTTTAAGTTGAGGAAGTGGAGGCTGGTAAAGAGCAGGACCAGAGGAAGAATCCAGATTTCCTTATGCTTGGGCCTCACACTAGCTCTCTGAGTATTTCCTTGATTGCGGTATATGTACTACTAGAAAATACCAAATGGATATATTTTCTTTAGGATAACCTTTGAACCAACAATCTTCAATAACAATAGTACATCTTCCATCTTACTTTTAATCGAGTATAAGGAAATGTTTCTTTATGGCCATTTTGGAGGGAGCAGGGGATGAGGCTTGGCATAGTCCAAAATTTAAGTCTCCAATAATTAATTGCATTTTAAATTGGCCCACTTTCAAGGCAATTTTTTTTGTGTGTCTGTAACTGAGCTCCTCCACCCCTGTCATTCACTTCCAATTTTACCCAATCCAATTTTAGCACTCAAGTTCCATTGTGTTAATTTCTGCACGGTCAACAAACATCAAGTCAGCAAGCATTTGCCACCACTCCCTATACTTCTCCCTCCTTCTTACACACACACACACACACACACACACAATCCATCTCTTGCTTGTTCCTACCTCCTGATTTTTCTTCCCTACAGAAATAGAAATAGGGACAAAGAAGGGGAAAATGTATATATTGGGGCTGGGCTGAACAACTAACTTCATAAGTAGTATTAACTAGGGGTAAATTGAGAGAAAAGCTCCTTTTCTCTTCACTGTTTTGGAAAGGATAGCCATTAGCATGACTGCTTTGTGTCCTTATGGACTTTAGTATTAGCCTAGATTGAATTATAGCGTTTTCTAGCTGGAAGGAACCTTAAGATCACATCATCTACTCCTCTACTCCAAATTTCTCATTCTTCAGGCCAGGAAACCGAGACACAGAGGTAAAGTAATTTCCCCAAGGTCACACAGCTGGCTGGGGCAGGATTGGGTTTACAACCCACATCTCCTGGCTCTTATTCCAGGGCCTTTTCCCACTAAGTAGTATTGCCTTCCATTAGGCTCCTGAGAGTTATTTCTCAGGGTCATGTTGCATCTTGGAGCCACATGCTGCTGCCCTGATCTCAGTGGGAAATCCACCCAGCAACCTAATACAGCCCCTTTTCCCTGCATTCACCTGGTTCCCATCCACATGGGTTGCAGATGTCCTTGAAGAGAGTGAGGCATTGAGGGCCAATAGGAGCAATGGGGTCCCTGGCCTTGTCCATCTGATTCAGGAGATCACTGCTCCATCGTGAGGAGCCCTCTGAATAGCCCCCCACTGAATGCTTGCCTTGCCCAAATGGAATGGAGGAAGATTGATTTTCTCCATCAGTTCACCTTGTGTCATCTCATAATGGTTGGTCTTTCCAGGCTGAGGGAAATGTTTCTTGTTTCCAGAGTAGAAAAAGAAAGAGTGGAACAATAGCTTTGTTCATCCTAACTTTCTGAGATGGCTTTTCAACATTTTAAAAAAACTAGTGTGGCTACCATTCACTGGCAATGATTTCTTTTAGAATATGGGAGTAAGATGAGCTAGAGAAAATAACCTGGTCTCACTGTGGTTGCCCTCATCCACAATGTCCCCAAAGCCATCCTGCTCTGATGAGGACAATTTCCAGGTATAAGCAAGGGGCTTTGTGACAAAAATGTACCCTGGCTGATGTTAAACATTGGCTCCTGTGTTTGCACCAAAATAGCAAGCTGTGTGCTCTATACACTCTTCCCATCGTCTTGTGTACACTGCTCCTGTGGCCTTCCACAGCAGAAACCAGGGCAAAAGGGTCCAAACACATGGTTTTCCTTGCTGCAAGGCTCTTCCTGGGAACTAAGGGGGTATTTATTAGTTCAGTTCTAAGAGACCTCCTTCTGGGCTTACCCCACTCCTCAGGTACTTCTCTCTCCTTCCTCCTTCTCCTCCACAGTCACAAGTAACCAAGGAACCTGAAAGTGGATGTGTAGCTATTTGAAGAAGGCAAGGAACCCTGAGATTCTTCTTTGAATCCTCTAGTCCAAGTCTTAGACCAGTGATTGGTGCTTACCTTGAACAAAATTTTGTCTGTGTTCCTAATCCCTTCAATACTCTGGGTACAATGCTCCCAATCACCCTGCACATTTGATTCTAAATGGCTTTTATTTTTTAAAAATCCATATCCCTAGGACAAGAGAACAGGATGCCTATATCCCCAAAATGAGCTCCAGGACACTGATGGGAATGATCCCAAAGATCACCCCACCTCAGAAACGTCTGTGCCAAGAGACTTCCCCAGATAGAAACACTGGGACAGTGGTTTGAACGACTTCTTTTATGGTTGTCCAGTTTGCTATGGAAATAAAAGGCATTGATTTTTTAAAAAGATGATTGGAACCTGTCTTTGGCCACATAGGGCCACTTGGATCCATTTCCAGGCCTTACTCATATATTGCCTTCACTGAAGGGCTTTGGCTTTAAGTCCCAGACTGGTCTCCCAAGTGAACCATAAGTGTTTTGGAGCTCATCTGGGGTGAGGCATGAGAATGTTGCCCCATCTATCCCTTCAGGAAAAGGTGCCTTCCCTCCCTTTCTCCTAAAGCCTGGTCCCCAGAAATTGTTTTTGTCTCCAAAAGTCTAGTATGGTCTTTATACACCCAGACTCTTAGTGTTGCGTCCTGCCTTGTTTCCTTGTTAAGGATCTATGCAGACCTCCCGCTTTGGCTTAGCTAGCGTGACATTGGCTATCATTTGACAAGACTAACTTTTTTTTTTTTTTTTTTTTGACTGAGTCTCCCTCTGTCACCTAGGCTGGAGTGCAGTGGCACAATCTTGGCTCGCTGCAACCTTCACCCTTCACCTCCCAGGTCGAAGCGATTCTCCTGCCTCAGTCTCCCGAGTAGCTGGGATTACAGGCGTGCGCCACCAAATCTGGCTATTTTTTTATTATTATTATTTTTAGTAGAGATGGGGTTTCACCATGTTGGCCAGACTGGTCTTGAACTCTTGGCCTCAAATTATCTGCCCACCTCGGCCTCCCAAAGTGCTGGGATTACAGGCATGAGCCACCATGCCCAGCTGACAAGACTAATTTTTTATCCCTTGGTTTATTGGCTTCAACATCTTCTGGAATCAGAGGTGATTTTTTCTTACCTTGGATGCCTGAGACTAGGGGAGTATAGAATTCCAATTGGTAATTAAGGCATCTTTCTGCTCCTGATCAGAAGGGCAGGTTAGTTGGGAGAGGTCAGATGGCACAACAGAAGTCACCTTGTAAGTAAGGCAAAGACTTGAAGGCATTAGCGTTTCTCATTACTAGGTCAATAACCTGAGGGAATCAATGGCTTTTTGCCGCTCTACCTCTTGTGTATCTCTTTGACTTTTCTTTCTCTGTCTAGTTTCCTCTGTTCTCAGTTTATATTCTATGTTATCAGTCTCTCTTTCCACAGTACAAACATCCATCCTTTCTCCTGTGCAATTCTGTCTCTCCCTCTTATTATCTTTATTTGTACTTTTTCCTTCCTCCCTGTCTAGGCATTGGGCATGTGCCTCTTCTTAGCCTGTGATTTTGCCTTGGGACTGATGATAAATTATTTCCAGATTCAATCAGCCCTGGTCCTACCCCAGTCCAATCAGAAGTATGTTGGTGGGAATCAACCTGATCCTGGCCCTTTCTTCTTCTCCATTTTCATTCGTAATCCCCCTCAGCAGATCTTTACAAGCAGTTTCCTTATAGCTCATGTATCTTTAGGTCTTTGCCTTCCAAGCACTGTACAGAATACTTTGTGGTTCCTTTTTAGTCTGACATTTTGTGGAGCAGTGAAGCGTGCTCAGAGACATAATCAGCTGAAGAGAAAAAATCCACCCATGGATTTATATCAGCTAAATACTAATAATTGATTTTGTTTGATGTGCCCATAATTTTTAAAGCTGCAATATAATATAATGAGGGACCACAGGTAATTTCTCCTGTCATTTGTTTTGGCTGGATGGGGGTGGGGGAGTAATTGCTTAAAGTTTTACCATTACACATTAAACTCTCTATAATAATCTTGTTTGGGGCTTGCTAACTGTTGAGCTGTTTTAACTAAACTGGTAGGCAATCGGAGTTGATTTAAATGAAAAGATAATTTAACAAATCTATACTATAAAAAGAGACATTTGCTTAATTGACATGTATTTTTTCCTTCTGAGTCACCTAAACATTTACTCTTGACACCAACTGTTCATGATACTGAATAGACAGTCCATATAAGAGAAATTAGTGGACCTAAAGAAGCCAGATTGTAGGTGTTAATTTATTAAACAGAGTGCAAAGCCCTTGGAAATGTCACTGCTTGGCAATACCATATGGAATGCCAAAATTTACAATGACTTTTCTTTATAAGTTATCCAAAAGGGATTTGAACAAGTAAGAGGTTATGCCAAAATGTCTCCAATGTATGGTCCTGTAATATATTGCAGCTTGAAGCCAATGATCCCTTATGACTTGTATACAACTAATGCATGTTTTATTGAATTTTGCATTTCCCACGTGTGGTAAGTTCTTTAAAATGTTTTTGATCACCTTTTTGTGCCATTAAACTTGTACAGAAAATGTTTTTATGGCCATTTTCAAAGGGAGAAAGTTTAAAATGGAAACAGCCCACCCTTTCTGCCCTATAGCTGTAGTTAGAATTGAGTACCTGTAGCAAAACAGCTGTAATTGGTGGTTGTAGTGTTAGAGGTGTTAGCTTGCTAGTGACTAGCTTTGGAGAGTAAATGCATGGTATTGTACATCACATTTCTTAACTCGTTTTAACCTCTGAAAAGAATATATTCTTCTTTGTAGTCCTTCTTCCCACCCCCTTGCCCTCTCCCTCTCCCTGCTCCCAGTTGTCTTACAGTTGTAAATATCTGATTTGAGGCCCAATAACTCTTGCCAAGTAAAGTCAGCAAACAACAAACAAACCAAAATGTGGGGAAAAGGCATTTCTCAACCATCTCTCAGCAGTTATTGATCATTTCTTAAGGAACAGCATTGTGATCAAAGACTCAACTTTACGTAAAAATCAGTGGTAAATTGGGGTTGTATTTGGCCATTTGATTACATTTCAGGATTGAATAGTTTTCAGAATCACATGTAATCCAAAGACAGTAGGTAGTGATGTCCCTTATCCCTGCAGCTGTTTTAAGATAGAGACCTCAGAAGACTCTGCTTGACCGATGACCAATAATTATTTGAAAAAAAAAGAAAAAATGAGAGAAATAAAACAGATATTTAAGAACTTTAGCCACCTATTTAGAATAGTTATAGCCAGAAAAAAAAACAAGGGCATGAGTTCAAATGCATTACTATCAGTGTCCTAGGCAATACCTAACCTACTCTGAAATTGTGATTCAAAAGCAGTATTTCAAGAGGCATTCTCCTTTTTTGGTTTGCTGACCCCACTTGGACTGGTAGGTTTGGTGAGGCCCCCATAAACCAGCTGGAGCAGACCCTTTTCATCTCCTGTGCCTGTAACACCCCTCTTCCCCCACCCCCTCCGCAATTCAATGAGGGCTTTCTTGGGTCAGAGGACTTCAAGGTTGTCTAGAGAAGTTTGCCATGTGTGTAAGGTGCTGTGAACTGTGAGTGCTGAAGATTCGCAGCATTCAATACCAGGCAGCCAAAGAGCTGCTCTTGCAATTATTTTGGCTCTCAAGCTCTGTTCTTCATCGCATTCTCATTTCTGTGTACATTTGCAAGATGTGTGTAATGTCATTTTCCAAAAATAAAATTTGATTTCAATATTTCTGGCTGACATTCTTTTAAAAACAAAAACAAAAACAAAAAACACTGAACCAATAATCATATAACCTCAAAATGTCCAAGCTGGCAGGGAACTTAGATATTATTTTTTCCAACCTCTTAATTTTATAGAAGAAGAAGCTGAGAGTAAATGTATGATAGAAACACCATAATTATTGGTACAGCACATTTACAAAAAATAAGATCTCAGATCTCCCCCCAGAGTTGAGCAGGAATAAAGTGACCTCCTTTTATGCATAAGATGCTTTGGCCAATGTCAGCCTGTGTCATCAGGTGGTGACTTCTAGTACCATGTTTTCAGAAGCCCAAGAAACACTCCATGCCCCCCAAAATACCTCTACCTGCTGCTTGCAATTTCTTTTACAGTGTGGCTATTCTTCTTCAATAGGCTGATGGTGCAGCTACTCTCTGTGAGAGGAAACACGGAGATATCTTATTTACCCTCAGACGTAAATGACTGATGACATAGTTTTCTCAGATCAGGTTTTAATGGGATAAAGAACACAAAGCACTGGGCTTGGGAAGAGGTTGATGGAGAGGGAAAGAGAAAAGGACGTAGAAAACAGGAGGCTGAGGCCAGGCATGGTGGCTCACACCTGTAATCCCAGCACTTTGGGAGGCCAAGGCGAGCAGATCACCTGAGGTCAGGAGTTCGAGACCAGCCTGGCCATCATGGTGAAACCCCGTCTCTACTAAAAATACCAAAATTAGCTGGGTGTGGTGGTGCACACCTGTAATCCCAGCTACTTGGGAGGCTGAAGCAGGAGAATCACTTGAACCTGGGAGGCGGAGGTTGCAGTGAGCCGAGACGGTGCCACTGCCCTCCAGCCTGGGTGACAGAGCGAGACTCCATCTCAAAACAAACAAACAAACAAACAAACAAACACAGGAGGCTGAGATTCTAGGAAACAGTTTGACCAACATCACAGTTATGTGAGGCCAACTCTGCAGCTCCCAGCTGACCCGTGTTCAGAGAAGCAACGATGCCAGCTTCCCCTAGGCACTCCCAAGGACCAAGATGATTATGAATTCTTCATCTAAGCAGTATTTTACCACCTGGCTCCATGACCATCACTCTGGTGGAGACAAAGAAAGTAGATGGAAATGGGACTTCTTGGTGTTTCTAATCCAAAGAAAAGTTGGATACAACAATCAGACTGGCTAGGCCTCTTGCTGACAGTTTTTATCCCCACTACCATCAGGTTCTCCTTGTCCCTGATTACTCATGACCCCCACTACCGTCAGGTTCTCCTTGTCCCTGATTACTCATGACATCCTTTTCATCCACCTTGGTCTATCCTGCAGTCCCCTGCAAGTGAAATCTTTCTAAAAGAACATTTTGGTCACAAAAGGACAAATACCATAAGATTCTGCTCATATTAATTATCTAATATAGTGAAAATCATAAAAGCAGGAAGTAGAAAGGTGGTTACCAAAAGCTTGGGGAGGGTAAAGGGAGAAGTAGTATTTAGTGAGTATAGAGTTTTAGTGTTGCAGGATGGAAAAGTTCAAGAGATCTGTTGCACAACAATGTCAATATACTTGACACAACTGAACTGTACACTTAAAAATGGTGAAGATGGTAAATTTAATGTTGTTTTTTACTACAATAAAAATATTTTCGATTGTCTCATTTCTCTGACCATTAAATCAAGTCCAACTCCTCTTCATGGTTTTTATTAAGACATCACTACAGCACTATGTTCTAGGTACCCTGCCAATTGCTAGGCTTTGGACCTAGGCCTCCAGGAGTTCCAGCATAGTGAAGACAGATCTGTAAATAAATGAGTCCAGTGCAAAGGAGCAAGTGCTATGGGAACACCAATGATGGAATAATGATTGCTGCAGGATGATGAGGTTCAGAAAAACTTCATGGAGCTGGCAGCATTTGAAAACAGATTAAGAGCTTTCCAGGTGGGCAGTGAGCCATCTAAATAGAGGCAATAGCATGAAAGGTGTCCCAAAAAGCAAGGGTCTCTCTGAGAACTGATGATTACCTGAGGTGGCAAAGTTACAGAGCCAGTACACATGGTTCTGGCAGGAAAACACAAGTGCAGTAGTCTGAGAATTACAATTTCGGTGATTTAGATCAGTGGTTCCCAAATGCTGGTACAGCAGCCAATGGTGGTCTGTAATAAAGTTTTCACCAGGCTGTGATATAAAGAGAAAACTAAGGACAATGTAGTATGCTTTTTTCATAGAAGTAAATGTACTTCATTTAAATAACTATCTTTAGTTTTGAGATCATAACATTTTACTTTTGGTTATTAAAAATGTCCTTCCTTATATGAAGTTTTGGTCATGGTAGAAGATAGGTATGTATTTGTTTTTGAATGTCCTAACTAGGCAAAATTTAAAGTGACTAATCCTAGGAGGGGCCTCAAATAAAATCTATATTTCTTTCTTTTCTTTTTCTAATTCTCATAATCTGTGAGGTCAATAAGTTTAGCAAGCACTAGTTTAGACTAAAAGAAATGGGGAAATGGAGAAACCACTAGGGGTTGAGTTATGAGGAAAAAGGTGTTTGGTATTTGAAGGAAGTTCCTCCTGAAAGCATTCAGTTCTCTCTCCATCTCCCTTTTCTCTTCCCTCAGCTTTGCCTCTTCCCTTCCTCAGCCTCTCTTCCGTTGTCCTCCCCTGGTCCACAAAGTGTGAGCAGTACATCAGCCCCACCTAGGAACTTGTCAGAAATGCACATCCTTGGCCACACACACGCCTGCCCCACCCACATATACTGGATCAGAAACTCTGCGCGTGGGGTTCAGCGATTCCCGTGTTAACAAGCTCTCCATGAGGCATCTGAGACCCTCTCTAGTTTGAGAACCCCCTGCTCTTGTGAATTCTGCTTCCTTTTCATTGAGGACTCAGTGAGAATTTAAGCAGCATATATGATCTTTTTGGTCATTTGGGTTAGTTTGCACTTCTCCCAGGAGAAGAAAAGATGCAAGAGACTGTTTATTTCAGTTAGGTCTATATATTTAGTTTCTGTAGAGAAAGATAGCCTTTTCAAGCTTGAGAAGAAACTTACACCAGTAAAGACACTCTGGAAAGGGTCTTCACAGCTGTTGCAAGCTGTGCAGATAGAGACAAAAGCAGATTCTGAATTAAGGCCAGAGCAGTGGTGGTAGAGAGGAGGAATAAGAGCGAAAAGTTGTCCATATAGAATTGTCAGAAGCTGATGTACAGATTGGATGTAGGGAGGAAATGGGAAGAACAGAAAGCCCTGACTTGAGCAACTCAGCCTGAGCGTCCCCTGTTCCCAGACCTGGGCCTCTGCTCCGGACAGCCCAATAGCTTCTCATGCATCTCCTTCCCCGACTTCAGCTCTCGCTATGCAATGCTCAATCACACTTCACTCTTGCTGACAGAGCCTACCCTTCTTTCCCTGCCTAGAAAAATACCCTCTGAATGCCCTTCCACATTCTCTCCACCTGTCTAAATCTCAGATGTTGCCATAAAGCTACCAGCAATGGAACTTAGGGCATATTTATAAGAAAAACAAGCCCAAACATGGAGAAAAACTGGCAACTTTCTATCCTGAATTTTCCAGGGCAGTCGTGATCTTATGTAAATTATGTAATTTTTCTTTCCTTTTCCAAATAAAGGTGATTTGTTAAGCATACAACTATATATATAATTTATATAAATACACTCACAAATCAGAAAACACCCCTTTTTAAACAGGCCATGCATCCACACTGAGGGCTTGGAAAATAGAATTCCTTTCAGGGAGAGGCTTTCTCCAGGTTTCCTTGTCAACTTGTCTGGAACCCCTCTCCTGGATTCCGTTGCCAGTGTGGGACAGGTGTTGCACCCTCCATTTCTAATATCCCCTTTTCAATACCCAAGAAGGTCTTTGAGATCATCTGATTATATCAAGCTTGAATGCTTCAGAGAAAGAGAGGCTTGAGTAAGCAGATAATTTAATTTCTCTTTGAATCCCAGAGGTGCTGATTCTTTCCAATGAAGAAGACTTGGCTTGATTTGTTGTAATCTCTCTTCCTTTTCCCACTGGCACAGCCCTGGATGTTTTAAAAAATGTTTACCCTAATGGAGAGAGGGGTAAGTCCCAGAATTCTGAATTAGGTATCACTATTTACGATCCTTGGTAATGAACAAGTGCATATAGAATTGCAGAATGTCAAAGGTGGAAGGGCCTTTATCAACCACTTGTCTAACGTTTCACAAAGTCCTCTAGGGATGTGAGTCACTTCAGGTACTTGTTACAAATACAACTTCAGGGACCCCATCCCAGTTCCACCTCATTTGAGTCTCCAGGACAGTGGCCTGGGAAGCTGAATATTTAACAAGAGCTTCAGTGAATCTTTCATCTGCGAAGCTTACAGAGCTTCCCAAACTTGTGGATAGAATCACCTGGGGATCTTGCTAAAATGCAGACTATGATTTTGGAGATTTGGTGTGGGGCCCAGATTCTGTGTTTTTAACAAGCTGCCCACTGGTACTTCATGCTCCTGGTCTGTGGACCACACTTTAAAATAGCAAAACACTAAGTTCAAGTTCCTCATTGTTCAGAAAAAGAGTAAACTGAGGCCCAAGGAAGGAAAGGAAGTTTCTCACATTCAGACCCTTGGTTAAGCGCAGAGATGGGCTTCCACTCCTGGGCCAGTGCTCTTTCCGTATGACCAGGCAGCCCATCAGCAGGCATTAAAAGCAGCCCAGCTGCAATGGTACTGTTTCCAATCAAAGGCTAATTGGAAAAAATTATGCTTCCTGAAAGGGAAGCAGCCCTGGCTTGTCTCAGTAATGAGTGGGCACACTGGCAGGAAAAAAAAAAAAAAAAAAAAGACAAAGGGTAGGGGGGAGGGGACAGAATTTATGTTTTGTTTTAATTGAAGAAATGAGACTAAGGTCCTCTTACAAGGGGTCGGCAGGGGGTGGGGAGTGGGTAAGGACATGAAATGTCCTCCTACCTCATTCAGGAGAAAAACCTAAACTAAACAAACAAAATCTATCCCCCAAAGCATTGAGGAAGTGCTATGATGGAGGTGTTGTAAGGAGCTGAGAGAGCCCAGAGGAGGGCAGTCTAACTGCTAGGGTGGGGTGATGAAGGCTGTTAGATATTGGACTTGGTATAATAAAGCATTAATGATGAAGAATGAGCTAAGAATTATCCTGCCTAGGATAAATCTTTATTTTAATGCTTCTCTTCAAGCACAGGCTTCACTGAGGAGGTGAAACTTGAGCTGAGGCTTAAATAAGTTGGAGTTTGTTAGGCAAAGAGGGGAGGGGCGGAAGAGAAGAGGGAAGAACAAGAGACTTCCAGCCAGAAAGACCATATGAACAAAGTTAAAGAGGTATGATCTGTGCCCAATGTGTCTGGAGATCAGAAAGGCTTCTAGTGAGGTAGAAGAGCCTAAGATGTAGAGTGTGGGGGAGTGAGTGCATGTAGACAATGTTGGAAAGGTAAAATAGGATTCCTTTGTTTGACACATGTGCAACATGCTATGTGCCAGGTGCTGTGCTAGGCTCTAGGGGATAAATAGACATGGCCCTTCACCTCACAGAGCTCCAAATATAGCTAAGGTAGATGTAATTATACACAGTATGCCCAGTGCTGTGACATGAGGAAGCATAGAATGGCCCCATGGCACACCTAATTCAACCTGAGGGATGTTAAGAAAGCCTTCCCAGAGGAAGTGACATATTAACTGAACTTAAAGATGAGTAAAAGTTAGCTGTTCCAGATGAGAGTAAATGAATATGTGAAGGCCCTGAATAAAACAGGACCATTTGTTGAAGCAACTGAAAGAAGTCCAATGTGGCTGAAGTATGGAGTGTTATGGTGGAGAGGTGGTGAGAGGTGACATGAGAAAGGCAGACAGAGGCGACGACGTGGGGTCTTTTAGCCACATTAAGAAGTTTGAATTTCCCCCTGAAGAGCACTCAGAGAGTCATTAAAGAGTTTTAAGCAGGAGAGTGTGATAAGCAGATAAAAGTTGTAAATAGATCACTTCTGCTGCAACCTTGTGGAGACTGGACCAGAGGCACACAAGAACAAGAGACAAGTCATGCACTGGGGGCTGGTATCATGATGGGCTTTGGTTGGGCATGCTTTGCTCTGGCTGAAAAGTCCAGGCCCAGTGGAAAGACTTACCAATAGTTGAGTTCTCCTGTGGTGTGCCAGGCAGCACACAAACTTTCTCCTGAACAAACCTCACCAAACCCCAGCAGAATGGGGTGGGGTTATCCTCATGTTTTCAGACAGGAAATGGGAGCTTGGAGAGGAAGTGATCTGTGAACTGTTGCACAGCAAGAAAGTGATGGTCTGATAGTCTTTACATTAGACCAACTTGCCTCTGCAAAAATTTTCATATGTCTAAGTCCTGCCATTACGGCTCTCATAAAATTAGAGTTTAGCCTCTTCCCTAACTGGAACAGCAAAGGGGTTACAAATAGATTTGAGCCTGCTATCTGAAGATGCTGTTGTCTGAAAAGGTAGATTGTGTAGGTATGGAGAAAGCAACAAGAAAGTTGTGGGTGTTAAAGAGGTTACTTAGAAAGGGGCCCATTCTCTGTAGAAGCAGCTTAGAGCTAATAGTGTAAAGACAAAGTGGTGCCCCAAAAGCTTTGGAGGGGCTCTGGAGGAGCATCACCAGGAGGTCTGGAACTCAAGAACATCGATTCCAAAGGACTTGGAGAAATCATCTCATCTGGCCCCTGGCATATGAGCATCATTCTTGCTGGGTTTGTTCTTCATTTTATCACATTTTTCCTGTTTTTAAAAATGTGGGCTGGTGCATGTTCTCACTCATAAGTGGGAGTTGAACAATGAGAACACATGGACACAGGGAACAGAATATCACACTCCAGGGCCTGTCAGGGGTGGTGGGGGGCAAGGGAGGGAGAGCATTAGGAGAAATACCTAATGTAAATGACGAGTTGATGGGTGCAGCAAACCAACACGGCACATGTATACTTATGTAACAAACCTGTATGTTGTGCATATGTACCCCAGAACTTAAAGTATAATTTTCAAAAATGTGGGCTGGTGTTCGTGTTTCCACTATACACAAAAAGGTAAGCATGACAGATAATGCATGTGATAATTAGTTTGATTTCACTGATTTCACAATTCCACAATGTATACACATTTTGAAACTTATTGTATGCCATAAATATATACAGCTTGTATTTTATCAATTAAAAATAGTTTAAATGTAGGCTAGAGCACCATAAGACACAATCAACAGACTAAACAGGTAACCTATGGAATGAGAGAAATATTTACAAACCATATATCAGATAAGGGATTAATATCCAGAACATATAAAGAATTCTGAAATCCAATAACAAAACAAATAATCTTATCAAAAATGGGCAAACAACTTGAACAGACATTTCTCCAAAGTAGATATACAAATGGCCAGCAAGTACATGAAAAGATGTTCAATATCCATAGTCATTAGGAAAATGCAAATCAAAAACAAAATGAGATATTAGCTTATATCGATCAGGAAATCTATTATCAAAAAAAGTGTTTGATAGCACAATAGAGTGACTATAGTCAATAATAATTGTACATTTAAAACTAACTGAGTATAATTGAATTGTTTGTAACACAAAGGATAAATGCTTGAGGAGATGGATACCCTATTTACCCTGATGTGATTATTATGCATTGCATGCATGTATCAAAACATCTCATGTGCTCCATAAATATATATACCTACTATGTACCTACAAAAATTAAAATTAAAAATTAAAAAAAGAAAATAAGAAATGTTGATAAGCATATAGAGAAATTGGAGCCTTTGGGCACTGTTGGTGGGAATGTAAAATGGTGCAGCTGCTATAGAAAATAGTAAGGTGGTTCCTCAAGAAATTAAAAATAGAATTGGCATTCAATTCAGCAATCCCACTTCTGGGTATATATCCAAAAGAACTGAAGGCAAGATCTCAAAGAGATATTTGTACAACCATGCTCATCGCAGCATTATTCACAGTATCCAAAAGATGGAATCAACCCAAGTGTTTATTGACAGATGAATGGGTAAACAAAATGTAATATATACATACAATGGAATATTATTCAGCCTTTTAAAGGAAGGAATTTCTGACACATGCTACAACATGGATGAAACTTGAGGTCATTATGCTGAGTGAAATAAGCCAGTCACAAAAAGACAAATACTATATATTCTACATATATAAGGTATTTAAAGTAGGAAAACTCATGGAAACAGAAAGTAGAGTGGCAGCTATCAGAGGCTGAAGGGAGGGGAAAATGTGGAGTTATTTAATGAATACAGTGTTTCAGTTTTACAAAATGAAAAAGTTCTGCAGATCTGTTTCACAACAATGTGAATATACTTAACATTACTGAATTGTATGCTTAAAAATAGTTAAGACAGTAAGTTTTATCTTATGTGTATTTTATCACCATTAAATTAAAAATTTATTTTTAAATGTAGGCTAGGATCAATGTTACTGGAAATCCCTTTTCTCTCCAGAAGCCTCGGGCCTCCTCTCCCTTAAGTTTTCCTGAGCTCTCCTCCTAAGCCTCCTGCAGAAAGCTTTTTCAGTCAATGGGAAGAGTGAGAATGATTCTCTAACCAGTCTCCTTCAAACCTCCTTCCTCACTCTCTAGCCTGCAGGGCCCCTCCTTCTTTGCTTATACCCAATGGATATTCTTAGTCTATTTTGCGTGTGTTCATGGAATGTGCGTTCTCAGAGGTACTGGATGAAGGCTGTCAATGAGAAGGAGAAAGATGTGGACAGCTTGTTCCAGCTCTGTGAGTTATAAGGAGTTCTGTGCTTGTCTGGCAATAGCATAGCTTTGTGGATTTTAGGCAAGCCTGTGCTTCCTCTGAAACGTTCTTTCACTGCAGGTACAAAAACACAGTAAACCGCGATCCAAAAAAAACCTGTCCACTCGTGAATGGTGCTTTGTAAGCCAGTTAATGTATAACACTTTAGAAAGCTGGGCAGGGAGCATGTTTGCTTTTCCAACAGGAACCACATCAGGGGTGTCAGATGCCAATAATCCCAGGATTCTGTGGTCACAGGCTTTGAATCTGCAGCCAAACTTTGGCATCCAGACGTGGAGGCCAGTGATTTCCAACCTTTACACCACCAAGGATCCCTTTTATTATTTTTCCCCCTGTGGCCCCCACATTTGGAAAAATTTTTATCTAGCGAAACTGCATTTATTATGGAATAATTCGTTTTTCCAATTTTTTACTCACTCAGGGCTTCTGATCCACATGAGCTAACCACACCAAAGCTAATATAATTTCAGTCAAAAGCAAAGAAACATGATATTGTACTTAGCTCTCTGTGGCTTTGTCTTGGCTGAAAGTACAATTTCTATGATTTTTTAATATTGAAAAATAGCTTAAGGGTATCATTTGCTGCCTTTAGAGACCCCCAGATTGAGACCTGCCAGCACAAGGTAGTAGGACATTGACAGGATGACTATCAGCTTAAGAAGCTCCAGAGCCCATGAACCACAAGTAGAACATAATCTGTTGATCAGGAGGCCTCCCTATTTCATTTCACTAACTTCAGTTTATTTCTCGTCTGTAAAGAGAATGATGAAAGAAATGGTTCCCAAAACAAGAATAACAAATGTTTACCAAGCATCTAGGTAAACAGTTTTTATTCTTGTTTTGGGTAACATCTCTTTCATCCTGGTACAGTGACAAGACAACTCTCAGACACAGGGATCTGCCTCCCCCAAGGCTGATTCTCCCCAAATCTAAGGTATACTCCCTCTAGATCAGGGATCTTGTATCAGAAGGTGTCTCAGAGGCTCATCTAAGCCAAATGTCTCCTACCACACTGAATAGAAATGGAAATGTCTACTTGTCCTTTTATGCTACTAGACTGGAATCCCCTTGAGGTCAAGGACCTTGTCTGATTTTTCTCGGCATCTCTGCATACCACAAGTGCAGGATGGCTCCTGACACTCAACAAGTGCTAGTGAAATACATGACAGTGAGTTCACCAAATGAATAGTTGAATTACTGGGAACAGAAACTAGACTGTGATGTGAGCTCCTTGAGGGAAGAAAGCATCTTATTTGTGTCTGGGTTTCCAGTGTTCCACAAAGTGTGGCCACTTAACAAGTGCCTGAGTGAATGAATAAATGGATTAGTCATTATCAAAGAGTTGGCTGTATACCCAGGGATGACCCATAGACCGGCTATTACAGGCACACCAGTCAGAAGCAACAGGTAAAACCCTTTCCTCACCATTTATTTTTGTAAGTTGTCACCCAGCGGTGCTCTGTCTCTGGCTAATAGTTGGCCACCATATCTCCTTCTTCAAGAGTCAGTATAACTCCCTCTTTTCTCCCTACCTCACCACCCTCCCACCTTGCCGTTGTTTGCATACATAAGTCCACACGCACTAGTCCTATAAAAGAACATGGGTCAGAACCCTGGCACCCCATTTTGGAAAGGTTGCTGACCCCTGCTCTAAAAGAAGCTCAGAAAGTCCTGAGAATGAATGCAGCCTAGACATGTCTCTCTCTGTGGTGTCACTGGATGCGATTTAAGCAGAGGCATTCCTGCAGTTGTTACACCCAGGCAAGTGTGGGGAATGAAACAGTTGTCTGTGACTGATTTAAACTGTGGTTTTTGACAACTGTGCCCTGGATTGAAGTGTCCCATCTGTTAATTTTAGTGTTCAAGGGAGCTGTGAACATGGCTCCAATAGCAGCAGCTACAGTTCTGTGAGGTCCTTAACAACTCAAGAAAAGTTTCTATCCCCAAACCAAACTGGGCATTTTCTCTGCACCTAAATGCTGTTTAATTAATACAATTATTTCTGGTAGGATCCTGGAATGCAGGAACAAGGTAGGGAGAATATGGAGGGGAATGGAGGGAAGCCTCTTTTCAAATATTTAAGAAACAAGCAAGACTATCTTTATGCAAAGGTCATGAAAAGGTCCCCTTCTCAAATTCCTGTCCCTACCCTATTCTCACCCCATCACAATCTCCCTTTATCTAAGCCTAAAGTCTCATGGCGACCCTTGCTTCTAGCAAAGGCATTGCAGGCTCTCGTTCAAATTTGAACATTATTAAGACATTATCAAAACACTAACATTTTCTGTGAATTTGTCTAATCAGGTTTGTGCTAGTAACATGATGGAGCCCTAAGAAAAAATGATACGGTTTGTTTGGCGGAAGGAAAGAGAACTAGTTAGTGAGAGAAAAAGATCCTTCCTAAAGAAGGTGGTTCTGGGTGAGATTCTGCTGGTGACAGAAAGTGAGGGCGCTGTGTGCAGAAGGGCAAGATGGATCTATTGAAATCCAAAGAGAACGGAGGGTGGAAAATGGAGGTGAAGGAACCCAAGGCACACAACTTCGTCATTGGTGGGCCCTTGTTCACCATTTCCATTTCAGAGGATCTTGGCATGAAAGAAGTTTCAATTACATTACCCACCCCCAGTGGCAGCCTTCCCAGCTGCCCCAGTCAACTAATCCATGACTGTCTCTACAGCTATATTTGTCTAGGCAGGCTCCTGTGTCTACACATACCAGCTTGCAGAACTCACGTAAACTCCTAATTCCTCTACATTTAGGCTCTACCCGGTCTGATCTCCCACTATTTGCCAACATGAACTCTTAAGCCCGGCCCCACCAGTCTTCCTCACTGTTCTTCCCTGAAGGCCATCCTAACACACACGACATTTCCCCCGACTCAAGACTTTAAGATCTATAGATCGCTCTACCTTATACCCCAAATACCTGCTTTGTCTAAAAGCACTATTATCCTTTCAGGCCCAGCTCAAGTCTCTCCTATTCCACAAAGAAGTTCCCCCAGAAACCCTCCAGAGGAGCCTTTGTATCTGGGCAAAATTGTCATACCAGTCTTGGAAGTATTTGTGGATGCCCCATTCCAGAGACTGTCCATGCTCTTTTGGATGGGGTATCTCAGGATTAGAAGCTTATAGAGAGGGAGAAAAGTAACGAAGGAAGGAAGGAAGTAGCTCACTAAGAATATCTCCAGATCCCAAACTTGGGTCCACCGAGCTAACCATGGCAGTATGGCACAATGAAAGTAACCAGGCTTTGTCATCACCAGAAAACTTTGGTTTGAATCTATTTTGCCACTGAGACTTCACCATCTTACTATTGTGAAAGCTAAGCAAGACAATATATAGGAAGCACATTGTACATGATTGGTGCTCAGTCTAAATTAGCTGAATCAGAAGTGCTAAGGAAGAGTTCACTTCCTGTGCTTGGAATATCAGCTTATTTGGTGGCAGTGTGCCTGTGTTAATTCTCTAAACCTGTCACTCCCAGTGCTTTCCAGCAGTCCAAAACTCCCATCATTCTTTAACCCTTTCCCTTTGTTACCTGCTTAAAGGATTCAAGATTTATCCACACATCAGGGTAGGAGCAAACCTCAGGGTGGGAGTAGACCTCTTATGTACATGAAGTGGGTGTCAGGTCTGTACTCTCTGGGGTTTGGTTTTCTTACTGTCTGGGGAATAGTGTGTTCTATTATCTTTTCCCACTCCCATCTCTTAGCTACTCCTCCATACCTTTCATATGATCAACGGCTTCAAGGCCCAGTTCAATTATTTCATCTCATGAATCCTCCGCCCATGTTCTATCATTTGTAATACATCTTGCACATATTCACACTTAATTCTACTACAAACTGGGCTGTACAGAATGGGAATGTTCACTTCTGTTTCTCTTTCCTCCTACAAGGAGAATGGAAGCAATCTGAGAGCTAGGGACAATTATATCTTCTCTCTTTTCTGCATCATTGCATTACTTCAGGAAGTAAGGACTATGCTAAGCACTAGGGATACAGAGATCAGCTTGACATAGTCTCTGCCCTCAACATGAGACAAATACCTCAAATAAAGATTTAAAAGGAGTGCTATGCCACTTGAGGTTGCTGGCCAGGGGAGGGTATTCAAGGTAGAGAAAAGGGCATATGGAAAAGTCTGGGGAAAGAAAAAGGCATGCCATGTTCTGGGGATGATTAGAGTGCAGTATAGTGGGGGCTTGACCACATGGAAGGAAATAAGGCTGGAAGTGGAGTAAGGCCACCTCTAAAGGGCCTGGAAGCAAGGTGGAGCCAAGGGAGGTTTCTCTACCATAGCAGTTATCACATTTTATATCAACTATTGGTCCACTTTTCAGTTTACCTTACAACAGTGGTTCTCAACTGGGTGTGTTTTTGCCTACCAGGAGACATTGGCCATGTATGTAGAAATCTTTGGTTTTCACAACTTGGAGGAACGATGTTACTGCCTTCTGAGGGTACAGGCCAGGGATGTTACTAAACACTGTACAATGCACAGAACAGCCCCCACCTCAACACACATAACAAAGAATTATTCAATCCCCAATGTCAACAGTATTGTGGTTAAGCAACCGTGTCCTACAAGAACACTATTTGTTCCTTGAGGGCAGGAACTGTGTCTCCAAGGCCGAGCAGGTTCTTAGACATTGTGAGTGCTTGAGTGATTAATAAATATTGAGTGAATGAAATGGTGGCTGATGTAAGATCCTTTTCTGGGAAAAGTATGTGTCTAAATAAGTACTGCTCTGTTTAGTTACCCTCTTTCTCAACATATGCCCTGTATGTCTATCTCCACCTATTAGAATATAGCTCCATGGGGGCAGAGACTCTAGCTTGTTCACAGTTGTCTCACTAGCAATGAGGTGAATGACTAGTAAATATTAGGTGCTCATAAATGTTTGTTGAATGAATGAATGATAGGCTTGATAGTTAAGCCTGGGGAAGCCAGGGTTTGAAGTAGGTGGGACTTGCCCTTCTTCCCTGTTATGATGCAGAAAGGGGAGGCTGACAGCTCTGAAGATCTTCTGTACTGAATTCCCCAAAACCCATGGGGTGGCAGAGAGTGATCTCTTTTGGACCATGACTTCTAATTTTTAGATGTTTAATTATGGTGTGTTTTAGTATGGATTTCTTTGAGTTTATTCTGTTTCAGGTCACTAAGCTTCTTGAATTTTTAGGTTTATGTCATGACAAATTTGGAAAATTCATAGCCAGTACCTCTTCAAATATATTTTAGCCCCACACTCCTTACTTGCTCCTTCCAGAACTACAATGATACACATGTTAGCACTTTTATTATTGTCTCACAGCTCCCTGGGTCCCTGTTCACTTTTTTTCAGTCATTTTCTCTCTCTCTTTTTTTTTTTCACATTGGGTAAACGTTATCGGCCTATCTTGAAGTTCACTGATTCTACCATCTGTTATCTCTACCATTGAGCCCATTCAGTGAGTGTTTTATATTTCAGTTGTTGTGTTTTTAAGTTCTATAATTTCCCTTTGGTTCTTGTTAACTTTTTCTATTTCTTTGCTGAGATTATCCAGTTTTTCCTTTGTTTCCAGAGAATTAGTAATTGCTTGTTGAAACTAACTAGCCCTACCTCACATCACCTTGTTCAGTCTCTTTGCTGCTAGCTGGTAGTGGAGCTAACCAGCAGCTCAGCTCACTGCTAAGCTGACCATACTCTGATGGGGGAATAAGAGTACTAACTGTTTCTGCCGGGCAGGGGATAGAATATCAGCTCTCCACTCAGCCCCACTGAAATCCCAGAGGAGTGGTATGCAGTTGTGCCATTGATGTTTAGTTGGAATAGAGTGAGTATTGCCAAAAAAGGTTTTCTGTTTTTAGGTAACCTTTTCCCCAGTCCTGTGGCTACAGTGAACAGGCTTTGCTTGGAACACCTTTTTTCATCTGTGCTTGTGGGACGTTTCAGGTTGGAGTCTTCTACAACATCCTATCTGAGATATATGGGAGGAAAAAAGAAAACCCAGGGTATTCAAGGTTGTGTTGTTTCTCAAGTCCTTAGGTGCTTAGGTTGTCTGCCTTCTTCTTCCCACATTTCAGCCTTCTTATGTTTGTTTGTTGTGTTATAGCCAGCATTTTTTAATTGTAAGAAGGAGGACTGGGAATGAGGGTGGGGAATGGGACTCCTCTGTCTTGGCCAGGACTGGGATTGAGGGTGGGGAATGGGACTCCTCTGTCTTGGCCAGAACTGGATATCTGGCCCATGCATTTTAACCTTACTTCTTATTTCAGGCATCCAGATCAGGCCAGCCACCACCTGCTAGCAAAGGCTTAGGGATGTGTATGTAATAATCAGACTGGTGGTCATTCTGAGATGTCTTACATTTCTGTTCACATGAGAGTTTTCATAGTGCTTTCATATCCGTGATTTTATTTGATCCTCATGACAGCCCAATGAGAAAAATACTATTTATATTATCTTCATTTCACACATGAGGAAACTGACACGCCCAGAAATTAATGATCTCGAGGGTGTCAAAGCTGGCATTTGAGCCCAGGTCTCCAGGCTATAATTTAGTGCTCCATCCATTGTACACTTTCTGAATGGCCACCAGCCTGATCTGCTTCTCACCAGCCTCCTTTTTGTCAATGGGCACCAGAGTTTTCCAGCATGCCTTCTGCCTCTGGGTTCCACCCTCTCTTGCTCTATATCTGGTCTATGGAACAGCAGTCCAGTCCATCAGTCAGCAGGGATTTACCAGTGCTCAGAACTGTGACTAAACAGTGAATGGATCCCAAAGAGCCACTTGGGCCTCCGTCATCTCAGTCAATTCAGACTAGCAGGGAAGGGCTGCAAAGTGGGTGATGGTCTGTGTTCTCTAGATGTTGCAGCTGTGGGGATTTAGCAGAAATGTTAACTTGGGCCAGGACCTGTGTAGTTGCACAGCATTCTGTGCTTGGTGGGGCCCCACACCTAGTCTAACGTTCTGCAGTGGCTATCTTGAAATTCCTAATACATTTTGAACAAGAGGCCCCACATTTTCATTTTGTACTAGGCCCAGCAAATTATGTAGCTGGTTCTAGCTGGGGCTCATTGCAATCAGGCCTCTGGGAGCAGAGCTTATTCTCTCAGCAAAGAGCAGAGGAACCTGAAAAGTTATGGCCTTGAATGAAGCGTGAAACCTACTCCTTCAAATTTCACACCACACTCCCATTCCGTTGCACTCAGTCGGGCTCAGCAACCTGTGTTTTTCCCTGGGGAACGATTTCCCTGAGCTAGAATTCCCACCACCTTGTCTCCAAGTCTTGGCTGAACTACCCAAACCTACAAGATTATTGTAACATCATCTTTCTTTTTTTAAATTATTATTATTATACTTTAAGTTTTAGGGTACCTGTGCACAATGTGCAGGTTAGTTACATATGTATACAAGTGCCATGCTGGTGCGCTGCACCCACTAACTCGTCATCTAGCATTAGGTATCTTTCAAAAGAAACTTCTGTCAGATCAGAGATAATACACTGATTTATATATATATATTTATTATAAAATTTTATGTATATATAAATATATATGTTCCCACTATATATTACCTCATTTTTCATTGAATTGTCTTATATATATTGAATTTATATATATGCACACATTATATATATTGAATTTACACATATATATGCACACATTACATATATTGAATATATATATATATAGCCACTACATATTATCTCCTTTTTCATTGAATTTTTAAAAGATTATTGTGTATTCACATGCAGTTGTAAGAAATAGTACAGAGAGATTCTGTTTACCCTTTTCTCAGCTTTCCCCGATAATATTTTGCAAAACTTTAGTATAATATCACAACTAGGATATTGACATTGATACAATTCACCAGTCTTATTCAGAGTTCTCATTTTACTCATATTCATCTGTGCATATATATTTAGTTCTATATAATTTTAAACACATTAGGTTCATGTATCTACCATCAGCGTCAAGATACTGAAAAGTGCCATCACCTCAAAGATCCTTCGTGGTATTGCCCTTTTATAACCACACCCACCTCCCTCCCGCAACACAGCTTCTCCCCACCCCCAAACCCTGGCAAATGCTAATCAGTTCTCCATTTCTAAAACTAGGACACCTGGGCTATTTCCAGTTTTTGTCTATTATGAATATGACCTCTGTTTTTGAACATGTGCTCTTCTCATGAATTCACAGCCACTTAAATGACTAATAAAGCAATATTTTCCAAGAAAAATATTTTAATCTCCTGTTAGTCAATGATTATTTTCAATTTAGGGGCAACATAGTCTAGGAGAAAGCAGGAGGTCTTTGGAGTTGGAAGAATTGTTTTTTAGAAGCAGGGGCTTCACAATTTCCTTCTTGTGTAGCCTTAGCCTGGTTACTTAACATACCCCCGAGCACCCAGCAGGTGCCCCCCTCTGATAACCAAGAAAAAATTATCTCTGCTACAGGGTTATTTCTGTGAAGACGAAATGAGATAGCACAGGAAAGCTCCCAGTACTTTGAGGCTTTCCATACCTAGTCTCTTCTCTTTTGGTACCAGCTGAGGAGGGAAGGAGGAGAAGGAGTCTAAGATAGTAAAAAGTTGGAATTGTAAATTTTTAATGTAGTTTTAATACTCCAAAGTGTTTATGATAAGGAAAAAACTGGACAGGAATGGCCAGGATTTACAAGTAGCTTAACGAGGTTTCTAAAGAGCTCTAGGAAGGAACTGGGAAACTTTTAACTAAGTCAAACAAGATTTTTCCCTATGCCCCACTGTCTCTCCCATCATGGAGGAGGCTTAATTAATTTAGCAGCTCTTTTTCTTTCAAGATCTGGCTATAACAAGCTACAACCTCTCTTAGTCCGATTTTTCAAAAATCCCAAATTAGTGGATGCCAGATGAATGACATATTACGGGGACTGAAAAAGAGTCCCTTGCCTCCATGTTAGAAATTTTTCATATTTCTGTTTGCTTCTAACCCCCTCCCTATCTTTACTTCACCCTCCAGCTTAATTACAACTCAAGGCTGCCTCCTCCCATTTTGTTCTAATTCTATAAGCTTTCCCAGCTCTCAAAGAGCTCTTTATGTATACCTAGCTCTGACAAAGGGATAGTATAATACCATCCTCCATGACTTCCACATTTAGGACAGTTTTACTTGGTTTTCTAAGCACGTGTGTGTGTATGTGTGTGCGTGCGTGCGTGTATGTGCTCACGTGTGTGGTGGGCTAATTTCAAGTCTCTTGCTAAGTTGCTACTGACTTCCATTCTGAATATCTCTGGAATTCCTTGCCAAGTATTTACTGCACATTTACTTGGTGCCTGGCTCTGTGCTTCACACTGTGGGGAGTGTAGAAGTACAGAAGCTAGAGCTGCTGTCCTCAAGGAGTCTGTAGTCTGAGGAAATCCAAGCACACACATGAAACATTGAAGAATGATTAACTAGAACCCTGTGTGATATGATACTGACTCAAAGTGAGATGATTATTCAGAAAGAGTGCAGATCACTCAGGGAGGGAGAAGGCTTCGTGGAGAAAGTAAGGTTGGAGAATCAAAAAATAAGCAAGACTTGGGTAGATGGAAGGGTGAGAAAGAACAGTCATAGCCGGGGGCATAACTTGAGTAAAAATATGGTGGTAGGGTTGAATCATGCTGGGACTCCAACCTCCATTAAAAATGAGTACCTGATCTGTGGCTTTGTTCTTAGCTGTTGCCTTGCATTATTTGGCTCCATCCCACATTACACAATACTTCCTGACCTGTGAGTTCTGGATCACCTCAATTCCTGACTTCTTGCCTTGTCTTCTGCCTGTGGCCTTGCCCACTCTCACCTGGTACCCTATGCTCAATTCTCTAGGGCTGACCATTTCTCAGCTACAATTTATGCCTAAGACTTGGATGACATCTGTATTTTAAGTATCACCCTCCACCCAACCTTTTCCAGCCCTGAGTCTCCTACTCTAACACCAGCCCAGTGGAGGTTATGTTCCTGAAAGTTTTGTTCAGCCCTGAGAAATGGAATACAAAGGCCAGCTAGACTAGTGCCAAGTAGTGGTGAAACCAAGCTTTTGGTGGAGAAAGAGGTTTGATGACCAAGCAGAGGGGTATGGATTTGATATAGTCAAAGATCAGCAACCACTGTAACCATTTATTTCAATTACTAGGGACAGAGGTTTCCTTTGACTAATATTGAGAAACTAGAGCCCTTTTGTTGACAAGGCAAATGAGTTGCTTCCCCTGATTAAAAAAAAGTTCTGCTGCCAGCCAGCGAAGCATATTTTTGTGTTAACCAGGCCAACAGAGAAGATATCCAACTTACACTCTCCCAAAATCTTGGTTGAACTCCACCCCAAGGCTATTTGGTTTGGAAGCTGACAGTCCATCCTCTTCCGTGGCTTCTGTTCACACTTTCACTGGCCTTAGAGGATTTCAAGCTAAAAAGAGGCAAGGACTGTAGTTAGCTAGCCAAAACCAAATGACACTGCCCCACACGGCAGAGCCATACTACACCAATGTACAGCAACCCCCGCCCCTGCCAACCACTTGGCATACTGGGTGCAGCTGGCTTTTTTTTCTCCCTCAGGGAACTCAGTTTTACAATCTAGGGATGGAAAATGCCCAATATAGGGGAAAATATTGGGCTGGGAATGAGGCTAGAGGAAGCAAAAGAACAGAATCCAAGACTTGGGTGAGGGCTGAGATGGAATTAACCAGAATCTATAACATCTTGGAGACAGCAGACACCAACTTGCTCCACAAATCCTAGGCTACCATATCAAAAGCCTCCTTACCACTATCCCCACAAGCTTTTAAATGAGGTCATTTTAAGATAAGTAAAATGTGCCACATTACCCAGATAATGGAACAAAATAGTAGTATGGACTGAAAACTTCCACAAAGCAAATACATGACTGATTTTTAATTATTGAGGGTGAGATCATGTTTCTTATTATAGCCTGCCATTATAACTCCAGCAACTAGCATAGTATCTGGTATATAGTAGGAGCTCAGTAAATGCTTATTGAAAATAGGACTGTTTTATTCCTATTTTATAGAGCAGGAAACCAAGGACCAGAAGGGCTGTGCCTTGCCCTAGAATATACAAGTAGCAAGCATCAGAGCTTTAATAAACTATTATTAAGGTAAGGCAGGAACACTCTGGCTCTCTCTTGACCATTTGTGGTATCTTAGTGTTCATAATGATCAACCAAGTAGACTATGAGGCAGACCAAGGTGGCAATTCTTATCCTTTATTATTCTTTGTTATTTCCTCTGACTGGGATGCCATCCTCAGTCTCTTCCCTGATTCCTACCAACATATGCACACATCATTATTTTGTTCCTATTGGGATCCTACTCATTATTTAAGATCCAGTTCAAATTTCACCTCTTGTATAAGGCCTGCCTCGACTACTCTTATTAAAATAGTTCTCTCCCATTTTGGAACTCATACAACACCCATAGGCCATACCACTCATTTGGTGTTTGAAATCTCATAGCATTCTGGTTAAGAGCCAGTCTTCAGAGTTAAATAGAGCCTGATTTAAATCCCAGCTCTGCCAATTTACTAGGTGTGTGGCTGTGGGCAAGTTAATTAACCTCTCCATCAAGGAGCATGATCTTTGAACTGGAAAGAGAATTAAAGCCCAAGATAGATGAGGAGATAATAAAGGAGTCCTTAGCTGCCTTCAATGAGTTTCCAGGCCCACACAAATCACATTTGAGGCTGCTGAGAGAATGTGCAGATGTGATCACAGAGCCAGTCTTGGTAACCTTTGAGAAATTATGGCAAAGAGAAGACATGAGGGGTGCAAAGAGGCAGGGAAATATCCCAATTTTTAGTGAAGGTAGGTGGTGGTGGTGTGGGGTGCAAAATATAGATCCTGGAAACTGAAGACCAATGAGCATGGCATTTATCCTTGGCAAAAGTGTAGAATGCACTGTTAGGCAGATCGTTTGTGAGGCTTTAGAAAGGGAGCGGAAATCACTAGGGGTAAGCATGGGATGACTAAAAGCAAGACATGCCTAACTAAGTCCGTTTCCTTTTTGAAAAGGGTATCTAAAAGGATAGATCACTGGGATACCATAGTATACTGTATCTGGATTTCAGCAAGACATTTGAAAAAGTCTTATGATATCTTCATGAAGAAGATGGAAAAGTCAGAGCTGGGTGGTAGCAGGAGTTATATGGATTGTTTCAAGTTTGAACAACCTTATCAAAAGGGGAAGACTCTTAAGGTTATGCTGCAGTATTCTGTCCTGGACCCTCTCATTCAATACTTTCATCAGTCTGGCTGATCAAATACACATATAAAACATTTATTGATACAGATCATGCATTCTCAATGGGGGTGATATTGCCCCCAAGAGGGCAAAAATTGATTCTTGAAGAGTGAAAAAAAAATTTCTTTTTTACATGAAACAGAGATATACATACAGCAAATAAACAGATAGACAGCAAATAAACAGATAGACAGCATATCTGTGGTATTAAAATTTCACGGAGAGACATTGGGAAAAATATCTAAAAAGGCTCTTTAGGACCGTGATAATGATAAAAAAAGATTGAGAAACATTACTATGGAGAATATGATTTTGTATATGAGGCTCAAGATAAAGAAAGATCTTAAGGAGATAGATTAAAATAAACAAGGCAATGGTTTTTGAGAATGAATACAAAGCCCAGCATCCAGGTAAAATTAAAAGTCAATTGTACAAACCTAGAATCAGGCACATAGTAGTAGTTCATGCAAGAAACAACAGAGGATTTTGATTAAGCTACGGGCTGCACACTGAGTAGATTTATGCTCAAAAGACAACTAGAGTGGCAAAAAGTCTGTAAACCATGTCCTATGAGGCATGGTTTGAAAGAACTGAGGATATTTAGCCCAGAGGATGAATGACTTGGCGTGACATGCTAGATATTTTAAAGGGCTGTCATGTGAAAGAGGAATTAGAAATTGTTTGTGTGAAGCTATTTTTTCCTCAACCTAAGGAAGACCCTTTTAACAATTAGGAAATGATCAAATATGGAATAAGCTGTTTTGCATAGGGATGAGTTTCTCAGACTGTCAGAAGGATATTTCTGCACTGAGCAAGAGGATAAACATGGCTTCTAAGGTTCCTTCCAATTCCCAGGTTCTGTGATTCCCTGCTAGATTTACAAGTATGAAGGTGGAAAAGATGGCTAAAGAATATGAGCCCAGACAAAACATCCTCCGTTGATTTTAAAACCAAAATTCCATACCAGGGATATTTGCTTGAGGACTATCTCACTGTCTAGCTGAATGGTTGCCAATATTTAGAGGCCTAATTGCCCTGGACCCCTGTTTCCTTGTGCCCTACCTCTAGCTGAATTTCCATCTTGGCATAGAAGGTACAGAGGGAGTTGTAGGGAAATGCCAAGAAGGAGATCTCAGAGACCAGAGTTATAGAAATGCTCAGAACTGTTTTATGAAAACATTGGTATGGGCCCAGTGAGTGGAGAGAGAACATGCTTCCTGTCCTTGTTGAGCTCTATGTTGCTCACTTGTTATCCCCAACCCCCCTTATCTCTTACATCTTCAACTAGCCAGCAGGAGGGTTGGTGCAGGAGGAGGGGTAGAAGGAAGTAATTTCAGGTTCAAGGGTTAACAGTACACTGGTCAGGAAAGCTGAGGAATGAGATGATGAGCATCTTTACAGTTTGTGAAAATGAAACAAACAAAACAACTTGAGAATCATGTTCCTGGAATTGTGTCCAAATGAATGTCTCAGGTTGAAGGGACCAGGACTTTGACTGTGATGCAGTATAGTATTTATAGGGATCTTGCTTGGCCTTTCAGAGCAAAAACAATTATTTTCTCTCCTCTCACCTAACACAGCTGTGCAGAATCTTCATAGCCTGGTTGCTAGAAATTAGGGTTCTTATAGCTGCTGTGGAATAAACTCCATTCACTTTCCTCTTAACAATCCCTTCTCTCTGTCTTTGACCAAATGTTACCTGTTGTTTCACGAAGTGACCTTTTCTTCATTGCACCCCATTAGCTGCTCTTTCACTCCCAGTCACTTCCTGAAGTCCTCATCACTATCACAGATCTGCCTACCAGGGCCATGTCTGACCAGGGCCATGTCTGCAGCCTAGCCCATATTAACTTTGCCAACACTTCACCATTTTTCTCTGCATGTCCTCTCTCTAGTAATGTGCATGTCTGTGATATTAACCCTGGGACAGAAAAGTAAGAAATCTATCAGAATCCTCGCTGAAAGTCTTATTTCTCCTTGAAACCGAAAGAGCTTTCAAACGTGGCTTCCTGAGTTTTTCAGTTTGCTGGTGGGTGGGTCTGGAGTGGGCATCCCGTCTGCACATCTGGTAGAGGCACTTTCCACATTTTCCTCATGACTCAGGATCAGTTTCTGACTGCTGGGCGGGGCAAAGCCTCCTGAAGTTGCTGCGAGGCACCTCCCCCTGTGAGCAGAGCTTGGTACAGCCCAAATAGTTTTCAGGTTAAGAAAGCCAGAATCTTTGTTCAGCCACACTGACTGAACAGACTTTTAGTGGGGTTACCTGGCTAACAGCAGCAGCGGCAACGGCAGCAGCAGCAGCAGCAGCAGCAGCAGCAGCAGCAGGGCTCCTGGGATAACTCAGGTGAGTAGAGAGGGAATTCGCAAACTTACCCTGGAGTTTTATTTCCTGGATAACTTAGCGTCTAAGAAAGATGAAGAAACTTCAACTTTGTAGTTAACCAAACTCCACAGCTATATTTTATGGCTTGTCTGGATCAAATATGTGCCCGTTAATAGCAGTTTGAGAACTTCAAAAATAATGGAATTTTTGGTTGGTTATTTTGAGGGGTGTGTGGGGTGATGATTGTGGTTGTCTGGCAATGAAACTTTTCTGGGGATATCTGGTCAGTTTTTTGTGTGTGTGCACACACGCGTGCATGTGTATGTGTTTGCCTTCTGCTACCCAAAATACCTGGTAAGTGAGGAAAAATCACAGGGGATGGTGTTGAGGGGGAGAAGCGTGGCTCCTTTCAGGGCCTCCTTCTAGCTTCTGCTGACCCACAGCTGTGGGAAAATTATTGAAATGCGAGCAAAATCTTGGAGCCACACTGTGTGCAAAAGGCCTGTGAACTCTGGTAGGAGGGTGAGCAGGCTGTGCAGTGTTGTACAGGAGGAAGTGGTGGCCAAGTCTATCTTAACTCCCTGTCTGCACAGCCAGTGGTCTTCCTGCCCTGGTGACAGGTTGATCTTGGCTATTCCATTTTCAGCCTCTGGCCTGGCTTTGTTCCCCTCTGATTCCAGCTTTGGTTTAAACTTTGATTTCAAGATGGGGCTCCATCCTCCACTCCCAGGCCAAGTACACTGTTCTAGGGTCTTCACTGGACCACTTGATCAGAACTGGCTTTGGGTGGGGGACGGGAAAAAGGAGCGGTGCATTGTAATGGAAACAATTGGTTCTGAGGATTTGGAACTGTAAGTTTGCTGAAAAGCACATAGGAAAACTCAGCAAATTCTGCTGTCCTAACAATTACTTCTGGCTTCAGGATAAAACATCCTGGTTTGTATTATTGGTGTATTGAAATTCAGCTAATGCCTCATTTGCTAATCTTTATTGTGAAAGTAAGAACACTTTACAGTCTGAAGTAATAAACAAAAAAATTATTTGTGGACTGCTAATTAACTCTTTTATTCCTCTGGAAGTTTGTGTGTGTGTGTGAGCATGCTTATGTGCACGTGTGTGCCTGGGTGTGTGTGAATACTTTGTATTCAAATAGCGTTCTTTATTTGTCCTTAGACTCCCTAGCAGTCTAGGGAAAAAGTCTAAACACTTACATGGTCAGGAATAGGTTAAAAAGCAGGCTTTCCATATCCTTGGGAGTTTTCAGTTCCTAAATTAAAAGCAGAAAAAGTCCCTTTGTGACCCCAAAACAGTGTTTCTTTGATTAGCCTTGATTTGAAATCATCTCACCTTCTGACAGCTTGCAATTCAAAAACAAAACTTCTAAGTGCATTCTTGTGAGAAGAGTACAATATGAATTTTTAAAAGCAACGTCTTGCTTGACATATTGTGTCTGCATGTTTGCCCTCCTCCCCACCTTACAACAAATTGTGGTTTAAAAAAAAACGTTGGGAGGTCCCAGTTTTAGTGTGGGCTCTGTCACTAACTACATAACCCTGGGCAAGTGCCTTTACCTTACAACAAAAGAAAGAAGTTGTACTAAGTGATTTCTAACAGACTTTCCAACATAACATTCTATAAAATCAGAATTTGATTCTTGAAAGGCTGGAAAAGTAGACATATAGGATGGGCTTATTCGGCCAAAAGGGCAAGTCAGCCAAAAAAGGAGGGGTGAAATAGGGAGGTGTAGAGAATGGTGGAGGGGCAATTTTTATATTAGTCTTTTAAATGTTGGTGCATGTCTTATTTAAAGCACATGATCAAATTTCATTAGTTTCCCCTAAAGACAGAAAAGAAATTTAACTTGTTAAAATAAGTGCTTCCTAATACTACTGCCCTGCTTTAGCCTTATCTTTAACAATAAAGAGTATGTTCACATACATAATTTCATTACATTCTCCCAATAACACTCTGAAGTAGACAGGGAAGCTAACATATTCCCATTGTGCTATGTGGAAACTGAGGGACTGAGATGTTATGTATACTAAATGGTGATATTTTGGATTTGTTTCTGGATCTTGTAACCACCTGTGTTCCTTTTATCATTTTGAATTGCTTTTTATTTTTTGATAGAGTTATTGAGCAACCGAATTAAAATTGTGTCCTCTTTTTTTTCCTTTGAATGGCTTTGAACAGACTCTTCTCTCTGGGCCAGTAGGTACATCCTATATAAGGCAGTGGGCTGGATCAGAGGATCTCTGTGGTCCTTTTTAGACCCAGAATATCTGGTTAGAAGTTTGAATCTGAACAGCCATACATAAGTCCTGTGGTTAAATGCGTGCCCATGTATGTAAGCTATGACTCTGCCTGTGTACCTATGAAAAGCACTATTCTCTGTATACCATGTGGATGCTGAATTTGTATTACTTTTTCCTATCCAAGTCCCTTTTCTCTCACCATACCACCCCCCAGGTGTGGGGATAAGGGATGTGGATTGTGGGTAAAAGTGGTGCCTACTTCATGCCAGGGCAGAATTGGGTCTTCTGTATTCAATTTGTCTGCAAACTTTTATTGATTTTATCTTGATTTTTGCTCCAAGTACAGAACAGGGATGAAACTGAGGAAAAGGAGAAACTAGGCAGGAACAATGCCTCAGCCATGCCCTCTCTCCCTCTCCCCATTAAGTTCCCTCATGTTCTCTCCCACTCACCTAAATCCAAAGTGGCTTGTGAACCACAGACAGGATGTATTTTATCAGATTTTTTTAGAGCAAAATATGCTTTTTGCTCTAAGGCTAACCCGCAGGTTAAGAAGCAAGAGATTTTGCTTTCACGACTTGCCTAGCTTCCTCAAGCTTTCCAGTCCAGTGAGTAGAAAAAAAATACCTCTCTCTTTAAACTGCAGCCTTGTATTCTACGTGGCAGTCTCCCTCAACTTCCCTGGCAATTCTCAACTTTCTGCACTCTGGGCCCGCTCCTATCCTTTGCCTTGGCAGACACGGTTGTCCTCATATTCTTTCTCAAAGTGGTGGATCTGAATTATAATAATATTGCCTAAGACCATTACCTCAATGCTAAGCCCCACCACACTCTGCCTCACCCAACCGCTCATTCCACTAGCCCTCAGGCCACAGGGTCCCTCTTCTCAAATGTCCACATTGCCTTTGTTAGCTAGAGGCTCTCCTTGGTTTATATTCAAATCCCTGGGTTTATACTCAAAGCCCTAACTTTTATCTTGTCTCCCGACTTTCCTAATATGTGATCTTTAACGTAAGGGCTCTCCCTTCCCCATCGCCATCGGGTGCAATAGAACAGAAAGGAGGGAGTGTTCCCTTCTCTGCACTCATCCGTTCCAACAGAGTAAGTTGTTTATGACAAACTCAACTTACAAATTTCTGGGTTTCCAAAAGTATTCTGATGTTTAAATGATGAACCCGCCGATGTAAAGAGTTCAGATTCTCCCATGAACATCAAACCATGAAAATAAAGAACCTTTTCAATGTCTACCATGGCAATAAATTCTAGGCAGAATGCCTCAAAGTTGAGTATCATGTTTGCTTTGGAGGATTTCCTCATTTGAACTAAAAAATCCTTTCTCTAAGAAGGCAGTGACCAAAAGAAGCAGTGTGGTGTGATGGAAAGCTGCACACTGAATCTGGCATTGCACAGAACCTGGATTTGAGTTAACTCTGCCATTTTCTAGCTACTGCTTCTCTGAGCTGCCATTTCTGCAGATACAAAATGAAGGGCACAGATAATCTCATTAAACATGACTGCTATGATGAGAACCCGAACTAAAATGTAAAATGCACATTTCAAACAAGAAATTGCCATGCAATCACTAATTCTCCACATAAGACATTTATCTGTTCAACAAACATTTTCTGAACAATATTTGTGTGCCCAGCTCAATGCTAGGCAATGAGAGGGCTTCAGTGTATATTTTGCATTTATGGATCACTTTCTACTTATTCAAAATTCCTCTTACACCAACCATCTCATTAGGTACACCCATGGTGTAAGAGGGGCAGGGTAGATAACCTCACTTTCCTGATGAAAAATTTGAGGCACAAAGAGAACAAGGTCACAGAGCAAATGGATCACAGTTCTGTTGCCCAGTCAGAAATGCGGGTCACTTTTTTTTTTTTTTTTTTTTTTTTTTGAGACGGAGTCTCGCTCTGTTGCCCAGGCTGGAGTGCAATGGCACGATCTCGGCTCACTGCAACCTCCACATGAAGGTCACTTCTACTCTCCAAGTCCGAGAGGACTTGGGACTACAGTTGTACTGTAGTGGAAGTTCAGGCTCATAGTCTGCTCTTCTTTATTTACTGTGTGTCCCCAGAACACAGGCACCCTGACCCAAAAGGTGTTCCGTCAAGCTGTAATCTATCCATGTGAGCTGTACATTCTGCCTCTGAAAGAGTCTATTGGGATCACATGGGCTTTAAAAATCAAACCTGATTTTCCTTTCAATTGGTGCTACTTCTGTCTGTACACAGGCCCTCTTTATAACAGGGATTCCTTTTGCAGGATCTTGCCTGCCTTGCCATTTGACCGAGTAGTAAGGAAGACCTTTGAAGGCAGAACAGGAAATACTCATTTATCCAGAATGTCCAGGGACTAGGAGGTTCTGGCAAACTAAATATTCTAATTGCCCCAGGCTTTTCCACATTTACAGTCCCCAGGCTCTGGCAATTCACCAAACCTTCTAGGGAAAGCAAGAGGCGCAGTAGTGTTTGTTGTAAGTTTGAGCACACAAGAAAATTGGGATCCATTTGTAACAGCCTCCAGAAAGGAGTCTGGGCAAACATTCAGGTTGGCTCTGATGCTGCATAACTAAAAATTTTTACTGATACCATCCATGCTTTCAAATACAATGAAGTACACTTTAATATTTAAAACACATGAGCAGACAAATCTGATGAAAAAAGGGACATCAGTATTTTGCAGTGTCCCCACAGCTCTCAATTTTAAAAGCAATTGCCAATAAATAAGGCTATGAAAAAAATGTGGTTATTCTCAGCTTCTTATTCCTTGGATTCAGAGAAAGGGTAAGTTTGTTGTACATACATTGCAAATAACATTGTAATAACATTGCAAACATTTAAATTAAAAATTGTTATGGTTTTCAAATGGGGAAACTTCTTTACCAGTGAGGCATTTCAATGTGATACTGAAAGGATATAAAATGAACTAGTAGAGAGGTCTGATCAATATTTCACTTTTTATAAAACAGCGACTGCCTCACAGATATACCACACAGATACTCCTTAAAGTGCTAACGTATTCTCCTTATTTTTTAGCAGACATTCTGTAGCTTAGTCAGGTTTTTTTTGTTTCAACCCTCCTGTGATTATAGAATATAGACTTTAGTTATTTCTAAAATACATTTTGAAATAGTTGACACCATGTAAATTTCACAATCTCATTCTTATTTACTGTTGAATGCCAGGAGAGGATCATTAAAATCATTACAAATCTTTGTGAATCAAGAAAAAGCACTGAAAACCCTATTATCACCCCAAAGCTATTGAAAATCAAATTTGCCTTTCAAATTATCTTCCTAAAAACCAGTTGTTAAGAGCACTTGAGTGTGGGGCACTCTGATAGACATTGCTTGAAGAGCCACTATATGAATTCTCTGTTTAGCCATGTAAGGTTTTTGTTTTTCCTCCTTTTTTTTTTTTTAAAGAAAAGAAAGCAAGAGTGTATTGCCATGGGATAACAATCTATAGCCCACCAAATTAGTGTAATTGAATTTCAGAGTCTGCCTTTTATCACAGGCAAAGGATTATACATTAGACTTTTAAGAAGAAAGACCATACAATCTTTCTGTCTTTCCTTGTCTTTGGAGGCCATCTGCTGAGCTGTTTCTTGCAGTAGTCTTCCTGGCCAATAATAAAAAATGCAAAGCTCTTTAAATGACAAGACGGAAGAAATTGTGTAAAAAGACTTGCTGGAATGGAAAGAGGCTGCTTTTCCCCTCATGCACAAAGTGTGCGACTCTCCAGGGCACCAAATTATTCTGACTACAGTAAAGTGATTTTTCCCTTATCTTCAAGTTGTTCTCTGCCTTGAACTACTCCCTGCTGGTGTAAATGGAAGACTTCTCTTTAAATTATAATGAATCACATTTAATTCACAATCTTTACTTTTATTATTGATTTTTCCCCAATAAGATTAAGGCCCATATTGCCCCATTTGACAGATAAAGAAACTGAGACCCAAAATGGTTAGGTGCCTTACCCAAGGCCCCATACTAATTAGTTGCGGAGTGTGGACACTTCTTTCTTTGAAAATGGTGACATTTCCTTTAAAGCCAAACTAGAAGTGCCTAGCTCTGGGAAGAAGTCACTGGGATGACGGCTGTTTGTCTAATCTCAGGTAACCCTTAAAAGACCTGAGAAATTCTTCCTTCAAAGACAAAAATTTTCCTCATTCTAGGCATAGTTCAACACTATGGGTCCTCCTCTGAAGCTCTTCAAAAACCAGAAATACCAGGAACTGAAGCAGGAATGCATCAAAGACAGCAGACTTTTCTGTGATCCAACATTTCTGCCTGAGAATGATTCTCTTTTCTACAACCGACTGCTTCCTGGAAAGGTGGTGTGGAAACGTCCCCAGGTAACTTTCTATTTTACACATTCTGTCTCCTTGACCTCCTTCATCATACTTCTACGTGATCCACTGTTTCACTTACAAAGCCTACTGTGTAGACCAATTTAGAAGTTAACCTTCCTTCCTTCCTTTCTTTTTTTTTCAGCTTTATTGAAATATAATTAACAAATAAAAATTGTGTATGTTATGGTGTTCAATGTGATGTTTTGATATACATATACATTGTGAAATAATTACCACAATCAGGTAAATTAACGTATTCATCACCTCACATAAAGAAAACTTTATAATGAAAGTTCCATGGATCTGTGCTCCTGGCTCTAGCTTGGAGTCCTGAATTTTAGTCAAATTTTGACAGATTTACTTAGAAAAAACAACAAAAAAATACACTGTACCTTTTTGAGATTAGCTATTTAACCTTAAGCAAATTAATCTAAGATCCATTCAAGGTGTTCTGTGTATCAATAGTTGTTTTGTTTTTACTGGTGAGTAGTAATTTATGATAAGGATATGCCAAAATTTGTTCATCTAGTCACCCACTAAAGGGCATTGGGGTTGGTTTTAGTATTTTTTACTGTTACACATAAAGATGCTATGAATATTTCTGTACAAAAAACAGAGAGATATGCCAACCTTATTTTCTCTTGGAAGTTCATTTGAGTAAATATGGTAACACAAAAAGCAACTATGCTCTTGCCTCTTTACTGAGTTACCTGTCATAACAATTTAAATGTAATTTCAGACCAGTGAGGAGAAAAACTCCTTATAAAGTGAGCATAAATGAGACAAATTTTAAAGGGAGAAGATGAATTTTTCATGGGGGCAAGAAGGCTTCTTTGCTGCTCTATGGACACTGTCATCTGTATCATCCCACAACTGGACAAGTGGGCTTCAAGTAGAATTGTAGGTCTTTCACCACCTATTAGTAGTAACTATTAATAGTTGTTGTGGTTCTCTGTGCATCATCTGTATGTTGTGTCTCTAAAGCAAGTTTCAGAACCCTTTCACTAGTCCTACATGAGCAGGAGCTCAGTGTATAAAACAATAGGATGATGGAGTCTGGAGAATAAATTGCAACCTTGCTATACCTAAAGGGTATAACTGGATAGAAGGATATTGTACCTAAACTCCTTCTCAATGTAGGTGATGAGGTATATAGGCCACAGAAGGATGTTGTGAAATGCAAGTTCTTGGAACTTCATAATATCCTGAAGACATTCAGGTCCTATTTAATGAGGTTCCTTTCTGTGTACTATTATGGAACCATCTCAGGCATCATCTCAATGTTTGCCTCCCTCAAGTAACCCTTTTACCAACTATCACTTTTAGTTGCAATTTCCACAGCTTAAATTCCTAAATGGAGTTCTGCCAAGAGCTACTTCTGTTTATGCACGTTGCTACCATGTGGTGTCAAGATACACTGGTTACATCAAGACTTGTTTACTATGCAACTCAAAGGATATCTCTTAGTTTTTGCCTATAAAGAATGACAACCATTGAAAGTATGAGACTGGGAGAAGTTCGCTCTGTCTGAAGGAAAATTACACTCCTCCTGCCTTTCTGTGTCTGCAGTTATTGACATTCCAGCGGATCACTTAGCTGACCTGCAAGAAAAATCTAGGAAATGAGCAGAATTCATTAACCAATACTTTGGTATGCAGACAGGCTTTTTTTTTTATTTGCAAAAATACATGGAGAAAAATAGAGATACGTTGTCTGGGAGCCACTCTTATGAATGGATGGTGATAAATAAGGGGCATCCCTCTTTTCTGATGCTTGGATATGAAGGAAAAGATGTCAATAGGGCAAAAGTAGCTAAAAAGGAAGCAGGAAATTAAGAGAGGTGTATTGGGTAGGTGTCTTTCTGAAATAGGACAGACTTGAACATATTTATAGGCTAAGAAGTAGATGGTAAAGAAGAAGAGGTTGAAGACACAGAAGAGAAAAGGGATGATTGATAGGGGTGAGGTGGAGGAGGTGGGAGGAGATCCGATGGGCAGCAAAATTGCAAGCCAACATGAAGCCATTCCCCAGAAGTGCACCAAGCAGACAGTGTTTCCTGTACTGGCTGTCTTTAGACATATCCTTCCCCCTCTATCTTGGCTCAGTCCATTGTCCTTTGCCTTCATCCTCCAAATTCTGTGGATTGAATCCTAGATGGATTAGCAGGGAAGGAAAAAGTCTTAACAACCACGGCATTTTGCCTCTAAGGCAAACAATAGCCCTTCTAAAGTGAGAGAAAATCAGAGAGAGAGGCTGAACAGTGGGGATGGGTAGGAAAAAGAATCAACAGTCATGACATGCGTACTATGGGCCAGATACTGTGTTTGAAGTTTTCTATACATTATTTTACTTCACCCTTATTTACCATGGCTTAGCAAAGTAGGCATGTTAAAAGTTACTTTGATGCAATTCTGATTTCCTAGTTTAAAAAATAGCAGTAGATACATGCCCATTATATATCTTTATATAAAAAGAAACTGTGTCTTTAAGAGAAGGTAAGTATTTGCTCAGGGTCAGACTGCTAACAAGCTCGGATTTGCATCCACGTTTGACTGCAAAGCCTGCATAAGTTTTCACTCTATCATGCTGTCATATCAGGGAGATAGATAGAGTTAGTTGTTTGTGTCCCCTGTTTTCACCAAAATAGGTAGCTTCCCTCCAGTCAGTTCTCATATTCCTCTTCACTGTGTTGATGCCACACTTCCATTAATTGTTCCACACTCTCCCGTTTGAGAGCATGGTGTTTGCTTAATCTTATTAAGCCCAAAGGGAGGGTCACTAGAGAAATATTTACTGAACACTTACTCTATGCCAGCCTTGGTGCAAGACACAGACATGGCCTGTGGTGAGGCACTCCCATTCTAGTTGGGGAGATGGATATTGAGCTATCAAATAGTTAAAAAAGAAATGAATGTTGGATGTATGAAATGCTATTTTCAGTCATATGGACAGTAAATCATGTAGAATTTTTGAAGAAGGGGAGGTTACCATAGATTGGAATGGTTGGAGAAGGGGCCTCTTGTGGGGAGCAGGAGAAAAAAACAAGGTTCTGGACCACCATCTGAGCCTCCTCCAAAAGCTGTGGATTCCTTCCCAGCCAGAGTGGAGGCCAAGCCTGTGGTCAAGAACCACGTCAAAGTTCTCTGGCCTCCCATCAGGAAAGCTGAGAGACAGAGCTGGGCCTCTCTGAATTGGCTCAGGAAGGCCAGATGAGCCGTTGGCCTCCCCCACCTCATTGGCAAGGTTGAGATCCTGGTTTGCAGCGAAACTTACAGACATCTTGTCCCTTGGCATGCCATGTAGCTGCACACTTAACTGGGGCTATTTTCTGAAGTCTCCAAAATGGAAGCAACACGATTAACCTGATATTTTCTGTCTTTTTCCTTTCTCGTGTTGAAGGCTTTTGCCTTCGTAAGCCTCCATGCCTGCAAACACCACTGATAGTTTAACAAACTGACTCCAGTCAAGCTCCGCCCCTCGCCGCCTTGGCGCCCCCCCGGCCCCCCGCCGCCCCATTCTTGGGCAGGATTGAGTTCCCCTCCTCCCACTTGCCACTTCTTTGCTGTGTTTTAAGGAGCCTCTTCAGATGACAGGAATTATGAATGTCTTGCAATTGTTCAATGCCAGATCATCTGCCCATACCCTCCAGAGGAAAGTTCTTCTTAATTTCTCCAGCCGTCTATTGGCCTCAGCTGTTGTCCTAGCTTTCTGAATACACAGGTATATTACCTGAGACCATGTGCTCCTGGACTTTTCTATTCTCCTGGAGCTCAACATATATAGTCTTCATAAATTATAAGGTCTAACTTATACTGAGTTACAGTGTGATCATAAGACTGCCGGTAGGATTTTTAGGCTGAAATCTGCCTGCCAAATTCCCACAGAAAATCTCTTCTCCAGCTCCCTCCAGCCACTCTCCCCTCCTACCCACCTCTGGCGTTTTTCCTTACTGACTCATATCTACCTACAATAGTGTCTTAAAATCAGACACATCTAATCCCTGACTAAAAAGGAGTAAAGCCTCATGGGAATTTGCACTGTCAGCTGTGAGGAAAAAAGGGCACCTGCACAAGATCTGTCAGCTCTCCTGTCAAGTTTTAAGTTCAGCCTTCGCTACCATTGCCATTGCCTAGTCTTCCCCTCTAGAATACATTCCCCTGGGGCCATTTTACTACATTGTCTGGTTGAGAGTGGGAGGGTGATGAGGCTCTGGATTAAAATTATGGTAGTAGGAATGGAAGGGAAAGGCAGATAAGGGAAGACATTAGAAGCAGAATATACAGGCTTGGGTGACAGCATATGAGGGAACCGTAAGGAAAGAAACACTTTTCTCTCTGTGCTAATAGAAATTTCCAACCACCAGCTGAATGCAACACCTAGGTATAGTAGTTTTGGCCTAGTCTGCTCAAGAATTTCCTTTTCTTCCCAGAGACTATATCACCCCATGTGAGTAGTCCTAAGTGTTTTCCACTGTTTACACAATTGAAGAGAGTTGAATAGGCCCATAGTCTTTTCTCCAACTGTCCTATTTATTTTAAATTATGCATTAACAAACTTTAACAGCTTTATCGAAGTGCAATTTATATATTGTGAAACTCACCTGTTTTAAGTATACAAAGCAATGATTTTTAGTAAATTTAAAGTTGTGCAAACATTACCACAACCCAGTTGTAGAAGAGCTGCATCACTTCAATAAGATCCCTTGTGCACATTTGAAGGGAGTAATCCCTCCACCCTACCCCCACCCCTGCTGCAGCCAACCACTAATGTACTTTTGGTTTCTATCCAGAACTGCCTATTCTGTACATTTCACTTAAAATGGAATCATAAAAGTAACTGGCTTCTTTTTCTTAGCATAATGTTCTCAAGAGTCATCCATGTTGTAGCATGTATCAATTTATTCCATCTTATTGCTGAACAGTATTCCGTTGCATAGATATATAAATTCTTCCCAAAAAAGCAGTTCGGGATCTGTGCCTTGAGTCTCCTAGCAGAATCCTGAAGGTTAAAGTGAGAAAATGATTACACAGTGATTTGGTGGCCCAGTTTGGAAGTGGAGGTTGGGCCTAAGATCCTATTCTATTCTCCATATTGAGCTTTCCTTGGATGGGTTAGGAAGGAAGAGACTATTTTATTGATAATAAAATCTTCATGCAGAATTGAAACTCCCCAGTAGGAAAAGTGGACTTCTTGAGAGGCTGGTGCAACATTAGTCCCTGAGCCTAAGTCCACCTATAAATGCTCCATCTGGGGGATGGTTCAATTTTCTAAGTAAGATAACGACTACTTGGACTAGCTCACAAAACCCTCAGTTCCTGAATAGCAGTTCTGTGCAAATTAGCCCCTGAGCTTTCTGGGACTATTTAGACCCTGGACTTATTCATAATATACCTACTGCAGGCCTGACCTCACTTGTAGGTGTCCACACCCCTACCCCCTCACTACTGCTAGATTGCACGTAGCACTTTTGAAAGTGTTTCCACTATTCTGGCTGCTGGTTTTCTGGGCAGCTTTTCATTTTACTGAGGTTCCTGCGGTTTACCCTGGACCTCCATGTTTATTGTCAGTAAATTTCACCTGTGTAAAAAAAATGCTGAATTTGGATGTGGTAGGTGCAAAGGGAGTCACATAGAGTGCCTTGTGCAGGGCTACAGGACTTGTAACTGTATGCCCCCTCCCGCTCAGAGGTCTCTGGGAAGGAGGATGAAGTAAGGACAATGAGAAGTCCCTTAAGACTAAGCTAAGAGAACACACTTCCTAGAGAAGCTGCTTTGCTTAATGGAAGGTTTTGGCTCAGAAGTGGGGTCATGCGGGGACCATTTCAGCTTTACTCTTGGTACTCAACTTCCTAGTTGTGTGTTTCTTCCTAAGAAATCATTTTGCCGTGACAAAATGATCACTTCAACTGTGCCAGCACAGCTGGGAGCCATTAGGGGCTCAGCATCCCTCCTTGCTCCTAAGCCACCCAAATGTTGTGAATATGTGTGCTGTGACCTCTCCTCCAACCCCATTCCTACCACTCCAGCACAGCTCAAGCTGAAATGTCCCATCTGCACTCTGCATCTCAGCTTTGAGTTACAGAAAAATTTCTCGTCTTACATCCTTAACCCCAACAGGAAGATATCCAGTGTGTCCAAAATTAGGGGAGAAGTCAACAAACAGTCATTTTGTTGTTTTCAAATTTGTCACCAAATAGTCTGTTTGGCTGCTAGGTTTGCATTGGCTTATTACCCTTTACCCTTTCTAAATCCTTGGCTACTTTCTAGTCTTTTAATGCCTCACTTCCTTAAAGAGGCAGAAGATAGGGCTTAATAAAGGATTTATTTCCCGTATTTCATATCACGATGCTTACATATAGTAAGAGATTGATTCATATTTATTGAATTTAATTGAGCAGACTAACGCCTATTAGTGATATTCATCCTGGAACCAAAAGCTAAGAGGTAAGTAAATTTCCCAAAAGAGTGAAGAGTGTTTAGGTAGGTTTTAAGCAGAGGCATAAAACACTGGGATGAATGACTGAAAGAGGTAGTAGCATCTCTGTCCCTGAGGAGTTGCACAATATCATCCTTTATGTGGTGGCCATTGTTGAGCCTAAAGGCACAGGGATGGATGACTGAGGTCTTCAGCTTCTTTCTCTAGCCATATGTGGTTCTGAAAAATAAAAAACTTTAGGCCTAGGTCTCCTGCTGACTAGCTAGATGATCAGAGTAGCAAGTTATTGCCCCTCTCTGAGCTTGCTTCCTCATGTGAAAAATAGGCTTTACTAGATAGTCTCCAAAATTCATTCCAGTTTTGACATTCTATGACTGTTAACTTGTCATGTTTTAAATCTATTGTTAAATAGCCATCACGTATGAAAAGGGGTAAAGTATAACTGGAGAATGGGCCAGTTTATAAGAGGAAATGGAATGTTGTGGGGGGGGGGGTCCCAAATTTACATTCTCTCATGAATTTCACACAGCTTTTAATATATATATTATATGTACATACATGTATATACATAGACACATATAATATATAATAATCATATCCATCTTGGGTCAAGAAGAGAATAATTACCCCATTCCTCAATTTGAATTGTTTATATGTCTTTTTGCTCACTTATGTGACCCTTTATGTCTTCAATAGAAGTTGACATGCCAAAAGTGTTGGCTAAGCCTAGATACCTACTGTGAAATGAAAATTTTATGGAAATTCAAGACACCATAATGTATCTCCAACCACTAATAACTCTACATAAAATTAGCAAATAATTTGCCTTATTAATCTAAAAGCACACTTTTTCATATATCAGTGTTCACTTTATTGTTTTTCCATGTTAGGAAACTATGATATGTATTATCTAGGTCAAATAAATCATTATTTTTTTTTTGGAACGAAGTTTCTCTCTTGTTGCCCAGGCTGGAGCGCAATGGTGTGATCTCGGCTCACTGCAACCTCTGCCTCCCGGGTTCAAGCGATTCTCCTGCCTCAGCCTCCTGAGTAGCTGAGATTACAGGCGCCTGCCACCACGCCTGGCTAATTTTTGTATATTTAGAAGAGATGGGGTTTCACCATGTTGACCAGGCTGGTCTTGAACTTCTGACCTCAGGTGATCCACCTGCCTCGGCCTCCCAAAGTGCTGGGATTACAGGCGAGAGCCACCACACCTGGCCAGAAATTATTTTATACTTTGACATCTTGCTCAAAATAAAATGAAAACACCTGACCTGGGGAGGAAAAACTGTGCTTAGTTTCATTTTAGAAAAGGCCAAAAAAATGAGAAGAAAAAGAACATCAGGGTTTGACTTACCCAACATACCTGCTCTATGTTCAACAAGTGAAAACAAAGGCAGTTTGCAGCCCATAAAAAATATTTTTTAAGATAGAAAATTCTCCTAAAACAAAAAGTAGTTGTGAACTACCAGGCATGCATCTAAAAAAAAAGACCTGAGAATCCAAAGCTGACAACCTATCTAGCCATCTCCTTTTGGCAGAGGGATGCCCAGTTAATCTCCAGCTTGGACTTGTCTTTGCCCAGAATGCCTGCCTATTTCTTTCCAGAGTTATTTTGGCTTTTAAAGAATATATGGAATGTTTCATTCTGTAGACCAGACCCTTCGTCAAGGAGAATTATGGCCATTAAAAAAAGAGGTTTGAGGACCAGAAAAATATAGCTGTCTCTAATACTTTTTAAAAGGATATATGTCTAGATTCCATTTGAGACAAGGATTTATTTCTGCTGCGTAAGCAGAATGTCAAGGTACCGGCCAATGGCCTCCTCGTGAAGCTTTCTCCATCTAGTCAAGAATGCATTGGTATTTCCTGCCTTTGAACTCTTCAAATGCTGATACTCTGAGTCACCCAATTATGTCTTCAACTATGTAGTGTCATGTATGCCACAATGCCTTTGCCCATGCCTTTCTCTCTACCTGTTATGCCACCGTACCCCTCTCTTGTCCAACTGCCTAATTCTAGTCAACTCCAGTGTTAACAACACTATGAATCCTATTCTGACTGTGATCAGGAGAATTATGGGGATTCTTCCTTTAGACATGAATTATGCTTTGAAAATGACTCTACTGTGCCCTATCGCTTTGTGTTATAATTGTATCATTTAGGTATCATTTTCCTACTCCCAGTGGGAAAGGCACAGTTAATATGTTGGGGGGAAGATACACACATACATTCCAAACAAATACTGCCCCCACTCTGCCCAGATCCCCTCAGGACCTTCACTGGGAAGAGTGTCGGTTGAAGTGTTCCTGTGAGTGGTTTATTACCACTTGCTATTAATGCTGCTGTCATCTATATTCATCCACAAATGTAGAAAAATCTGGTTGCTATGGAGACCACTGTTGCTTTTGCTTTATGTTAGAAAAGGGCTTCCTATAAGGTCTCCTAACTGGTTTTCCTAGAGAAGGAGATGAATTAATGTTAACCTTCATTAGACCTTGTCTCTTTAATACAATCTCCCTTCCAAGCACAGGTGCTTCAGAAAATCTCATCCTGGCAAAATAGGATCAGAATGTAATGTACTAATTCCTAGTTATTATTTTTTTGGAAAGTTCACTGCTGTGGTGAAAACTCTCCCAAACCCCAATGATAGCTATGTCTAAGAGCCCTCACCACCGCATGGCACCCAATCTCATGACACCCTCTCCTTTCATTTCTCCTGCCACTTCCAAACATGGGGCTAGATGATCAACTGTTTTTTGGTTTTCCTTATAATCCCCTCAGCCTTCCCTTCATCCCATCTATGGAAATCCTACTTATTTTTCAACCCTAACCTTATCTCCTCTATGAAGGCTGTCCTGCCTAGTTCAGCTCACAGTGACTCTTGAGAAACTCTTCCCAGACTCTCATATAACCAATTATTGTATTCATAGGACATCTGTGATGACCCCCATCTGATTGTGGGCAACATTAGCAACCACCAGCTGACCCAAGGGAGACTGGGGCACAAGCCAATGGTTTCTGCATTTTCCTGTTTGGCTGTTCAGGAGTCTCATTGGACAAAGGTATTATCCCTCCTGTGGGACCTCATTCAGTTTCCACTTTCTTGTCTTCTTTAATAACTTTAGGAAAAAAATCAGCGCATAACTTCCTTAGATTGTTGTATTTCTTGAAAGCAGAGATATTAACTAGGCGACTTCCCTCCATTTCATTATAAGAAGTTTTGCAAACACAGAAAAGTTGAAATAATTTTATAGTGAACACTCATATACCCACCTAGATTCTACCATTAACATTTTACTCTACTTGCTTTGTCATATATGCTCACTGATCTTTGGTTATCATTTGCCGTGCATTGACTCAGTATCTCTGCATATTATGTTATCTGTACCTATTGGGGTATAAAGTCAGTAGAAGCCAGGAAGTCAATAATACATATTAATAACAAAAAAGGTGAGAAATACAGAAGTAGGACTTGAAAAGTTCTAATAAATTATTAATAGTACAAAAATTCCTTTAGCATTCAGGTAGAGGTCAAGGCAATGAAGTGTTAACTTGACTTGGGACAAAGTTAAAACATTTTCCTCAAAAAATAATTTTAGAATATTAATGTGTAGCTGTTATACAAAAAAAATTCCTAAACATGATTTTATTCAAAATGCAAATGAAATCCATATTTAATATAATTGATATAAAATCTCTAGAATGGATATTTAAAAAGCAAACTACAATGGGCCTTGATTTTGATTGGTTTTGCTCTTTAGAATGCCTTGCATTTTAAACATGCAATCATGAATATGTTTATATAGTCCGCTTCTCAACATCTAGTTTATAGATTATTTGTGGAAAGCATTTAACCACTAACTGGTTGTCCCAGCCACACTGTGTACTCCTGTGTGCATTTAGACAGGCATGGTGATATCATCCTCAGCAAAACTGAACTGAGGAAGCAGAAGTTGTGGGCAAAATGCCATATCTAGGAATTTCCAATCCAGACTCAAACCAGGTGTATGTGGCATGCTTCCTGTTGCCCTGTAGATTTGCCAGGAGTAAACTGTAATCTCAGTTTCTGGATGTGGTCTGGTGAATAACACTTGATTAAATGTTCTTGCATTTCTAGACAATTCCCAACCATAAGGAACAGGAATGGGACCCTCAAAAAACAGAAAAATACGCTGGGATATTTCACTTTCGTTTCTGGCATTTTGGAGAATGGACTGAAGTGGTGATTGATGACTTGTTGCCCACCATTAACGGAGATCTGGTCTTCTCTTTCTCCACTTCCATGAATGAGTTTTGGAATGCTCTGCTGGAAAAAGCTTATGCAAAGTAAGGAGGTGATTGACTAGTCTGCTATCAGGGTACATGAGGAAAGGAAAGCCACATTTATCTTTGGGAGCTCATTCTCTCCCAGCCCAACCCTGGAGTTTAAGTTGGGTAAGATGTCAGTCAGAACCAAGGCATTGCTTTGCACTTGGGCCTGGCTCTCAGAAATCTTAGATGAGAGAGAAATCAGAGGTTCTTGTTTCCATTTAAACTCTTACCTGCTCCCAGGTACCCTTTCCTCCTGCTATCTGCAGATCACATGGCACTATCACTTCATTTTTTCTTTATCTCATATCTCCCCGTAGAAAGAAGTTTCTGCATAGACTGTCCTTGATCAACATAGCCTAAGCCTAGAAATTTCTGAATATAATTTCAAAACATCTCTCATTTCATACCTAGAGAAAAGCCATCTGGTAAAGTCTAGGCAGGGGATGTTCTGATTCTTTAGATTATGATGTTCTTGACCTGGAAAAACAATTTTACAAAGATAACCTTGCATACTTGCCCTCAGGCTGCTAGGCTGTTATGAGGCCCTGGATGGTTTGACCATCACTGATATTATTGTGGACTTCACGGGCACATTGGCTGAAACTGTTGACATGCAGAAAGGAAGATACACTGAGCTTGTTGAGGAGAAGTACAAGCTATTCGGAGAACTGTACAAAACATTTACCAAAGGTGGTCTGATCTGCTGTTCCATTGAGGTTTGTACTCATGAAAAACAACCACTGTATACTCATTCCTGGCAGAAGAGACTACAAAGTTTGGTAGGGAAATTCGCCCTTAACCCGAAGACCCATGAAAAACTATTAATGGGACTTGGAAAGCTAAAATACACATTTTGCCCTGGTGTGGAAGCTGAGGTGCTTTAGTTTTTTATCCTTTTGTACCAGTCATTCCACATGGAACCAATGCAGCATCCAGGCTTGTGTCAGTAGCCTCTGCTAAATTATTCCTCTTGTCTCTGCTTCTAGATCTTGAGGTTATGGCTGCTTGCTCAATAAATGAATCTGCCCCATCAAATTTTATGGCAGTTCATATTAATGTCCTACAGTGGATAGTTTGAATCTGACTTGTTTGAGTTGTTATATTACATTCTTTATTTATTTTCCTCTACTGTTTTTGTTTCAAGTTGGGTGTCAGGATGAAATTTCCATCTGTGTGAGAACTAGCTTCAATCCTACTGGGTTAAGCCAATTAATGAAGAAGAGGAGTCAGGATTGGGTCTCCCAATTCCTGTGCCTTTATATATCTTTCTTTGCTCTCAGTCTCCCAATCAGGAGGAGCAAGAAGTTGAAACTGATTGGGGTCTGCTGAAGGGCCATACCTATACCATGACTGATATTCGCAAAATTCGTCTTGGAGAGAGACTTGTGGAAGTCTTCAGTGCTGAGAAGGTGTATATGGTTCGCCTGAGAAACCCCTTGGGAAGACAGGAATGGAGTGGCCCCTGGAGTGAAATGTGAGTTGCATTCCACTTTCACAGCTACATCTCCAAAGCCCTGTAGTTCTCCCAGACCCATCCCTCCAGACTGCTAGTGTGCTGTCAATGCTCAGTGACATCTGTGGGCTTTTGTCAGGCACGGGGTCTGTGACCCAGCCGCAGATGAAATAAAGCAGGACTGATCCTCATGCACTCTGTTTCTCTGGCATCCTACTTACTACAAGAAGTCAATGGCAAACATAATGATTTATCTTTTTTTTTTTTTTCTATTTACTTTCAGTTCTGAAGAGTGGCAGCAACTGACTGCATCAGATCGCAAGAACCTGGGGCTTGTTATGTCTGATGATGGAGAGTTTTGGTGAGGAGGGGTTTCTGCACTAAGGGAATTGGGGCTTCTACATGGAACTACAGTGTTAAGTATTAAATACCATCTTTATTTTTTTCCTGTGCTCCTTCCATTCAGGATGAGCTTGGAGGACTTTTGCCGCAACTTTCACAAACTGAATGTCTGCCGCAATGTGAACAACCCTATTTTTGGCCGAAAGGAGCTGGAATCGGTGTTGGGATGCTGGACTGTGGATGATGATCCCCTGATGAACCGCTCAGGAGGCTGCTATAACAACCGTGATACCTTCCTGCAGAATCCCCAGGTTTGAGTCAATTACTTTATTTGCCTCAAAGTTATCCAGTCAATAGGAACTCAGATCTTGCTTTGGTCATCTCTGGAGTATTTCTTTAGCATCAAATCTTCCTTTTGCAGCTATTGTGTAATATTCAACAACCAGGATCCCTACGGATTGTCTCAGGTGCTTGTAAAACACAGCAGACTATGTCTTTTTGCAGAGACAGACTTTGGCAGCAGTATCAAATCTGAATCACCTCCTCTGGCTGCCTCTCTTCTGGCCATATTGTCTGGTATGGCTCTTTGACAATCCCTGCTTCCTTGTGATGGTCCCATATTGGAGAGAGAAGATCTGCTTTGAGATGCTCCCTCAATTCTTCCTCATTTCTCTTTACTGCCCAGCTGTTCTCTGGGGTGCACATTTACTATATTCTTCCTCTTTCTAATGCAGATGACTCTTTTGAACCCCATTATTATGCCTCCATTTTATCATCTAGATCCAGGTCATTTTTCCCAGGATTTGAATCATTGCCCTGTCAACGACTCTGTCCCATCCATCTCCCATTACAGTGCTATTCCAGGTGACATAACAGGGTCAAGTCCACGCACACTCCAGAGTAAAAAATCCAAACATCTAAAGGCTGAATCTATAATAACCTGGATGGTTTCATCTCAAAATGTGCTGATGAGCTAACTCATAGAAAACAAGAATTCTGACTATATTGCTGCCTCACTGCCCATGGGTGCGTCTTTTCTTTTCATGGATCTCATTGGTCAGGCATTTAGGAGAATATGGAGACTAGTGGGCTGATTCACCTAACTCATACTGCTCTTCCACCCTTCCCATCTTAATTGTTCCTAAAGAAATATCCTATCTCCCCCCACACACACCACCTCACCTCCATTTACAACTCTGGAAATGTTTCAAGTATTAGGCACATATACTAAGCTGGGAAAATGGCTTCACTCTATATGTATGTACAGGATTGAACTTAGGGGCCTTAGTTCAGAGTCTGTTTTTAAGTCCTCCCTCCCTCCCTCCCTCCCTCCCTTCTTTTCTTCCTACCTTCCTTCCTTCCCTCCCTCCTTCCTTCCTTCCTTCCTTCCTTCCTTCTTTCCTTCATTTTAGAGATGGGGTCTCACTTTGTTGCCCAGGCTGGAGTGCAGTGGCATGATCACAGTTCACTGCACCCTTGAATTCCTGGGCTCAAGGGATCCTTCTGCCTTAGCCTCCTGAGTAGCTGTTTTATGTTTCCTTCTAAAGGGAGAGAGGAATGGAGACAGAGACAGAGAGAAAAATCTGATGCCTTTTAGTTTTATCTCCTAATAGCACCGTGATTCCCCAGATGATGTTTGGAAAGTCTCTGACACAGGCTTGTAGCTTCCTTAAAGTGGAAGTAGCAAAACATCAATTCTCCAAGGAGCCCTTCCACAAGCTGTATGTCTGGCTGGCAAAAGGAGGCTAGCCCAGGGTGATGCTGTAGTGTCAGGTTGAGTCAAATAAATACCTTTCTGTCTTTATGGATTCCAAACTTTTTCTATATATGGCATTTAAATACAAAGGGATAATAATAACAATAATAATAATAATAATACAATAATTTACCAAGAACTTATTAGAACAAAGCATATCCTCTTTGGCATCAAAGGCTAAGAATAAGGTTGTCCTTCAACACATGCTGAATGACATAGAAAGAAACAAGTGTTAATGGTCTACGCTTAGCAAGTCAGTGAATTATCCAAGACCTTGTTGTCTGATAAATATGAAAGCCCAGAAAATAACTCAAGGCTCTGCTTCCCAATGACAAGCTTTATTCCCTGAAATTTAAGCTCGTTCATATGAAATGGGAATGCTAACTCACCTCTGTGGTGGTCTCTTTCCCTTAGTACATCTTCACTGTGCCTGAGGATGGGCACAAGGTCATTATGTCACTGCAGCAGAAGGACCTGCGCACTTACCGCCGAATGGGAAGACCTGACAATTACATCATTGGCTTTGAGCTCTTCAAGGTAAAAATGGGCATTTGGGGCAGAGAGAATGAAGGCAAACAGAGTAAAAATTAGGATAATTTAATGGTAGGGGAAGAATGGAAGGCCTAGGGATAAAAAAGACAGAGCATACAAAAACCATGATTTGAGTGGAATTGAATATTTTACCCTATTTCATTTCCAGGTGGAGATGAACCGCAAATTCCGCCTCCACCACCTCTACATCCAGGAGCGTGCTGGGACTTCCACCTATATTGACACCCGCACAGTGTTTCTGAGCAAGTACCTGAAGAAGGGCAACTATGTGCTTGTCCCAACCATGTTCCAGCATGGTCGCACCAGCGAGTTTCTCCTGAGAATCTTCTCTGAAGTGCCTGTCCAGCTCAGGTTCAGTTTCCTTCGCAAGCCCTCAAACCCCTGTTCTTTGCTTTACTTCCAATCCTAAACCCCTTCACCCGTCTCCCCTCTTCAGACATTCAATGGGACAACTTGTTTAAATCAGACTTGATTCACTGAAATCATGGTGGTAAAAATATTTCTCAAAGGGTGGTTGGGGGAAATTCCCCAGTGAAGGTCTGAACTTCAGAGCTCTGAGCTACCCTTAAAGAGGAACAGGCCTATAGTCTAAGTTCTTCCACATCAAATTTGTCTTCTGTTTTCTGGCTGATGGCCTCTTTTCTTAAGTAGGTAGCACTCCTCCCTGCTCTTCTATTATGTTCTGTGTGCTGGATCACCAAAGCCACCTTTTTGTCCCAGCCCTGCCTACTTTGATCTTTATCTCCTGGCCCTTAAAGAAAGGAGAAAGGAAAGCATGCTTAAAATATATATAAGACATATCTGAGGAGGAATGGGCTAAGTCACACAATGTCTCATGCTTTTCAGCAATGATGTCTGCTTTGGCGGGCTTATTTCATCAAAGGATATTTATCATATGATGACAATATTTTATTTTTGATGTTCTAGGGAACTGACTCTGGACATGCCCAAAATGTCCTGCTGGAACCTGGCTCGTGGCTACCCGAAAGTAGTTACTCAGATCACTGTTCACAGTGCTGAGGACCTGGAGAAGAAGTATGCCAATGAAAGTAAGAATGGCAGGAATGTCTGGGAAAGCAAAATTCAGTTGCATTTATAGCACATAAGTTAGAAAACATGATCACAAATGATTTTCTCCAGCGATATTTTGTCTAGAGAAGTTGGGAATGGATGGCAACCATGGCAGAGGATGGGATGTCAACTTCAAGCAAGGCCTACATTAGATTCATTTTCATATTCCTATATAAAATATGGAAAAGGAAAGGGAAGTGGGAATAAAAGTGTTGAATCTCAGTCATTCTGGTGCTCGAGTGCTATGCTGAAAGTCCCAGAATTGGCTTAGCGAGATACCTTCTTGTCTATCTAGAAAAGGAACTTTAATTGCTGTGTTAAAAACATATGTCACTTTGTTCCAGCTGTAAACCCATATTTGGTCATCAAATGTGGAAAGGAGGAAGTCCGTTCTCCTGTCCAGAAGAATACAGTTCATGCCATTTTTGACACCCAGGCCATTTTCTACAGAAGGACCACTGACATTCCTATTATAGTACAGGTAAGAGTGTGTACAGGGGTCGCCAGAAAGGCTCATACTTTGTACCAGATACTAGATGATCCCAAGTACCTTATATATGTTTAGGATGCAGAGCAAGAATTATCGTATTTTTTGGTTTGTTTTATACTCAAAAACTCTTCTCATCAAGCATGGACACTGACTTCCTTATTACCATCCATCCTAAATCTCCTCTCTTCCATTTATTTAATTGTGGGCAAAAGCCCACATGCTCACCAGTACACATGTTAACACACGTATCATAAAATCCCATGGAGGAAAGCTTATGCCAGTTCAGAGGACCCTCACATGGCTAGGTCAGGATGAATCACTGCAGTTTGGCAGTTTTTCTGACTTAATACTCCTGACCAGCAGCCTTTAGGTAACCATCCCACAGGTCAAGAACGACCCGGAGATTCTGTTTTCTGGCTTTTCATGTATATTCTTTGAGGTATCCTCCCCTCAACTGATGGGCTATCAGGAAAGGACAGAATAGTCTCTTGGTTTTAAAACAAATCTTTTGAAGCTCAGCATTAGATCTGGATGTCACTGGGCAAAGGCTAATCTCACTGAGGGCTGCTCATCTTCACTCCCTTCGTTTGTCTTTCCAGGTCTGGAACAGCCGAAAATTCTGTGATCAGTTCTTGGGGCAGGTTACTCTGGATGCTGACCCCAGCGACTGCCGTGATCTGAAGTCTCTGTACCTGCGTAAGAAGGGTGGTCCAACTGCCAAAGTCAAGCAAGGCCACATCAGCTTCAAGGTTATTTCCAGCGATGATCTCACTGAGCTCTAAATCTGCAATCCCAGAGAATCCTGACAAAGCGTGCCACCCTTTTATTTTCCGTCAGGTGCCAGGTCTTAGTTAAGATTCACAATCTTTAGAAAGAATGAGATTCACAATAATTAACTCTTCCTCTCTTCTGATAAATTCCCCATACCTCCCAATCCAAGTAGCATCTGTAGCTACATAACCTATATACCTCCAGCAGCTGGACATGGGGAGGCGACAGTCCTATCTAGACATCATACACATTTGCCAAGAAAGGATCTCTGGGGCTTCCGGGGGTGAGATTCAAGTAGGACAATAACAAGAGGCTGGACACCCTACAGATGTCTTTGATGTTTTCAGTTGTTTGATATATCTCCCCTGTAGGGCATGTTGAGGAAGGAGGAGGGCTGATCAAGGCCAAGCTGGTCTAGCCTGACATCCTAGCTCCTGACTGAACACTATAGACTTCCCAGCAGCATTTCACCCAGCAGCCAGAGCCGGCTTTAAGTCCCCAACCCTTACAGACACCACTGCCACCACCACCAACCACGACCACCACCACCACCACCACTCACCACCATCATCACCTCCGGAAAGTGTAGTCCTGCCCTAACCCAAGTCACCCCCGACAGTAAATTTTACCTTCATGTTGAGAAAGCTTCCTGGTGCTTAATCAAGAGCTGGAGTTCAATGAGTCCTAGACAGTGAGAGGGGCCTGAGCTTCAGCTCAATGGAAGCCTGCTGTGTGCCACAAGACGGAAAAGTGGAAGAAGCTGCAGTGGGAGACAAAGCCTCGGTCCCCCACCCATCCACACACACCTACACTCACACACGCGCACATGGGCGCGCACGAACTACCATTCAGGCAGTCAGTGGGCAAGAGGAAAGATAAGTAAGTACCATACACACCTAAAAGATGAGAGAATTCATCCAGACATATTACAGCCAGTTTGGGGCCCCTGACTGCAATGTGAAACCTCTCGCTGCTGCTAGGTTTACAAACAAGCCCATTGTCCTGTGCCTCCTAATATCATTTGTACTGAAGACCCCATCTGGGGACTTGAGACTTTGGTCCCAGCCCAGACTCCTCAGACTTTTCTCTCAGTTGGGATGCTTCACTCGCTGGGGGTGTTTGTTTGCCCTCTCATTTTTCAGTACTTCTACAGAATTTTCTCTAGAGTCAGTCATTATGAAATGTACTTCCCTCCATCTTAACCTATCAACTTTCTGCCCCTCCTTCAAGGCCCAGTATAAATGCCACCTCCTCCATGAAGCCTTCCCTAATTCCACCCCAAACCCCCACCTTCAACAATATTTCAACGCTTCTGCAATGATGAAAAAGAAACATAGTTGTAGTACTTAGCCTACCTAGACCAGCAAGCATTCATTTTTAGCTCGCTCATTTTTTACCATGTTTTCCAGTCTGTTTAACTTCTGCAGTGCCTTCACTACACTGCCTTACATAAACCAAATCACAATAAAGTTCATATTCAGTACATTGATCAGTCTTGACTTGAATTGATGGCATGGGATGGATGGCAAGAGTGACCATCTGTTAAGACTTGTTTCAAAGCCACTGGAGGTGGGGGTTGAGGTACTTCATGAAATCTGAGCTCAGGTAAAAGTGTGATGGATTCAAAAGCCCTGGCTACACTCTGATGGTACAGTTCTTTGCATTCTGGGGTAGTTGGAAGAATGAAGAGGGGCCTTTATTTCATATTTAGGGACAGCTAGGTGCTATTCGGGGTTACTTGAGTTTGAAACTCCTATTTGGGATTGGACTCGAGGCCATAGGTACAGTAGCCAAATCTTTCAAGGGAAGATCTCTCAACAAGACAAAATACCAACTCCCCTTTCCCAGCATCTTCCTTAGAGCCGAAGGGATGTGTGAAGACTTCACTCATTTGCTTATACAACCTGCCATCTACCATCTTAGGGTAGGCAAAGGGGAAAATTCTTATTTTTCTTTCTGACATGAAAAAGTGCCTAACCAGGGGAGGGATCTCCAAAGGAGTAGCTCAGGAGAACAGTTCTCAAGTACAGCCCTCACTGTCTGTCCCTATAACACTAACCCAGAACACACTAGAGATTTACATGTTGTAGATTTTTGTTAGACATGAAATATCCCATGTGGATAATGCAGTCATTCCATATGGTCACCAGATGGCACTATGGTATTACAATTAAGCTCAAAGATGCTACTGCTTTTTTTTCCCCCCAAGGATGACAATTTTTCCCCAGACAAAAAAGGGTAGAATGCCCTCTTTCACCACTCATATTCAACATAGTATTGGAAGTTCTGGCCGGGACAATCAGGCAAGAGAAAGAAATAAAGGGTATTCAAACAGGAAGAGAGGATGTCAAATTGTCTCTGTTTGCAGATGACATGATTGTATATTTAGAAAACCCCATAGTCTCAGCTTAAAATCTCCTTAAGCTGATAAGCAACTTCAGCAAAGTCTCAGGATACAAAATCAGTGTGCAAAAATCACAAAGCACTCCTATACACCAATAACAGACAAGCAAAGAGCCAAATAATAAGTGAACTCCCATTCACAATTGCTACAAAGAGAATAAAATACCCAGGAATATAACTTACAAGAGACGTGAAGGACCTCTTTAAGGAGAACTACAAACCACTGCTCAAGGAAATAAGAGAGGACACAAACAAATGCAAAATAAAGCCATGCTCATGGATAGGAAGAATCAATATTGTGAAAATGGCCATACCGCCTGAAGTAATTTATAGACTGAATGCTATTCCCATCAAGCTACCATGAACTTTCTTCACATAATTAGAAAAAAAACACTTCAAATTTCATATGGAACCAAAAAAGAGCCCACATAGCCAAGACAATCCTAAGCAAAAAGAACAAACCTGGAGGCATCATGCTACCTGACTTCAAACTATACTACAATGCTACAGCAACAAAAACATCATGGTACTGGTACCAAAACAGATATATAGACAAATGGAACAGAACAGAGGCCTCAGAAATAACACCACACATCTACAACCATCTGATCTTTGACAAACCTGACAAAAAGAAGCAATGGGGAATGGGTTCCCTATTTAATAAATGGTGCTGGGAAAACTGGCTAACCATATGCAGAAAGCTGAAACTGGATCCCTTCCTTACACCTCATACAAAAATTAACTCAAGATGGATTAAAGACTTAAATATAAAACCTAAAACCATGAAAACCCTAGAAGAAAACCTAGGCAATACCATTCAGGGCATAGGCATGGGCAAAGATTTCATGACTAAAACACCAAAAGCAATGGCAACAAAAGCCAAAATTGACAAACGGGATCTAATTAAACTAAACAGCGTCTTCACAGCAAAAGAAACTATCATCAGCATGAACAGGCAACCTACAGAATTGGAGAAATTTTTTGCAATCTATCTATCTGACAAAGGTGTAATATACAGAATCTAGAAGGAACTTAAACAAATTTACAATAAAAAACAATCGCATCAAAAAGTAGGCGAAGGATATGAACAGACACTTCTCAAAAGAAGACATTTATGCAGCCAACAAACATATGAAAAAAAGCTCATCATCACTAGTCATAAGAGAAATGCAAATCAAAACCACAATGAGATACCATCTCACACTAGTTAGAATGGCAATCATTAAAAAGTCAGGAAACAACAGATGCTGGTGAGGATGTGGAGAAATAGGAATGCTTTTACACTGTTGGTGGGAGTGTCAATTTGTTCAGCCATTGTGGAAGACAGTGTGGTGATTCCTCAAGAATCTAGAACCAGAAATTCCATTAGACCCAACAATTCCATTACTGGATATATACCCAAAGGATTATAAATCATTTTACTATAAAGACACATGCACATGCATCTTTATTGCAGCACTATTTACAATAGCAAAGACGTGGAACAAACTCAAATGCCCACCAATGATAGACTCTATAAAGAAAATGTGGCACATACACACCATAGAATACTATGCAGCCATAAAAAAGAATATGTTCACGTCCTTTGTAGAGATATGGATGAAGCCGGAAACCATCATTCTCAGCAAACTATCATAGGAACAGAAAACCAAACACCATATGTTCTCACTTATAAGTGGGGGTTGAACAATGAGAATGCATGGACAAAGGGAGGGGAATATCACACATCAGGGCCTGTTGAGGAGTGGGGGTCAAGGGGAGGGAGAGCATTAGGACAAATACCTAATGCATGCAGGGCTTAAAACCTAGATGATGGGTTGATAGGTGCAGCAAACCACCATGGCACATGTATACCTATGCATGTTCTGCACATGTATCCCAGAACTTAAAACAAAATTTTAAAAAATTTAAAAAGGGTAGAAAAGAAAAGGAACTAGCATTTTAAATTATCTGCTGTGTATCAAACTCCACATTCAATGCTTTACATATGTGATCTCATTTTAATGCCCATAACAACCAAATGGAGTGCCGTTATTATCCCTGTTTTTGAAGGATAAGAAAGTTAAGGAAAAGAGGGAGGCAAAATAACTTGCTCATGGATGTTCATCCATTAACAACAGATGGCTTTGGTATGATTGTTTTTATTTAACTCCGGAACTTGGGCATTTTCCATAGAAATATGCTGTCTTCCAGAAGGTAGTGACATCTAACCTTGGTACAGTGTGTATCCACAGCACTGTACCAAGAACTGTGCAGGTAACATACCAAATACTTTCTCTCAGAATCTTTACCTCTAACTTATACTTCATGTATGTATAGCATCTGTAGGTAGACTTGGTCTTGCCAAAAAAAAATCAATGCACTAATATATATGAGCATGTCTTTGATACACACAACAAAATTGAACCTCAAAATAATTATGCTGGGAGAAAGACCTCAGACAAAAAAGGGTACGTACTGCTTGATTTCATTCATATAAAATCTAGAAAATGCAAAGTACTCTATAGTGACAGAAAGCACATTTATTGCCTGGGGAGGTGGGAAGGGAAGAGAAGAAAGGAATATAAAGGGGCCCAAGGAAATTTTTGGGGGTGATGATTATGTTCACTATCTTGGAACTACTTGGTATCTTGATTGTTGTGTTGGTTAAATAACTGTGTGTGTTTTTCAAAATTCAACTGAGTTGTACTGTAAATAAATTTTTTTAAGTGAAGCCTTATAACCACTTCACGATCCTTCACTGATCTTTTAAAGTTTACATATATTTATATCTAAATACACATAAAAATACATATATCTAAATACATTTTTAAAACTCCACCAGGAAATGTTATAATTTGTGCTTTCAATAGCAGTACGTATTTTAAAGAACTTAAGAGGAGAAAAATAGTTTTTTAAAATATTTACTCAGCTATTTACGATTTCTGTTTCTCTGTCTTCATTCCTGACATTCCAGGATTCTCTCTGGTGTCATTTATGTTCAGCCTGAAGAACTTCTTTTATTATTTCTTTTAGAGCTGTCAATGAGTTCTCTTAGTTTTTTATCATCTAACAATGTCCGTATTTGCCTGCATTCCTGAAGGATATTTTCACTGGTTATAGAATTCTGGTTTGGCAGTTATCTTCTTCTAATTTAAAGGCATTATTCTTCTGTTTTCTGTCCTCCATAGTTTCTGACAAGAAATTCACAGTATTCCAAATTACTGTTAACCATATATATTATGTGTCATTTTTCTGTAGGTACTTCAAAGGTTTTTCTTTCTTTGGTATTGTTTTATTATCTGTCTAGAAATGATTTTCCTTAAGTTTACGCAGTTTGAAGTTCACTGATTTATTGAATCTGTAAATTCATAACTTTGATCAAACTTTGTGATGTTTTCTGCAATTATTTATGCAAAAATTACTTTCTGCACCAATTTCTTTTTCTGCTCCTTCTGGAACTTTAATGGTATAAATGTTAGACCTTTTGATATTGTCCCAGAGATCTTTGAGGCACCATGCAAATTTTTTTCAATTTTTAGTTGGCATAATTTTTAATTCTGATTTTTATTTAAAAAAATGTACATACAGTGAATTATCTCATAGAAAAAAACACAGGGAACTATTAGACACCAAGGAGACACAGCTCGTGCCAGGGTTCTGGAAAAATTTTCTGGGGGAGGTGATACCTAAGCTGAATCATGATGCATCAGTACAATTAACACAATGAAGAAAGGAGGGATCAACAGCTACAAACCCTGAGAATATTGTGTGCAAATGTATGGACTTGCAAGAGAGCATGGAATATTAGCAGGAAAAGTTTTTTGTAGTTGGAACAAATCATGCCAACTCGGGAGTGATTGAAATATGATATTGGAGAAGTAATGGGATGAATCATGAGAGATCTTTCCTTTCAGGATAAGGATTTTTTGACCTAAAAACAATTGGGAAACATAGAAAGGAAGTTTTTTTAAAAATGTGAATGGAGCCAGACACAATGGCTCACACCTATAATCCCAGCACTTTGGGAGGCTGAGGTGGGAGGATTGCTTGAGGCCAGGACCAGCCTGGGCAACATAGGCAGAACGTGTCTCTACAAAAAATGTTAAAATTTATAGGGCATGGTGGCATGTGCCTGTAGTCCTAGATACTCAGAAGGCTGAGGTGGGAGGATCACTTGAACCAAGAAGTTTGGGCCTGCAATGAGTAATGATTGTGCCTGGGCAATAGAGTGAGACCCTGTCTCTAAAAAAATAAAAGTAAAAATAAAAAAGGTGGCTGTTCTTGTCCTTTGCTCATTTTTTAATTGGGTTGTTTTTTTGCTTGTTGATTTGTTTAAGTTCTTTGTAGATTCTAGATATTACACCTTTGTCAGATTCATAGTTTGGGAATATTGTCTCCCATTCTGTAGACTGTTTGTTTACTCTGTTGATAATTTCTTTTGCTGTGCAGAAGCTCTTTCATTTAAGTAAGTATCACTTGTCAATTTTTGTTTTTCTTACAATTGCTTTTGGTCTCACCTATAAATAATTTGCTAAAGCTGATGTTGAGAAAGATATTCCTTAGGTTTTCTTCCAGGATTTTTATAGTTAGAGGTCTTTCATTTAAATCTTCAGCCCAGCTTGAGTTAATTTTTTTATATGGTGAAAGGTAGGGATCTGGTTTCATTCTTCTGCATATGGCTAGCCAGTTACCCCAGCACCACTGAATAGGGAGTACTTTCTTCATTGTTCATTTTTGTTGACTTGGTCAAAGATCAGATGGTTGTAGTTGTGTGGCTTTATTTCTGGGTTCTCTATTCCATTCCATTGGTCTTTGTGTTTGTTTTTGTAGTGGTACCATGCTCTTTTGGTTATTGTAGCCCTGTAGTATAGTTTGAAGTCAGGTAATGTTATGCCTCTAGCTTCATTCTTTTTACTTAGGGTTGCTTTGGCTATTGGAGCTCTTCTTTGTTCCATATGAATTTTAGAGTAGATTTTTAGATTCCGTGAAAAATGTCATTGGTATTTTGATAGGAATAGCATTGATTCTGTAAATTGCTTTGAGCACTATGGCCATTTTAATAATATTGATTCTTCCAATTCATGAGCGTGGACTTTTTTTCATTTATTTATGTCATCTGTGATTTCTTTCAGCAGTGTTTTGCAGTTCTCCTTGTAGAGATCTTTCACCTCCGTGGGGTGATATATTCCTAGGCATCTCATTTTTTGTGTATGTGGCTATTGTAAATGGGATTGTGTCTAGATTTGGTCCTTAGCTAGAACATTATTGGTGTATAGTAGTGCTGCTGATTTTTGTACATTTTGTATACTGAAATTGTACTAAAGTTGTTTACCAGCTCTAGGAAACTTTCAGCAGTCTTTAGGGTTTTCTAGGTATAGAACCATATTGTCAGTGAGGAGAGATAGTTATTCTTCTTTTCCTATTTGGATGCCTTTTATTTTTTTCTCTTGCCTGATTGCTTTGGCTAGGACTTCCAATACTATACAAGCGGCCAACAAACATGAAAAAATGCTCATCATCACTGATGATCAGAGAAATGCAAATCAATACCACAAAGAGATATCATCTCACACCAGTCAGAATGGCTATTACTAAAAAGTCGAAAAAACAACAGATGCTGGCAAGGCAGTGAAGAAAATAGAATGCTTATACTCTGTTGGTGGGAATGTAAGTTAGTTTAGCCACTAGTAGCCAAAGCAGTCCTAAGCAAAAAGAATGAAGCCAGAGGAATGCAATTTGGTCCTTTCTCAAATAACTAAAAGTAGAACACCATTCAACCCAGGAATCCTATTACTGGATATATACCCAAAGGAAAATAAATCTTTCTACCAAAAATACACATTCTCTTACATGTTTATTGAGGTACTATTCACAATAGCAGAAACATGGAATCAACATAGGTGCCCATCAACGGCAGATTGGATAAGTAAAATATGGTATATATGCACTATGGAGTACTACAAAGCCATAAAAAAGAGCAACATCATGTCTTTTTTGCAGCAACATGGATGCAGCTGGAGGCCATTATCCTAAGTGGATTAGCAAAGGAACAGAAAACCAAATATTGCATGTTTTCACTTATAAGTGGGAGCTAAACATTTGAGTACACATGGACATAAAGAAGGGAACAATACACACTGGGGACTATTAGAGGGGAGAGGGAGGGAGGGGGTCTTGGGCTAAAAAAACACCCATTGGGCAGTGAAACTCCGTCTCTACTAAAAATACAAAAAAAAATTAGCCGGGCGTGGTGGCGGGTGCCTGTAGTCCCAGCTATTCTGGAGGCTGAGGCAGGAGAATGGCGTGAACCCGGGAGGTGGAGCTTGCAGTGAGCCGAGATGGCGCTACTGCACTCCAGCCTGGGCGACAGAGCGAGACTCTGCCTCAAAAAAAAAAAAAAAAAAACAACACCCATTGGCTACTATACTCAGTACCTGGGTGACAGGATCATCTGTACCCCAAACCTCAGCATCATGCACATATCCATGCAACAAACCAGCATATTTATCCCTTGAATCCAAGTTAAAAGTTTAAATAGAAAAGAAAAAGAAAAAGTAAAAGGAATTTCCTTTTCTTCCTTTTGCATATCTGAATTTCTTCACGTTTTTATAAGGAACATGTGTCATCTTTTATTATTATGGTTTTATTGAAATATAATCCACATACCATATAATTCTCCAATTTAAAGTGTAAAAGTCAATGCTTTTTAGTATATTAACAGTTGTGCCACCAACACCAAAGTCAATTTTGTAAGAATTTCATCACCTCCAAAAAGAAATATTTTTTCCTTTGTCACGCTCTACTTACTCCCAACCTCTTTTCTTCCTCGCTAAGAAAATACTAATTTACTTTCTTCTCTATAGATTGGCCTATTCCAGACATTCCTGTAAGTGGAATCATACAATATATAGACTTTTGTGTCTGTCGTCTTTCATTTAGCAGAGTGTTTTCAAGGTTCTTCCATATTGCAGCACAAAGCAGTATTTCATTTGTTTTTGCTAGATAATAGTCCATTGTATGGATATACCAGATTTTATTTATCAATTCTCCAGTTAATGGAAATGGGTTATTTCTACTTTTTGACTATTATGAATAATGTTGCTGTGAACATTCATGTATAGGTTTTTGTTTGAACATGTGTTTTCAATTCTCTTGGGTGTATTTCTAGGAGAGGAATTGCTAGATCACATGGTAACTCTGTGTTTAGCTGTTTGAGTAACTAGACGATCATTATTCAAAACAGCTGCACAATTTTGCATTCCCACCTGCAGTATATGAGGCTTTGAATTTCTCCACATTCTTGCCAATACTGGTTATTATCTGTTGCTTTTATTCTTCCATCTTAGTGGGTGTGAAGTGATATCTCATAGTGTTTTTATTTTTAAGATAAAATTATATTTATCTTATATATCACATTATATAACATAATGTTTTGATATACATATACGTGGTGAAATGATTACTACAGTCAAGCAAATTAACATATCCATCTCCTCTCATAGTCACTTTTTTTGGTGACAGAACATGAAATGTACTTTTAGAAAATTTCCAATATATAATACAGTATTATTAACGCTAGTCATCATATTGTACATTAAATGTCTAGACTTATTTATTATGTTAAGTGAAATACACTGGAAACAGAAAGGAAAATACTGCATGATCTCACTTATATGTGGAATCTAAACAAGTCAAACACATAGAAACAGTAGAATGGCGGCTACCAGGGGTGGGGAGGTCGGGGAAATGGTGAAATGTTGGTCAACAGGTATAAAGTTATGGGTATGCAGGATGAATATATAACATTGTGTTTTTGCTTTGTGTTTCTCTGATGGCTAATGATGTTGAGCATCTATTTATGCCCTTATTAGAAATTTGTACATCTTACTCAGAAAAATATGTATTCAGATCCTTTGCCCATGTTAAAAATGGGTTGTCTTTTTTATTGAGTTGTAGACTTTATATATATATTCTGGATCTAAGCCATTTAACAGATATGCTTGGCAAATATTATCTGCCATTTTCTGGGTTGTTCCTTCTATTTCTTGATTTGTCCTTTCATGCACAAACATTTTTAATTTTGATGATGCCCAATTTATCTGTTTGTTCTTTTGCTGCTTGTGGTTTTGGTGTGACAGCTTACATCATTGCTTAATCCACTGTTTAAATCATTGCTTAATCCGATGTCACAAAGATTTATGCCTATGTGTTCTAAGAGATTTGTTGTTTTAGCTTTTATGTTAAGGACTTTAATCCATTTTGAGTTAATTTTTGTATATGATGTACTGCAAGAATCCAAATTTGTTTTTTTTTTTTTTTTTTGCATGTGGATATCCATGTGCAAATGGTTTATTTCACTTGTTTGAAAAGACCATTCTTTACCCATTGAATAGTGTTGGCACTCTTGTTGAAAACCAATGGACCACAAATGTGTGGATTTATTTCTGGATTTTCAATTATATTCTATTATCTATGTCTATCCTATGATAGTACCATGCTGTTTTGATTGCTATGGCTCTGTAGTAAATTTTGAAATTAGAAAGTGTGAGACCTCCAACTGTTTCCTTATCTTTGAATAATTTTTGTTATTTTGGGTCAGCTTGTCAAATTTTTTCAATTTCTGCAAAGAAGCCAGCTAGGATTTTGATAGGCATTGAATTGAATCTGTATATTAATTTGGGGAATATTGCCATCTTAACAATATTACAGGGCATTTAACTTATCAACATTAAAAGGAACATAGGGTGTGTATCACTTTTTAGATAAGAGTAAAACAAAAATTGTTCATTTACAAAATAATGTACTAGTCCCTTTTTAAGGCCTCCTTCTTAACAAGTGTCACATCTCCATCTTATGTTGTTTCTAGATGGTATTTTAAAGACAGAAATAAAGACCTTGCTGTGAGAACTGGGTCAGTTCGAAAAGGGGCAGTTTTGATCTTGAGCATTCTTGGTTTTGCAGGCTCACTCTTCATACAGTCAAAGTCTGGGTAAGGGAAGATGAAAACTCATTTATCAAGAGAATATTATCTGCCAAGCCTTGTAACTTGCATTTCTCCATTACATAGTCCCACTCAATCTTTGCAACAACCTTTTACATAGGTATAACAATTCCAGTTTGCAGATGAGGAAGCTAAAGCCTATGAATGTTAACAACTTAGATTGAACTCACAGGGCTTTTAGGTGGCAGAGGTAGGATTTGAATCAAGGTTGGTTTTACTCCAGATACTATTCCCATACTCTGAGACCACTGTCAATATAAAAACATCTGTTCAAACCTCTGCCCAGATCTGGCAGAGGGGTCTTATCTTTCTTTGAACCCTAGTAGCTGTTGAGTTGTTCCCAGATGCTCCTTCCAGATGTTGAGGGTTACAAGGAAAGTCCATAGTCTGTACCAGAGTGCTTATCCAAGCTGACTTGCGCCCTGGCACAGTTCATCTCTCCAGAGGAGCTCTACTCAGGGAAGGGCATTTCCTTTTGTTCCATGTCAAGACATCTATCCAGACCAAAAAACTCATACTTTTTATTTCAGTGCAGATCTTCTCTCCTACTAAACCATTTGAGATGTAGCTCTCAGTGACAATCTCAATGACTATAACTCATTTTACTGTAAAATAATAGATCTTTGTGTGTCTAGCTCTAGACCATTATATGGTCATTTCCAAGAATGCTAAATATATCAAACCAATTCAGATTATTTACCAAGGACTGTGCCTTCCTGAGCAAGTTGAGGAAGAGTTAGCTTACCTTCCAGGATGGAGATTGACCTACAACAACTGAAAGTTCAAATTCAAGCTCCACGGGATGGGGAGCATTGTGGGATTATTCTGCATGATGGGCAGTGCAAAAATACCTCCTCCTCCTTCTCCTCATCTGTTTGTGATTTCTCAGCTTCATCATTGGGTTTATGTGCTTTTATATAGGATTATCACACAGGAAGATTTTGCAGTCACAAACTACAGCCAATATTCTTCACTAACTTTTTTCACTCCCTACTGGCTTACAGATCATCGATTTTGATTTTTTGATGTGATTTTCATAGGTGGTTTCTATATCTCTCTATGGATCTGTAAGCAGGGGTCATGTTTTATATTCATAAAGCATTAGACAAGCTCTTGAGCTTGAGCAGAGGATCCACATGAGGGGATGCACTGAAGAGCCAGAGGCACACCCTGATAAGGCCAGAGAGTTTACAGAAAGGATGTGAGAAAGAGCATGACCTAGTCAGATTTGCTTTTTAGAACACACACTCTAGCAGAATTGTAAATTAGAAGGGAAAAGTAGAAGCTAAGTGACCAATTCTTTTAGGTCTTCATTATTTATTTTCCTGGATTACTGCAATATTCCCCAGGAGTAATGGGGGTAAAGAGCAAGGGATAGTTTAAGAGATGTTTAATGGGAATAATCAAAAGAACTTGGTAACTGAGGAAATGGTACGGGTAAATAAGATGAGGGGAAATTCAAGGATGATGCTTAGATTTCTGATTTGAGTGGTGAGAAAAGAGAGAATATGAGGAGAGGCTCTGATATGACAAATATAAAAGAACACATTCAGTTTGGGACAACTTGAGTATCAAGTGCCTTTGAAACACATTAGTGGAGATTTTGAGTAGATAGGTGGATTTATAATAAGCATCTAGAACTCAGAGGAAATATATATGGGCTTGAGATATTAATTTGGAAGTTATGATGCAGATGGGGGCTAGAGACATGGGTGTGAACAAAATAGAGCAGGAAAGAGTCCTGGGGGACATCCACATGTAAGGGATGGCTAGAAACAGGAATATAAAAAGGAACTAGAGTAGTGACAACCAGAAAGGTAGGGAAATGATCAGAAGAGATTGGTCACAGAACCAAAAGAAAACAGAGTTTCAAGAAGAAAGGAACAGTCAACATTCACTCAGTCAACTAAGGTTTATTGAATGACTACTGTGTACCTGGGGATGCCTTCATGGAATTAAAAAGGAAAAAAATGCCTGCTCTGGTAGAGGTAACATTGAACGGGAAGGAGTCAAACAATACACATAACAAATAAATTAACAATAAAGTATGAAAGAAGTTTAGAGATGTTATGAGAAAAAGGACCAGGGAATGCAGATCAGGAGTTCCAGTCAGAGAAGTTCAGTTTACACGGGGTGATCAGGGTAGCACTCGTTGAAAAAGAAAAACTTGAATATAGACTTGAGGTGAAAGGTGAAGATGTGGATATCTGAGAGAAGGGTGTTTGATCAGAAGGAACAGCCCCTATAGAGGCTCTGAGGTAAACACATGCCTGAAATGTTTGTGGAATAGCAAAGAAGCATTCTACCTTGAGCAGAATGAATGAGGGGAAGAATAGAAGGGAATGAGGTGAGAAGGTAAGAGCGTGGTACACACAGTGGAGGGCCATGTATGATGTCATTACAAGGACTTTGTCTTTACTCTGAGAGGGGTATGGAACCATTGGAGAGTTCTGATTTATTTTGAATGCTGTGCTGAGATTACAGTTAGGTGTGCAAGTGTAGAAGCAATTGCAAAAATCAAAGCATAGGTGAATATGGCTTGAATCAGATTGGTTGCAGTAAAAGTGGCAAGAATGGTCAAATTGTACATATACAATCGCACACACAACACTCATATTGCTTTTACGTTTCAGCTTCATTGAAATATAAATACAATAAAATTGCCTTATCTAATTATACAATTCAATTATGGGTCAATCAGGTTTTATATGGATGCCATAATGTCTTTTGCAAAAATAAATGGAAATAGCTGGATTTTCCTCCCAAGAGTATTGTCTTATGGTTTTAAAAGCATTACACAATGGTTTGGGCAATATAAGAGGGAAAAATACTTGAGAACTAATAAAGAACGGGCTATTTCTGCCTAAGATGGATGAGGGCTTGACACACAAATGTGAGGCATGGGCTTGCTTTAAATAGGACAAGCCCTAGCCAATACAGAAAGCACAGCTGGATGCTATCCCCACAAGCAAGAGACTGGTGTTAGTGAGCAAAGATTTCTTGCCGTTGGATATAGATGGAGAAAACTGGGGTGCATACTAATGATGTCCACACATTGCACCAACCAGGGCCCACCTAAGCTTGTCCTGCTTAGGACCAGAAGGTCTCTAACAATGGGTATACTACTGTGGAAGAGCCACTTGTCTGCATTTGAATTGCTGGCCAAAATTCACTCCGGGCAGTGGTTACTATTGAAAGTGTTCCAATCGACCAAGACTTTTTAAAAGGTGAATAATAATAATGGCTACCATTTATGGAGTATCTACTGTATAGCAGGATAAGCATTATGATATGTTAACTTTTTATTCTTCACAACCTCTGATGTATTTTTACACTCTTGTTAAAATGGGGGAAACTCATGATTAGAGAGACATAAAATGCAGTTCTAACTCTGAAATCTAAACTCTTAGCCCATATTAGCCTAAAGGGATCTATAATTTCAGTGATTCCATTGACTTGACAGCATGTGATTGAGTCAAATTGAAGCAAAAGCAAAACAGGTGGTAGAGGAACAGGATTGAGCATTTTTGGTACTGGGCTACCACCCTACAGGGGATGATAATTTTACTCACTTAATTTTATTTTTGGTGGGAAACTCCATTTACCAGAGACTTCCTCTATGAGGGAGGAAGAAGAGGTGTAGAGATTTAGGAAGCGGCTAAAATATGTAGCTAAACCAATGTGGAAACTACTGGAAACATACAGGTTGGCCTCCAAGGCATTTTGCAACAACCTCGAATGGAATAAACACTATTACATTGTTAGAGTATGATGACAGGAGCTGCATGGAGAGGTGCTGAGTTCCACTGAATAATTGAGGGCCTCCCTGGGAAGTCCAAAATGGTTGCCCTGTTTATGGGCAGGAAGAAAAATGAGTCACCCTATCACAGTGGGCCACAGTGTATACTCTAGTCAACAGGAAATTAAAGAAAAGTCACCAGGCCACCATCCATATGTTTGCCAGCAAAGTAAGTACCCCTCCAGAATTCCTTTAATTCTCACTTAGAGGCTGGGGAGCCAAATTTGTACTTGACCTTGCTTCTGCAGCAGTGGGAACCACCTCATCTGTTACAAGGCATCATTACAATGATGAAGGACAATATGATTGGAAATCATTTATTACAGGGTGGGGTGGGTAGCTTCTTCAACTGTGATGCCATGATGGTTGGAGAAAAGCTGGTGGAAAATCTGAAGATCTGAGAAGGTGAGGTGAACTCAATTGGGGACACGACATTTTACAAATCATTAAGCCTACAACTATGTGCTGGGCCTTAGTTTTCCCATCAGAGGAACAGTGACTCCTAGATGGTCATAGAGGGCACATTGGCCCAGCACAACTAACACTGCACCCCTTATGGTACAGATGTTAGTGAAAATGATATTAAGGCTTTCGTTTCTTTAATAACATACAAAGTGCTTTAGTTTATATACCATTTAAAGGAGGGGCTAAGTTTGGTGTTCACAGTGCTCAAAATTATACAGTCAATGAGTTAAGCTCACCATGGAGCTAAGGAAAATGGGTTTCATTGATCCTGGAATTGATACATTTGCTCCTCATATGAGCACTGATGAAAGGAATATTCTAGATTACAGATACTTATCCTGATAGTATAGGCTATTCTGATATTAATCCACATGCCTACATCATTGGTTAACAGATCAGTCCAAGTGGCATCCATGCAACTCTGCCATTGGAGAGTTAGCCTGCATGGATTTGAAATGTTCATAAATGCTGCTTCTTGCATGAACGTTTTAGTATTTTCTCTCAGTGTAGGGGATAAAACCTTTATCATTCAGGATTTGGTAATATGATCCTTCATACAATGAATTATTTATATCATTTTGATGCTAGATGTGTTGGTGTTGGTAAGATTGATGAGATCACATGGAATCCAGATAATGTTTATCCAGAGGAGTTAGAAGACTCTAAATTACCAACTGGGAACATTATTGTCTTTTCTACAGTCAAACCTTATGATAGAAATATCCTGAAAGCAGATTATAATATATGCACTTCTGAGTAAAGTGAAAAACAGCTTACCAAGCACAATGCTTGCAAAATCAAAACAAAAATCACTGCTGAAGGTGGTAATGGACCAATAGCAGCAGGGATTAAGATCTTCATTATGGTGAATAGTTTGATAATCCCCATTTTCTACTTGAATTCTAGAGGAGTAACTATCTTATTTAAATAATTTTAAAATATCTGAATTATGTCAGCTACATATATTTAAATATAAAAGGAATTTTAACTCCATTTGCTAATGTCTGTTCAAGAGAGTTTAGAATGAAAATGTGGAAAGCCTAGTGGGGCTATTTATTTATTCTTACTGCAGGGTTTCAGTATACAATGTAGAGTCTTAATTTACAACATTAGAACATGGCATAGCCCTCCCATTTTGTAAAGCAAAGCAATTTGGCTTTACATATTATAAAATTAAAAGATGTTTCTCATTATGAATTTTATTCTCCTGCAATACTGTAGGCTGAGAAGCCAGTCAATTCATGTCCACAGGGAGGAACTCATAAACAATGATATTTGCATTCCCTGCATCCCCAGGGAGAAATCACAAGTGGCTGAGGAGAAACTGGGATGTCCTACTATCTAAGGTGGGTGGGACTGGTGACAGGTGGAATTAATTTTGTGAGGAACTTCTTGATACCAAAGTATAGGTAGTTGGAGATAGAAGTGGGCTGGGCCATGATACCCAGCCTATATCATTACCATGACCTCTGAAATGTCATAAACAAAGATGCCATGCAGTCCATTGCTTTTCTTATTGCAAATATTGTTAAGATAATTGTATATCACATGTAATTGTAAGAATGAAGAGAGATCCTGTGTACCTTTTATCTGTTTACCCTCAATGGTAATATAGCCTTGCTTCTTACTTTGCAGAAATATATATGTCTAGGAAATAGGACAAGGGTTCTCTAGGTAAAATACTAAAGTACACGTATAAGAGGGCCACATTGCCAATTTCCTTTTTACTCCAAGGTTGGCTGCTTGAGAGAACATGTATAAATGTGTATAAAGCAATAGCTATAGCAAAGGCTTCAGATTAACCTCTATGGTAGGCAGCGGGCCTGTAATATGCAAAAGTTGACCTGACAAGCCCCAGTAAGGGAGAGGGGAAAAAACCAAGACCAAACTTGCTCCCTGGTTCAGTGAGGTGCCAAAAACTGAAAAAGAACATCAACATCAAAATGGGTCCAAAGATGTAGTGAAATGATTTGATTCCATGGGAAGGGTTTCTGCCATCAGGTATGGAAAACAAATAAAAAGTAGTCAGCTGTAAAACTGCAAAGTGGTTGAATCATCCCAGAGATCTGTCAGCATCAGGGACTGCTGTGTATATTGCAGATATAGGTAAGTAGAATGGCAAGCACAGGAGCAGCTGGACAGTGACACTGGTACAGGATTAGCAGAGGGTAGTGGTAGTAGTGGTGCTTGACACAGGTGTGTGGGAAGCCAGCAGATGCCACCCAAGTGCCTGGGGGCAAAGACCTCATGGGATGTGGAGAACAACTAAAATCTGTGGGGCACTTCAGGTATTAGCCCCTCCTCACTTCAGTAGGAGGTAAGGAACTTGGATAAGGCTAGAGTTCCAGCAATCATGCTTATAAGGTTGAGCTGTGGAATAATATATTTATCATTGTTTGGGCCCTGCTCCTCCAAGTCATTGTGACAAAGGAAAATGCCTTCAAATTTTATTTTGTGATGGAAGATATTGGTAATTTGCTAACTCATAGACAGTATTTCTGTTTCATTTAATAGGAATAGAAAAATAGTTGGAGTAACCTGGCAAGAAAGGCTGGAAGGGTGTGAGGCTTGTTAGCAGGAGCTTGTTAGTAAGAGAGGCAGTGCAGTAATTATGCACATGGGCAGTAGAGAACTTGGCTAAATCCTAGTTGCTGGAATTCTCATTCACTTGCCCGCTCATATTTACAGAAAATGTCTTTTTGGCTTTCAACATGGAGAGATTAAGTGAGAAAATTAAAGCTTGCATGTAAGTACAGTGAACTAGAAAACAACCAAATAACATTTGGTAAGATACATAATCCATTTGTAAGGAATATAGTACCAGTGTGTATGCACTTACACAAAGGTACAAAATTATATACACGTTCTCTAGAAGGAGTACTATGCCCACTGTACAAGTAATACTAGTGGAACAAACCTCCAGTTTACCAAATTGCTGGTGTCCTTGAGTCTTGAGGACTCAAGAGAGCCTCTGACAAACCTGACTCCAACAGGTGCATCTAGCAGCTTTTAACAAGCTTTACTGTCATTTAGTCACATTTACAGGTGATTTTTTGAATATCTACAGTGTCTGACATGTAGCAGCAGCTCAATAAATGCTTTTCAAATGTGTGAGCAAATTAATGAATGAAGGTTTTCAGTAATGTTGGTTGAAATGCCTCCTGTGACCTCTGGACTTTGGTATCAGATATAAGACAAAACTAAACATTGTGCAGATGGTTTTGCGTGTTCAGAATTTTCCAAGTGGAAAGATGATCAAAAACAAATTATTTACTACACGTGATTTCTTTTGGTAGTTCCCCTTCATCTACATTTGTGATCTGCAAGGCTTCTGACCTGCATTGAGTATACACATTCACCTCTCTGAGCTATTCCATGTAAACATCAGATGGAGACTCTGGGTCCGAGTTATTTAGTAGCAGAATTTGCAGAGCATTTCCTGTATGGCTGACAAGGCTGGGCATTTCCCTGACTCCAGACCTATGAGATGGTGATACCCTCTAACCTGTGAAGTAGGTAAAATGGTCAATGCCAAGGGGGGTGGATGGGAAGGTGACAGAAGACAGAAGCAATAGCTCATTGATGTTTGTCATTTTTATTTGCAATACTTTAGGTCCAAGTTTCAAACTGCAATATTTTTACACTCAAGACACAGTCATGCACAATCCATATTTCAATTTTCTATTGCTTCAACCACAATTTAAAATAACAATATTGAAAACAAAAATCCTTAAAAAGATTGGATGCTGAGGTCAGAAGGATGGAACCATACCATCAGCAGGTCTACAAAAGAAATAACTTACTTAAAAATCAAACAAACAAAAAGACCATAAATACCTTTAATCCAAAGTTACAGAAGAATTTCACTACACATGGTTTACAGATAACACATTCTGACAAAAGTAATGCTCAGCCAAATGAGATACAATTCTGATAAACAATGAAAACGTGGATCCTTCTCAACTTGTTTTGTGTAGATGTTATGAGTATAATCCCAGTAGACATCACTACCCTGTGATCTGGCTCCTCCTGGCTGATGTACTGAGATTAAAAACTCAATGCATTAGTAGCTACAGGATTCTGTGAAGATCTTATCATCAATAATGAATATGGTATTTGCGGGTCCATAAAGCACACCACACACAAGCACACACATTGAACTTGAATTTTGCACTCAGGGCTGGTTGGCACTCTGCTGTAGGCAGGGCATTGGGACCATCCACTAACTCCCAGTTTACCCTCTTTCCAGCAGTGTACTCATCATACAACTGGCCAATCACTGTGGGAGTTGTCATCAGAAATGCTATCTTTGGTTCCCAACAAATTAATTTGTCAACATTTCTCAATGCTAATAGCATGTAATTACTTTTTCATTTCTCTCTGCAACTTGTAAGTGTTTAGGTTCACTCTTAGCAGTCTCAGCCATTAAAATGCATGGGCTCTGCTATCTTGTGCCACTTGAGAATTAAACTCTAGAAAGCCCAGCACTACTTCACAGGAAAGGAGAAGCTCAAGTACAGTTATATTCTAGCAAGTGTGACAGTGTGTTTCTGTTGTAGTGGCAAATACTGGCCACAGCTTAATGAAAACCAGACTTTACATACAGACTGTATGGAAAATGAAAACTGGGAACAGTCAACAGAAAATGGACATTAAAACAAAAACAAAACGAAACAACTGTAAATGAATTGGAAGGCTGCCACAAGTTTTATCAACATCCCCTATTATTATGAACTTCATTTGCTTGAGTTTTTTTTTTTGGAGACGAAGTTTCACTCTTGTTGCCGAGGCTGGAGTGCAATGGCATGATCTCAGCTCACCACAACCTCCGCCTCCTGGGTTCAAGCGATTCTCCCACCTCAGCCTCCCAAGTAGCTGGGATTACAGGCGCCCGCCACCACACCCGGCTAATTTTGTATTTTTAGTAGAGATGGGGTTTCTCTATGTTGGTCAGGCTGGTCTCGAACTCCTGACCTCAGGTGATCCGCCTGCCTTGGCCTCCCAAAGTGCTGGGATTACAGGTATGAGCCACCGCACCCGGCCCATTTGCTTGAATTTTAAAAATCATCTTACATAGTTCTTTTATTTAACTGCAACATAAGAGACTCAGGCTTAAACGTGATATTTGCCATCACTATAGCAGGCTGAATTTGCAAGGCAACCTATAATGCCATAGAATGTTAGACTTTTGGAAAGACCCTAAGGATCATCTAGTCCAATACACTTATTTTACAGATGAGGAAACAGCCATGGAGAGGTTAAGTGACTTGCCTAGCGTCACATAGCAATTTAGTAATAAAGCTCATATTAGACTCCGGGGCTCCTTCTTCCTAGGCTAGTATTTATCCCACTACATCTGACTCATTCTCTACTATCGCTGTTGATTTCCTCTTGGGTACTAAATCTGTTGAACATGTTGCCAGGCTTACTGCTGGTATTATGGGATAGCATTTGCCTGATGGCAGCTTCTAAAGGAGACTCCGATGGCACTAAGCAGTTTCCAAAAGTTTATCTTGCAAGTTCAACCCAATTAAGTGGCAGTAAATGCTACAAGTTGTATAGAATACTCGTACACACAGGTGTGCACATGGAGGTGATATCTCAGTTCCCGCATTTGCAGATTCAGTTAGACATTGTTTAATATTAAACACATTCCCAATGCATGTTGGGTTATATTCATTTGGTCACTTAAAGGAGTGTGGATCAGAAAAGGAATGAAAACACTAAAAGCTAACCAACAGAAAGATTATATCAAAAACAAATCTTCTACGAAAAATTCTTTCATAGGAGAAATATTCCATTATTTCCAAGTTCCCATTTATTTCCTTCCCAGTCCACATGCAAATACACGTTCAGAATTGTGTGCTGAGTTCACTTCAAATCCCAGGCCCATCAAACTGTCAGTTTACAAATGCTGAATTTCAGTCCTCTTGTTCAGAGCTCAGAGACTGGGAGATACTTGCACTACTGGCCATACCTTTGCTTAACTGAATATTAACTGCAAGTAGCTTAGATAAAGACCAAGAGATTCAACCGGGGATGGCAGGGTTAAGACTCCCCTAAGTATTTCTGTATTGAGAATGACCAATAAAAAGCCAGTGACTTCTCTAGGTATAGGGTCTGCTTTTAGTGAAACTAAGCAGCATATCTGAGGTGACTACCTCATTATTAAAGTTCTCACCTAAAATTTCTTTGGTGAGTTAGAAGGAAGTTATCCTTTGGTTAGATGGTCTCCCTTGCTCTTTAAAAATCACAACTACTGCAAACAACCTATAAATAGGCAGAAAAAAGCACATGGAGACCATCCCAAGCCAAAATTAACAGAACTATAACTGAATGCCAACAGGCAGAGACAGTCCTACATATTTGTTTAATGATTTCAAAGTCAGCTTTTAATTGCAAGTCATAACTTCTATTGAAATTAGTGGGACTTGCCCTATTGGTTATTAAAAGAAGAATCCTACCTGAATGATATACAGTAATATCCTGTTGGACAAGAAAATGGTGGGAGCTGGGGATTTTATCCTTCTAGTCCTCCAAAATTCAACCTGAGAGTCTGTTAAAACGTTCCAGAAAGGCAATATCTGCAACAGATGTTATCAAGGGGGCTAATAAAATGGTCACCCCTCCAATCTAAAGCAACCACAAAACAGACACCCGAATGCCATACCAAAGCAGAGGGCAGACAACCTGTTTTAAAGCAGAAGAGTGTGTTTGGAGTTCTAATAGTGACATCTCCCTAGCTTTAACTTATAGATAATAGTCTCCTAAGAAAGCGTGTGCCATACCCGAGCGTGTGCCAACCTCAGCACCCAGGCAAGCATAAAGCCTATGGAATAATTGTAACTAGCAAATATCTCTGCCCTGCATGCTCTGCGCTCTGGCCAGAAGGCATCTGCTTCTGGCATCTTTTCTATGTGTCTATAGTTCCCTTTCTGCTGTTTATTTATTGTAAAGCAATATTATAACAATATCAAATAAAATTTTAAAAAGAAAAAAAAATTCACATAATTCCACCACCCTAACACAACTGATTTCAATTATCTGTGTTCCCAGTCTTTGTCCATATGCATTTCTTTTTACATAGTTGTAATCCCTGTTTATGTTATTTAAAAGTGATATTATAGAATCTCTCAGAACTGGCAGCCTCATTAGAAATAAACCCATTGAGCAAAGGAATATAATTATTTACACGATCTTTGAGCTGAGAAATATCATTTATAGACAAATATCTCAAACTATCAAAACAGTTATACAGACAACAGGAAGCAATTTCGTGTTTCTTTTTCTTTTAGCAATGGAATGTGCTTCACCGGGGAGGGATAGATGTAAGGATCAGGTGGTTAAACTCAAACATTGGGGTGCAGTTCACAAGCCTGAAAGAAATCTGAATAACATAAAGAATAAATACTTGAGTTAAATCTTCTTACATGGCTTGGCCATCCAGTAGCCAAAATGGAACATGGACACACAAATATTTACAATGACACACACACGAGATCAGCAAGAACGAAGTCATTACCCAACATGGTGACTGATTTGAGGGGATTGTGTCATCTGAAAATCCTCATGGGATTATGACAACGCACTGGATCCTTGCTAACAACATTAACGTTCTTTCCTTTTTTAAATAAATAATCTCTACTGTGCTTCTCACCCTTCCCTGACTTTCCCACTGCCCTATTCCTAACTCAGGACATTTTGGAATCAACATTGAAAGATGTGCCCTCGTTATCTCAGGGCACACTAGCAACATCAAAGATTTGGATAGACTCACCTGTGTCAAGATGAGCTTAAAAATCCAGGGAAAGAGAATAAACTGTTAACAATCTGGCGTTCAAGTTACTCGATTGTACCAAATGTGAATCCTTCAGCATCACTGTGGCATGAGAAACAGCTTCTTTCTAATACTTATTAGAAATATACATAACTCTCCAATACAGGGAAGGGGCTTTAGAAGCTGTTCTCATTTGAAAATTTACATGAATACAAATTTATAAAAGTAATGCCTCCTGGGATATATTATTATCAAATCTTGGTACAAAGTGGTAGTAAAGAAGTACCTGGCTCCTCATTGTTAATATGCTGAACTGAAAGCATAAGAGAGAAGCCATTTCTCTGCCTACAGTGATCTGAAGGGTCACTGCTCCAAGGTCTCCAAAATAACAACAAAAAAAAGGCCTTCTCAACATGTAAGGGATGCTAACTAATGAATAGGGCTTCCTAACCAGGTATTGGGCTCTCTCCACTGGCAGGACACAGTCACTAATGTACTGATTTTTATTTGCATCCCAGGATTTCATTGAATTTCCCGGCACTATGAGTGAAAAATTTTTTAAAGTACTTATTTTTAAATGAAATCAAAATTAAGGCCTCTCTCTCTCATTAGAGCAGTGTGGCATTAAAAATTACAGGCCCAGATTCGTTTTTGCAAAGTATAACATAGTATGCTTCAAATTAATATTACCGTTTCATTTTCTTTTCACATTTGTTGTTTTATCCCACTGTGGACATTTTCAAGGGGAGGAGGTCAAGCCTCTCCCAACTTTTACAGTCAAAGAAAACAATAGGGAAAATAGGAAATACACCAGTGGGGTCATCTCCTGAACATAAACACGTACACTATATAGTTTGCTGAAACTCTAAAGAAAGTGCTTTCATTTTAAGATGTGGATATATGGATGGTTAGATGGATGGATGTACCTTGGCAAAGAAGGAGAGAGGCCTATGTAACTGATCTCTTTCCCCTTCTGGCTGAATGTACATAAGTTCTGTTTAGATTCTTTTATACTGCAAATTAAGAAGCCTTCTATAACACAAATTGTTAGTTTTTCAAAGGCTTAGAGAAACAACTTTCTGTAATTTACAAAATTGTCAATACACTCAAAAGAGAGGCATATCCTTTTCTACACAGACACTCCGCAGATATTTTTCTACTCTCAGAAGATTCAGGAAGTGCCAACTGTTGAATTTTTTAATAAATAGATATATGGTGAAATAGTAGTCAAATTTTGTTATTTTCCCCAAGTCATATAAGGAATTCTGTCGGACTGACATTTCTTGGGATATGATTGTAAGTTAAAATTATTTTCCACTGGAGAGAATTTCAAGACATTTATGAATATGCTTTTGATATTCAAAAGCCCAAAGAACTAAGCATGAACACACCATATTCCGAAACAGAAATAGGTGATACATAGGAAAAATGGGAAGAGGTACTTAGAGCCAAATATTGATTGGGATGTAGCCTTCACTGACCTCCCATTTCTTACAGAGTTGAATGTTTACTATATCACCTTTCTCTAGATCTTTAAAAAACTTTTTTAAACGTTATAAATTGTCAAAATAAATAATTTGTATCATAAGTAAATGATGATTAATGTATCTATTTCCTCCTGGTATGCCTATTTTACAGTGCATATGTTTCATAAGCACAAGAGAGGATTAATTTAGGTATCATTATCTTTGTTTACTTAATGTCCAACAAGGATTTCAGTATTCTACATTTATCTGGTTTTGGCTCTCAGAGAAAGTCCCATCTTTGTTTAAATGTGGTTTCTCCTATGAGGATTTCCTAGGTTCAGAACCTGAACTCACCTAGCAGGATGTCACAGTTTCAGTTTCAGTGTGTCCTCTTTCAGGTATTAAGGAGATTAACAACCTGGTTTACTCAATTATCTTTTAAGCATCATTGTGAAAATGTGACAGGATTTCACCGTTTGAGCTTTATTTAGATATACAGTTTTTTGAAAGCCCTTCCTGAACACACATATTCCTCTCCACTTTTGGAAAATGTCTTAAAAGAAACCTTTTCCAATACAAATGCAGAAAAATAGGTACACAAACCAAGCCACCACTATAGAAGAAGAATAAAAAATTGCAACTCTATTAGGGCATGGACTTCCACATGTTCACACAGTACTTGCTCTGGTATTTTTTGTTTGCTTGTTTTTGTTTTGTTTTTGTTTTTGTTTGTTTTTTTTTTTTTTTTTGCCTTGCTTTTTTTGCTTTCTTTTTTTAGAAAAACATTTTGACATCTTTTTTTTTTCTGGACATCTAATGACAATGCAAGTGAAAAACATCACATTGGGTAAGGAGTTTTGAAGGAGGTTTGAATGCAAGAGGGACTACTCTCTAACTTAAAAACAAACACAACACTATGAAGAGGGAGTGTGCATCTTTGAGAAACCTTTTTCTTCAAAGTGAATGCACAAAATGAGGGGATTCACTACTGGCTCTTTCGCTTCACGGTGGAAGTGACCACTTTATGGTCACTTCAACATTGCTGCCCTGTTTGGGCTGCGATTCAGGCTTACAAATAAATTACATAATCTGAGGGAGTAGGAAAAAGGCTTATAAGAAGTTTCTATTCATTTGAAAGGTAAAGAACCCCCACCCCATTTGACTGTCTTTTCTTCCATCTTTCCTGCAGCAGAGTTTTATTTCAGTCTTACTCATGAGGGAGATGGTGAGGTGTAAGGCTTGCAGTCTTAGCGGCTGCTGTTCTTAATTGCTTCCTTTGCAGCGATAATCAGAGGAGTCAGGCTGGAGAGAGGCTTGGCTAATTTTAAAAATGGATGCTGCAAAAGGAAGGAAAAAGAGGAATTATTGGAATTCTTTCCTCCAACAAGTATATTACTTTACATTTTCAAGCAGCCCTTTTGAATTAAGATATATTTTGAACACCCAATTAAATATCATTTAATTAAAAACGGTGCCAGCTTTTGTCCTTCAGATGTTTTTGTACTTCATTGTCATGAAATCCTCTGGAAGCTGACTAGCAGAGTGAGAAACTCTGAGGGATCTTGTAAAACCTCACTGTGTTTGCAACAGTCTGACTCTCTGATTTTCCTAAACTGATATATTTATCTAGAGAAGCTGTCATGCTTGGAAAAAGTATATTTAGTTAACCACTAGAGAACTCTGTCCTGAAACCAATGGCTTACTAACTGCTAAACCCAACGGCTGTGCCTCTACCATTTCTCTTTTGGCCCCTCTGCAGTACTTAATAAAAGTGAATATCCCTTCCTTCTTTGAATTTTTTTAATTTATTTTTTTTGCCTCAGAAGCCTGTGACATTCTACCATATTGGGTCTCTTCCATGCGCATGTGCACTGAATATTCCAGCTCCATTTTCTTCCCTGGTTTCACTTCCTCCTCCTACCTCCCACTCATAAGAACTTGGCTGTCATCATCTTCTTTTTTTAATTTAATTTCTTACAGATGTCATTCTCTTTCATGGTTTCAACCCACCATCAGCTTTATGGAGATGACTCCTAAATCCATAGTGTATGACCTGATCTCTTTCCTGAACTCTGGTCCTAGTTTTCCTGCTGGATATTTCCTACGGGATTTTCTTCTGTCACCTTAAATTCAACATTTAAAAAGTTATGTTACAGTCTCACAAGCAGGGCAATCTTGTGTAATGTAAGCTACAGGGGCTTTGGAGTCAGAGCACTTAGGTTAAATCCTCATCTCTGTTTATTAAAATGGTTAAATGAGGTAAGTGGCAATCCCTTGTAAGTTACATAGGGTCAAGAAATGTTAGCTATTATATTGTCTTCCATCACTTGTCCTCTTGCTGAATGCTACCATTGACTTGATAGCCTGAAGTCACTTTTGTCTTCCTCTTCTTTATGTTCTAAATGCAATAAGCTACCGGGTACTCTCTTCTCAACGTCTCTTACATTTATCTCTTGCTTATTATTATTATTATTATTATTATTATTATTATTATTATTATTATTTGAGATGGACTCTTGCTCTGTTGCCCAGGCTGGAGTGCAGTGGCACAATCTCAGCTCACTGCAACTTCCGCCTCCCAGGTTCAAGTGATTCTCTTGCCTCAGTCTCCTGAGTAGCTAGGATCACAGGCGCATGCCACCATGCCTGGCTAATTTTTGTATTTTTAGTAGAGGCAGCATTTCACCATGTTGGCCAGGCTGGTCTCAAACACCTGACCTCAGGTGATCCGCCTGCCTCGGCCTCACAAAGTGTTGGGATTACAGGCATAGCAATCATAGCAATCACGTCTGGCCATCTCTTGCTTTTTCTAATTCAATCCTAATCATCTTAATCCCAAATTATAATAACTCCCCCTTGGTCTCCCTGTCTCCATTTTTTCCTGTTGCTAATTCTTACCACATACTACCAGATTAATCTTCATAAACAAAGTTGTCATCATGCTTGTCCCTCAGACATCTTCAGTGTTTCCCCACTGCCTACAGCCCCAACTCTTAAGCCTGGTGTTCAAGGCCCACCATAGGATTATCCCCTGCAGCTTCTTTACTTGAACTCTTTATTTCAGCTACACTTTCTAGGTTCTGTTCCTGTAGACCTTGCCCATATGTCTTTGGTTATACCCTAACACTTCCTTCCATTTGAAATCCCTTCCCTTATTTTCTTCAACTTAACTAAACCTGATCACTTCTTTAAGGCCCAGAAGACCTCTTTCCTGTTTGAAGACATTTTCTGATCACCCCTAGCTAACAGAAGTATTTCTCTAATCAACCATATCATTTACTATTTGAACAGCTCTTTGGGTTGAATGAGTCTGTAAACAGCTTTGCATTATATTTTCATGTACCTAAGAAGGTTGTGAACTTCTTAAATGGAGGAATCATGCCTTTTAATAGGTTTGTATCACCCACTGCACTTATGCTTTACAAATGGAAGTTGCTCAATAAATATCAATTGATGGACAGAACTGTCTTAGGTCATACAGAAAGACACACAAATATTGAAGACCTGTGTCTTTTCTCCAGCCTTCCAGTGGGGTGAATGTCATGCATCTCTCCCCTTTCTAATCTTGAAAATGGCAATAATAGGCTAGAGTCAGAGAATGGAGTTGCATGGACTCAAAGAGAAACACAGGCTATTGCTTACATATATAAAATGAAAAGACGCAATAAACTATTCAATTTAGACTCAAAATACAATTTTGTATCAGTTATCTGACTGGTTCATATAAAAGTATTGTTGGGGAATGAATTAACTAGATAATTGATTTAATGATCTATTTAGCTGGATAGCCACATTTATCTGGATAGCCAATTGAAGATAACCTACACCTTCAATTATCCTTACAAGAAGATATAAGAGGAATGTGTATCAGAATGTGTATGTGGAGTGGTGGGAGGGGTGAAAAAATATAAAAGTGATGTACTCAAAAGTTGTCTTTTCATCTGTAATTTGAGGCTGGATTAATTAGAGGATTAACAAAGGGCCATTCCAGATTTGACATTTTAGGGCCCTATGATAACCTGTGAAATGCTTGCAGGTAGCAGAAAAGAAAAGATGTAGTCTCTTCAGTTTCTCCAAATAGGTTTATTCCAGGTATGATCTGAGTTAGGGTGGGATAGTTTTTGCCTGGGTGCAGCTCTGTCTCTGGAAGGAGTTCAGAAGCAACAGGAACAGGTTTTTCTTTCAGGGAGTAGGCTAGAACAGACAATCTGTGGTTAATGCGCTGTATAACCAAGTGTTGCACCTTCTGTTTAATTGGCTTATGTGTTCAAAATCACAAAGAAAAATAGCAGTCATTGTTCTTAGATGTTAAATGTCTTCATACATGTCCCTGAGAAACACTCCCCAGCAGTGAAGCTATGTGTATAATCCTGGGCACGTACTGCTTTATCAAATACAGACATATTTTTATCTAAATTGGTTTGTGTGTGACGTGTGGTGGAAAGTCAGACAATTCAGGGCTCATATCCCAGCTCTGCCCTTCAAGAGCTGTGAGTCTCAACTTTTACATCTATAAAATGGGATAATAATGCCTACCCTATAAAGTTGTTATAAAAATGAAATAATTTATTGAAAGAATTTGGTACATAGTAAGTATTATTTCTCATCATGTATACTAATCCCTGGGAGCCGTGAAAAGGACAAATGGTTACAGAGGCACTCACCACTGGATGGTACTCACCCAGGCAAGCAGGTGCCTGCCAATTGGCATCACAAGCAAAGGGGCTTTGACCAGCAAAGCATTAGAGTAGCAAATGCCATGGAAATAATTGCATAGTTATGTAGAGAATTACCTCCGGCCAAGAGCACCTGCATACAACATCCAGGGGCACAAGTAAAGTTTAGAACAAAACACCAACACCAGAGGGTCACATTGCTTTTTTTTTTTTCCTTGCAAAATAAGACTCCAGGAAGAACAAAAGAGATTTACAGATTACACTGCCAACTTCTCAGAAGAAAGGCAACACGTCAATCAATCATGTATTAGATGCGTGCCTATAGTTATGTGCCTGTGGTCTAAAATAAAATGGTAATAGCCTAACTCTAGACATCTCTTGACAGAGCTCTCTGTCACACATTGAGATGGAAAAGCTGAGTATAATGCCTCTCTTTGTAATTGTCCTATTTTATTTTCACCTGCAAAAGCTCCTTGGCAGATCCTCGCCTATCCACATCCATCTCAAGACAGCGATTTAAAAAGTCACGGAATACAGCTGACAGTCTCTCAGGATTCTGGAGCTCTGGAGTTCCATTAGTGGCTATCAGATACAATGCCTGTAGAAAAAAATAGAAAAATCCATTCAGCACATACATATTAAAATCATGGCTTGGCACAGACGGCAAAAATCCAGTTTCTTCTGGTTTACATTCTGGGTCTTAATAATTCCACTTTAGAGAATGACACATATATTTCAAAGTTTCTATAACATTTAGAAATGATTAATATTGGCAGTAACTGAGGTGACAGTGAAGTGTCGTCCTACCTCCAAAAACTTAAAAATAAGGTTATATGGTTGTCCTCTGAGAGTTAAGCCAGTAAAAACCCACATATAACGAATATGTGATTAAGTATCTAGAAAATTAAACCAAAGGATTGCCTGTAAATCTGTTTCTCTAAAGACTTGGGGAATACACATACATCCATTCATTTTGACCTGAGTATAACCTTGGGAAAGTGCAATGGAAAGGTAATTGTAATTTGCTAAGTGCTTATCTTGTTTGAAGAATGTTTGTGAATAGATGTGGAATGAAGAGAGTACATTATAGAATTAGGGAAGTACAATGAACCAGAAGATGCCAGTGCCTGGATGAGAGAGGCAAGCTGTGGGGCCCAAGAACTCAAATACTTTTACCCTGTGGCAGCTGTATCCCTATTGATTTTAATTAGATTTCCCATGAAGGTGCATCTACAATGAGAGGAAATATGAGGAAAAAATGACAATAGTAGTCTTGGCACCTGCCAATTATCATGGTAAAATAATAAGTTGCTAATAATTGTATATTTCTCTGAGAGCTTTGTGGTATAAGGCCACCACTAAGAGATATCAAGTCATGATGGCCTGAGAGAATCAATGTCTCTAGTCTTCTAGTCAGAGTTGAACTCAGGACTACGATTAATTCACAAAGGTAAACCCATCTTTTGAAGGTTTTTTTTTTGAGACGGAATCTTGCTCTGTTGCCCAGGCTGGAGTGCGGGGCACGATCTCAGTTCACTGCAACCTCCGCCTTCCTGGGTTCAAGTGATTCTCCCGCCTCAGCCTCCAGAGTAGCTGGGATTACAGGCACGCGTCACCATGTTAGTAGAGATGGGGTTTCAGCATGTTGGCCAGGCTGGTCTTGAACTCCCGAACTTAAATGATCCACCCACCTCGGTCTCCCAAAGTGCTGGGATTACAGGTGTGAGCCACTGCGCCCAGCTGAAGGTTCTTGATACAAGAAAGCTGGCCATTACTGATCCCCCCTCTAAGCAAACAATTCAAGAGCATTTAGTATGTACCAGATAGTTTATTAGACACTGGAGAGCTAAGGATGAATAAGACAGTGTTCTTGCTTTGAAGGATCACGCAGTTTAGTGGGAGACAGACATATATAGAGAGCTACAGTACAGTGGGCCAAGAGCTAATCGAGGAAACTAGAAAGCACTAAGTAAACACAAGGATGAAGTAGTTTACACCACAGCTCAGAGAAAGCTTCACAGAGGAGGCTGACATTTTAAAAGGGTATTGAAGAATAAGTAGGAGTTTGCCTGCAGGTACTGCCAGGGTATTACTAGCCCATGCAACAAACTCCCTAACTCATGAAGACATGTTCCCCCTGAACTTGCCCAGGTTTTGCAGCAAATTATCATCCCCTTTCCCCTTTCTCTACTCTAGCTTCTATTATTATTATTATAGGTATTTCTGTAAAAGTCCTTTTGCAGGCCAGTTTTCATCAGCTCTTGAAGACATCTCTTGTTTTTAGCAACTCCCACAGATGTACTTTAGAAAGGGTCAGGAACAACCGTTTAATCTAGTGGCTGTCAACTTTATAGCATGCATCAGAATCATCCAGAGGGTTTGTTAAAACACAGGTTTCTGAGCCACCCCAAGAGTTTCAGTAAATATGGGCAGGGGCCCAAGAATTTGCATTCTAATAAGTGTCCTGTTGATGTTGAAGCTGCTGGTTCCAGGACAACACTTTAAGAACAACTAGTTTAATCCACCCAAGTAATTAAGCAATGGGCTAAACTAGAGAGTCCCAGACTTGTCTGAACATTAGAATCACTTGGGGAGAGTTAGAAAATCCCCATGCTCAGTTCTCACCCCCAGAAAAATTAAGTAAAAACCTCTGGGAACAGAACCTAGGTGCCAATATTTTTAAGCTCTCCAGGTGATTCCAATTTACAACCAACAATGAGAATCCCTGGCTGAGAACCTGGAGCCCAATTCACACATAATAACTCAGAATCTCTGCGTCGTATGTACACCAAAGGTAAGAGCCACAGAATTCCATAGGAGATTGTCTTGCATAGCAATGTGTGAGAATTACAATGCCATATGCTTCTCTAGAATGCATGGAAACTTTTGGCTTTTCCTTCTAGTACTGTACACTTAAAAACCCACATGTAAATACATCCCTCACCCCTACGAAATGAACATCTTCCTTTCCCCCAACTCTCATTCCTTTGTAATTTTCAATACCTTCATTGATGAACAGGAAATGCAGGTGGCAGCTATTAGGACCTCCATGCCAACATACAAGTCAGTGACAAATCCAGTTTTGACTAAAAGGAGATGGGATGCTTTTAGAAAATCACTGATTGGGCTAAAATCGAATAGTGCACAATCATAGCAGATATAGTCAATTAAGTTCAAACTGCTTTTCTTCTTGGATGATTAGTACTTGAAGCACCTGTCCTCCCAAACATCTTTATTCCTTTATTAAAACAAAATCAGTTGCTACAAATTGCATTCGCTGCCTCCTCCTAAAACTTTGATTTCAGCTGGCTACAACTTCCCCAAAGTCACTGTTCTTCCTTTTTTTCCTGCTCTGTAGCCAAGCCCAGACCTAAACAAGCACACCTCTTTCTTCCTTTCCCAGACTCGTTTCCGCTCTCTGTAGATCTGTATTCATGCTATAATGTCTCATTTTCTCACTTTACTTTCACCATTCTTAGCTTAATATATTCTATTCCACATAATTTTCTTCCTTGAAAGTACATACACATCTTCTCTACCTGAGTCCTTCTCATCTCTCTCCAATCTATGCATAATTACCTAAGGAAATACTTGGCCTTTTTTCCATTCCATTTATGAATCCAAAAAAATGACCTTAATCACAGTTGTTAAGCCTGAGTAGTGCTAGTGAAATAGTACATCAAGGGAGAAGAAAGCCCTGTAATTTGAAGGAAAATCTGAAGTAATGAAGAGCCAGTGCTACGAACCTCTACAGTACTTCAAAGAACCCTTATGTCCTCCTCAGAACTTCAACAAAAAGGTCTGGCTGTAGTTTTTGTTAGGGGGTGGGTCTGATAGTAGGAGGTTCTGACTGGTGGCCTAACAGCAGACTCCTGCCCTGGTTGATTAGTGTTGATCTGCTTATACTCCCTCATCCATAAACAAGGTATCAAATGCAAGGTTGCCTTTTGCTCAACACTATGTCATAAATATTTTTGGATGTTTTAAAAATTCTTCATAAATATCATTTTAAGAGCTGCATAATAGTTCATCATGTCGATGCACCATAATTACTATTGGTGAACTGATTAAAAAATGCATGCGGTAAGAAAAAGGCTGAAACACACCAATTTGTGAATACTGGTTCTCTCTGGATGGTAGGATTGTTGGTGACTTAATTTTTGAAATGTATTCTTTAATTTCTCAAATTTTCTACAATGGACACAGTTGCTTTTATTATTTTAAAACCTCCAAAACATTAGTTAGAAAATACAGTTAAAAAGCTGCAGTGTCCAATTTACACAAAAATCCCCATCTATTTCTCTTTGTCTTCCTAGGATTAAACCTGCTTTTCATCAAGCCCTACTCTTTGAGGGAAACAAAAACCCAGACTATTTCTTTTGCAACTATTGTTTTCATTTTAATTGCAACAGTATCATTTACAACTAATTTCCATTGCAAAAATCCACACTTTCAGTTATATATGGGCTAAACTGG